>NC_000020.11:56931599-57548480 GCF_000001405.40 Homo sapiens
CTGAAGCTCAGGGATGGACGAAGAGCCCTCGAGAAACCGTGGGTGTCCTGTGGAGAGACAGTGCTGCCTCACGGTTAAGGACACTGGGAGTGAGGGAGAGACAACAGAATTTTGGTAGCTTCCTGTCCTTGGGCCAATGACTTCACTCTCAGAGTATTCTTTTTTTTTTTTTTTTCTGCTGACTATCCTTTTAAAATTTAAACTGCAATCAGCCCTTTAAAATGGAAATGAGATCTCGTCATTCCCCTGTTCAAAGATCTCAAATGGCTCCATACCACACTTGGAATAAAAGCCAGGCCTTTTACATTCCCTAGGAGACCCCATGTGATGTCCCCACCACCCACCAAGGGAACTGTCACTTTGGCCATGCTGGCCTCCTCTCAACTCCTCAGACCTCCAACAGCACTGGGACTGGGGGAGGCAAGAGGGGTACCCGGTGTGCAGGATTTATGGAGGCCTTTGCTTTCAGGATCATGCGAGTTTTCACAGGTTTTGCAGACGCTCATGTGGGCCTAAAAAATGGCACCCTATACCCTCTGAGGTCGTTGTCTGTGCTTTGGGAACAATTCTGACCTGGCACAAAAGATTCTTGGGCCTGAGGTTGAGGCCAGGTGCAGAAAATTCAAATAAGCTATGGAACTTTCTCTTCACTTATTTGATGACATTTATCAGGTAACAGTATTGAGCACCTACTGTATCCCTGCTGTAAGACCCTAACAAACCACCCAATAAGATTATTTTATATTTTATTTTATTTTATTTTTATTTTTAGAGATAGGGTCTTGCTCTGTCACCCAGGCTGGAGTGCAGTGGCCCGATCATAGCCAGGTTATATTTTAAAAAGATAGAACTGAGCTGGGCACGTGGCTCACGCCTATAAACCCAGCATTTTGGGTGGCCAAGGCAGGACCACTTGAGCCCAGGAGTTCAAGACCAGCCCTAGGCAACACAGTGAGACCCCCATCTCTACAAAAAATAGAAAAAAATATCTGGGTGTGGTGGCGCACATTTCTAGTCCCAAATACTTGGGAGGCTGAGGTGGGAGGATCACTTGAGCCTGGGAAGTTGAGGCTGCAGTGAGCCATGATTGCGCCACTGCACTCCAACCTGGGAAACAGAGCAATACACTATCTTTAAAAAAAAGCACTTTGTATAGGCCAAGCATCAGATCAGGTGCTTTATAACAATTACGTAATAAACAATGCCCATTCTTTGAGTTTTTGCCAAGTAGGTCCAGTTGGCAATTAGCAAACAATAAAAGCATAATTGACATCCCCATTGCACAGGTGAGGAAACAGGAACAAGTCACTGTCTTAAGGTTGCACAGCTAGGAAGTGATGGAGCTGGGATTTGAACCCACAGTGTCCTGTTTTTGCTTCATTCACCCTTTTCCCTTTACCCTTTGTTTTTGCCCTTTTCACTCATAGACAAGACTACCCTGTCTTTGAGCTGCATACAACATGTGTGAACCCATCTGAAAAAGAAAGGATTTTGTTGAAAAAGTTGAGATCAGTTGACCAGTCAAATCACTCCAAAGTCATTAGTTCCGGTCACCAGACATGGTTATAAGGAAGTGACTAAAACCAACAACAGCCTTTTGGCCTGTGACTATTTGCCGCTCTCAATTGTCTAGCAATCAGAGAACCAGCCTGTGGCAAAATGAAAATGATGTTTCAGGTCACGATTGAATTGAATTGAAATGTTTGTTCATCTTCTCTCCATTCTCAGCTGAATTTCCTTGTGTGTTAGCACAGGGGTCAGAAAACTTTTTCTGCAAAGGGCCAGAGGGTAAATATTTTCAGTTTATCAGGCCATATAGTCACTGTTCCAACAACTCAGCTCTGCCGTTATAGTTCAAAAGTAGCCAGAGATGACAGAGGAACAATTGGGCGTGGCTGTGTTCCAATAAAACTTATGCAGTCAATTCTCATTACTCATAGCAGTTATGTTCTATGAAGTTGCCATGAAGCCTGAATTGGCAAACACTCTTGGGGCAGGCAAGGTTGCCCTTGGTCACAATATCTTGTCAACTGATCAATACATAACTTCGTTTTATGTGTGCTTCTCTTTAAACATACCTTATTTAATATGCATAATTGATTCATTAACATTGAACTCAAGGCCAACAGCCCTATAACTCATCCCTGAACACAGCTCAGGTGTCAGATGAGCTAAAGCTACATGTATAAACATAGCTTCTCCTTAAGGCACGTATCGGCCTTGCTGTACTTTGGAACACTAGCCAGCATTTCTACACTACACTTGGGGGCCATTTTGTTTTAATTATTATTTTTTTGAGACAGTGTCTTGCTCCATTGCCCAGGCTGGAGTACAGTGGTACCATCACGGCTCACTGCAGCCTTGACTTCCCAGGCTCAAGCCATCATTCTACTTCAGCCTCCCAAAGCTGGGAATAGAGGTGCGCACCACCATGCCTGGCTAATTCTTTTAAAGAAATTTTTGTAGAGGCAAGGTCTCACTATGTTGTCCAGGCTGGTCTTGAACCCCTGGGCTCAAGTGATCTTCCTGTCTTGGCCTCCCAAAGTGCTGGCATTACAGGCATGAGCCACCATGCCTGGCCTTGGGGGCCATTTTAAATATTGAAATCACCAATAAAAAGCAACAAAATGTGAAAAACATGGCACTCAATAGACCACAGAAAAGACATTAGTTCAGTGTGAAACAAAGAGGCAGGGCATCGCCCTGTTTGGCCTCAGTGAGGAACACGTGCACTGGGCAACTTAAACTTTTCCCTGCTTTGTGCATGTCTAAGAATGATCACAGAAGCACCTCCAGAATTGCTATTGGGCTTAAAAATACAGTTCAGCCAGTAGCCAAATTTGCAAACTGAGAATCCGCAAACAATGAGGATATCCTACATGGACACTGAAATGTGAAGTTCGTGTAATTCTTATGTGTCACAAAATATTCTTCTGATTTTTTTTTTTTTTAGTCATTTAAAAATATAGAAAACATTCTTAGCTTGTAGGTTGTACAAAATTAGGTGGTGGGCCAGATTTGGCCTTTGGGCTGTAATTTGCTGACCCCTGACATAGCTGATCAACCTTCTTGTTTTTGAGATTTCTCATGGAAAAGGACGGCCTGGAGCCTTTGAACAGGGTCTGTGTCTTCCTCCTGTGTCAGCAATGGGTAAGTTTGGCTCTTCTCACATAGGTAGGAAAACGAATGTATCCCACATCCATTGTCTAATGCTAAGATGGTGAGGCAATAGCACCTCTTAAATACAGTGGGTAGCTCGCCTTACTTTCCAAATATAAGCAAGTAAAGGGTGAGCAGTTTTCTGAGAGCTCCCAGCACACTGAGTTATCTCCCAGTCATTGGCTCTGTCGTGACGATGTGAGGGCTAGAAGAATCAATGCATTATTTGAAGCCCAGCTTTTCCCTTTCTTAAAATTCCCTTCATCCTTGGAGTATCTATTAATAGAAGTTATAAATAAAAAAAGAAAAAGGAAATGCCAGTCTTGTAACTCCCAGAGACACATCCCTGCAGCCAGGACAATGAGGCCATTTATTCCAGCAATGGAGCCCGCTCTGAATGCCCAAAATGCTAACAGGAACTGGGGCGGGAATGCTAGAACTCGCTGAAATGCCTTCGCCTCCTAATTTTTTGCTTACCCATTGGCCCTTTTGTAAAGAGTTCTCAAGAAAAGCCCAGACATGTTGGAGGAGATCGTTCCCCAAAATGCTTCCCAAAATAGATACAGGATCAAAGTAAAAATAAAACTGATGTTTCTCCATAATCTGAGACAGCTTTCCAAGTTGGGGATGATTCAAACTTTTGTCTTCTCATCATGGGGGTTAAAAGCTGGCCAGCATCCTGGAAGGAGAATTTCAGTGGTGGGTATTCACTGATTCATTCATTCATTAACAAACATTGTCCAAACTTCTACCATCCACCAGGGACTCTGCCCAACTCTTAGGATGCAAGAGTGAATAGACCAGGCCAGACGCAGTGGCTCACACCTGTCATCCCAGCACTTTGGGAGGCTGAGGTGGGAGGATCACTTGAGCCCAGGAGTTCGAGACCAGCCTAGGCAACATGGTGAAACCCCGTCTCCACTAAAAATACAAAAATTAGCTGGGCATGGTGGTGCACGGTCTATAATCTCAGCTGAGGCATGAGAATCGCTTGAACCTGGGAGGCCGAGATTGCAGTGAGATGAGATCACGCCACTGCACTCCAGCCTGGGCAACAGAGGGAGACTGTCTCCAAAAAAAAAGTGACTAGACCATTGCCTCCTGGTTTTGCCATCTCTAGAATATCAGGGATAAAGGCCCAGTCCAACCTAGGTATCTAGAATCCTTTTAGGAGGGTTTTCTGAAAATTCCATCTTGTTTTCACTCAAGAGTTCAGAGATAGTCAAGTGACATATGCCTTAATCAATACACGACAGGAAACATCTGGAATCTCTCCCTTCTTTGCACTGAATCTTGCCAAAATAAAAAGTTAAACTTACTTTGATCAGTCAATCAAATCAACATGAGATTACATTAGTCTGGCAATTTTTTTCATTTTAAAAAACCCTCTAAATCTGTGTTTGTGAACACAGGAATTCATTCTTGCTCTGTTCTGTCTCTGAAACCTTGATGCTTTTGTTAAGGATGGTTTTGTGTCTGTTCTTCACTCTGCAAAATTTGCCTCTGGCCAAAATCAAGAATTAGCTGACTTAATTCCACCTAAAATCAGCTGATTTTCACAGCTTCTTTTATTTATTTATTTATTTATTTATTTATTTATTTATTTATTTATTTTTGAAACAGAGTCTCGCTCTGTCACCCAGGCTGGAGTGCAGTGGCACAATCTCACCTCACTGCAACCTCCACCTTTGGGGTTCAAGCGATCCTTCTGCCTCAGCCTCCTGAGTAGCTGGGATTACAGGTGCCCACCACCATGACCGGCTGATTTTTTACGTGTTTAGTAGAGATGGGGTTCCACCATGTTGCCCAGGCTGGTCTCAAACTCCTGACCTCAGGTGATCTGCCCACCTCAGCCTCCTAAAGTGCTAGGATTACAGGCATGAGTCACCACGCCCAGCCTGATTTTCACTGCTTCTGAGAAAATCTTCGGAAAGCAGAGGAGATTATTTTAAGAGCAATGGGATCTGGAGTTGCCAAAGAGCCTGCGATTCCCCCTGGTTAATCTATCTGTCTGGTAACAGAAAAGACTTAACCGTGGAAGGGAGACACCCTGACCTAAGCCAAGGTGGCCCTCTCAGTTTCTTTTGTAATAGCTGTACTGTCAACAGAGGCACGCAGCCCCAGGCCACTTTCTAAGACCCAAACCAGCCAGATATCTCTTTGACAACATCTATAGCTCTGCCTACACCACCCAATTCATGGAGAGAGAGTTTCTAAGTAATTTGCTACAAGAAGTAGATGTCTTCACTCCTGTGAGGCTGGCTGGAACGTAGGTGGGAGGCGGCCACTGGGACATCAGATCAAGTTTGGTTTCTCCCTGATCACGGGCCGTTAGCAAATTTGAAAGATTTCTTGGCCAGGCACGGTGGCTCACTCCTGTAATCCCAGCACTTTGGGAGACCAAGGCGGGCGGATCACGAGGTCAGGAGATCGAGACCATCCTGGCTAACACGTGAAACTCTGTCTCTACTAAAAATACAAAAAAAATTAGCCCAGCGTGGTGGCGGGCGCCTGTAATCCCAGCTACTTGGGAGGCTGAGGCAGCAGAATGGCGTGAACCAGGGAGGTGGAGCTTGCAGTGAGCCGAGATAGTGCCACTGCACTTCAGCCAGGGTGACAGACAGTGACTGTCTCAAAAAAAAAAAAAAAAAAGAAAAGAAAAGAAAGATTTCTTAAGCAATAATTCCTACTCAATATGGTTGGACAAATTTAAAACCTGAATTCTGAGTCACGTAGTATCTAGAGCCTCACAGAAAGAGAATGGAATACAAATTTCATAACTTGACACATTTGTGGGAGATACCTGGAGTTGGTAAGAACCTAAAGAAAGGGGCTGCTCATAGACTATGGAAATAAAAATTGGTATTGCCTTAAACAAAAGAGGCTCCACAATGTTCATCAAAATGTAAAAGCACACATAGTCTTTGCTCAGAAATTCTGTTTAGAGCAAGGGTCTGTGAACTGCAGAGATGGTAAAAGCACAGGGCCCGGGCCAGGCGCGGTGGCTCATGCCTGTAATCCCAGCACTTTGGGAGGCCCAGGCAGCTGATCACCTGAGGTTGGGAGTTCAAGACTAGCCTGACCAACATGGAGAAACCCCATCTTTACTAAAAATACAAAAAATTATCCGGGCGTGATGGCTCATGCCTGTAATCCCAGCTACTCAGGAGGCTGAGGCAGGAGAATGGCTTAAACCCGGGAGGCAGAAGTTGCGATGAGCCGAGATCACGCCATTGCACTCCAGCCTGGGCAACAAGAGCAAAACTCTGTCTCAAAAAAAAAAAAAAAAAAGTACAGGTCCTGCAGCCAGCTTCTGTACAGCCCAACAACTAAAAACGGTCTTTACATTTTTACATGATTTTTAAAAATTGAAGAATATTTTATACCCAAAATGCTAACACGAGCCAAGGCAGGAACGATAGAATTTGCTGCAATCACACTGAAGATGATAGAAACTCCCATTTTAGTGTCCATAAGTGAGGTTTGATTGGCACATGCACAGCCGTGCCTTATTTGTTTATGTATTTTCTGCAGAGTTGAGCCTTGGCAGCAGAGACCTTCTGACCTGCAAAGCCTGAAATATTTACACCCTGCTTCTTTCTAGAAAGGGTCGGTTGACCTCTGTTTTCTAGGAATGTATTCTAAGGAAACTATAGAAAAGCAATGCCCATCACTGAAGGACTGGTTAATGAATGATGAGGCCATTTAGAAGTATTCTGCAGAGCTATAGAGAAGGATGTCTATTGCTGGACAGAGATGACCATCATTGTTTTTACTTTTTTGGTTTTTACTTTTTTTGGTCCTTCTGCTAAAAAGTCACCTGCCACCTACACTGCTTGATGTTGCTGATTCTTGCAAGATGTGCTTTCTGTATTATTCAGAAATATTCAATGCTGATATCAAGAGCAATAAAAACAAATGGAATGAAAGAAATTCATAAGAAGTGTTAATTATAGATAGTGAGTGAGTTAGGGAGGCATGAGCATGCTGGATGCAGGCAGAATAGAGGGGCAAGTGTGCTAGGCATAGAGAATAGGGTGGGAGAGTGAGTGTTATTTGTAGATAAGAAGAAATGGGAGGCCCCAGCAAACCTGAAAGATTCAGAAGACACTGATCCCATCTCCTTGAAATTGATAGTTGTGCCTTTTGTAAATTCTGGCCCCAGATGTCGTCGGCCCAAGATTGACAGATGAAATCGGTGGCTGCTCGGCAGGTTCTCTGTGAGTTACAGCTGCGTGCAGATGTTCTCCCCCAACTCTATGCAGAGCCAGGTGTGCGTTGGCTCCAGGCACCTCCTGGGTGCTGAGTCCATTGCCCACCCTCAGCTCTGGTCCTTGTAACCACACTGTCAGCGAGGAAAGTGATGATGCAGGAAGAGAGAGAGAGAGAGAAAGGGAGGGAAGGAGGGAGGGAGGAGGGAAGGAAGGAAGGGAGGGAGAAAGAAAGAGAGAGAGAAAGAAAGAAAGAAAGAGAGAGAAAGAGAGAGAGAGAAAGAAAGGAAGAAGAAAGAAAGAAAGAAAGAAAGAAAGAAAGAAAGAAAGAAAGAAAGAAAGAAAGAAAGAAAGAAAGAAAGAAAGAAAGAAAGGGGCCAGGCACGGTGGCTCACGCCTGTAATCCCAGCACTTTGGGAGCCCGAGGTGGGTGGATCAGGAGTTCAAGACCAGCCTGACCAATACGGTGAAACCCCATCTCTACTACAAATACAAAAATTAGCCGGGCATGGTGGCACACACCTGTAATCCCAGCTACTCGGGAGGCTGAAGCAGGAGAATCACTTGAACCTTGGCAGCAGAGGTTGCAGTGAGCCAAGATCACGCCACTGCACGCAAGCCTGGGTGACAGAGTGAGACTCTGTCTAAAAAAAAAAAAAAAAAAAAGAAAGAAAGTAGGAAGGAAGGAAGAAAGAGAAAGAGAAAGAAAGACAGACAAAGAAAGAAAAAGAAAGAAAGAAAGAAAGAAAGAAAGAAAGAAAGAAAGAAAGAAAGAAAGAAGGAAAGAAAGAAAGGAAAGGAGGGAGAGAGAGAGGGAAGGAAGGAAGGAAAAAGAGAAGGAAAGGAAGGAAGGAAGGAAGGAAAGAAGGAGAACTGGATTCGTGTAGCTCTTCTATCAGCTTGTTCCCATCTTAAGTGTTAACCCACCCCAAATCACTCCCCTTGCTTCTTATGGTATGTTTTAGATTAATTCAATGAATTATGAAATGAGGGAGTTGTAAATTGGTCTGTGAGCCTTTCTGTCCTATGGCCTCTGGGGCAGCCTACCAGGCAGTGTTCTTGGGAGTCCCCATTACTGCGAGGTAATTCCCCACGGTGAAAGTCTAGGCGCCAGCACTCAGGAGCCCTGTGGGGGCTGCTCTCGGTTGCCCAGCCTATTCTCTATGGAGTGGCCTGGGAGAGAGGTATCTTACTCTGGGGTTGTCAAATATAAAAGCTTAAAGTTGTCCATTGGGCAAATCACGTGGCCAGCCCCAAGCCAAAGGCAGGGAAGGTCACTCTGTCCCCCACGAGGCCCTAGCAATGGTGTGGTTTCTTGGCACTCTACATTAAAGGGAAGCTTCTACGAAAAGGGTTCATAACCATGGCACCACTGACATCTGGTCCTGGAGAATTCTCCATGGTGGGGCCTGTCCTGGGCATTGTAGGACATTTGGCAGCATCTCTGGCCTCTACCCATTAGTTGCCAGTTACATCCTCACTCTTCCCACCTCATTGTGATGACCAAAAACATCTCCAGACATTCCCAAATGTTTCCTGGCAGGCAAAATTGCCTGTAGTTGAGAACCACAGACTTAGACCATTTATTTGCTCTATAGACTAAGGTGCAGTCACCTCATTTCAGCCCTCCTTGCCTGTATTTTCTTTCTAGGTCAGATGGCCCTGCCATGTGGTGCACACATGCTATTCTCCAGGTGCCTGCTTGGACCCAAGTGGGAGCCCAGCCAGGCAGTGCCCTGTTGCTCACACCTGTCATCCCTCCATGGAGGCAGATCAGACACTCAGCAAAATATTCACCTTGAAAAAGCAACAGTGATGACTGGCTTGGGTTTTCCCAGTTTTATTCATGTCTTAAATGTCTTGCCTTAGTGTTTCTGTTAAGTGAGTTGATTTGGGATTTGAGAAATAGAGTCAGATTTTGTGTGACTCCTGACCCCACCACTAACTCCTCACTGAATTTGGGCAAATGAATTCACTTAACTTGCAAATATGAAATGAGGCACAATGGCCTGCCCTCATAGTGTGATGGCACCGGGTCAGTGTGAAGGGCTGAGACCATGACCCGAGGGTGAGTGCCCACCACGGGTTAGCCAGGAGCCCCCAAGCCTCTGCAGGAGACAGGCCGCACCACCCTAGTCCTCACATCAGGATCTGATGGGAACACAAAGACCTGCCTACACCAAGATGGGGTTTCTCCATGTTTGCCAGGCTGGTCTTGAACTCCCGGCCTCAGGTGACCCACCTGCCTTGGCCTCCCAAAGTGCTGGGACTACAGGCGTAAGCCACCGCGCCCAGGCTGAAATACTTTAAACTATTCCCAGCAGTACCTCTGGTGTCTTAGGTATCTTCTTCTAGGGCAGAGGCCAGATTTGGTCCTTGGCTTTAGAATTCCAGAGCCCTGAGTACGAACCAGCCCCATCCCTCACTGGCTAGAGAACTGGAGTTTCTCTGAGCTTCACTGCTCCATAAAAACAGAGCAATAACAGCCATACCTTGCTTTATTTATTTATTTATTTATTTATTTATTTATTTATTTATTTGAAGAATCAGTAAAAGAATGCAATAAAAATGCCTGGCATAATACACGGCAAACTCCCCAAAATGCTCCTGAAGGTGCTTTTACAACTCACACACTTTTTAAAAGAAAATATAAGACTCCCGCATTCCAACGTCAGCAGTTACAACTGATAAACCAATATTTGCCTTAACCTCTAGCTTCCCTTTCCCTGCAAGGAAACATCGGAGCTTCTCAACTGGGCCAAACACACTATGGGCTGTGGTTTAAAAACAAGAAAAAACAAAGCTAAATCCCTAACCAAAAGGATCTGGGGGTGGGGGGTTGTTTTTTCCTGAGGGATTTTGCTAATGCCACTCAAAAAGGAAGCCCATGCAGGCAAGAAGACACAGTCACAGGGAGGGTGTTGTCACTGTGTTTAAATCGCTGAAGGACGTATTTATTCAGGCAGAAGGAGGGGAGAAAATGTAATGGTGGAGGAAAATATACTCATCCTCCTTCCTTTGATCTTCCCACATTATTGGCCCAGCTCATAAGAGAGAGCCTGAAGTGACAGGCTGAGAGGTTGCTGGGGTGGTTTTGTGGAGACAGTTTAGTAGAGTCATTAAGATGGGGCCAGACTGGCCAGTATTCAAGTCCTAGTTCTGTGGCTTCCTAGCTGTGTGACCTTGCACACGTGGTTAAGCCTCTCTGTGCTTTCATTTTTTTTTTTAATTTAGAGAAATAATTGATGCCCATCTTATAATAGGAATGCTGTGGTGATGAAGGGAGAGAATTCACAGACCATCTTAGCCTGATAGTTGGCACATAGACTGTGTTTTAAAAATATTAGCTATTGTCTGATACTTCTTCCTTTACATGACAAATTGGCTTCATGCATGAACACTGAACTTTTTCCTCGTGAAAACAGATGCTTAGTTTAAAAGGGGGGTGTGTGTAATAGCAGAGAGGGGTTAAAGGCTATGAACAGGCAATTCACCGGGGTGAAAATGCACAGTCGAAACACTCCATTAAAAAGATGTTGGCCAGGCATGATGACTGACACCTGTAATCCCAGCCCTTTGGGAGTCCGAGGTGGGAAGATCACTTGAGTCCAGGAGTTTGAGACCAGCGTGGACAACATGGCAAAATCCTGCCTCTACAAAAAGAAAAAAAAAATACACAAAAAAATTAGCCACGTGTGGTGGCTCGTGCCTGTGGTCCCAGCTACTTGGGAGGCTGAGGCAGGAGAATCACCTGAGCCCAGGAGGTTGAGGCTGCAGTGAGCCGTGATAGTGCCACTGCACTTCATCTGGGGTGACAGAGTGAGACCGTGTCTCAAAATAAAATAAAATAAAGTAAAAAATGTTCAGTCTCACTGGAGGTCTGCAAAATGCTCATCAAAGATTGTAGGGTGTCAGCCTTCCCCCCTCAGAGTTGCCAACATTTAAAAGCCTGGTAATATTCAGTGCTAGGGAAAGTACAAGGAAACAGGCACCCTCATACATTCTGAGTACAACTACTGGAAAAAGTAAGACAGTGATATTGATTATACTAGAACATGAACTTATTCTCACTTTTAGAGAGCTGGCCCTCAGCAATAAGAGTAATAAAAGTAGGGGCTGGGCACGGTGGCTCACACCTGTAAGCCCAGCACTTTGGGAGGCTGAGGTGGGCGGATCATGAGGTCAGGAATTTGAGACCAGCCTGGCCAGTATGGTGAAACCCCATCTCTACTCAAAATACAAAAATTAGCCGGGCATAATCCCAGCTACTCGGGAGGCTGAGGCAGGAGAATTGCTTGAACCCAGGAGGCGGAAGGTACAGTGAGCTGAGATCACGCCATTGCACTCCAGCTCTGGGCGACAGAGCAAGACTCCCTCTCCGGGGGGGAAATAAAAGAGTAATAAGAGTAGGAGCGAATGAGCATGAACAGAAGAGGACGTGCAATGCCTGGAAATATCCTGCACCCCAGCAATAGGTGACATGCATCTTTGCATGTCTGCAATCCAGCACGTCAGGCAGCTATCGAAAGGAATACTTAGAGCTGTAAGTATTAATAATAAGTGATATTGATTAAATGCTTGCCCTCCACCGAACACAGCAATGAAGCTCTCTCTATGCATGCTATTTGTGTCTACTGTAACCTACAATAGATTTGTTACCTAATTTTATAGGGGAGGAAAACGAGCGCACTACGGGGTAAAGGAGGTCACCCAAGATCTCAAGTTCACGAGTGGCAGCCTGGATTCAAGTCCCTGCCTGCCTCCAGAACCTGAGCTCTGAAACGCTGGACTAATCAGAACCTCTTGGCCCTGAAAAATGAGGCCTATTGAACAAAGACATTTGTGAGAAAAGGGACTATTACAACCTAGTGTAAAGTAACAAGCAAATAAAAAATGAAATGGCACAACTCCTCCCCACGCTCCGAACTCTCGACCCTCCTTCATGGTTCTGCATAGCCCTCACCCTGCAACACACACACCATTTGTATATTGCTCACTCTCTGTCTTCCTCCACTAGAATGCAAGCTTCCTAGAGCAGGCCTCTGCTGTTTTGTGCCTCTAGTCCACAAGGAGAGTGTACTGGTGCCCTGTGGACACGAGGTAAGTGTTAAATGAATGAGTAGATGCATCGCTTTACTTTCACCTTAACCCTGAAAGCGGTTAGCCACTAGCTGGGCCACAAGGATCGGGCTGGGGAGACTTGTAGCCTGTAGCTGGTGATTGATGTTGAGGACAAAGTCAACTGGCATCTGGGAAAGCCTGGGTTTGAGAGAAAAGAAGCCGCAACTGCCATATTGCTTCCCGTATAGTAACCACCAAGCACTTGCAATGAACTAGATGACGACTTGGTAAATCTGGAAGCTAAATTTCTTTTGGCGGCAGACTGAAAGGCTTGGCAGCTTCTAGCTGTGTAAATTAAAACAATAAGCTGTTTTCTTAAAAATAACATTTCTAAATATGCATACCCTTGAATTAACATCCAGCTCATGAGACCGTCAACAGAAGACAGGGACCCTGGCTGCATGCCCCGTGAGCGCCCCTGCTGCAGCGAGAGCCACTGCTGACCTTTCCAGAGTGTCCTAGGGAGAGCAGCAGCACCCAGCAAGGCTCTCTCTCCAGGGCCTTGACGCATGTGGGTTGGACATGGCCAGTTACTGCCACTGTAGCCAGGCACCGAGGACTGATGGCCAAAAAAAAAAAAAGAAAAGAAAAAAAGTTGGTTGCAGCTGTAGTTAATTTACTTTTGATTAGTCTAACCTTTCCCCCTATGAGGAAGTTGTTTAGCAGGAGGGGAAAATGCGGTCACAATATTGTTTTATGACTGTTTATCTTTAGAGTCCAAGCGATGCTGATTGCAAATATTTATGCACATTTTTAAAAATCTCAGCTAATGCTTGGAATGTGTTTTTTTTAAAAAAGAGTGAAATCAGATTTCGGGTGGATCTAGCCATTTTGGAGGATTTCAAAGTCATAACCCGGTTTCCCCTACCGGCCCACTGGGACTAATGGCATCAATGCAGCAATTAAGCGAACGGGATCGAAATACAGAATGTGACCGCTCTGTGTGGCTTTGGAAGGCTTGTGTCGGTTTTAAATGTACATTATTAATGGCCAGCCTAGAAATCTAAGTCCAGGCATATATTATATTAAAGAAAAGAACCTCTGAATGAGAAAACTTTGCATTTCTGCTAGAAATGCTGCTTTCCTCTGAGAGAAACCATCAGCCACGTGTCAAAAAAAAAAGCTCTAGATGCAATTTCCTCACCTCCCAAGTAGCCACTGTGGTCGAGGCTGCCACCCTGAGCTGAAAGAGCTCCATGCCTCTTCTAATTCTTTGCTTCTCTCCAGCGGTGCTTGTGCCTGCTGGTTTGGTGTCTGGTTATGTTCTTTAGCCTCTTAAGATAATGCGCGGATGTCAAGGAGCCTCATGTCATGGGGAGCTCTTTGGCTTCAGGGTTACATGGATTGGGGTTTGAATCCCAGTTTTGCCAGTTTTACTGTGGCTGTACAGAAAGCGATTTAACTTCTCAAATTCTGTGTCCTCTCTATAAAATGGGGGAAAATGATACTCACTCAGTACTATGTTGGTTGCAAACTGGCTTAATAAAAGAAAAGGGGGGCCGGGCGTGGTGGCTCATGCCCGTAATCCCAGCATTTTGGGAAGCCGAGGCGTGTGGATCACGAGGTCAAGAGATTGAGACCATCCTGGCCAAAATGGCAAAACTTCTTCTCTACTAAAATTACAAAAGTTAGCAAGCCGGGTGTGGTGGCTCATGCCTATAATCCCAGCACTTTGGGAGGCTGAGGTGGGTGGTTCACCTAAGGTCAGGAGTTCAAGATCAGCCTGGCCAACATGGTGAAACCCCATCTCTACCAAAAATACAAAAATTAGCTGGACGTGGTGGCAGGCGCCTGTAGTCCCAGCTACTCAGGAGGCTGAGGCAGAAGAATTGCTTGAACCTGGGAGGCGGAGGTTGCAGTGAGCTGAGATCACGCCACTGCACTCCAGCCTGGCAACAGGGCAAGACTCCATCAAAAAAAAAAAAAAAAAGAAGAAAAAGGGGACTAAGTGACTCAGGGAAATGGGAAGCCCAGGGACAGCTTCAGGCTCGGCTATATCCAGCAGATGTCAATGATGTCATCAGGCGAGTTCACTCTCCTTCTCCCTCATTCTCTATCTCTGACTTCTCTTTCTCCCTGGGTATTGGCCCCTCCTCCTCCGTTGCAGATAGACTTGCTTCCTACATAGGGAACATGTCACCAAGTGGTCCTAGTTTTACTTCCTTCCAACATCATGATGCCAAAGCAAAGGGTCTTTCTCCTTCTCCCCAGCTCCAAACAGAAGGATCTGAGGAAACCACTCTAATTTGCTAACTTTCATCTTAGATCTGCCTTGGTCTGAGTCCCATGTCCTGAGTCATGAAGGGCTGCACTGGTCAGGATGGGTCCTGGAGCTTGGTGTCAGGCCATGCTGATCAGTGGCCCCCCTTTAATCACATGGGCAGGGAGAGAGAGCGTCATTCTCTCAGGGAAGTGGTGGAGGGTGTTGTCCCCAGGACCATCTTGCAATATCGACTCAGTTAATGTTGCCTGTGTACCTGCTGTGTGCCATGAAGCCTCCTGAACAGAGGGACACCAGGGTGAGCACAACGGACACGGTCCCTGTCCTCAAGGACTTTCACAGGGGAGGGGTGGGGGAGACCGTCAACAAGCACATGAATAAATGTGCAAGGTTGTTTCAGAGGTTGATGGAGACAGAGACTGCAGGGAGGGTGGGCTGCGGCTGCTCTAGGGACAGCAGACAAGGTCTGAGCCAGGATCTGAGCCAAGATCTAATGAAAAGACAAGAAGTCCATCCTTTGTGGGATGCTCCAGAGGAAGAATGCTGAAGGGTGAGAGAATGGCGAGTTCAGAGAACTGGAGGCTGCTGTGACCAGGACCCTTGGGGTCACCAAAGGAAGACCTGAGAGGATTAAGGGGAGAGATGGATTTGGAGAATAAAGAACTAGATCATTAATGGCCTCTTTGGCCACAAAAAGGAGTTTGGAGTTTGCTTTCAGTGTTTTGGGAAGCCCTTGGTGGGTTTCCACAGGGGAGCGTCGTGTGATCTGATTTGAGCAGCTGGTGAAGTTTGCAGTATTGTGTGGCAGAGGTTCCTTTGATATCTGTTATCCCATTTCTCTGAGAAAAATAAGCACTGAATTTTGACTGGACACACCTGGCCACCAGGAGTAAGAACCACATTTCCCAAGCATTAATACTAAGTTCTGGATAATGGGATGGAAATGGGAATATTACATATGATTTCCAAAAAATGTCCTTGAGGAGAGGGAATATGCCCTTTGACTCCCTCCTCTCTTCCTGCTGGCTCTAATGCAGACACATGCTTGGGGTTTGGGCAATCATTCGGGGGTAAGAGGTGTGAGTCATGAGCAGAGGATGGCTGAGCAGCTAGAAAGAAGAGACCTGAGGACCCCAGAGCTACTCTATCAGCCCTGGCTTGCTTTCCTCTAGAAAGAGATAAATCCACTGTATACCACTCATGTCATTGTTATTTGGGGGTTTCAACTACTTGCAGCCAAACCTGACTATGTCTGATTGAGGGGGCAAGAATAGAAACAAAAGGACCAGTTAGGAAGTGGATGTGTCCTTCCATGCAATAAGGGGTGTTGGCTCCAACTAGGCAGAGTAGCAATGGAAGTAGGAGGAAGGGGCTGGATTTGAGAAATATCTCAAATCCAGAACATTTGGAGGGCTTCCTGATGCATTGGCTGTGACTGGTCAGGGAAAGAAAGGATTCAGAAGGCCAAGGCGGGTGGATCACGAGGTCAGGAGATCGAGACCATCCGGGCTAACACGGTGAAACCCCGTCTATACTAAAAAATACAAAAAATTAGCTGGGCGTGGTGGCAGGCACCTGTAGTCCCAGCTACTCAGGAGGCTGAGACAGAAGAATGGCATGGACACAGCAGGCAGAGTTTGCAGTGAGCCGAGATCGCACCACTGCACTCCAGCCTGGGCGACAGAGTGAGACGCAGTCTCAAAAAAAAAAAAAAAAAAAGAAAAAAGAAAGGATTCATAGGTAATTTCAATTTTGCTTGCATGAAACAGTGGGTGGGCCAGGCTGCCCCACTGAGTAGACGACGAATCAGAGAAAAAAGGCATGACAAGACGCACAAAAATGTTAATTCTCAAAATTGTAGTTCATTTTTTCACAGATTGCCCTTAAAGTAGTAAAATACATTTAGTTCATTCACCAGAGATTTGTTGAGCAGCTACTCTGTGCCAAACACTGGGTATACAGCAAGAGATGAAGCAAACATGCCCCTGCCCTGATGGAAGGTGGTGTCTGGAAGGTCGTGTCTGGAAGGTCGTATCTGGAAGGTCGTGTCTGGTGGATTCATCTGCTGGTGGCTGGACCCTTTGGGCATTTCTGAAATCGACTGTGACACTGGATAGGTCTTTTCACCTCACCAAGTCTCAGTCTGACTTTCTGTAAAATGTGTTTAGGGCAGGTATCTGCTTGCCAGGGCTGCACAGGAAAGGCCCTCGCTGTGGGTGAAATGCGTGTGTCCCTCCAAAATTCATATGCTGGAACCTAACCCCCAGTGTGATAGTATTAAGTGGGGAGGCCCTTGGGGAGTGACTAAGTCATGAGGGCTCCACCCTGGTGAATAGGATGAGGCTGTTCTGTTCTTCTGTTCTTCTCCCTCGTGAAGAAGCAACAAGAAGGCATCATCTTGGAAGCAGAAAGCAAACCCTCATTGAACCTGCTGGCGCCTGGATCGTGGGCTCCCCAGCCTTAGAACCGTAAGCAATACATTTTTCTTTTTTTCTTTTCTTTTCTTTCTTTCTCTCTCTCTCTCTTTTTTTTTTTTTTTTTTTTTTTTTTTTTTGAAGCGGAGTCTCGCTCTGTTGCCCAGGCTGGAGTGCATTGGTGTGATCTCGGCTCACTGCAACCTCCACCTTCCGGGTTCAAGCACTTATCCCTGCCTCGGCTTCCCGAGTAGCTGGGATTGCAGGCGCCCCACACCACGCCCGATTTTTTTTTTTATTTTTTATTTTTTTGTAGTTTTAGTAGAGACAGAGTTTCTCCATGTTGGCTAGGCTGGTCTAGAACTCTAAATCTCAGGTGATCCACCCGCCTCGGCCTCCCAAAGTGCTGGGATTACAGGCGTGAGCCACCGCACCCAGCCTACATTTCTATTATTTATAAATGACCCAGTCTGTAGTATTTTGTTATAGCAGCAGAAATGGACCAATGGTGCTTAAAGTAGCAGGTGGTAGTATTACAGGCCTGTCATCTGGGTGTGAAATACTAGAATTTCAGCAAATATGCAAGTGCCTGGGATTGATAGGATAGGACATTAGAAATCTAGACAGTTTCAGTCTAGGCGTAGGGTGCTCCTCCTGGCCCAGCTGCATACAGGGAGGGGGTCGTGATGTGCTAGTGCTGTGCGGGGCACACCCTCTAGGGGGCAAGCCCAGCCACCGTCTACCTGCAGCCACGTTTCTGAGGCAAGCACCTGACTCTGGACACATGTGATTGGTCCAGAGGTGGGCACCTGACCCAAGCTGGGCCAATCAGGCCTCTCTGTTGGGATTGTGGTTGGAGACAGCTGGTCTATCCTTGAGGCTGCCGGCCTATGACTTGCAAACTCCTAGTAGAGGGACAGTGCCTTTACTTGGATCAAGCAGTAATCAGTGTGGCTAAGGTTGAAGTCTGCAAATGTCTGATTCTGAAGCCCATGGTGTTAACCACCCTGTGTCCTGCTGCTTCTGGTACCCAGATCAGATTTCTCTTTTCTCTGCAGGGAGGAAGCACACATCCTCTTCACTGCGTATTCTTTCTTCTTCTTCACACCGTCCCCAGTTATTGGAGTGCTGCAGAAAACGTGTAGCCAGGCACATGTCAATGACACGTTTCAGCAGGGTGCCTCCTCAGATATGGGATTTCCAGGTCAAGCAGTGTGTGATTCTGATATTTGCTGAAATTGCCCTCTAGGTTAATCTGTATTTAAATCGAATCCTGAAGCAGAAATGGTCAAAACAATTCTTGGTTATACTTATTTAGAAGACATGGGCAATGAATGAAACCAAACAAACAAACAAAATCTCTTCCCCCAAGCCCCTAACCCCTCAGCTGGAATTCACGGAGCTCTGCTGAATTATTGCTGGTTTTTAAATCACTGAATGTGGTTTGTGGAATTGTTCTCATAAATGGCAAAAATGTAACAAATGCATACATAGTAACCAAGTAAATTGGCCTGTTAAGAAATAAAAAGGGTAATTAAAAGGGTACTCACAGTTCCAATCTGAAATAATATGATGAGAAGATTTTTAAAACTACCATTTGTTGAGAGCTGTGATGTACAGAGTCTTCAGATGCATCTGATTTAATCTTCCTAGCAACTCCCAGGAACAGAGGCCATTATTATCCCCCATTTTACAGACAAGAAGAACGAAGTTTACAGGGAAAGTGGCTTGCAGGGTTGGGTTTTGGACTACACGCAGCCTCTAAAATCTCTCTCAAGGTACCTGCTTCTTCATAAGCTTCACATTCTCTTTAAAAGATACTCACAAAGAACATGAATGCTTTCTTTTGTAATATCAAAAGTAATAAACATAAAAAAACTAGCTGGGGGTGTGTGTGCTATGTGCCTGTGGGCCCAACTACTCAGGAGGCTGAGGCGGGAGGATCACTTGACCTCAGGAGATGGAGGCTGCAGTGAGCCGTGATCATATCGTGCTGTTGCACTCCATCCTGAGCAACAAAGCAAGGCTCTGTCAGAAGAAAGAAAGAGAGAAAGAGAAGAAAGAAAGAGAAGAGAGAAAGAGAAGAAAGAGAGAAAGGAGAAAAGGAAAGAAAGAGAGAAAGAAAGAAAGAAAAAAGAAAGAAAGAAAGAAAGAAAGAAAGAAAGAAAGAAAGAAAGAAAGAAAGAAAGAGAAAGAAAGAAAAAAGAAAAGAAAGGAAGGGAGGGGAAGGGAACGGAAGGGAAGGGAGGGGGAGGGGAGGGGGATGGGGGAGAGAAGGGGAAGGGGAGAAAGAAAGAAGAAGGAAAGAAAGAAAGAGAAAGAAAGTGATAGAGATGAAGAGAGTGTCATCTTCACACAATGAAGAAAGGAGTGATTAGATCACAAACTTGGCCTTCCAGCCAGGCAACCCCACCTTCAGGACTTTCTCCCTCTGTGCATATCTGGTCTTCTGGTGTGGTTCCTGCACACATGGCTTCGGTCCTCCACACCACTGCCTGAGTGCGAGGTGCTCTGGGGTAGAGATGAAACGGCAGTATGCCCTACAACCTGCCCCTGCTCAAACAAAGGGCGGTTTTCACTTGCAAATGGTGGCTCCAGATTGACCAAAAATTAAAAAGCAGAAAAGCAAGAGTTGGCCAGTTTGCAATGGAAAAACCACTCTCTGAACATCGGAAACATTCTGTGCAGTGTTAAAGAGCATTCTCCTAAATGAAGAATTGACTTGTCTGTTTAATGTAGCTTTTTCTTGATTTTTCTTGATGCCACTCATAGCAAGTGGTATTTTTCAAAAATTATGATCTGTCTGAAACTGATACACTCAGGCTTGGTGGTTGGACTGGCCACTGATAATTGGAAACAGGAACTGTGCAAGCGGCATTCTTCAAGGGAAGAGCAAGGAAAGGCAAACACACACATTCCCGGAGGACTTGTGACAAACAAGGATGGCTCGGGTCTGGTTTTCAACCCACAGGCTCAAGACTTTTATTCCTTTTGAATTTAAAAGACCAGATGTTGGTGAGTATTGGATGTCCAATGTCACTGTCAACTGCCAAGAATGTCCAGTTTTTTGTTTTTTTTTTTGACAGGGTCTTGCTCTATTGCCCAGGCTGGAGTGCAGTGACGTGATCACAGCTCACTGCAGCCTCCACCTCCCGGGCTCAAGTGATCCTCCCACCTCAGCACCACCCCCTTACACCCCACAGTAGCTGAGACTACAGGCACATGCCACTGTGCCCAGCTAATTTTTGTGTAGATGGGGTTTCGCCATGTTTCCCAGGCGGGTCTTGAACTCCTAGGTTCAAGCAGTCTTTCTGCCCCAGCCTCCCAAAGTGCTAGGATTCCAGGCATGAGCCACCATGCCCAGCCGATGTCCAGTTGTTGCAGCAAGTCCTGAGAGGCAACAAGGTGGGCAGAACTTCCTCTAGAAGCTGAAAATGGCTTCTCCCTAGAACCTCCAGAAAAGAACACAGCCCTGCTGATCCTTGATTATAGCCCAATGAGATACATTTCAGACTTCTGGCCTCCAGAATGGGAAGATAATACAATAGTGTTGTTTTAGTCTATGAAACTTTTAGTGAAGTGTTAGAGCAGCTCTGGGAAATGACCAGCATAACTGAGGCACTGGGCAAGTTGATTACTTTTCTGGATTCCCTTTTCTTTTCATTTGTAAACTCGTATAATCTAAGGGAAGTGTGTATATTTCCTTACCGTCTTTTACCATCACGTGACAACAAGTTGGTGCAAAAATTCTTCTTTGATTGCAACACTGGGTAGAATAAAAAAACAAAAACTATGTAAAACAGAAAATCGGTTCTTGCAAAAAGGAAGCAAATTGAAACATAGAACGTTTGAGTTTCATTTAGAATTGTAAAAGCATGGCATTCCAATGCTCTCCTCCCATGAGCATCTGCAAACTACGGCGCCGAGCTAGGAGAACAGAGTCTCCCGTTCTACATTTCAAATGTGAGCACAGTCTGTCAAAGGTAAATCACACACTTCCATCGGCTGGCATTTTTCAAAAGATCAATTATGTACTGACATCTCCGTGCATATAGGCACAGGATTATTTACAGCCACCACGCGAGGCTGAGACGTAGTGAGAATCTGGCCCTAAGCACAGTACAGAAATTCATACTCAGACGGCTGAGGAACGAAGGCAGTTCTGGAAGCTCAGTGGACTGTCAGAGCTTCTGCCTTACAGTGGCCGGTGCGTGGTGGAGCTGCCCACACCACAGGTGGCCCTTTCCCGTCCTCTCTTTCCCCTCCCAGATCTGCTGTTAGTTTCCCAGCCTGGGGCTTCCCACTGCCCACTTCCACCCAGGACGAGGGACGGGAAGGCTCTCAGGGAGCCGCCAAGTCAGTCCAACCCAAACACCTGTCAGAGAAACTCGGCTCATCAACAGGAGTCCACGTGATGGCTTAAAAACAGTCTGTGCTGGCTCATGACACGCGAGGCATAAATTAAATCATAACTGAGCATGCTGTTGACAGCACGTGATGACAGGTGTTGTGAATGAGTTGGCGCAGGGGCCACTGCCCTGCCTCGCGACTGTCAGTCATGGCCACTCCTCGCTCCTCTCCCGCTGAAGGGGATGGCTTGTCTAGCGATGAGGGGAGAGCCATTCGAGGTATCCGGGGTGGGAATTGGCTCGGGCATGTCTCATTCTCCACAGATGGCATCGGAGCCCCGTGGTGTCAGCGCATCTCCCACCAGTGGCTGGGCCGAAGCCTCTCTCAGGTGTGCAGTCCTGGGGCCCTGGGCCCGTTCACCCATGCAGGGAGCTCTTCTCCCGGCACCCTAGTGTCCACACCCGTCCCAGGTTCCTCAGCTGCAGTGCACACAGTGAAGGCACCAGCAAAGCAGGGACAGCCAGGAACAGAGCAAAACCATAGGGAAATGCATTGATGAGCGATATTTCCAAAATCAAAGGTCTCGGCCGGGCACCGTGGCTCACACCTGTAGTCTTAGCACGTTGGGAGGCTGAGATGGGAAGATTGCTTGAGCCCAGGAGTTGGAGACCAGTCTGGGCAAGAGAGCAAGACCCTGTCTCTATAAAAAATAAAAAATTAATAAAAATTAGCCAGGCTTGGTGGTGGTGCACCTATAGTCCCAGTTACTAGGGAGGCTGAGGCAGGAGGATCCCTGGAGTCCAGGAGTTTGAGGTTACAGTGAGCTAGGATCACACCACTGCACTTCAGCCCAGGTGACAGAGACCCTACTTCTAAAAATAAATATATATGGCGGGGCTCCATAGCTCATGCCTGCAATCCCAGCACTTTGGGAGGCTGAGGCGGGCAGATCACTTGAGGTCAGAAGATCGAGATCATCCTGGCCAACATGATGAAACCTTGTCTCTTCTAAAAATACAAAAATTAGCTGGGCATGGTGGCGCACGCCTGTCATTTCAGCTACTTGGGAGGCTGAGGCAGGAGAATCGCTTGAATCCGGGAGGCAGAGGTTGCAGTGAGCTAAGATCACGCCACTGCATTCTAGCCTGGTGACAGAGCAAGACTCCGTCTCAAAATATAAATAAAAATAAAGAAATAAAAATAAAAATATATAAAAGGTCTCCAAGTAGTGGAACATTTCAGAACTTTGTTGGACTTCCTATTTATGTTATGAATGATTACAGTTTTTTGAAATTGCCTATGGCAGAAAAACCGTAGTCCTTAGATTGTTTCTGAAAATGCCTTCTAGTCTGAGAAACCCCAAACCCAGACTCCACTTCACTTCCATTCTCACTGTCAGGATGGCTTCTCCCTGGGAAACCCGTAAGTCTTCTCATTCCTTCTTCCCAAACAGCCCCCACTAGGCTGCCTTTCACCAGGCCGCCTTCTAACCCCAACTTTCAGGTCCAATTCCAAAGCTCCCTCTCCCAAGAGCCCTCCGTGAACGTCCTGGTGAAAACTGGCCTGCGCCGTGGCTACCACGCATCATCCCGCCCATTTTGACCATAGCACTTGTCACAATCTGAAGTTGTCCTGGTGAAATCTGCGGGCTCATCGTCTTCCACGAAGCCCCTGGATGGCAGGGATCCCACCCAGCTTGCTCGTGACAGTCCCCTACCCTGGCCCTGCACCTGGCGTGAAGGATAAGCTCTGCGGACGTTCCCGGAGTGAAATGAGTGGATATGTAAACCAAACGCGCCCGGGTGCCCTGGGCATCTTCTGTGCCCGACCCCAGTCATCGCTCCTCTGCTCTGTGCCTTCATGGCAGGATGACCAAAGAGGAGTTGTGACAGCTGTCACAGTGTGTTACTGTCACCACGGGCCAGGTTTCACCTTGGGCCACACACGCAGTCCCAGCAGCTCCAACCCGAGATGCGTCTTCTGCTTAGCCTGGGGCTCACTCCAGCCCCAAAGGCTGCATGTCCCTGTGTGCGGGGAGTTTGCAGGAGAGCAGGTACAGGTGGCTGGCTGAGGTTACCTCCTGTCACCATCTCTCCTGCCTTCCCCCGACCCAGCCAACCACAGACTTGGGATGGCTGGAATGAACGGAGGGGACTGGTGCAGAGGGGTTTCAGACACCTCAAAAATACTGGAGAGAGGTGGCTGAGCACGGCAATTAGATAGTAATTCCTCTCCATGCTGCTCGTGAGGCACTGGCAGATATGGACCCTGCTGGAAGCAACCCACAGCCCAGCCTCCAGAAGCTCGCTGTCATGTGGGGCAGGGCTGCAAGGCCAGACACGTGCTAAGCCTTTTTGCACAAACTGCTTATTTGTTTTTTTCTTCACACTCCATTGAAGTAGCTATTCTTATTTTCCCCATATTATGACTTAAGGAATTGAACCTTGGAGAGGTAACGAGGCTGGCCACGGTCACGCAGGTGCAAGTGGCAGGGAGGCGAGGCAAGGCTTCGAACTCACTTCTCTCAGGCTGCAAAGCCCGGAATCGAAACGACTCCTCTGGGTCCTGCAGCTCCATATTCTCCGAGCCCTGGAACATTCTGAGGAAGAGGGAAATAATCTCCCTTCTGATATCTGCAGGGGACTCTGCCAAAAGCGCCCAGGGAGGAAAGGATGTTCTTGTTTGAGTCTAGAGCACCGCCTCTCACAAGCTTAGTGGAGGAGGAAGTGGGAGTGGATGTGGGCTAGAGAGACCCTCAGACTCGGGGCTTCTTTTTGTTTTTTTTGAGGCAGAGTCTTGCTCTGTCACCCAGGCTGGAGTGCAGTGGCGCAATCTAAGCTCACTGCTGGGATTACAGGCATGAGCCACCACGCCCGGCCTCAGACTCGGGGCTTCTAAAGCGGAGCTGAGTTTTCTTAACCTGGCAGACAGTTGCTGGGCAGAGTGCATGTTCAGAGCCCCAAGCTGCGAACCTTTCTCTCTAAGTGTCTTCCCCTGGTATAGAAAAGCAGAAAGCGTTTGCAGGGTAAGACCTCCAGATTCCAGTTCAAAATATTTCCTTGGATCTTGCCATTTAAAGCCTCTTAATAGGCACTATCCTACTTCTTTCTCTACCTAAGCAGATTGAGAGGCCTTGGAGGAGGGGACGCCATCCACAGACCTAGCTGGAAGGATTATTGATGGATTCAAGGAGGCCACGTGCTTTTAAGTGGGGTCCAAAAGAAATACAATGCCAGTCACAGATGTAATTTTATGTTTTCTAGTAGCTACGTTATAAAAAGCAAAAAAGAAACGTGGCGGACTTTTTGTTGCTGTAAAAACACATTACATTAAATTTACCATCTTAATAATTTTTAAGTGTATGGCTCAGCATGTTACATATATTCACATTGTCATGCAACAATCCTGGTGACATTTATTTTAATGATGTTGTTTATTTAACTCCATATGTACCAAGTATTACCATTTCAACATGTAATCAATATACAATCGTTAACAAGGTACTTTACTTTTTTCTTTAATTTCTTTAAATTTTCTTTGAAATCTGGTGTGCATTTTTTTACTTATAGCACAGCTCAATGCAGGCACTAAATTTTCAATGAAAATATTTATCACTGTTTGAATGTTACGAAATTTACAGTTGAAAAGGCAGATCACCACACCTTCCGCATTCTTGGAAGTTTTCCAGTAACTGAATTGCCAGCTTTTGAGTTTAAATTACTTAAAATTAAATAACATTTGGCCGGGCACGGTGGCTGATGCCTGTAATCCCAGCACTTTGGGAGGCTGAGGCAGGCTGATCACTTGAGGTCAGGAGTTCGAAACTAGCCTGGCCAACATGGTAAAACCCCGTCTCTACTAAAAATACAAAAATTAGCCGGGCGTGGTGGTGCACGCCTGTAATCTCAGTGACTCGGGAGGCTGAGACAGGAGAATCGCTTGAACCCAGGAGGCAGAGGTTGCAGTGAGCCAAGATCGTGCCACTGCAGTCCAGCCTGGGCAACAAGAGCAAAACTCCATCTCAAAATAATAATAATAATAATAAATAAAATTAAACGACATTTTAAAAATTCAGCTCCTCCATCACACAGGCCACACATCACAGGGGCAGTAGCCTCGTGTGGCTGGTGGCTCCTGTGTTGGCCAGTACAGGTCAGGAACTTCTAGAAAGTGCTTCCCAAGTGGTAGCAGTGATTGTCCTACTATAACTAGCAGAATGACAGGAAATGGAGGGTTTCTCGTCTTGACCTCAACAGTGACTACCCTGGTCAAGGAAGCCGGCTGGTTCACATCCCCCACCCCGAGCCGCAACTCAGGACCAGCCCACCCCATTCTGGGGAGGGGAAACATTCACAGCTGAACTTCTCTCTCTCCCTGCTGACCCTAGTAAATGAGGAGACTGGACTGGGAGGGGAAAAAAGACTTCAGACTGAAAATTAAGAATCACCCTGGCTTATTTTATCACTGGAAGATCACTTCAACAACTTCCTCCAGGAAATTGCAAAGGGAAGTCATTATCCAAGGCGGGGAGGGGAAGACGGTCCACGTGAAGCGCAGATGCCGCCCCCGTGCAGGGGAGAGTAGGGGCAGGGGCGGGTGTTTACTGGGTCATTTAACCGGGTTTCTATTTTTTAAAGTTTCCTTTTCTACGACTATTTGTTGACCCTAATTGTTTCCATGCCCATGAGATGCGTCCCTGAACTTCCTCCTGCGGCCTGTCGGTGGGGCCGGGTGGCTCCCTCTAATTGCCTGTGTTCCTGCCTTTTCCCTCGAGTCTCCAGGGCAGGCCAGTTCCCACATATGCTTCCAGAACCATCTTAATAGAGGGGCAGCAGCGCCCAGCTGACGACATATGTTTAGCTGCTTGCTGAGGTCGGCCAAGCGTGCAATATCACATTACATGAATGGGGAGGGTCAGGCCCAAACAAGCTGCTTTTTACAAGCGCTGGCTTAAGGATTTGCTGCTAATAGGGCTAACATGGTGGGGGAGTGGGGGGTGGGTAGCAGGCTTCTTGTCCAGCTCTGCTCTCTGTCTCCGTTTTGCATTGATTAGAAGGTTTTCGGTCTCCCAGGACAACGCTCTGTTAGAAAACGCCTTTGCAGCTACTGGGGTTCCCGGACCGAGGTGAAAACGGGGGCCTTGAGCCGGGAAAAATGCGGTCGAGGGTCTCTTGATATGTGGGGCTTCAGGACGCGAGCTGAGAGCCCTGCCGTGAAGAGCCAGCAGCCCTCTGCCCGCTGGCCGCTGCATTTATGCTCCATTAAGCCCACGCAGGCCCGAGGGGTAGATGGCGGCAAAGCAGAGAAAGACAGGCCAAGGCTGCTTTCACCCGGGCCAGTGCCAGTGTAGATGCGGGCAAATGCAAGGCCACCACTCACCTGTTGGGGCCCTACAGCTGCCCGCTGGACCCCAGAATGTGCCTGCACAAACTCCACTCCCGAAATCATCACAGGCCCTCCTTGAACCCGAGCCAGCCGAGGGCCTGGAGAACATTCCGGACAGAAATCAAAATGAATTTCAGGTGCTGGGTGCGGTGACTCATGCCTGTAATCCCAGTACGTTGGGAGACTGAGGCAGGTGGATCACTTGAGGTAAGGAGTTCGAAACCAGCCTGGCCAATATGGTGAAATGCTGTCTCTACTAAAAATATAAAAAGTAGCCAGGTGTGGGGGTGCGCACCTGTAATCCCAGCTACTGGGGAGGCTGAGGCAGAATTGCTTGAACCTAGGAGGAGGAGGTTGCAGTGAGCTGAGATCACACTACTGCACTCCAGCCTGAGCAACAGACCGAAATTCTGTCTAAAAAAAAAAAAAAGTGACAATCAGGGTCCCCTGTCAACAACAGTGAGGACGAAGTCATCTACTGAGCTCTCACTGCATCCATGGACTAACTGATTTAATCTTCACAACACCCAGAGAGGGGAGCACTATTATTATGCCCATTTAAAAGCTGAGAACGTAGAGGCAGAACAGTTGAAGTAATTGACCCAAGGTTGGCTTCTATCACAGTACCATTCATGCCTTCTCATGCAACTGGATATTTAAAAATTTCCTTCCTTCCCTCCCTTTTTCTCTTCCTCCCTTCCTTCCCTCACTGCTTACATTTTTGATATGAAAGCTGCTCTTAGTTTTTAAAAAAGAAGCCAATGATACAAAAGTGAGGAAGGTAAGACATCAAAGTGTCCCACACCTGTGCCTTACTCCTCTTAAGCTGCTCATCATTTCATCAGTATCACGTTCACACACAGTGTTTTTAGTAAGTAAATGTCATGAATTCATTCAACAAACATTCGTTGAGGATTCAGAACATGTAAAGGATTGTGCTATGGGGTAGATGTTTCTCAACTTCAGTACTAATGGCATTCGGGGCTGATTAATTCTCTGTCTTGCGGGGCTGTGCTGTGCACTGTGGGGTGTTCTGCCGCATCCCTGGCCTCTGCTCATCAGATGCCGCAGCACGCACCCCTTAGTTGCGACAACCAAAAATGTCTCCGGACATGGCCACGTGTCCCGTGGAGCCTAATGTCATCCCTGGATGAGAACCACTGGTCTAGGTGGATAGAGCTGTACGGGGCTCTTCTGCTGAACTTTCCCTTAGCTGTTGCAGAGTGGCGTCCTGAGGCTTAAGCTCAGACATTCCTAACTCTCACTTTTTACACCAGATTCAAGAGTATGGAGGTGCTAGAACTTAGTGAACTCCCCATTAATAGATATTTGGGGCTGTTTCCATTTTTTCTGCATAAGAATCAATGTCACAACTGCTTGTTCACACCTGCATCTGCATACACACATCTGAGTATTACTACAGGACAGATTCCAGCAAAATTGCTGGATCAAAGTATAGGCATTTAAATGTTTGCTATAAAATGTTAACATCCCCTCCCAAAGAGGGTTGTACCGATTCGTCCTCTCACTGAGGACATTTGAGAGTGCCTGCTAACCGCCCCCTTGCTGACAGGGATCAAAGCCATCAGGAAGAGCCCTCCGAAGAACAGAATGAGTTGAATGTGTCAGAGAAAAGAGGTGATCCCACGTTTCACTCAACGGGGCTCTTAGGTCATTTGTTTGCACTTTGCTTTTAACCTTATTTTTCATGAAATAAACATAATTACTCAAAGTGGCAATTTCAAAATTTCCAACATGCATAAATAGAGGACTCGCATTTGAACTTCAAAATATTAATGAATAAATTAGAAGCACGTGGGCGGGTCCTAGATTAGTGACCCTGTTGCAAAGAGAGAGGGCCTGGCAGACTAGCCCAACCTCAGGATTCCTCTGCCATCCCAGGATGCAGGCCAAGCTCTGAGTCCCAGAGACATGTGGATAGCCCAGGTGCATCATCTCTGAAGGCCATGCAAGGCAGGTTGGGGGCCGTACCCGCAGAGACCTGTGCTCCCCAGAGACAGTGGATGTCCTAAAGAGGACGGCTCCCTGAGGTCACCCTCCTCACTGTAATAACCTGCTGCTCTTCTGCCTTCAGGTTCCCCTTCCAATGACAAATCTCTGGCTCAGTTTGCATTTCCCCTCTGAATTAAATTTGAAGCAAGAAATTATTTTTTTTCTGTTTGAATACAGATAGGAGAGCAGGCTGGGTGCGGTGGCTCACACCTGTAATCCCAGTACTTTGGGAGGCCAAAGCGGGTGGATCACCTGAGGTCAGGCGTTTGAGAATAGCCTGGCCAACAGGGCAAAACTCCATCTCTACTAAAAATAAAAAAAATTAGCCAGGCATGGTGGCACGTGCCTGTAATCCCAGCTACTTGGGAGGCTGGAGAATTGTTTGAACCCAGGAGGTGGAGGTTGCAGTGAGCCGAGATCATGCCACTGCACTCCAGCCTGGGCAACAGAGACTGACTCAAAAAGCAAAACAAAACAAAAACAACAACAACAAGAACAAATAGGCAAGTAAAAATGCCTCTCTGGAATTTCAAGATAATGTTGTCGATTTGATCACAATGGGAACCTCCAATCTTTGCAATGGTTATTCAAATGGATAACACTCTGAACATCTATTTTTTTAAAAAAAACTAAATGAGATGAAATTATAGAAATAGCTAAATCATGCATATGGGTGCAACATTTCAAAGGCAAAGAAAAAGTTATAATGAGGGAAGTAAGCTTCCCTCCCTGCTCCTGTACACCCAGAGGCAACCACTGTTACTATTGGGGTAACCCACATGACATTTCAATATTTACTTGTTTTCCACCAACAAAAATGGCAGTTTCACTGGATGCAGTGGCTCACACCTATCATCCCAGGATGGCTTGAGCCCAGGAGTTTGAGACCAGCCTGGGCAACATAGGGAGACCTCATCTCCACAAAAGCACAAAAATTAGCCAGATATGGTGGTACACCATTAGTCTCAGCTACTCAGGAGGCTGAGATGGGAGGATCACTTGAGCCTGGGCAGTCAAGGCTGCAGTGAGCCATAATTGTACCACTTCACTCCAGTCTAGGTGACAGAGTAGGAACCTGTCCAAAAAAAAAAATGACAGTTTCATATGATTCAGTCTGTTACTCCCAGTTTCTCATTTTCTCAGATACTCTGTGTGTATAAATACACACTTAGACAGAATCTTTCTGTTTTCTTTTTTATATAAATTACAGCAAATTATACACACTGTTTTTCATCTTGCTTATTTCACTTAACAATGTATCTTGAAGGTAGCTCCATTTTAGTATTTAAAGAAGAGCTTCATTCTCTTTTTAACAGCCACGGAATATTCTGTTGAATGGATGTGTCACGATCTATTTAGCCAGCCCCCAGTGATGGACAATTAGATTGTTTTCAGTCTCTTTCTACCAAAAACAATGCTGCAATGCCTATCTTTGTACACACATTATGTCTCACAAGTGGGAGTATGTTTGCGGGATAATAAGTTATTCAAGGTGGAATTGCTGGGCCAAAGGATGTGTGTCTTTTTCATTAGGAAATCTATTGCCTAATTGTCCTCCATAGACGTTGCGTCAATTCATACCCTGAGTAGACTGACAGGTCCAGCTTGACACTGTGCCTGATTTTAAGGTCCACAGAGCAATGAATGTTCTCCACGGCTCTGAGATGAGTGGCACTACCGGGGCAGTCTGGGAAATGTGGAGTGTCTAGATAACGTGCCAAGTTTGGCTCTGTCTCCTCCAAAAGGCAGATAAGGATAGGGAAGTCTCCTCTGCAAAGCAGTCTCTTAGCCTGGAAGGTTGTGGCTGGGAAAAGGAAAGGAGGGGTGTCTCCATGTATTGGAGATGAAAGAGGGAAGTTAGGCCCTAAGACCCTCTGGACTCTCTTCTGCTCCCAACCTAGGAAGGGCTGTCACCCCAGAGGCTGTTCAACCTCAGGTGCCCACTTCACAAGCATTAGGTAAAAGACACTGTTGACACAGTATGTGGCTAATGTGTGTGCCACAGATTGATCATCATCAGGTGGCACGAGTTTCTGGTCTACCAGCGTGCTCTGGCAAACCAGTTGACCATCATTAGGCTAGGGATGGACAAGCCAGTGGCTGGTCTTGGGAAGCAGTTTAGCATGTTTCAATATGTTCTTAATTTCTTTAACATTCTCCCTTCAGAAGGTGAAAATGGATTCCCTCCCCTTCAATGTGGGACAGGCTGGATGGTGAAATAATCATCTGTGACTTGCAAGACTGACTCATGCAAGGCAATACAGCTTCTGCTGGCTCTCTCCTTCTTGGATTGCCCATTGTGGGAAAAGCCAGCTGCCATGTTGTAAGGACACTTAAGCAGCCTGTAGAGGGGCCCACATGGGGAGGAAGTGAAGCTCCTCACCAACCAGCAGCACCAAATTGTCAGTCACCTTGGACATCACCTTGGAAGTGGATCCTCCAGCCCCAGTCAAGCCTTCAGATGACTGTGGCTTTGGTCAACTTCGTGACTACAACCTCATGAGAGACCCTGAGTCAGAACTGGTCAGCAAAAGGGCTCCTGTATTTCTAACTCATAGAAACTGGAAGAATATACATGTTTATTGCTGTTTTAGGACACTAAGTTCTGGATAATTTATTGCCCAGTAATAAGTAACCATACATATGGCCAGGTTGATCAACTTGTGATGAGCCTGTTCTATCTGCTTCTTTGCCTCTACTTCATGTCTCCCAGCCTTGCGAGGAGGGAGAGATCCTCTTCAAATGACATGGAAGAGCAGATTCTACATCTTCTATGAGGTCAACATGAAGGAAATGTAGCCCATTACGAGAGGTCAAGAAGGATCCTGAATGTTCCTCTTCACCTTCACTGCTACCCTGTCACTGCAGGGTGTGGGAGCATTTCATAAGCTCCCTTACCCTCAGCTGTGTCATCTGAAAAATGGGGTGATAACCAAAGATGTAGTGTGGGCCCAGATAAGCTCTTCAAGTCCCTTAAAGCATTGAGCACCAGCTTTTATACATTTTAATTCATTCACGCATCAATCATCCATTTATCCACTCAGCAAATTTATGCTAAATGCCTACAATGTTTTAGGTACCATGAGAGGTGCTAGGGATATGAAAGAGAGCAAATCAATATCCCTGTTATCAAGGGGATCCCAGTCCAATGGGAGAGAAGATGGAGAGATGGACCAGTAACACATGATGTAATACAACTGTGCCAGGGCTGAATGATTACAGTAAGGAGAGCGGCCCCCTCCCAGGGTGGAGGAGCAGAGACATACAGACTGTGACTCCTGAGTGGGCCCTAAGACCCCTGCCCTGCAGAACCACAAAACCAGGCATAGTGTTCCAGGTTCTTGATCCAGTGTAAGTGGCAAAAATGGAATCAGAGAAGCTTGGGATATGAGGCTAGACATCCTGATGACCTAGCTGGACATATGCACTAAGTAAGGTCCAGAGGGAGGAGAACTTGCCCAGGGTTATGCAGATCCTTTCACCCCTTGAACTTGCCCAGTTCATTGCTTCCCCCAGGCCTTTGCACATGAAGTTCCTCTTTGCCAAGATCACTCCCACCCTATCCCTACTTTCTGGTTCAGAGAGCAGTGAGCTCCTTGTCACCATACAGATCTCTGTTGACATACTTTCTTCACAGCAAGGGCGCTATAACGAAGCCTGTCTTTGCCCACACTCTTCAGCCCTGTTTCATTTTTTCATGGCACTTGGACAATCATAATTGTGCTATGTATTATATGAGTTTCCCTTCCTGTTTTTGGTCAGCCTTCCTCATTAGAGTGTAAGCTCCACTTACACTCTAATGTAAAAAAAGTAATTTTTGTACTTTTTTTTTTTTAGTAGAGATGGGGTTTAATCCCGTTGGCCAGGTTAGTCTCGAACTCCTGACCTCAAATGATCTGCTCGCTTTGGCCTCCCAAAGTGCTGGGATCACAGGGGTGAGCCACCATGCCTAGCCAAGATCAACCTTTGAACCACACCAGTCTGGGGGCTTATTCCAGCTCTGCCCCTTACCGGCACTGCCACCTCATCCTCACCAAGCCTCAATTTTCTCGTCTATACAATAGGTTTTTTGATGATCAATAAGAGAATCCATACATGTAGAATCCTCTATGCAGTATTATCCAATAGAAAGAGAATGCAAACCACATGTGTGCTTTTAACTTTCCTAATAGCCACACTCAAAACATAAAAAGAAACAGGTGGAACTAATTTTATTATAATTTATTTGGCTCAAAAGATTATCATTTCAACATGTAATCAATATAAAAATCAGATATTTTACATTTTTTTGGTACTAGGTCTTCAAAATCTGGTGTGTATATTTTACACTGACAGCACATCTCAATTCAGACCAGCACACTTCAAATGCTCAAGAGCCACGTGTGGCTAGTAGCTGCCGTATCAGCTCAGTTCTAGTAGCTGCTGTATTAGCTCAGTTCTAGCATAAGGCTGGGCCCATAAGAAATATGACACAACTATGGATCACTTCTGGCTGCTCTTAACATGGGTACTAGAGAGAAGAAGAGATTCTGGGTTTTGGAGAGAGATTTCAAACATGGAACCCCCTGAGCTGAAAGCCACCTGGTGATGAGAGTCTGCTCCTTCAGGTCGGTTCTGAAAACTCTGAGGGCTGCTTGCTCACGGTCTGCATGAAAACCACAAAGAAAAGCAAATAATAGCCCAGCATCCCTCAGGCAGAGCCTCTCCCACAAGATTTAAATTTAAATAATGTCTACTATGAGTTACACTGAGGGAGTTCCAAATTTCCCAAACCATTGCTACTTAAATGTCATGTCCCCTGCTCATAACTCTCTCTCTCTCTCTTTTTTACTTTTTTTCTTTTTTTTTTGAGATGGAGTCTTGCTCTATCGCCCAGGCCGGAGTGCAGTGGTGCCATCTTGGCTCACTGCAGTCTCCGCCTCCCAGGTTCAAGCAATTCTCTTGCCTCAGCCTCCCAAGTAGCTGGGATTACAGGCATCCGGCCACCATGCCCAGCTAATTTCTGTATTTTTAGTAGAGATGGGGTCCGCCATGTTGGCCAGGCTGATCTTGAACTGCTGACCTCAAGTGATCGGCCCACCTCGGCCATCCAAAGTGCTGGGATTCCAGGTGTGAACCATCGCGCCCAGCCGCCTGCTCATAACTTTCAACGGCTGCTTATTTTCTGTTGGGTTAACGCTGAACTCCTGGGGCTTCTAAGCTCTTCCGGAGCCTGAATCCATCTCAGTTCATCCAGTCCAGTCTTCCCATTGCTCTGTTGTAGTTAAGGCAGCCACAGGCCAGGCCTGTGGATTGTCAGGGGGGAAAAAGAGGTGGAGAATGGTGCTGAGACCAAGGGCTTGGGAGAGCGTGGGTGGAGTCAGGCTGGCTGAGATCACAGACATCACAGTGAACATGTTACAGTCATTACATCTCATGGGGCGTGCTCATCCGTGCTAACTCAGTAGGTCTTTGCCACAGCTCCACAACATAATGTAGTGGACGTCTCCCGTTTAACCTGCCCTTGCATCCCTTTCCCATTTCTGGTAAGAGCACCCCAAACTCTGACTTGGAGGGTCTACCCCTCTGTGCTCTATCAATGTGGTTCTGGTGGTACCAACGACAATGTGGCACTCTTCACTCTGTGCCACAGGGAGGCCTGTGACCCAGGCCAGGCCAAACCTAATGCCCTATTCTTTTGGTTACAGTGATTAGACCCAGGAACTAGACATGTGTCATGAGTCTGGCCAATCAGAGCCTTCCCTGGGATCTCTAAATACTGATGTGAGCTGATTACGCTATGAAGATACACAAATGGAGCTCGTTTTCATCTGGTCTGAAGGCATGTGGGAGAAACCCTTCTGCAGGAAGAGAGCATGAGGCCAACTTGCAAGAGAAGCAGAGGTGAAAGAGAAGGAAATGGGAGAGAGAGGAAATGATATAGCCTTTGAGCTGCTAGATCCAGCTGTGCCTGAAGCCAGCCCCCTTTTTTTTTTCTTTCCTTTCGTGGATCTGCTTGGCATCTTTTACTTAAGCCAGTTTGAGTTGGAGTTCCAGCACATGCAACCAAAATAGTTCTGACGAACATAAGTCAAGATTAGCCCCTCTGTTGCATGAATGAAAAGACTAAGGCCAAAAAAAGCTAAATAATTGCTCCAGGCCCCCTAGAATGCAGAGCCAGGATTTGAGTCCTCATCCTTGGACTTCTCATCCTATGCTCTTTCCACAACATCCCCCACTGTGCTTAATGTCTGCATTAGTTTCCCATGGCTGCTATGGCAAATTGCCACAGACATGATGGCTTAAAACAATATAAATGTATTTCACAGATCTGGAAGCCAGAATCAGAAACAATGAATAACACACTGAACCAAACCACAGGGTATCAGTAGAGCCGTCCTCCCTCTGCAGGCTCTACAGGAGGATCTGTGTCTTCGTCTTCCAGCACCTGGTGGCTGCCAGCATTCCTCAGCTTGTGGCTGAATCCATCCAGTCTGCCTCTGTCATTACTTGTCCTCCCCTCTATGTGCATCAAATCTCTGTCTGTCTCTTATGAGGACACTTGTGATGGCCTTTAGGGCCCACCTTGATAAGCCTAGATTATCCCCTTATCTCAAAAAGATTCTTAACTTAATCACATCTGCAAAGAGCCTTTTTCTCCAAAGTCACATTCACAGGTTCTAGGGATTAGGACCCAATATCTTTAGGTGGCCACTATTTAGCCTAATAGAGCATCTGAGCTCTCAGGATTTAGTGTTTAAACATCCATGAATCAGCCCTGAACAAAACCTTCAGGACCCAATAGTCCAGTCTCCCCAGCCCAGTGGTTAGTTCCCAGCCTCCTCTTTCTTCTCCGTTCAGATGCCAGCACAAGACTGAGCACAGGAGTCAATCCTGACTCAGCCTCTCCTCCCCTAGGCAGGAGTAAACCAAGGGTATTTCACCCTTTTAAAAAAATGGACCCCTTTCTCCTTCCTAAAGGCAACGCCTGCTGTTCACCCTGCTTAAATCTGCAGCTTCTGGTTGTAAGAAACAGAGCCACCATGGCTATCTCACATAACAGGGATATGTTATAAAGCTACTTTGCACATTGTTGGGGTTCAGGGGGTCTGACTGCCTGGATTCGAATCCCAGCTCTGCCATTTTTTGGCTGTGACTTTTGAACAGGTCATTTAACTGCTGGGAGCCTGGAGCCTCTGCTTCCCTGAAGATGGGGATGCTGGTCTTACCTCAGGGCTGGGTGACTGTGAGGGTTAAATGGGAGTGCATGCGTTCCCGGAGGAGCCTGGCAGTGTTATTACTGTTACTGTCACAGGGAATCTGCATTTTTTTTTCCTTTGCTATAAACTGACTTTCTCAGGTTATAAATGTTAGATACTATTATTTCTACCAAATAGAATCTGAGGGTTATGACTTCCTTGGGCCCCTTACAGTGTGTAAGTCCTCAGAACCCCAAGTGGTACCCTGCCTCTATGGGCCAGGGCTCCTGACCGGCCCCAGGGCATCCTTCCACGCCCACCTCCATCCCGCAGGCCCTTCTGGGCTTCCCACCCTGGGGGCATTGGTTGGCACAACCCACTGCATCTCAGCGCCCCACCCTGGTCCAATCAGCACATCCCATCACTTCCCAGCACAAGGCCCTGGTCCAATCAGCGATGGGCAGTTGGACAGCATGGGCGGGGCTGGGGGTAGCGTTGGGTGCCTGTAAGACCCAGGTGCAAGACTTGGTCTGGCCCCAGGACAGGTCCTGGGGGCGGGCAGTGTGGGCAGCCCAAGGCCACGGCATCTCTCGGCTTTGCTTCCCCGAGAGCCTGTCTCCACCTCCTCCACTTTATTCTCACTCTTCTCCATGCACCGGGTTCACAGCCTCCCTCCAGCCCCCTATGAAGCCTCCCAGTATTTATTCACCCCATCGTGACCTTCCCTTTTGGACGATCCAAGTCCTTATCTCCAGTGGGATACATAAGACTTTGCAAATTCTTCCCTAATCATGGGCTCCCATAGTGTTTCTATTTTCCTCGTTGGAAACAACAATAACAATAATGATCCTAAAAGCAGCGAACGGTGCTGGGCTGTGGTAGTTGCCAGGCAGTGGCTAAGTGCCTTTATGTGTATTGACTCGTTTCATTGCACACACGTCCATGCATGTGGAGTGTAGGAGCTTTATTTTATTGCTAATGAAGCTGCGGAATCTGCTAAGTCTCAGGGCCAACAGACAGACCTTCCGCCAAGGTTAGTTCCATTCTTTTGCTAAGTGAATTCCAAATAAATAAACGTGAATGCTAAAACCATACTGCCCTATAGCATTACTTTAAAAATAAAACAACTAATGATTTTTTTTCTGATTACAAAGTAAAATCTGTTCATATGGAAAATTTGAGAAAAAAAAAACCATACTAAGCAAAAATAAAAATCACCCACATAAATATTTTGGTTATGGCTGTTTCCAAACTATCTGTCTATCTGCTTCTATCTACTTTTTAGGGGATTACATTTAAGCCATGACTTATTTATTTATTTATTTTTGAGACTGAGTTTTGCTCTTGTTGCCCAGGCTGGAGTGCAATGGCGCGATCTTGGCTCACCTCAACCTCCGCCTCCCAGGTTCAAGCGATTCTCCTGCCTCAGCCTCCCAAGTAGCTTGGATTACAGGCATGCGCCACCACACCTGGCTAATTTTGTATTTTCAGTAGAGACGGGGTTTTTCCATGTTGGTCAGTTTGGTCTTGAACCCCCGACCTCAGGTGGATCCGTCTGCCTTGGCCTCCCAAAGTGCTGGGATTACAGGCGTGAGCCACTGCGCCCGGCCTACGGCATGACTTTTTAACATTTTCCAAGTCTCTAGGGTTCTCTGATTGGATATTTATGTTGTATCCTATTTTTCTGCTATTGTAATACCTGAAAATATTCTTAAACCTGTATTTCTGCCTGCTTTTCTGATCAATCATTTCCTTAGGATAAGAAGTGTGTATTTCTTTCTTTTTTTTTTTTTTTTTTGAGACAAGGTCTCGCTCTGCTACCCAGGCTGGAGTGTAGTGGTGCAATCATAGCTCACTGCAGCCTCCACCTCCTGGGCTGAAGCCATCCTCCCACCTCAGCCTCTCGAGTAGCTAGGACCACAGGTGTGCACCACCATGCCCAGCTAATTAAAAAAATTTTTTTTTTTTTGTAGAGACAGGATCTTCCTAGGCTGGTCTTGCATTCCCTGGGCTCAAGAGATCTGCCCGCCTCAGCCTCCTAAAGTGCTGGGATTACAGGCGTGAGCCACCATGTCTGGCCTGGGGATGTATTTGTTTCAAGCTTCAGATGCACATTCCCAGGTGCCCCTGAACGGCTGCAGCCATTGCCACCCCTCCGCAGTGTCGGAAGGACCCCGCTCACCTCCTCAGCAGCTCAGGGGTTATTTTGGTTTTGTTTTTTAAATCTTTGCCAGTGTTTTCCTTTGCATTCTTAAATTCCTGATGCCATGAATTTATTTCATTTTTCTATATGGAATTTACTGGCCATTTGGGCTTCCTTTCCTCTTCTTTACAGCACAGATTTTACACATTTTCTCCCCAGCCTTGGCATTTTCTTTTTTTTAAACCTTATTTCCCCTTCCCCTTGATCTATTATCTATTTAAAACATGATGCTGGTTATGTGGTTATGAGTCCCTTCTGCTTTAAAGGTTGGATAAATGGATGTACGGCATCAGCTCAACAGCTGAATTAGTTTTCAGGTCATCCCACCCAGCTGTGCTAGTCTTTTTTTTTTTTTTTTTTCTTAAGACAGGGTCTCACTCCCATGGCCCAGGCTGGAGTGCAGTGGCATGATCACAGCTCACTGCAGCCTCAACCTCCCTGGGCTCAAGTGATCCTCCCACCTGAGCATCCTGAGTAGCTGGGACTGAAAGTATGTGTCACCACGCCCGGCTAACTTTTGTATCTTTGTAGAGACGAGGTTTCACCATGTTGCTCAGGCAGGTCTTGAACTCCTGGGCTCAAGCGATTCTGCCCACCTCAGCCTCCCAAAGTGCTGGGATTACAGGTGTGAGCCACAGTGCCCAGCCTAGCTATTCTATTCTTGCCACTGGAAAACCCTCACAGAAGAAGTGTGGGAGGCCACATCGGAGAAGAGGAGGTTATGCTAAAGTGTCCAGAAAAATGGTGCCTACATAAAATAATTCAGGATCTCTAAAAATCACTATTCACTTGCCATCCCATAGGGTTGTGAAGATGAAATGATGTAACGTATATGAAAACAGAACATTCTCTGCTCAGTTCTTTGGAGGGTAGAAGTATTTAGACAAAGCACTTCAGAGTTTATAAACATTTATCAAGAGCATTTTGCAGCTCACCCCAAGGCTCTCTGGTAGATGCCATCTCATCTGAAATTGTCAATGCTTTGCTGGATCAAAGAAGTTACATGAAAGGGGACTTAAAATGAAAGGAACAGCCCACAGGAGCTTCCTGTTCAGTACCTGACATTGGAAAGGTTTTATCCCAGCGGATCATAACCACCTTGCAAAGCAGATAGAACCACTCTTCAATAGATGGCATTTATTGCTTATTACGTGCCTACTGTGTGCTAGGCTCAGTTCGAAGTCCCTGGGGATGGAACAAGGAGGGAGGAAGACAGACAAGCCGCCTGCCCTCACAGGGCTTTAGGTTCCAGGGGTACAATTCCAAGGAGATGTTATCCTCTTTTGATGGATGGAAGTCTCAGGGATGGTCAGTCACCTGCCATGGCCATCCAGGACTAGAATGCAGATGTCCCTAACCTCAAAGCCCCTCACCATCCTGGGGTCCCAATTCTCTACTACATCGAAGCAGCCGGTACCTCACATGTGTATTCTCATCTCCATTCAGAAAGCTCCTAACTACATTTCCTGGAGGTGCCCTGTGTCCAAAGGTGCACTTTGTCTGATCAGGCCCATAGATAGGGGCCTGTCATGGAAAGTGGCAAAACCAAAACCATCCAGAGCGATTTAACCCTTCATCGCCCATTTGCTGCTGTCATGGGGCAGGAGGACAGGAGCTGTTTCAGACCCAAGACTTTTCTGGGGATTTTAGATGGAGGAGTCCTAATCCCTGTTTACTCTGTCTCTATATTGGCAAGTGTTTCCCTGGGCTTAAAAGGGCAGAGAGGGGAGGCTCTTGTTCTAACAGCAATGAAGCCATCTTGCCACTGGTAAGAAATAAAATGATGAGAAGATTGCTGGGCCTCAAGTCTGTCACCCACACCCCACTTCTCTGGGCCACTCAGACACTGTCCTCCTGGAGCCAGTCCAGGACCCTCCTCTTCTCTACTGGGGACAAAATGGGAATAATAATACTAATAATGGTAAAGAAATGAAGCATTTGCTTTCTTTTCAAAGCTCTCCCAAGGGTTCAGCTGGGCTTTCTGGCCAATTCTCCCAAGGCTTTAGAAAATAGGTTTGAGTTTGCTGAGGGCTCTGCATCCACCTGTTGAAGAAGGCTGAGGGAGTAACTGAATTTCGGGTTGCTCTCAAGACAGTGCACAGAAACAAGAGGTCCAAACTCTCACCTCCAAGGTAAACCCTTCTGATTTTAAAGGTTTGTGGGAATGCCAGCATCACTGAGCAGCCCCAATCCTCAAAGAACACTCGATAATGATTTATGGTTGTGGCTTTACCAACCAGGCACGGCAGGAGTGAGAATATTCATGCTGATGCTTATTCGTGATCTGCGCTAGGTGAATTACAGGCATGGTCAGGTGTCAGCCCAGAGACAGGCCCACTGTGGAGTAGGTGACACATGCCGAGGCCCTCTTATTTGCCCAGAGGTGCACAGTTAAGTAGTGAAGGCAGAATCCAAATGCAGATCCATCTGCTCCACTGTCCTGGGTCTGTTTTGTTTGTTTGTTTGTTTGTTTGTTTGTTTTTTGAAACGGAGTCTTGCTCTGTCACCCAGGCTGAAGTGCAGTAGTACGATCTCAGCTTACTGCAACCTTCGCCTCCCAGGTTCAAGCTATTCTCCCACCTCAGCCTCCCGAGTAGCTGAGATTATAGGCACGTGACACCATACCTGGCTAATTTTTTCAGAGATGGGGTTTCACCATGTTGGCCAGGCTGGTCTTGAACTCCTGACCTCAGGAGATCTGCCTGCCTTGGCCTCCCAACATACTGGGATTATAGGCATGAGCCACTGTACCTGTCCTGGATCTGTTTTTAAAGCAAAACCTGGCGTCTCCCACCTTCAGCTGGCCGCTGGAGCACTTCAGACTCCATCTGGGGAGCGGAGTGCCTTCCAGGCACTTTCCCTCTGCCCCAGGCTGGCAGCACAGGGTCCCACTCGCCATTTGGGGCCCCAGAAGGCAGAGGGGCCCGGGGTGAGTCTGAGTCTGCTCCCTTTGCAGTGAAGGCAGACTCCAGGGAGCTGGCCTTTCAAATGCAGAAAACAATTGTCCTGCCTTCCAAGCAAATGACAGGGGCTCATTTTGGAATCTTCCAGTTGCTCCTTTCCCCACTTCAGATCTGGGACTGCTTTTTCCAGCCTCTGCAGAAGGCAGGCCTAGCAGGCACCCTCAAACAGACTTCTAAGTGGGACTTTCAGTGCCAGGCGAGGTGTCACCCAGGACCCCCCACCCATAGGCTGAGGGAAAGAACAGTGCCAGATGACACCATACCTGCCACCTGCATCCCCTCCCGGGTGTGACCCTGGGCAAGTTACATGGCTTCCCCTGCAGTCTCAGCACTGTCTTCCTTACTGGCTGGTGAGGAGGGTCCCATGGAAACTGGCTCCTGGCAAATGCTCCGCTAAACAGAAAACGGGAGATAGGCGTGGGGGTGGGGGCACAGGTGCCAACGTGGTGCCTTCAATTTGCTTCCCCCCTCCATTTTGGGCTTTTCTTGGTTTGTTAGTGACTAATGGGACTTGGGCAAACTCTCAGGCGCATCCAAAGGAGAAGCCGTACTTGGAAATCAGACTCTATCCCCTTGAGTCAGATGAGGATGAGAGACTTGATCTCATTTCTGCCAAGGCCACAGGGCTGGATCCTGAGAACTCAGCATGACTTGGACCTCCCGAGGCCTCTGGGTGAGTGATAGGGCTCTGGAATCTGAAGTCCCAAAGCTCAGTGGGCAGAATGGCCTTGGCCCTGAAGCTCAGTGTTTTCCCTCCTTTTCTCTCCAAGGATCAAAAGCCAGTGACTTTCAAACCCGACCAGATCCCAGGTGTCCTTGGAGATTTCTCAGGACTGCCCCCGGGATGGAAAAGCCTCCTTCCACCTTTTGTGGCCTCAGTTTCCATGTCCTTGAGATTTCAGCAGGGACAGCGCCAGGATCCTTAACTAGGAGACACGTTGTAGACATACCTAGGGGGAGGCCTGGGCATCCGTCTTAAAGCTGCATTTATTTGCAAAATAAGCTCAGTGTTTTTATTTGTAGGATAAGCTAAGTAGATTATGTAAAATCTCCACGTCTCCCATCCATATTGCCAGTGTTGTGTGGTTCTGGGTATGATTGCACCCTGAAAAAAAGTGTTCTATGCCGAGGAATGAAAATTAAAACCCACAAATCTAACCTCTCGAGTGCACGCACGCACGGTAGTCACTTAGCGCCTCCCATGAGCCAGAGCTTTCATTTCCCATCCAACTCTGGAAGTGCTGCTTTTCTTGTTATCCCCACTTGCAGATGCAGAAACGGAAGCTCTGAGGGATGGCCTCGCCCAGCACACACCTTTGCAGAATTTGCTTTCAAAGCCAGGTCTCTACTACCATCTCCAGCACGCTGCTGAGCCTCTATGTGCATTAGAAAGTAAAATCACAGATGAATTTCTCAGCCATCTCAACGCGCCCCATCTCAACGCGCCCCATCTCACATTCATTATCATTTGCTTTGAAGGATTTTTTTCTTTTTGAACAGAAGGGGCACCTGGCTTTCCTACTCTGATTTGCAGATGTGTGTTGAAGGAATGGAGAGAGTAGATTTTGCAGTTATTCCCTCTGGGCCCTCCGACCTTCTTGGAGACCTGTCATGCAGGGTTAGCAAAGCCATTTCAACACACTACTGTGGTGTGGACAACCAACACAGACTTTGCTGCCCCGGAACAGCTCCCCACTGCCACCTCCACCCCAATTCTCTAGCTTTTAAAGCCTTTCACTTGGCAGGAAAACGCTGCCCCCTTCTGGCTTAAATGGACAGGCACGTCCAGGGCAAGGATTCAGATTCCTGTGAACGTCATTCAATGTGAATAATAGGCGCACTGAAGACCAAAGGATAAATCGGGGTAAACGGGGCAGGGCAAGACAATGCCGCTGGGCGGAGATGAAGATTTTGCGATACCCTCTTCACTTAACGAGATTCATGCAGTCCCTTCGGGGCAACAATAGCATTGCCACCAGTTGCACAACCCAAGATGTTGCTGACAGACTGTCCTCTGTGGAAGAGGTTATAAAAGCATCTATGATTTCAGAAGGGGCAATAACTCCAATAACTAACACAGTCTCCAGGGGTGACTCTCAAGCCGTGAAAGTCAGGACAGCGGCAGGAAGCCCCACACCGCCAGCAGGGATCCTTGGCTGCCAGTGGAAGCTGGGCTTGGCTTTGTGTGGGTTCTGCGCTCCTTCGCCCAGTTTCAAAACCTCCCGCACCTGTGTCTTTCTCCATGCAAATGAGCCCAACAGGAAAAACAGGCGCCTGTGGAGGTTTCACAACAACCTAGAAGCTGTCCCATGCCAGATCTCTGTCGGTGAGAAAATGTGTGTGGATGCTGACTTCTAGAAGACTCCAAAGCGCTTGTCTTCCCCACTCCCCATTTCCAAAGGCTGAGACTCCTCTGCACTCCGAGTTTCCTCCCACGCTTCGTCTGAAGAGTGGGTTTTGGGGAGTGAAGGATAGAAAATATCTGAAGACTCTTCCCTATGACTTAAGACATGAATTTTCTTCTCAAGTCTTGAACTAAAGTCAGAAAGTGTTTGCAAGAAATGTTCTTCTAGGTCCCACATCCACGGGACCAGATGATGCCTGGGTGAGCATGTTTTTTATGTATTTATTTATTTTTGAGATGGAGTCTCTCTCTGTCACCAGGCTGCAGTGCAGTGGCGTGACCTTGGCTCACTGCAACCTCCACCTCCCAGGTTCAAGTGATTCTCCTGCCTCAGCCTCCCAAGTAGCTGGGACTATAGGCGCCTGCCACCACGCTCAGCTAATTTTTGTATTTTTAGTAGAGACGGGGTTTCACCACATTGGCCAGGATCATCTTGATCTCTTGACCTCATGATCTGCCTGCCTCGGCCTCCCAAAGTGCTGGGATTACAGGCATCAGCCACCACACCCAGCTGGGTGAGCATGTTAAAGATCCCACAGGGAAGGAGCATGAGGGTCAGATGGGGGGAACATGGGGACCAGTTGGAGATGGAAAATGAGGGGTCAGATGGGGAAGGAACAGGAGGAGGTTAAATGGAAGAGGAACATGAAGGTTCAGATGGAGGAGGAATATGGAGACACAGATGGGGAGGAATGTGGGGGTCAGATGAGGGAGGAACAGGAGATCAGATAGGGGAGGAACGGGAGGAAGTCAGATGGAGAAGGAGCATAGAGGGTCAGATGGGGAGGAACAGAGGTCAGATGAGGGAGGAACATGGGCATCAGATGGGGAAGGAACAGGAGGAGGTCAGATGGGGGAGAGCATGGAGGCTCAGATGAGGGAGGAGCATGGAGGGTCAGATGGGAGAGGAACAGGAGGAGGTCAGATGGAGGAGGAGTATGGAGGCTCAGATCGGGGAGAAGCATGGAGGGTCAGATGGGGTAAGAACAGAGGAGGTCAGATGGAGGAGGAACTTGGGAATCAGATAGGGGAGGAACAGGAGGAGGTCAGATGTGGGAGGAGCATGGGGGTCAGATAAGGGAGGAGCACGGAGGGGCAGACAAGTCTGCTCTTCTGGCCTAGCTTGGGCTCCAGAGACTGGCATCCCCCCGGGCGGGTTGGCCTAGTGTGTGTCTCTGCTCTCCTTGTTCTTTGTAGCCTGTTTTTGTCCCACCAGCCTGTGAGCACCGTGTGACTGGGACCCGCCTCCCACATGAGTGTATCCCCAGCACCAAGCCAGGGCCTGGCACACAGCAGAGCCCAGCACGTCTTTGTTGCACGAGTGTGGGAAAGTGGCCAGCATCCAGGAGAGGAAGGGCCTGGCATGTTCAGCCCCTTCCCCTAACTGGGTCTTGATCACTATCCTGTAAAAGGAGGGAAATGGCCACGGTTTTCTCGGCCATCGGCTGGCTGGACTGTGCATTCTCTGGGGTGCCGTAAAGTCCTGTTCTGGGGCATTGCCCTGCATGATCAGCCTCCATCATTTTCCTCCCTGAAGTGGGAGGCAAATGCCAGCCCCCAGAGGGCAGGAACCCAGCACTTCCTGAGCGACATGTGGAGCCCCAGACCCCAGCTCATTCCGTCCCCCATGACAGGTGTGTGGACACTGTGGGGCTCCTGTGTCTTCACAGGAGTGATTATCCAGTGACCAGATCCCCACCAGGGGTAAGCAGGGAAACTGAGGCCTACAGCCCAGAGATTCTGGACTACCCAGGCCTTTGTCATGGAAATCACCCATTGTGCCCCTTTTGTGTGCTGGGCACAGTGCTGGACCCAGAGCTCACTAGAGTGAGCCGAGCCCCTGTGCCTGTCGGCCTGCCTTACAGTCCGGTGGGGGAGACAGAGATTAAAGGAATATTTGTACAAATAATTCATCCCAGCGGTTGAAAGTTCTCCTGAAGGAGAATGACAGGGGACCCTTTGGGAATGGAAAGGTCAAGATTGGTGGGAGATGACAGCATCACAAAAAGGGAAGAGCATGCTCTGGTGGGGGAACAGCTTGTACAAAGGCCCCAAGGCAGTTCTTGGGGAAGCGCAGGTGCAGCTGGCACCATCTGTTCCTTTTTCCTCCTACCAAGAGCTCAAGGGTGATGCCTGAGGTAGCTTCAGCCATCTCCCAGCCATGAATGAAAGACCAAGGGAACCTGTGGCACTAGCACTATTGAACTGCTGAATTCCCTGCAGCCACCTAGGTCCAAGTTCCCATCATGTAAGAAGCAGTGATTTTTCTTTTACTTGCAGCTCAATGCATTCCTATCTGAAGTGGGGCAGAGAGGCTGGCAGCCTTCTTTACTAACCAGGCCTGGGATGAGGTCAGGGGACACTGCTCCGTCACAAGGTGGGTTCAACTCAAGTGAAAAGGTACCCATTCCCATCATCACCCTGCCACTAGTGGGAGCCCCTCTGTCCCTCTCTGAAAACCCCTTACTGCCACTGGAGTTGGTCTAATCCTTGGAGGAAATGTCACCCCTTAGGAAATGCCCAGCTCAGTCCTCTGGATGACCTCCCACATCCCAGGAACAACGAAGGTCATGTTATCCAGATCCCTCACAGGGTCCAAGTGCACCCCCTCTGGCTTTGCAGCTCCTCCCTCCCTCTGCTCTACAGACCAGCGACCCATCCTGGTGAGGTCACCGAGTTGTCCTGTGTGGAGTCCGGCTCTTGTTTCCAATGGGGAAAACAGCTTTCCTCAGAAAGTTCTACTCCCTCTGGGGAAAACGACTGAGAGGCTCTTGGCAGGGCTATTCCCAGTTTCCTCACTAATTACTCTGGGATATTCCCTCCTGAATGAAGAAACTTCTATAATTTGGGTTATAAAAGATCTCTTTGAATTTTCTCCAGAGTCTGCTGTGATTATAACAATAAAATATACGACACACATGAAGACTTTCATCCCAGCAGCCCCAGGCTCACTGCAAACGAGTCATAATTATGCATCTCAACAGCACCCCCCATTCTCTCCCAATGTGGAAACTGAGGCAAAAGGAGGTCAAGGCTATGGCTCCTCAGCCACCAAGAGACCCACAGATCTGCTGTGACTTCCCTGTGCCCAGAATTCCAGCCTTGCGGGGAAGCCGTGGGAAGTTCACTCAGGCCATCTCAAATCCCAAATGTCCACCACCTTGAACACCCATCTTTGGACAGTGGGAAAGCTGTGATCCAGCTCCATCTGGATCCTTTAGTTACCCTAAACCTTGAGCGGCCATGGAGTCCCGACTTCTGACCTATGAGATTACACAAAAACAATACAAAACAGCAAAACACATGATAGAACAGTGAAACGCGAATGCTGCGTTGCTTGGGTAACCCACGTGTCCGTCTCACCAGGTTGTGAGCTCTCCCAGGCAGGGACCACGTCGCCATATCAGGGTCAGTGCACGGGCACAGGATGCCACCTGCCGTGAGCACCTGCTGTGTGTTTGATACTATTCCACACCATAAGGATCCAGAGATTTCCACCGGGGACTTTGCCAAGCTGTTATCTCCCCTCATGACTGAGTGTAGAACAGAGTCCCAGGCTGGGCGCAGTGGCTCGCGCCTGTAATCCCAGCACTTTGGGAGGCCAAGGTGTGAGGAGCACTTCAGCTGAGGAGTAAGAGATCAGCCTGGGTAACATAGTGGGGCTCCATCTCTACAAAACACAAAAAGATATACTTTAGCCAGGCGTGTGGTGTATGCCTGTAGTTCCAGCTACTTGGAAGGCTGAAGCGGGAGGATCCCAGGATCCCTTCAGCTCAGGAGTTGGAGGCTGCAGTGAGCTGTGAGGCCACTCCAGCCTGGGGGACAGAACAAGACCCTGTGTAAAGTGGCAGTCCTCTACCCATGTGTGAGCGTGATCACTTCCACAAATGAACACTGAGGAGGTCTCTTCTGTGCCAGGTTCTGTGCTGGGCCTTGGGATATAAGCAGCATGGCCCTCCCTTGTGGGGCGCGTGGGGAGAAGGATGTTAAATAATCTAAAAAAGGGGCCTAAAACTCAATCTTTGAAGGTGAGCTGCAGGGTGGTGTGGTCTCTTTGATCTCTCAGGGGAGCCAGGGAGGGTGTCTGTCGAACGGTGACTGTGGAGGTCAGATCAGATGCATCAGCAGGAGGTAGCAAGACAGAGGTGGGAGGGAGGGCTGAGTGGTTGAGGCAGTGCACACAGTTGTGCAAGGGCCCGGGGGCAGGAGGAAATTTGGTGTGACAGAAGGACTGAAGGCAGTGTGGCTGGACAGTTGGGCTGTCCAGAGCATTGGGACCATGCTAAAGATTTTATTCTTGATCCTAGGAGCAATGGGAATCTATCAAATCATTTTAAGCAGGAGCCAGATTTGACTCTATGCACATTTTTGTTTGTGTTTGTTTGTTTGTTTTGAGATGGAGTCCGGCTCTGTCGCGCAGGCTGGAGTGCAGTGGCGCGATCTCGGCTCACTGCAACCTCCATCTCCTGGGTTCAAGCAATTCTCCTGCCTCAGCCTCCCAAGTAGCTGGGATTACAGGTGCATGCCACCATGCCCAGCTAATTTTTCGTATTTTTAGTAGAGATGGGGTTTCACTGTGTGAGCCAGGATGGTCTCCATCTCCTGACCTCGTGATCCGCCCACCTCGGCCTCCCAAAGTGCTGGAATTACAGACGTGAGCCACCGTGCCCAGCCATCTCTATGCACATTTTAAGACATGTCTGCAAATATTTTCTGTAAAGGGCCAGATAGTAAATCTTTCAGGCTTGGGGGAGCATAGGGTGGAAATGGCTCAACTCTGCCCACAGAGTGCAGAAGCAACTGTAGACAATAAGCAAAGAATGAAGAAGTGCAGCTGCCTGTAGCAAGCAGGAGGCCCACAAAAGGGATATCGATTATTACTGAGGACATGACTGCAAGTTATGATTCACTCACTCCTGCATTCACCCATTCAACAGATACATTAAGTACCTGCTACAGGTGAAGCATTCTTAATCTGAAAATCTGAAATGCTCCAAAGCTCAAAACTTTTTGAGTGTTGACACCATGCTCAAAGGAAACACTCTTTGGAGCATTTGGGATTTCAGAGTTTGTGTGTGTGCGTGTGTGTGTGTGTGTGTTTAATTTCATTTTTTAAACTAGAGACAGGGTCCTACTGTATTGCCCAGGCTGTCTCAAACTTCCGGCCTCGAGTGACTCTCCCACCTCAGCCTCTCAAAGCGCTGAGATTACAGGCATAAGCCACTGCACCTGGCCGGGATCTCAGATTTGGGGATTACGCATGCTCAACTGGTAAGTATATTATAAATATCCAAAATCTGAAAAACACCCAAACTCCAAAACCCTTCTGATGGCAAACATCTCTGGTGATTGATAATCAGCCTGTGTGTATGTGCCAGGCACTGTCCTCCGCAGTGGGGAAACCGCAGAGAACGAAACACTTCCCATCTGAGTGAAGCTTGTGCTGTCGTGAGAGAGGCAGATGATAAACCATGAATAGGTAACATAGTGTCAGGGAGAGATGAATGCTAGGAAGAAGAAAAATAGGAAAGGAATGGGAAGTGATGGGGGTCTCCTTTAAATAGGAGGGGCAGGGAAAGTCTGAGGAGGTGACACTGAGCTAGGACCTGAATGCAGACAATTGGGCGGGGGAGCCTTCTTAGCAGCAAAGAGCACATACAAAAGGCTGGAGGCAGGATTGTGCTTTGGGTGTTGAGGGAGCCAGCGGTGAGAGATGCAATCTCCAAGCCTGTGGCTATAAGATGTAAACTTGAGAAGTGTACAGAGACACACTGTTAAACTACACACACCATGAAGAACAACATTTCACCCAGCAGGATTAAGCTATTTCCATTTGTGCGTTCAGTAGATGTATTGAACCTACCTGTGACCCAACCCGATCCCCTCTGGCCTCCAAAGATTTGGGCCAGTAAAGACAAAGACCTGGCCGACCTGTGTAGACTGAAGAATCCCAGCCTCCGGCTCAGTGTCCACAGGCCAGGCTTAGGGAAGAGTTTGTGTGTGAAGTGACAGACCATAGGACTGAGCCACAATCTAGGCTCGGAGTCTTTGAAGCTAATGACCAAGCTAATGATACACAAACCCGGGAGTTGAAGAGGACCCCCGACCAAAACTCTAAATTAGCCTAACCTCAAACTGTGTCAAACTCAGCCAAAAAAATGTTATGAGCTTGGTTTGTTGTTTCCTCCCACCCTCTCTGCCTCCTTCCCTTCCCTAAAATACAGGATGGGTAGGAAAGAATCTTGCTTTGCAAGAAATAACAAACACAATCACGATGTTTATGAAGACTTGACGTGTGCTAAGTGGTTTACACTGTCAGAAAGGAATTATGAAATAGACAGAAAAAGATTACTAAATCTCTAACATTCTCTTTAGTTATCTGATTCTATAAGAGCCGTTGCTTTTCATTGTCTTTATTGATAGTAATACAGATGCTTTCTTTTTTTTCTTTTCTTTCTTTCTTTTTTTTTTTTTTTTTTTGAGATAGTCTCATCCTGTTGCCCAGGCTGGAGTGTAGTGTTGCAATCTCAGCTCACTGCAACCTCCACCTCCCAGGTTCAAACAATTCTCCTGCCTCAGCCTCCCAAGTAGCTGGGATTACAGGTGTGCACCATCGTGCCTGGCTAATTCTTGTATTCTTAGTAAAGGCAGGGTTTCACCATGACGGCCAGGCTGGTGTCGAACTCCTGACCTCAGGTGATTGACCCGCCTCAGCCTCCCAAAGTGCTGGGATTCCAGGCCTGAGCCACCGCGCCGGCCAGATGATTTCATCTGTAGAAATGCAAATGTTTTGTCCCTGGAAACACTATTTTTGCTCTGTGACTATTAACTAGTTCTGCATCTATTGGTAAATTCATTTCAGCATTTCTGATTGCCTATCTATGTGTGTGTTTGAATTATCCTTTGAACTATTTGTAACATCTTACTGAGTGCCTGGTTAATTTTAAGAGTTAAGTAAAAATCTTTGTTTTAGATTTATAGAAGAGTCATGATTTTGTCTTTAAAAATATGCTTTAATAACATGCATAATCTTATTTCCAACCCTGTGAGGTGGCTATCATTACCATCATCCCCATTTTACAGACTTACAGAGGAAAATCGAGGCCTAGGTGTCATGAAATTTGCCCAAGGCCGTCCACAGGTCATTGCTTGAGCCAAGCTTTGCACCCAGGCAATTTGAACCCAGAGCTGAATCTGTTCACCACTATACCACGTGGTTCCTGTTGTGTAGCCTTTCATCACTGTATGGTGTGACAGGCTCACCCCCAACTGGGCTGCTGCATTTCAAGTTGGTGACCTTGATGTTGGCCCTTCAGGATTCCCCAGTGTTCAGTGCCTTTGTAGTTGTCCAGTGTGGCCAGCTCCACTGGGAACCCCACGGAGAAGGCGTGAGGCCTTTTCCTCCACTGTGTTCTTCTCTGAATGCCTACTGCAGAGCTCTGACCTGTGTGGGTGCAGCCAGGTTCTTACTGATGGGGAATGGGAAGCCAATTGATAGAGGCCTTAAAACCTCCAGCTTGGCCACATGCTGGGGCTCATGCCTGTAATCCCAACACTTTGGGAGGCCAAGGCAGGAGGATCACTTGAGCCTAGGAGTTTGAGACCAGCCCGGGCAACTTGGCAAAACCCTGTCTCTACAAAAAACACAAAAATTAGCTGGGAGTGGTGGTGTGCACCTGTAGTCCCAGCTACTTGGGGGGCTGAGGGGGTGGATTGTTGGAGCCCAGGAGGTCGAATCTGCAGTGAGCCATGATTGCACCAGTGCACGTCAGCCTGGGCAACAGAGCGAGACCCCTGTCTCCCACCAAAAAACCCACCTCCAGCTCAGAGTCTGTACTTGTTCCTCAATGACACTGAGGTCTACTGCTTTTATTTGTTTAACAGAATAAATGCAAAGCAATAGTATGATTGCTATCACAAGAATGTCAAATTCTTTAAGGTAGCAAAGAACAACTATAACCTGAGAATGTTACTAGCTGATAGATGGATTGGCTTTTAAAAACACCCAGAAACTATTGAACCACAGATATTATCTGAAGGGAGAATGAACAAATTAATGTTTCATTTAGTTGCTGTTCCTGTATGAAATTCTAACCACAGCTCAATGGAGTCAGAACCCCAATATTGCTGTGGTGTGTTTTGTGAGCAGTATTTGTATTTGCATGCTGTGGTATTGCCAGCTAACAGTTACTAAGCACTTTGCATCCAGATCCTTTGTAAATATTTTATATACATGTTCTCATTTAATCTTTAAGTGACTCTATGGTGTAAGTTCTATTATTAGCTTTGTTTTATGGATGAAGTGACTGAGGTCCAGAGACATAGCCACTTGCCAAAGGCCCCAAATCTGCTAAGTGGAGCTGCCAATCAAACTCCCCTGCACATACATAATTCACACTCATTCTAGAAGAAGAGGAAAGCTCAGAGAGGGAGTCAAAACTCCATTTCTAGTATTTCCTTCCAACAGGGAACCCTGTCCTCCCTCTGAAGGTAGCACTCTCACTTTAATTTCTAAAATAACTTTTGTTTCCCAGCTTCCTGATGGAGTAGCCAACCTTGCAGATGGCCCTCGATGATCGGCAGTACCTGGTCTTCATGTGCTTGTGTTGTTCCTCAATATTGTCCCTCAAATGTTGAATCAGGACTACAGTGGAAATTATAATGTGACTTCTGAGGCCAGGTCATAAAAGGCATTGCTGCTTCTGCCCTGGCCTCTTGGATTGCTTGCTCTGTGAGAAGCTAGCTGCCATGTTGTGAGGACACTCAAGCAGCTCTGTGGAGAGGCCCATATGGAGAGGAACTGAAGGCTGGGCAACAGCCACACCAACTGGCCAGCCAAGGAAATGAACTATCTTGGAAGTGGGTCCCTAGCTCCAGCCAGATGCATGTAGCCCAGCTAAAAACTGAATGCACCCTTAGAGCTCCCAAAACAGAACATTCCATCCAAGGTGCTCTCAAATTCTTGAACCAGAGAAACTAGAAGAGATAACAATTATTTTTCTTTTAAGTTCCTAAGTGTTGGGGTAACTTGTTATGCAGCAAAGCATAACTAATAAATATTTAGTTCCTAGAAGCAAGATGCTGCTGTAACAAAAATCTAAAAATATGAGAGTGGTTTTGGGACCAAGAGTGGGAAAAAGTTGTAGAGACCATGAAGAGAGTGTGAGGGAAAGCCTAAATGGTCTTAAAGAGACTGTTTTCAGAAATATGATGGCCTTCAAGGAGGCTATTGGTAAGATCTTGAAGAAAATTGAGGAACATGTTACTGGAAGCTGGAAGAAAGGGGATTCTTACCCATGGAACAGCAGAACATCTAGCACATTTTGTTAACATGGAAAATAGAAAATGTACCTACTGAACTGGGTGATCCAGCTAAAAAGATTTCCAGGCAGAGTGGTATAGGTGCCACCTTGATTTTCGTTGCTACTTTGAGTAAAAATCAGAGGAAAGATAAGCTAAAGAAGAAAAAAACCTATTTATTACAAAAGAGGCAGAAACTGCAGGGTTTGAAAATGCCCAGTCTGTCAAGGTAACAGACAATGTGAAAATTTTAAAAACATTTTGAGACAAAGATAAAATCCAAAGTACAGCCAGAAAAACAGAGCGTAAAGATGAAACTAAGGTGTGGCTGCAAGGTTTTCTTGTTTAGACCTCAGAACTATGCAAGGTGTAGTCTTTCAGCCACTTCATAGCATCCTAAAGTAGAAAAGAGATTTGCGGGTGTAGCTTTTGTCTAACAGAGTGAATGTCAATAAGATTCATAGGACACTTGCAAAAATTTTAAGAGAATTTCACTAGCAAAAACATTGCCAGCTTTGACTGAATAGAAAAGAAACACTACAAGATGAACTGAAGACTTCTATTGGCAAATAAACTACTCAACTGCAAAAACACGTTTACTTTTATGAAAAAGAAAAGATAATTCAGGGATTAGAAGCAAGAACCCAGAAGACAGAGCCAAGAGCTGTAAAGAATCATTTTCAGCAGTAACAGGACTGAGTCCTGGCCAAGGAACTTGCATAATGTTCCTGGCTAGACTTCAAAATTTATCAATAATAGACAATCAGTGTACCTAGTAACTACCTGAAGCACACAGAGAAATCAAAAAGGATTCATTAGAGAAGGAAAACTTGCCAAGCAGGTAGGAATCTGATTTACAATTGCTTTTTTTAAAAAAAGACACCTATGGTGGAGCTTTCTTGACTAATTTTCTTCCTTGCATTATTCTTGATACACAGAGAAGCCAAACCAGTGATTCATCCATGACTCAGTCATAAATAAAGTGGCAAGTGGGATGCTGACTGACTTTGGCACCTGAATTCTAAGGTGCTACAGAAGTGTGGATTTTTATCAACAAACTAACACAGAGTTGAGGTTTTCAACTCCACTACTATGAGCCCTGGGACTTCCAAAGAGATGTCTCTCGGTCTTTCTTGGGGAGGAGTAAAGGTGAGGGTTGCTTTCTCCTTCAATTCAGCTTGAAACAACTCTGCTTTTTGTTCAAAAATTTATACACACATATGTGTAGTCTTTGTACATGAAAATGTAAAGAAGAAAATAAAATTGGTACAGATTAAGCCCAAGACAACTCCTACTTTCATTAATATAATTGCACGAGGTTAGCATGGTAGGTGTTCTGATGAATATGCTCCACCTCCATTCCACCCTCCCTCTAGCATCCCTGCTTGTAAGGCAGAGGCTATAAAGATGAAAATCATATTTCCTGGACTCTTTTGCAGCTAGATTTCTGGATGTGAATTAGATTCTGCTAAATGGATGTACCTGTGTGGAATTTGGAAGGTGAGGCAGGTGCCATTGTCCTGCCCCTTTTGGATGTGAGAGATGGGGTTTACTGCAGCTGCAACCCCCTGTGCATTTTCCAGCTTGTTCATTGTTGAGAAGCAGGTACGGTCATGTGCTCTCGAACTCTGTGGTTCTATTGGCAACCTCAGAGTTTGTAGCCCCATGCAAGGCCAGTTCTGCATGCTATGGGAGTCTTTCTTGGAAGAACACATTGGATTCCAGTCCCCAAAGCTCCCAGTGGTCTTGCAAGCACCGTGTTTCTTACATTAAACCCTGGAATGTTTTCTATTTCTTGCTTTGAAACTTGACTGATATGATTAAATAATTAAACATTACAGAAATAAACAAAAAGTAAAAGCTTCCCTCCCTATCCCAATTCCAATTTTTCTTTGTAACATATTTATTATTTCAGAAAACTTTTCTTTGAAAACCTCTTTATAGATAAGTGCATATATTGTTAAAATATGTTGTTATATATGTAAAATACATATATGTATTATATTATGTAATATTACTCAAAAAAGTCATAATATAGCTATGGTCTTGCATATTGATTTTTTAAATTACAAATCTTTTTGAACCTCAATGAGAACCCCTCACCAGAATGACTAAAAAAAGAAAAAACCTGACACTAGTAAGTGTTGACAAGGACCGGGAGCAATAAGAACTCTCATACATTGCTGGTGTGAGAATTGTAAATTAGTTGGACCACTTTGTAAAACTGATTGGCAGTTTTCATTAAAGTTAAATATACACCTATCCACTGCCTCAGCAGCTTGTCCACAAAAAGACTCATACAAGAATGTTCAGAGCAGCTTTACTATATTAGTCAAAAAGTAGAAACAACCCAAATGTCCCATATGTAAATGAATAACAAATTGTGTTATAACCTATAATAGAATGTTACATAGCAATGAAAAGGAACAAAGCACTCATGTATACATAACATGGATGAATTTCAAGAACATTATGCTAAGTGAAAGAAGCCAAGTATAAGAGAACGCACACCATGTGATTCCTTTTCTGTGAAGTTCAAGAACAGGCAGAACTACTCAACAGCCCCCAAAGTCAGAAGAATGGTTCCTTTGTGTGGGGAGAGGGCGTGACTGATTCTAAAGAGCACAGGGAGCCCTCTCAAGTGACGGGAATGTTCCATCTCGATCTTGATGGTTACACGGGTGTAGACACATGGAAAAATTACTCAAGCTGTGTACTTAAGACTAGCACACTTTCCTAACTAAAAGGTTATCTTTTTGTATCAGCACATTTACATCTGATTCCTTCTGTCGACTATCTGCAGAGATTTCTAGTGCACAAAGTTCCATGTTTTAACCACTGCCCTGTGTATGGACTTAATAGGTCGTCTTCAGCATTTTTGCCATCGCAGATGATGCTATGATGAGCATCCCTGGACATACCTCTTGTGATTCCACCGCAAGTATCCGTAGGGTAAATTCCTAGAAGAGAAATTGGTGGGTCAGAGGGAATGTGGCTCTTGATGTTTCACAGACATTGCCCAATTGCTCTCCAAAAATCTTGCAGCAAACATGCACTCCCGTGAACACCACAGTCATGAGAGTGCTGGTTTTTCCCACACTCTCCCCAGCACTGGAGATTATCAACTTTCACAATGTTTGCCGATCTGATAAGTAAAAGAAAATTATCTTTTTTTTTTTTTTTAATTAGAAGCTGCTCTATCTTTATCCATTTCTCATATTGGGTTTCTGCATCTGATTTTGTTTTTTTAAAAGGAACAAATTTGTTTTATTCGTTGCTAAATAAAACAAATTAAAATTTAAGACTAGAATAAAGGAAAGATCACATTTCTTGAGATTTAACAGCCAAAGGAAGAACAGAATTTCTCTCCGGTGGGTCGTTTCTGTAACACTGAGGCTGGGAGACCCCGTGGACGCCCAACTCACAGCTCATGGGGCCAATTCTGGCTTTGGGCACGATGTTTCAACTTTCTGTGCCTCAGTTTCTTCACCCGTGAAGCGGAGGGAATAACAGTGTTATTATTGCTGTGACAGTCGTTTGAGCTGTGACTCATGCAGGGCTCAGACCGCGCCTGGTCTTATCTCTGCTTCTGCCATTGCCGACATCAGCGTGAGTTGTTATAGAGGCTTCCCCTGTGGGCTTGAGTTTCTGTTTTTCTAAAATGAGGCTGCGGAGTGAGATCCCTTCCAGCTCTCCCGCTCTCCTGATTTCCTGTCCCGTGGCCCCGTGAAGACGTTGCTTCCCTGCCCTGGGCACTATGTCCCAGCTTCCTGAGGTCACCCAGACACCAACGTACCACCCAGGCTGTGCTGCCTCCGCCTTCTCCTAAAGGCGGCCACACTCAGTTGCCTGGCCACAAAGCGATGAAGCTTTTTCCAGAACCTCGGGATCCCTGGAGAGAGCATTTCCCTTGGCTTCAGCTGCAGCCCCTCTTTCTAGATGGAGTGAGCTCCATCGCGGGGGTCCCCCAGGGGGACAGATACCTTCCTGTTCCCTCTGCCCAAGGGCCCACGCTCAGAGCACTGCCTCCCACACTGTCCCTCTGCAGATCAACCGAGGCTTTGACTCCAACAGAGAGTGGATTCTAATTTAGTCTTGGCTGGGACCCCTTTCCCGCAAAAAGATATCTGACCTGATGTCTTGCCAAGTCTCTACCCTCCTCGGCTTACATCATGGAAACTGTCTCTTTTACTTCATGGAATTCAAGAACACTTTCTTCCTTCTGGGTCTGAATCTGAAGCCAGTCACGAAGGGAAGGCACTAATTTCTCTAATTGAAAAATCCTCTCCTCCAGATTGTAATGGCCCCGGACAAAAGGATCAGATCATTTGAAAGACAAATACTCTCTAAGTAAGTTTCCACATTGTTAATATTTCTTGCCTCTCTGGCCCCCACTTTCCTATTTCAAGGCCTCTCTCTAGTCCTGGTTGTGTTCGCTGGAGCCCAGAACCTAACCTGGCTTTTTTTCCCATTAAATAATCAATTATAGACTCACATCAGGCTGGGCACAGTGGCTCACACCTATAATCCCAGCACTTTGGGAGGCTGATGTGGGGCGGATCACCTGAGGTCAGCAGTTCGAGACAAGCCTGGCCAACATAAGGAAACCTCGTCTCTAACTAAAAATACAAAAATTATCCTGACATGGTCGTGGGCACCTGTAATCACACCTACTAGGGAGGCTGAGGCTGGAGAACAGCTTGATCCCGGGAGGTGGAGGTTGTAGTGAGCCGAGATTGCACCACTGTACTCTAGCCTGGGCGACAGAGCAAGACTCTGTCTCAAAGATAAAAAAAAAAAGACTCACATCAAAGCGAGGTTGATGAGGAGGACAGCAGGGAAAGACGTGCACTTGCTTATTAGTTGTTCATTTTGATGGCTCTTTTCATCTTCACTTTGAGGGCTGGGAAGGCACAACATGTTAGGTTTGATGGGGCTATTGTCAAATAAAATGCAAGGCATCGAGACGCACACTCATAAAAAGAAAAGTGATTTCCATCGGTTAACCTGAACATTGATTCACTTCATAGCTTGGAAGTTTGCTGTGTCAGGGTCCTGCTAATGTTGAATTCTAAGCCTGCATGCAAAAGTTTGCAAAACCCCTTCTTTTTGCATAGTTCAGGCGGATATACAGGTAGGTGGATATCAACAGCAGCTGAGACATGGTGAGGATGTAACTATGTGTCAGGCATGAGCTAAGCATTTGACTCACATCATCTCACTGAAACCTCACACCCACCCTGGAAAGAATGCTACTTCCACTAACTTCAGTCTACAGAAAAATGAGAGTTAGTGAGGCTTATTAATAAGAAGTTCAAGGTCACACAGGAAACCTGAGCAGAGCCATGACTGAGGCTCGGTCTGTCTGGGCCTCCAACCTCCCTGTTCCAGGGCTTCTAGATCTCTACACTATTGACATTTGAGGCTGGGGTAATTGTGTGTGGGGGGGGCGGGGGGGCGCGTAGGGGCTGTTCTATGCATTGTAGATGTTTAAAAGCATCCCTGGCCTCTACCCACAAGATGCCAGTGGCACCCGTTCCCCAGATGTGACAGCTAAAAATGTCAGACATTGCCAAGTGTCCACTGGGGGACAACATGACTTCTGGTCAAGAACCAGTGTGTTCAGTCTTTTCAGTGTCTCTGTTCTCTTCCTGCCACCCACGTGCACGTTAGGGCATGCTCCTTGGGACCCTCTACAGACTGTGGAAGCTACTTGGGAGGCAACCACTCCTGTAATCACTGAGCTTCTGAAACTGACCCTCCACCTGATGGGCCAGGGTATCTCAGTTCCAAGAAACCTGCTACTCCGCCTGCAGTCATCAAGAAGCTACTGTGCACGAGTGGTTTCCAGAAGTTACAGAAATGGACGAGACATAGCCTTCCCTCACCACCAAGAGTGGAGGTTAGAATCTAGTGCCCCACAGCCAAATCTGGCTTAGGAGTGTGTTCACCATCTTTGCAAAAGACTTATACAAAATTGAATTAATGGCCAACACCTAAAAATTTGAAACTTTCATATTTTTTAATTAAAAAAAATCTAAATTTCTGGCTTATGTGGAAAATTGGAAGATCTGGCTATTGTCAAGAGTGGGAAACCCCTGACAACACCGTCAGTTGCCCTGCATTTTTCCATGACTCCCTGTCACCCCCCATCACCCACCCCGGTTACACAAACAGCTCAGGCCAACTGGGCAGTTCAGGATGGGGCCCCAGAGCTTGATCAGAAGCTCCTGGAGCGCTGATATCAATACTAGTGATATTAACTTGTAATCCCTCCTACCAAGTCTCTTCAGATGGCTGACCTTAATGCAGCAAGATTCCCAGAGGAGGGAGGGATTGCTATGGGCTGGAGACTCAAAGAGGGCTCCCTGGAGGAGGTGAGCTGGGCAGTAAAAGTAGGTAGTGTTTGGCAAGATTGCAATTCAGAGAAGGAGATGCTTCATGGTAGACGCTGGATGACAGATGAGCTGTTATGTGCAGAAAGGGGCCAAAGAGAGAGCAGGTGGCCATAGGGAAGAAATGTAGTTCCTGTCCCCATGGGGCTGCCAGGCTGGTTCAAGAACCTCAATGCCCCAACTTCCTTACCTGAAGGGTGGGGACTAATAATGGCACCCATCACAAGTGCTGCTTTGCCCCCAGGGAGCTCCTCGATCTTAGGTGTCATGTTCATTCAGCTGAATTCCTCTGTTAGTTGCTCTATAATTGGTGTCTATTTTTATTAATGTTGATAATACACCAAGCTCATGTATGTGGATCATCCAGGGGCTGAAGGTAAAGAAGCACCTCTTAGTAGCTCACTTGTCCTAAGAGAATTCCAGCTACAAAAAGTGAGGAGCTCCTTGGGCAAGGCCTGGTGCAGGCAGCCTTGCTACGAGGGGGACAGTTCCTGCCCTTCAGAGGGAAAGTCCAACTAGGAAAAGCAAATCAAGGGGAGCACTCTCTCCAGGGACGCCCAGTTGCTGAAGAATTATTGTTGGCCCAGCTCATTGTAAATGCAACCACGTTAGTTTTTGTGAACATCGCTTGTTATACCAGCCCAGGGGCTGTTGCTTCCAGCTGGAAAGCTGGCCGAGGAGAAATGGGTAGTAAAGTATTTCATAAAATTGGTTTGAGAATTGAGGGGCCAGCTTCACATCAAGGCATGAAGAGAGGCACCGGGCCTGAGCAGCTGCGTTTACTGTCCGGTGTAACTGGATATAAGCGTGGCTGTAAAACAGATATTTACGAGTGAGTCTGATGGAGCGGTATCACCAGGTGCTTCTGTGGCCTAATCACATAGGTGACAAATTAAACAGCAGAGTTGAAGTTAAGAATAAATAATGTTTAATTACAGGTCACTGCTGCCCTGGCTGCAAGGTGAATCCCATTCAAATTCATGGTAGGTGAACTAGAGAAACCACACATCTGAGATTCTGCTTTCTCCTGCTTCCTTCCCACCATGCTACCACTCTGGGTTTCAGAGCTGGATGTTCAGTCTGGAAAAGAAGACCTCCTTGTTTTTTGTTTTGTTTTGTTTTGTGTTCGTTTGTTTGTTTGGAGACGGAGTTTTGCTCTTGTTGCCTAGGCTGGAGTGCAATGGCACGACCTCGGCTCACTGCAACCTCCACCTCCTGGGTTCAAGTGGTTCTCCTGCCTCACCCTCCTGAGTATCTGGGATTATAGGTGCCCGCCACCATGCCCAGCTAATTTTTATATTTTTAGTAGAGACAGGGTTTCACCAGGCTGGTCTCAAACTCCTGACCTTGTGATCTGCCCGCCTTGGCCTCCCAAAGTGCTGGGATTACAAATGGGAGTGACTGCACCCGGTTTCTAACCTATGTCTTTTCTGCCCAACTAGACTGTACATTCTTTTGTTTTTTTTTTTGTTTTGAGATGGAGTTTTGCTCTTGTTGCCCAGGCTGGAGTACAATGGCTTGATCTCAGCTCACTGCATCCTCCACCTCCCGGGTTCAAGTGATTCTCCTGCCTCAGCCTCCCCAGTAGCTGGGATTACAGGCACATACCACCATGCCTTGCTAATTTTTGTATTTTTAGTAGAGACAGGGTTTCACCATGTTGCCCAGGATGGTCTCGAACTCCTGACCTCAGGTTATCCACCTGCCTCGGCCTCTCAAAGTGCTGGGATTACAGGCATGAGCCACCGCGCCTGGCCCACATTCTTTAAGGGTAGGGATCCTTACTTCCACCCAATGCAGCAAAACCTCATGGATACCTATAGGCCGGGCATGGTGGCTCACGCCTGTAATCCCAGCACTTTGGGAGGCCAAGGCGGGTGGATCACGAGGTCAGGAGATCGAGACCACCCTGGCTAACACAGTGAAACCCCATCTCTACTAAAAATACAAAAAAAAAAATTATCCGGGCGAAGTGGCGGGTGCCTGTGGTCCCAGCTACTCAGGAGGCTGAGGCAGGAGAATGGCATGAACCTGGGAGGTGGAGCTTGCAGTAAGCCGAGATCGCACCACTGCACTCCAGCCTGGGTGACAGAGCAAGACTCCATCTCAAAAAAAGAAAGAAAGAAAGAAAACAGAGATCCTGCTTCAAAAACCTGCCAGCCCAGTGAGGAAGTGTGAGCTGAGCCGTGAATGTGTGCAAATTCGCCAATAGAGATCCCAAATCTACTTTTTCTCTTAAAATATTTGCTCAGCATGCATGACGTATCAGGAACAGTCATAGGTGGTAGGGATGCAACAGAACTGTGAAGGTTCTAAGATTTTTCCATACTTTCAGCTAATAAGTGAGCCTGTCACAGTGTTGTCAATGCAGGAAGATGACATAAGACTACTGGGTCAGAGATAAAGGAGTTTATTACTACACAGCAGGCAGCATGAGATTTATGCTTGTGTCTGTTTCCTCTTTACCCTTAAGTCCTATGAGGGGTGACAGACAGTGACCCAGGTGCTTGCTATCCACACAAGGTTTTGCATCATAGCAGAGGAAACCTGAGTTTAGGGAATCCCAGTTTTTTATAAGCTTCTAGATCCTGCCCACCCTTTGCCCTAGAGGGAGGCATTACTGGTAAGCAAACAAACTTTCCCTCTGTTATCTCTATTTTCCAAGACTATTTGCTTACAAACATCCTTGGAAAGGTAGTCTGGAATGCCCATGCTGTCAGTGTCTCTGCTCACAAGATATACTGACATTCTGGAAACCCATGGAACACTGTCTCCCAGCAGCTACCACTTTAGAAGTTTGTCAGGGAGGAGATCGCAGGACTCCTCCTCTGCCATGTGCTGGTGGTGAGCCGTTTCCAGTTCACTGTGCACCAGGCACTGCACGTGGCTTGTCTCACTCCTCTTCATAACCCCATGAGACAGACCATTGTCAGGCCTATTGACAGGTTAGGAAATTGAGACTCAGAGAAGCTAACTTGCCCTAGGCCACCTCTCTTGTCAGTAGCAGAGCCAGGACTTGAACTGAGGACTGCTGACTCCAGAGCCCCATCCCATGTTCTGCTCTCAACACATAACACTCATGGAACAAAACGAGTTATTTAGAAAATACCAGTCAATGCGGTTCTTGGAACCTCACCCTGGTCTGTGACCCCAGAACCAACATGTGCCCCTGCCCCTCTCTGACCTCCCTGGCAGCCAGCCTTCCTAAAGTGACAGGCGGTCTTCTGCCCTCTCCACCTCCTGTGGAGCCAGAAGCCTGGTGCCCTCTCTCTTGGTCTGTGTCCAAGTAAGGAAGAGCAGCCACGTCACGGATGCTGGGCAAACATCAGCAGCAAGGGCTGCCCAGACTCGGGGAGGAAGACCCGCTTCTAAGCTGCTCTAGTGTAGTGTGAATACTCCATAAACTTCCCAGCTGTCTTCCACCCACCCAGGGTTCCCTCGCCAACAGGATCCCTCCACCCAGGGCCCTGAGGGAGGCTCTTGGGAAGTCTTTGAAAGCTGGAAGGAGCTTTTCCTGAAAGAAGAGGTTTGGCTAGTCTGGTCTCTTGTCTTTTAAACTGCCCTGCAAGGACAGAAAAAGTCCTTGGACTTCTCATTGCAAAATCTCAATCCACCGCCTCCTAGGTTGGCAGGAGTTGCTGCTGGGGAGAGGGAGTGAGGCATGCTGGGAAGAATGTGGAAGGTGAAGTCCAACAGGCCTGAGTTCAAATCCCAGCTTTACCTTTTTCCAGCTGTGTGACCTTGGGCCTCAGTTTCCCCATCTGCAAAGTGAGGATAATGCTTGCACCTACCTCACAGAGTCACTGGGAAGGTTTAATCAGATTATGCATAAGGAGGCATTCATTCTATCTTTAAAAAATATTTACGAAACACTTAATATGTGCAGGAACAGTTCTAGGTGCTAGGACTACAACCGTGAGAAAAACGCCTTGCAAAGCTCACATTCTAGAGGAGGAGACAGATAATACCAGCACCTGCGATGCAGTAAATGCTCAGTGATTCTTAGCCACAGGCAGAAACAGGTTGCTTGGGGGACCCCTCTTCTGGTTAGTGGGGAGGTCTCAGAGAAAGGAGGTGATCAGCTAGCTGGAGACCCCAGAAAGCATCTCCGACAAGAGGAAGCATCTAAGGTCAAAGAACAGCTGGGTGGCTGATTGGTGACATTGACAGCATTCTACTTTCTGAAGCTATAGGAAGATAAATCAACTCTATGGGAGCTGGCTCTGGCCTCCTCCAGGGGGTTGGAGGTAGTCACAGTAGAGGGGCTCCTCTAAATTCTCAGAAAGCCATTCTGGGTAACTCAGCACCCATGGCTGTGGCCTCCTGGGAGAGGCAGAGATAGAGTCAAGACGTCTGCTCCCCGGCCTGCCCTTTCACTCCCATCTCCTCCACCCTTCACAGGCGCCGCTCTCAGTCTGGGCCCCTCTGCAACACCTGGAGATGGGCCAGCTGTGGAGCAAGCATCTGCTCCTTAATCCGCCCCCAGGGTTTGGCCTGCTGGAGGTGCGGCAGCACCCAAGGGTGAGTGGTTCCGGAAAGGAAGAGACAGCCCTTTGGACACGTTCACGAGTTTGTTCATTTATTCAGTGATTAGACATTGTTTGGAGCATCTATTGCAAACCAGGCACTGGGGGTGTGGGGCTGTGGGGTCGCCACTAGCTCGGCAGAGGGGGGAAAATGGTACATTTTAGAATCACAAAAAAATAGCTTCAAATAGTACATAATACCATCTCCTCAGGTCCTGAGACCCTCACCTTGAGCCCACGTGTTCCCTGCCGCTGGGGTTCAGCAAATGGCAGCGCTTTCATCAAGGTAGAAAAGAAAAACAACAAAAAAGTCAGAGCACCTCACCTGTGCCACCTGGTGGCGGGATCTGTCCGCACTGCAGCCCAGCAGCTTGCCTCCCGCCACCCACCGCCCCAGGAGGCTAACCCTGCCTGGTGGCTCTGGGACTGGGTGTGAGGAAGGCTCCTGAGGCCTGTCTGGCCTCCAGGATCTGGGTGAAGCCAGAGAAGCAGGCTCCGAATCACCCCAGCCTTTGCAAAGCCTTAGGAGTCAAGTTGCTGCATATGGGAAGCCTGGGGCTCCGGTAACAGCTCAGCAAGGCTGCGACAGCCCCGGGCCAGGACTCAGGGCGAAACAACCCTGTTGCTGGCTCCCTGGCTTGGGACAATTTCTAGTTTCCCGAGTCTCAGCTTGGTCTCCGATGGGGAAAGTGTCCCTTCCTCTCAAAGGTCCATTAGCCCAGGGTGCCTTGATTCAGTGAGGAGGGGTCTGGACTAGATTAGGGACACAGAATAAGGAAAATTCCCATATCCCCATTACCAAGAACTCCTACTGCAGGAGAGTACAGCGTGGTGTGACAATCAGGGACTCGGGACCAAGAGGCCTGTAACCGACTGCTATCCGGCCTCTACCTGTGTGGCTTGGGCAAATTGCTTCACCTCCCAGGGCGTCTTTATTTATGAAAGAGAATAAATGTATCCTGATTATAGTGTTGTTGCAAGGAGTAAGCAGGAGGATGTAGCCAAAGCACTTAACACAGTGTTTGGCAAGAACTGTTCAATAAATAAATAATTACTATTGTTATTACTATTATTTCTTGAGCATTTACGTTCTAGGCACCATAGCAAATGTATAGCAATAGTAATAAACAACATTTGATGAAAGCTTTCTTTATGCCAGGCCCTATGCTGAGAGCTTTATATTTATTATTTTCATCATTTTGATCCCCACTATTCTATAAGGTAGGCTATAATTACCTCCAATTTTGATGAGGAAACTGAGGCCCAGAGAGGTTAAGTGACTTGCCCAAGGTCACACAGCCAATAAGGTTCAAAGGTGAGATTAGAACACAAGTCTGTCCACTCCAAATGGCTGTGGGAGTTAAAATAGATATTCAAAGGTGGCCACATGGTGGGGGGCATTGAGATCTAAGGGACAAAAATGATGAGTTCTTCAGTTTAAGATGAGTTACTCAGGTCGCAATGAACGTGAAGATGGAAGTGGCCATTGTGTCCCTTTAGAAGCCTGGGAGTATGGATCAGGAGGCTGCCTGGGAGGTGATATTGCAGCTGCTACAACCTCAGAGAACTGGGAAAACTTGGGGTGCAGGCCAGAGGGAGCGCAGACTGAGGAGCTGAGCTAGTCTCAGGCTGGCAGCCACTTGGGGCCTCCGCAGGCAGGAGAGCAAAAGTGGGAGACCAAGAAGTGGGGCATGAAGCTGAAGAAAGAGGAAGGCTCTGTGAGGGTCCCAAAGGGCCTTGTCAGTGATGCCACAGAGTTTAGCCTTTATCCTGAAAGCCACGGGAAGTCTTGCAAGGAGATTAAGCAGCAAGAGGATCAGGTTGGCATTTAGAAAAATCACTCTCTGGCTGGGAGCAGTGGCTCACAACTGTGATCCCGGCAATTTGAGAGGCCAAGGCAGGAGGATCGCTTGAGCCCAGGAGTTTGAGACCATCCTGGGTAACATAGTGAGACCCGCTCTCCACAAAAAAAAAACAAAAATTAGCCAAGTGGGGTGGCAGCATATGTCTGTAGTCTCAGCTACTTGAGAGGCTGAGGTGGGAGGATCACCTGAGCCCAGGAGGTGGACATTGCAGTGAGCCAAGATTGTGCCAGTGTACTCCAACCTGGACAATAGAGCAAGACCCTGTCTCAAAAAAAAAAAAAGTAGAAAAATCACTCTGGAACCTATCACGTAACCAAAAGCCACCTGTACCCCAAAAACTATTGAAAAAATAATAATTTAAAAAAAGAAAAATCACCCTGTTTGCAGCGTGGAAAATGGATTCAGCTGCCTCCATCTAGTTCTCCAGCCTGTCTTTTAAATATTTTTCACCACAATTAATATACATTCACTGTAACAAATATAAATGGGACAGGAATATGTAACATAAAAAACTCTCACCCTCCAATTCTAATCTTCAAAAGTAATCACTATACTATAAAGCAGTTTTGACACACACAGTTTCAGATTTTCAGCTACACATATAGACGACATGGATACAAATATAAAATTGTCACCTAGCAACTGTTGGGAGAGCCTATCATTTCGGGTGACACCCAGGGTGATGTTTCCCAAATTGCACACCAACCCACTCTGGTGACAACGGGGCCCAGACCAGTTGTTCTTAACCAGGCAATCCAGGGGCATTTGGCAATACCTGGACACATTTTCGTTGTCACAATGCAGGTGCTTGGCAGGAGCTACTGGCATCTAGTGGATCAAGGGTGCTCTGTGAACATCTTATGTATTATAGGATCCCCACAACCAAGTGTCTTCTGGCCCAGATGGCAATAGTGCCAAGGCTGATAAACCCTTGGGATCTTTGAGGGAATTCCATACTGGTGAGATTTGCTAGTTGCAAGGAACAGAAATGCAATTTATTTTTATGGTATCAGGCAGCTCCTGAAATTATCTAGAGGCTGCAGAGCCAGGTTCATGCAGCCAGGGACAATGCCCTTCATCCTGATGTGGAACTGGTCAGGTGATGGCATGGTGCACCGCTGCACCTGCTGAGCACAGATGCTGCACTTTGCCCCAGACTGTTCTCTGGACTCTGCTTCTGGAACCCATTGTAGCCATTGCAGCTGCCACCTCCCCACAGCTTCATCGGTGCTGCCCGGAGCTGCAGCTTTGCACTGGCAGCTTTCACTATGTGTTTGGGATGGGTGCTTCTGATTGGCTGAGTCTAGGTCATGTGTTCATGTCCTAGCTGCAAGGGAGTCTAGTAAAATAAGTTTGCCTCATGTTGAGCTCCTATAGGGAATGGCTCTTTGCCTTATAACGCAGAGAACTCCTCAGACATGGGATGGAGGTTTGGAGGAACCTGACAAAGGGCCAGTCTATCCAGAGACAGGATGTTCAGTAACAGTACCTCAAGCCACACTGAATTTTACTGTGAACCATGTATTGTTTCTCTCCTGTTCAGGTCACTTTCTACCTCCTAGGTAATCTGTCTCTGACTCTTGCTCATCTCTCCTGGTAGCAGAGACAGGCAGGTGTCAGGCTTGGGTCTAGGGTCAGCCACATATCTAGTTAAATACATAATAACTTGTTTTCATGATTTTTCCTCTAATAATCATTTTTAGGCTTTGTTTTCTCCTGAACTGTTCTTTCTTATGAGATCTTAATGCCATGGATATATTGCATATCTCTTTAGGTTGTCTGTTTATCTGTGTTTTATCAATAAAAAGTGTAAGACTTTCTTATCCACTCTCCCTCATCCTCCCCAAACAATATTTGCCCTCCTTGGGGCAATTTTGCCCTGCTGAGACTGCATGGAGAGACAGACCTTATGTTTAGAGTGTCTCCAACTAGCCTAACATCAGACTTAACAGAGGAACCCTCCTAAAAATACAAATCCCTGGCCTTGATCCAGACCTATTGATTCAGAAATATCAAGAGAACAACTTGGGAATCTGCATTTTTAACAAGGGCCTCAGGGGATTCTTATGATCAGATAAGTTTTAGAAATGATCATGTGGGCCAGGAGAGGTGGCTCATGCCTGTAATCCCCGCAATTTGAGAGGCTGAGGTGGAAGGATCCCTTGAGGCCAGAAGTTCAAGATCAGACTGGACAACATAGTAATACCTCATCTCTAAAACAACGAAAATAAATTAGTGGGGAGTGGTGGTGTGCACCTATAGTCCCAGCAACTCAAAAGACTGAGTCAGGAGGATCGCTTGAGCGAAGGAGTTGGAGGCTTCAGTGACCTGTGATTGCACCACTGCACTCCATCGTGGTGACAGAGCGAGACCCTGCTTCAGTGGTGGCTCAAAACCGTGGCTGCGGACTGGAATCACCCAGGAAATTTAAAATTCGATCCATGTTCTGTCCCCTCCCACAGAGATCCTCAATGAATCAGCGAGGGCATGATGACCCTAATAGGCGGTCAGGTGGTTAAGGCTCGGATAGGCTGAGTGGGTCGGGATACTGGCGTTGCAGCTCACCAGCTGGGTGTCCTTGGGGAGGTAGCTTGCAGTCTCTGAGCTTCAACTCCTTGGGCCTGGAAGATGAGGTCTGGTGAGCATCAGTGAGGGGGTGGACATTTCGTGGTCCACACATAGTAGGTTCGAAATAAATGGGAGCTCCTTGGCTATTACAATTCAGAGGCTGAACATTCCAGATCTGTGTTTGCACCTGTCTTGATCTGTCGCCTGTTGGTCTTGTTAAAATGTGGATTCTGATTCAGCAGATCTGGGTGAGACCCAAGATTCTGCATTTCTAACAAGTTCCAGGAAACATCAATGTTGCCAGTCTGAAGAGCAAGATGCTACCTAGACCAGGGTTTCTTCACCTTGGCATTTGTGGCATTGTGGCCTGGATACTTCTTTTGTGGGGCTGTCCTGCACAGTGTAGGGTGTCGAGCAGCATCCCTGGCCTCTACTCACTGGAGGCCAGGAACACTCCCATCCCCAGTCCTAACAACCAAAGATGTCTGCAGCCATCGCAAAATGTCCCCTGAAGGGACCAAATTGCCCGCAGTTGAGAAACACCAGCCCAGGACAGTGAGATGATAGTGAAAAGAGGAAGAAATAACTAGTGACCCAAGTCAGCTGCCTCTGTGCGACCTGAAGCCCAGAGGGTTGGGACGTGTGTGTTGCTGGATGACGACATGAACGGAATGAATGAGCCGATGTAGAACGCCTGGGAGACAGAGGAGCCCCTCATGTGGAACCTGATTGCTGCAGATCTTGGAGTTTGGTCTCCCCTGGCTGCAAGAGAAGAGTGTAGACGAAACACAACCAAAGTGACTCACTCTGGAGAACAAACCAGACCATTCACAAGCAGAAACCAGCGCAGGTTCAGTTATGTTTGGTATACCCAGGAGAGAAGGGAGGCAGTGTCCCAATTCATGTACAGACACGATGTGGGTAAGTTTACCGTTGTGTACGTTGAGGTTGCCTTTGAAGGGAAGCAACCCAAGACGGTAACACCAAACAAACACGCCTCTGAACCAAGGCCCCGGAACTGCCAATCTAAACCTCAGAGGGAACCTCCACACACATGCATATGTGCACACACACGAACGCACACTCCTATGCGCATGGGTGGCAAAAAGATAGCAGGTCTGAGCAGGTCGCTGGAAAACACGGGCTCCCATTCATGCGATTCCCTGCATGACTGTACATCATGCAGTCGGCATCTCTAACTGATGCTCCAAAGCATTTTGTTTTATCTGGGATTCAAATCCATGACCACCCAACTCCAGAGCACAAACACTGTCCACAAACCTTCTGTGCAATTCTCAAAGCCATTTCACTTTCATGACAAAACGACCATAATAATATGGCTACTTTTTTGCACATTCTGTCTGCGCCAGTCACTGCCTAAGCATTTTATAGATATCATCTCCTTGAATCCTCACCAGAACAGGACAGAAAATGCACCACTGTCTGCAGATGAGGGCACGGAGAGGTTGAGCAACGTGCCTGAGGTCACGCAGCTCATAAGTGATGAAGCTAGGAAGGGAATCCAAATGTGTCTGATTCCTGAGTCCATGCCCATAATAACAACACTTCTGGCTCCCAGCTGACCCGAGACCCTCACTTCGCAAGTGAACAGCAGCCCCAGAGCAGCAGCCTCGGCACCACGGGAGCTTGCTAGAAATGCAGAGGCCCAGGTGCCCTCAGACCTGCTGAGCAGAAATGCAGAGGCCCAGGTGCCCTCAGACCTGCTGAGCAGAGTCTGCACCCTGGCCAGGTCACACACACGTCACCGTCTGGGGTTTACTGGTGCAGAGAACAGAATGACACCTCGCCTCCTTGCATGTTGAAATCCCTCATCTTCATGAATTAAAGGGTTCTTTATATTTGTTTTCCAGGCTGGGCAAGTTGGCTCATGCCTGTAATACCAGCACTTTGGGAGGTCAAGACAGGAGGATCACTTGAAGCCAGGAGTTCGAGACCAGCCTGAGCAACAAAGCAAGACTCTGTCTCTCCAAAAAAAAAAAAAAAAGAAAAAATTAGCGAGGCCTGGTGGAACATGCCTGTAGTCCCAGCTACTTGGGAGGCTGAGGTGGGAGGATCGATCGCTCGAGCCTAGGAGTTTGAGGCTGCAGTGAGCTATGATCGCATCACTGCACTCCAGGCTGGGTGACAGAGTAAGACCCTTTCTCAAAAATAAATAAATAAATTTGTTTTCTAAAAATTCATTCAAGAAATGAATGCTCATGGGGTTTACAAACATCAGATATGGTGCAGGAGGACTTCTAACAGAAAGCAAAGTCCCGTTTCCACCCTCCCCACCCCACACCCACCAGGGAGGGTGGCTCACAAGGATTGGCTCTTCCTGTGGTTTCTACCCTGTCCCTAAAAAATGCACTCAAATAGCTGTGTATCGACTACGCAGGTCCGACAGGCGCAGTTGGCGATGGATGGATATTTCGCTCAGGTACGTAACCACTCCAAACCTCCTCCCTCCTGCCCGTATATTCACGTCACTGCTTCCAGAACCTCTGCGGGCAGCCTTTGTAAATGTAGACATAGAATTAAACTCGTTTCTTGCTCTTCCACTTTTCCGCAGGGCCCCTGACCATTCCTGTTTTGTGAGATGGAATCTGGAGCCCCATCCCTCCCTCCTTCCTTCCTCTCCTGTCCACTCCTGCCGTGGATCTGGGGATCTGGAGAGGCAGGGCCAGGGTCCGTAGGCTGAACTAGGTGAGCGGCTAAAGTCCAGAGCAAAGGCATGGAGAATTGGGAGCTGGTTTTGACCCAGTCAGTCCCATCGCCTGTCTGAACCTGATACTGAAACCAGAAGTTCCAGGTCGAAGCTCTGGCTTGCCTATATCTCCCCACTGGATAAGACCCTTTTCCAGCGTGAGCCTCAGTTTCCCTACCTATAAGGTAAGACGGCTGTTTTTGTTGTCTGGATTTCTTGGAGTCCATAGCAATGGCTTTCAGCGTTTCCAGCACTGACAGTGTGAGATCTCCTTGGAAAATAAAGTCACCTCAGATGCCATCTCCCCTCAAAGCCATGGAACTCGTCTCCAGCCACAACTCACAGCCTGGCCTCTCTGTCCCCTGAGGTCCACTGAGACCTCTTGCTCTTCTATTTCTTAGAGCCCTGGCAGCCAGGTAGAAACAAATATGGCTGCTTTTGTTATCAGGAGGGAAGCCACACTGTTCTCCCCTAGCAGGGGGTTGGTGTCAGAGCTCCGGGGGAAGGATGTGTCATCTCAGCACTTCTGAGCCTATTCTCTCCCCCTGCTGCGCCCAGCTCTCTTCACACGGTTGGGGGTGGCAGAGGGTCCTGAGCCCTCCCTTCCATGCACACCTCTGCTTGGCTGCAGGCGCTTGTGGAGCTGAAGGAAGTGCTGCCATGCGCTGTGCAGGTGTGTCACATTATCACCCAGGCCCACTTCAAGGCAAACAGATGAAAACGACAACATTGTCTTCAGAGCCACCTGGGCTGTGGGCTGCGGGCAAGCAGGAGGGAAGTTTCTCTCTAGGCACCAGCCCAAGAACAAAAGACTGCTTTGGACTTGAACTGTTCCTTAGTAAGAAAACAGTAACTGGAAGCTGGTTAAAATCATCAGGAGGGCTTTGTGGGATGCTTCGGAGATTTTCTTCTTCCTGGTTATTTAGGATTAACAGTCAGCGTAGAATCTGTGCCTGCATCCAGACACAGGGACGGGAGGTTTGGAGGAGGGGAGGAGGAGAAGCCATGGCGAAGGTTCATAGCTTAGGAGACCCGAAGCCAAGGGAATAGGCCAGAAGCAGATCCTGAGAATGCCATGTGCTCACTGCCCTGCAGGGCTCTTATTGCCCTCAGAGAAAAAGCCACAGTCCTGGCCAACCCCGCCCCCCAGGACTCTATACAGCCCTGTCCCAGTTACAGCCCTGACCTCCTGCCCTTGCTCTGTTGCTCTGACCACACTGACCCCCTCGCAGTTCCTCTGACGTGCCAGGCATCCTCCCGCCCCAGGGCCTTTGCATGCGCTGTTCCCTCTGCCTGGAATTCTTTTCCCCACAATATAAATATGTCTCACTTTCTCATGTCCTTCACCATGTTATCTCCTTCGAGAAGTCTTTCCTGACCACCCTCTGAAAGAAAGGAACTCTAGGCCGGGCATGGTGGCTCACGCCTGTAATCCCAGCACTTTGGGAGGCTGAGGTGGGCAGATCATGAGGTCAGGAGTTCGAGACCAGCCTGGCCAATATGGCGAAACCCCATCTCTACTAAAAATACAAAAATTAGCTGGGTGTGGTGGCAGGTGCCTATAATCCCAGCTACTCAGGAGGCTGAGGCAGGAGAATCATTTGATCCTGGGAGGTGGAGGTTGCAGTGAGCCAAAATCGTGCCATTACACTCCAGCCTGGCAGCTGGGAGACAAGAGCAAGACTTTGTCTCAAAAAAAAAAAGGAACTCTAACCCCACCCTGGCACTTCCTGTGCCCCTCATCGCCCTTGCATCCCTCTACAGGATTCACCGACCTTGGACATCTCCTGTGCCGTTATTTATTTGATTTTTGGTGCACATTCAAGAGCTTAAGAGAGGGGGGATTGCTGTGTGTTCAGTTCACAGCTGCCTCCCCAGCTCTGGAACATCTACAGAACAGACACTGGGTAAGGATTTGTCAGAGGCATGGATGGAGGTTAGGCAGGTAGGGTGCCCTGCTGTGACTGGTGTCAGCAGAAGCTCAAGAGCTCTTTAAGGCTTTAGGATAGGCTGAGCATGGCCCTAGAGGAGTGCACTCTTGGCGCCGTTCCCGTTGGGTGGTTAGCCCCGGTGCTGATGACAGCACTTCCCACCAGAGCCCTGTCCACACAGCATGGTGGGGACCGGTCTTCTCTGCAAGACCTCCCCTGACTCCAGGCTTCATGAGGGCAGGGACCAGGACCAGCTTGTTCACTGAGGCACCCTCAGTACCCAGAGCAAGCTCACACCTGGTGACACCAAGAATACTTGTCCATTAGTGAAATCATTTATTTTCTTAGTCCTCACAATACACCCACGAGATGGGGTCGATTATGATTGTCCTGGAGATGGGGACACTGCAGTGGTGGGGCCTGCATTCCAAACCAGCACATCTCTGACTCCAAAGCCCTAAGTGACAGCCCCAGGGCAATACAATTTATCAGGATGGCCACAGGGCTGGAACTGCATTATTAACCAGCATGGGTCCTGGGCGGCTTCTTAAAAAGGAGGCTCCTCCTCCTTCATCCATTGATCTGGCCAGTTCAGGTCCACAGTCCCTTACTGAGAAGCTATTGATAAGCATGAGCTGTTAGGTGATGCTAATTGGGACTGAAAAAGAATGCCATCCTCAAAGGGCTTCCAGATTGATACACATGTGGAGAGAGAAGCTCCTGGAATCTGGAGGAGCTGCATCCCTGGCAGCTGGGTGATAAGCAAAGCGCCCCAGGTCAGGGTGGGGTGCATCTTGGCTGAGCCCCCAGGGCAGTGAGGTACCAGCAGGGAAGGGAAGGAGAGTGCAGGAGACTCAGGCAGACCACACACACAGCCTGAGCAGGTGCATCCTGGGGCTGGGATGCCCAGGCTATCTGGGAAACTGAGACCTTTGCCTTGGGTCAGAGCTGCCAGGAATCCTAAGGAGGAAGGAAGGTGACGTCGAGGTGGGTTACGACCATTAACCCATGAGGGAGAATCTAATGGCTGGTGTATCAGTCAGGGTTCAGCTGGAGAGGCAGAATCAGTAGGAGGCAGATATCAAGGGATTTATTGCACGCAGTTGGCTTAGGTGACTGTGGGGTCTGGCCAGGCAAGTCCCGAGTCCGTGGGGCAGGCTGTCAGGAACAGCTGTGACTCACAGGCATAGGCCCAGGTCGCTGTCACGGGAGGAATTTCTCCTTATGCAGAGAGCCTCTGCCGGCTCCAAGGTCTTTCCACTGACTGGACCAGGCCCACCTGGGTCATCCAGGCCACCCTCCTTTATTTAAAGTCAGCTGACTGCAGGCTTTAATCACATCTAGAAAACCTCTCCCTGCAACTCTTTCAGGTAGAAGCCGGCCTCCCTCCCTCACCTCCTTCCAGCCTCTCTTTCCAGTCTCAGGCAGGTCTTTCCTCACTGGCTTAGCTAAAGCAGCACAGCACGCCCCCAGCCCTCTCTTTTCCTGCTGTATTTTTATCACTGAGCACCTATCACTTCCTGACATGATATTATGTAACATTTGTTTATTTATTTATTTATTTATTTGAGATGGGGTCTTGCTCTGTTGCCAGGCTGGAGTGCAGTGGTGCGATCTCGGCTCACTGCAACCTTTGTCTCCCAGGTTCAAGCGATTCCCCTGCCTCAGTCTCCTGAGTAGCTGGGACTACAGGCTTGCGCCACCACGCCCAGCTAATTTTTTGTATTTTAGTAGAGACGGGGTTTCACCATGTTGGCCAGGATGGACTCGATCTCCTGACCTTGTGATCTGCCCGACCCAGCCTCCCAAAGTGCTGGGATTACAGGCCACCGCGCCCGGCCCATTTTGTTTATAAATTGACTCAGATGAAAGCTCAGAAAAAGTGGGGATATGTTTTGCAGCTGAAGATTGTGTCTTTAGAGTCTAGATCCTGGCAGCCTGGGCAGTATAGTGAGACCCCCATCGCTACCAAAAAAAAAAAAAAATTAAAAATGAGCCAAGCATGGTGGCGCATGCCTGTAGTCCCAGCTACCCAGGAGGCTGAGGTGGGAAAATTACTTAAGCCCGGGAGGTTGAGGCTGTGGTGAGCCATGATTGCAATGCTGCACTCCAGCCTGGGTGGCACAGCAAGACCCTGTCTGAAGAAAAGGAACAAAACATGGTTTATATTTACCTCAATTAAGTCTTCAGATCTTGTTTTTGGTATTTTCCCCATGACATGATCAAACTATTCAAGCACTGTTGCTCCCTTTAAAAAACCTCCAAACAAACAAAACCCCAAATCTATCACTTTAATGAGCAATGTTTTTATGACTCTTGATGACAGAGGAGGGGAGGGAGGCTGCAAAAACAAAATCAGAAATTCCTAAGAGTTTTTGCCCATATAAAACCCTATCTCTGTTGCATCCAAGCCCGTGGCGATTCACAGCAATTACAAGAACCATCCAGGGAATTCCCCCGTTTCTCACCGTACCTCCTGCTTAGATTTAAGACACTGATAAGCCTTTTAAAAAGGATCTCCCCCTTCCCATCCCCATGACTAATAGGCCTTTCTCAGCTTTGTTCAAACGTCTGTACCTTGAAAGGTTTGGAAAACTGGGATTTCCAAAGAACGTTAAAGCCTGAGCCCGGGAAGATCCTCCGGAGAAGAGCAAATGCTCAGGGGACTCCTGAGCCAAGCATTAAACATGGAGGTTGAGGACAGTTATTTCAAGATTTCTAACAGGAAGCTTTTTTTTCTTTGCCTCTTTGACTTCTAGTAATTAGTTAATTGCCCTTATGACTAGTTTGCAAAAATCTGCAGAAGGAACTTTCAGTCCCTTGAGAATAAAGCCTCTTCTATTTTAAGGATCTTTCTTTCTGTTTTTGGTTTTGGTTTTTTTGTGTGTTTGCTTGAGGTTTGGGGCTGGTGGTACAGGGGAGATTTAAAAAATAGCAGCATTTGGCCAGGTGCGGTGGCTCATACCTGTAATCCCAGCAATTTGGGAGGCTGAGGCGGGTGGATCACCTGAGGTCAGGAGTTCGAGACCAGCCTGGCCAACATGCCAAAACCCTATCTCTACCAAAAATACAAAAAATTAGATGGGCATGGTGGTGCACGCCTATAATCCCAGCTACTTGGGAGGGTGAGGCAGGAGAATAGCTTGAATGTGGGAGGCAGAGGTTGCAGTGAGCTGACACAATGAGACTCCATCTTAAAAAAAAAAATAGAAAAGAAAAGAAACAGCAGCATTTGCTTATTAGCATTAAGGCACCTGGTACCTGGCTCTCCCGCTACTATCCCCCACTCCAGTCCTCTTCCAGAAAGCTCTGGGTCCACCTTTATCTCTCAAAAGCTCTTTTAACACAAATTCTATGGGAAAATGCTCCCCAACAAGAAAAAACAGGGTTGCAGAGTTAAAAACAAATTACCCAGGCAGTGAGAGAGGAAAAAAACAGAGTAGCTGGCCTCGGGGAGAATGAGTGTTTTCAAACAGGATTTCAAAAGGAGATAGCTGATTGATTTAGAGACTTAACAACTCCTCAACCAGAGAAGAGAGAATAAAGAAAAAGCTCAGAGGGCTTGGAGTCAACTCAGGGCTCCTTAAATTTATCTTACAAATGGTGTTCATTCATTTCCAAAACTTTCTAATCACATGTGCAGAACAGACAGGTCTTTCACCTTCACAAAATACATCAGTTCAACGATTTGATTTTCTCTCAGAAATGTCACAGCATAAAGAAGGTTTTCTGTCTTTTTTTTCCCCTTCTTTTTTCTTAGACCTAAAGGTGATATCATCATGACTAACAGCAAAAGGTATTCTTGGATCCCGGTTTTGTTTGATGAACTGTTATATATTAAGTGTTACCCCTTTGGTGAGAGCTGTCAAAACAGTTTCATGTAATCTTCCCCAGGAGAAAGATCTTTGTGATGCCACAAAACTCAAATTATACAAATAACTGTCAAAAGCCATTAAAGTCAGCTGCAGAGGTGGGTGGGGGAGGAGAGAACAGGCGAGAGCCAAATCCTTACTTAACGTGCAGGGAAAATTCAAGATGTGGCATCTGCTCATGCTGATGAACAAGAATTCCTGCCTGCCTGGAATCCAGGGGTGAACAATTCATTGACTTGCACTCCTAAGAGAGAAGATGTAGAGTCTGGTGACACATATGGGCTCTGAAAGACCCCAACAGCCTGGCCTTGAATTCTGGGGCCATTGCTGACTGCTTCTGTCACCTTGGGGGACCTACTTAACCCCTCTGTGCCTCAGCTCCTCATTCTTGAAATGATTTTATTTTCTCTCTTTTTTTTTTTTTTTTTGAGATGGAGTCTCACTCTGTCACCCAGGCTGGAGTGCAGTGGCGCAATCTCGGCTCACTACAATCTCTGCCTCCCGGGTTCAAGCGATTCTCTTGCCTCAGCCTCCCAAGTAGCTGGGATTACAGGCGCGTGCCACCATGCCCAGCTAATTTTTTTGTATTTTTAGTAGAGACGGGGTTTCACCATGTTGGTCAGGCTGGTCTCGAACTCCTGATCCGCCCACCTCAGCCTCCCAAAGTGCTGGGATTACAGGCGTGAGCCACCGCGCCTGGCTCCTGAAATGATTTTAATCATGGAGCCCACGTGGTGGGTTGATGTGAGCCCTGATTCAGGACACGGTGGATGTGGCGGTGGTTGACGAGGGTTGGACTCTGATGATGGGTCCTCGCCCCCACATATTTTCACCCAGTACTTAAGGTACAGCAGGGAGCATTTGCCTGGCGCAGAGGAGATCTGGGGCTGCATTCTCTCTCCCCCACTCTGTGTGGTTTGGGCCAACTTAGGCTTCCAGACACCCAATGGTTTGAGAGCTTGGGAAAAAGAAAAAAATCCCCAATGGAGGAGAAACTGGAGTTGCAAGCATGTCATGTTCTCAGGAAGTGGGAACAAGGCCCCAACCCTTTGAGATTAGGTCGCTGGTTCCTAAGTAATGAGAGCCGGCCAGGGGTCCCTCTGTAAATCTCGGAGCCATCTCCCTTGGATGCACAGGTGAACTCAGGAGATCTCTTTCTTGACATCTGTCCCCAGGAGGGATGGCCCCCAGCTGAGTCTCAAATCAGAAACAGCTGTGGGAGTGGGAGCTGGCTTTTGTGGTTGAAAAGCTTCCATGAAGTCAAATGGCCTTCCACTCTGGGTGGTTAGGAGCTGAAGTCCTTGATGCCCCTCTCAGCAGGTGTATCCTGAAGTTCTCAGCACTAAAAGTTTTTGCAGGAGGCTGATCTTTGCAGAAGAGGCCCTCACCCATGTCTGTGCGCTCATCTCTAACTAAATGCAGGTTGTTCCACTCCACACCCAGGAGCCAGAGTGATCGTTCTAAAAACAAATGGGATCCTGTCTGATCCTCAGGCGAAACCCTTCACTTGCTCCCCGCTGCCCCTGGGTCCGTCCAGGCTTCTGACTGTGGCTCCCAGGCCCTGGAGCCCAGTCCTGCCCAATGGCCTAGACTCAGCCATGGTGCTCTGGACTCTTACTCCCCTGATGCCCCAGGACGGGAGCTGCCTTTTCCCTGTGCCCCCACCCTCACTAGCAGACCCACATGCCTGCCTGCCTCCCCAGGCCCCAGCCTTGTGCCTCCAGCCTTCTCCCACCCAGGTGTCAATCACAGTGACAATCCTATTGCTTCGAGCTGAGCCTCTGTTGTCTTCATTCATTTCTACCCGAAAAGCAACAAGCCCCAAATCACACACATGATAGAAGTAGCGTTCAAACCTAACCTACTAGCAGGAGCCAGATTGCAGGTTCCTGTCCTGGCTTCATCATCTGTTGACTGTGCCTCTGGGCGAGCCACCTCTTCACCCGAAGTCTCACCTTCTCCCTGTAGAAAATGGGATGATGATGGTACCCACCTCGTGAGTGGCTGTTGAAACAGCAAATGACATATTATAATGTGTTTGGCACTCAACAGGCTCTCAATAACTGTAGGCAACTTTTATTGCATTATGTTTTCACTTAACATATCTTAAAAAAAAAAACAGAAAATACAGAAAAGCAAAAAGAAGGTTAAAAAAAATCACCCATAATCTTACCAATGAGAAACAACCAGGATGAACATTTTGGTGAAAATGATTCCAGTCCTTTTTCAATGCATATAATTATACCTAAGCCTAAATAGAAATATGCACATATGCAAACAGATATATATGACATACACATTTACCTCTCTATCTTAGCTTTCCTGAGATGCAATTTGCATACAGAAAATTAATGTATTTGAAGTGAACAATTCAATGCTATTTAGTATATTCATAGACTTGGATGGCCATCATCACAGTCTGATTTTAGAAGATTTTTTGGCCCCAAAATGAAACCCCATCTTCATTAGCAGTCACGCCATGTTTCTTCTCTCTGCCCAGCCCCAGCAACCATGAATCCACTCCCTGTCTCTGTGGGTTTACCTGTTCTGAGCATTTCACATAAATGGAGGCATCTGATGCATGGAGTCTTGCCTGGCTTCTTTCACTTGGTCTCACGTGTTCAAGGTTCAACTGTGCTGTGGCATGGCGAGCACTCTATGTCTTTTTATGGCTGAGGGATATTCCAGGCTATGGACAGACCGCATTGGTTTGTGCATCTTACCAGTCGATGAACATTTGCCTTGCTTCTACTCTTTATTGTGTTATTGTGAATAACACCTCTGCAAGCATTCAAGTGCAAGTTTTTCCGTTTGTATCTATTTTAGGGGATTGAAATCTACACACTGTTTACAAGGTGCTTTTCCCACATTGCAGATATTCTCCATTAAATATTCTTCTGCACAGTCACTGGTCTGGGCTTCATGGGATTAAATCTTGGGATATAACATAATTCACTTGGCCGCCCAGTTATTAGTCAATCTCAGCTCCATGAGTGCCCCGTGTCCGGTTTGTGCCTTCCTATCATCCCTCCCTCGTTCCAAAAGCATCTCAGAAGCTTGATGGCTTCACCTGTGAGACCCAACTCACTGGATGGTTGGACCCAAAGTCCCCCTGAGAGATAATCTCCCAGCAGTGCAGCCGTGAGACAAGGATGGGAGAGCAGCGAGCGTGGGACCAGGTGGGTTCCTGCCAGGGGAGCCCAAGGTAACAGGGGTGCGATGGGCTCCTCAGGCCCCTCAAACCCAGCATGTGCAACGCTGGCTCAGCCCTGACCTTCTACATTCCTATGTTCCCTCCATGCCCTTCCCAGAACCTCATTTGGAAATATGGGGTCATTCCCATGCTTGAGGATGAGAATGCTTGTGAGGATTCCCATGGCCTGCCTGCCCACCAAGCCTCAGGGCCAGTCCCCCTGGGCTCCAGGAGCAGCTAGAGAACAGTTCTCTCTCTCCTCCTGCCAGCCTGAGCGTGTGTGTGTGTGTGTGTGTGCGTGCGTGTGTGTTGTGGGGGTAAGAGGACACATTCTCCTCCCCAATTTTCAAAGATACAGTCATGGCCGGGCGTGGTGGCTCACGCCTGTAATCCCAGCACTTTGGGAGGCTGAGAAAGGTGGATCACTTGAGGTCAGGAGTTCAAAATGAGCCTGGCCAATATGGTGAAACCCTGTCTCTACTAAAAATCCAAAACAAACAAAAATTAGCCAGGCTTGGTGGTGCACTCCTGTAGTCCCAGCTACATGGGAGGCTGAGGCAGGAGAATCACTTGAACCCGGGAGGTGGAGGTTGCAGTGAGCTGAGATGGTGCCACTGCACTCTAGCCTGGGCGACAGAGAGAGACTCTGCCTCAAAAAAAAAAAAAAAAAAAGAAGATACAGTCATGCATCACTTAATGCTGGGGATATGTTCTGAGAAATGTGTCATTAGGTGTCATTGTGCAAACCTCATACACAAACCTCAATGGTATATCCTACTATATACACCTAGGCTACATGGTGTAGCTCATTGTTCCTAGGCGCCAAACCTGCACAGCATGTGACTGTACTGGGTACTGTAGGCAACGGTGAGTATGTGTGTATCTAAACGTGGGAAAGGTCCGGGAGGAATACAGTGTTAGAATCTTATGGAACCACTGTCGTATATGCCGTCCATGGTTGGCCAAAACATTGCCCTGCAGCACGTAGCTGTATTTCGTCTCTGCCCACAAATCCTCCTCACCCTCCTTTTTAGCTACTCTGTGCTCGCTCTAAATTTTCTTTTTTTTTTTTTGAAAAACAAAGGCCAGCCGGACTTGTAGGCCCCTCTGCTCTCCCCTGCCTCGTTCCACTGGAACGAAGGAGACAAGGAAGAGGCAGGGGTGGGGAGACCAAGAGGAGGAAAAGTAAATACCTAAAAACCACACCTGGCTGCCATCAAAATAATAGCCAACATCCTCTCCATTCACCTCACACAAGCGGTGACATAGTTACTGCTATTATGCCCATTTAATAGATGGGGAAAACTGAGGCTCAGAGAGGTGGGTTACCTGCCCAGAATCACACAGCTCATAAACGGTAGATCAATGATTTACACCCAGGTCTGTCTAGGCCCCAGCTCCAAACCACCATGAGATACCCCCGAATCGCCCCTTTGGTGTTCCTACTCTCTGTGAGAATTTTAATTTTTTTCCATTCTTGATTGTTCTCCTTTCTTTCCTGTGTATGTATATACAAACGTATTTTTAGCTATGCTAAGTAATTCTCTGCCATTCAAATAACATGAAATGTAACAGTAAAAATGTGAAAGCAATTTTTAAAGCTCAAAATAAGTGGCTGTGCGTTTAAAATAGTGAACATTTTCTAAGCTTATTCTAATATGACTCCCTTTAAGAGACTGTAATCTATGAAAAACCTTTGTTTATCAATAAAAGTTCCAATTCAGTTCTTTTTCACTTTGGAGAGAGTGAAAAACTAACTCATAAAATCATCATCTTGTTAATACTCTCCTCACCCTTACTAAAACACACACACTCTCTCTCTGTCTGCCAAGTTATGGCAAAATCTCCATTGCACATGGCTTAGTTTTAATCCAACACTGCTATGTATAATAATGTTTATTTATTTTTGTAAGGGCAAAAAAAATTTAAACATTTTTACAAAAGTGAATGTTTCTCTTTGATTTTGCACTCTCTCCTATGTTTTCCTTTGTTTTTATTTCCCGATTTCATTCCTTTGGTCACAAAAAAAAAAAATATGTATTTTTTGCCCAAGTGATTCTGGTCAATTTCGGTATCTTTTTCAGGGTTTTGACATTTGAGAAAACTTAATCTAGGTCAGGGAGTACCTGCTGCTGAAAAGAATCTTCTGGAATGCCATTTTGATTTGGTGTAACCTTTGTTAGCAAGTTCATGTCAAAGGTCACTGAGCACATAGAGTGCGGGGGATGGCCAAGACCTAAACAAGGGAATACATGTCAAAAGCAATTTTCCGAAAGTGCCTGCCTCGACAAGCAAGCCACCGGCCCGCGCAGTCCGGGGCTACAGAGCGCTCAAGACCTTTCCCTCGGGTGCTGAGGGAAGGATCCCCTATCAGAGATCTCCAAGGAAGGCCCCGCCTCCACCTGCCCCTCCCGCAGGAGAGCGCTGCTGCAGAATCTGCCGCCTGGCCGGTGTTCACCCAGCGAACGAGTTCTGCTCCCAGCTCGTTTACTCATGAAATTAACTGCTGCTTCGAAGGAACGGCAGTTCATGTCAAAAGCTGCACCTGAAATCTTTCACCTCTGCGTTTTCCTTCTACCTGTTTGCAATTCTCACGTTCGCCCCTCACCCTCAACTCGAATGCTGGGTTTGACCCCACTCCTAATATCTTCAAATCATTTTCATTGATAGGGCACCTTGTGTTGTAAAAACGGATTTACTTTTTAAATAGATAATTTTTATATTAGTCGATGTACAAATGTGCTAGAGAAAAAGAAAACTCCTTTCCCCCGTTCACTCCAGCCATGTGGTTGCCCTCCCCAGAGGCAAATCTATCTATCTATCTATCTATCTATCTATATCTATCTATCTATCTATCTATCTATCTATCTATCTATCTATCTGTCTGTCTCTCTATATTTTTTGAGACAGGGTCTCGCTCTGTCGCCCAGGCTGGAGTGCAGTGGCACAATCATGACCCACTGCAGCCTCGACCTCCTGGACTCAAGTGATCCTCTCAGCTCAGCCTCCCAGGTAGCTGGGACCACGGCACGTGCCACCAAGCCCAGCTAATTTTTCTATTTTTTGTAGAGATGAGGTTTCGCCATGTTACTCAGGCTGGTCCCAAATTCCTGGGCTCAAGCAATCCACCCACTTTGGTCTCCCAGAGTGCCGAGATTACAGGCGTGAGGCACCATGCCCCGCCCAGGCAATTAATATTACCAGTTTTTTATACTTTTCCAAAGATGCTTTAGGGATATGTCAGCAAATATGTGCATATAGTCACTTTTCCTTCTTTTTACACAAGTGGCAGCAAGCTTTACTCATGGTCCATAGGACACTGGATGGTGTTCTTTGGGGCATCTTCCAGCAATGAGCTACTCTCTGCAATGCTTGGTGTACGATAATCCTAGCAGCTAACACCAGGGCTTTCTGAGCTAGCACTAGGCTAAGCTTATCATGCTCACTTTCTCACTGAGTTCTCACCATAACTTAATGTGGTAGATAGTATTATTATCTCTGCTTTGCAGATGGAGCAGAATTTAGAGAGACTCAGAGGCACATTTAAGTGACATAACACACAGCTGAGTGGAAGAGATGGGATTTGAACCCAGGTTGGCCTGACCAGAGAAATCTGAACTAATTTGTTTGTCTAGAGTTCAATTTCACTCTTATAGTATGCTACGTTAGGTTAGGTTTCATTATGTTTATTGAGCAGCTTCTATGTGCCAGGCACAGTGCCAAGGCCTGGAGATACAACAGTGAACAAGAGAGAGATGGTTCAGCCCACATACAGCCCATGATCTCTGTGGGAGACAAACTTCAAACTAAGGTAGTGGGTTGAACAGAGTCCCCAATATTCATGTCCATCCAGAACCTCAGAAACAACCTTATTTGGAAATAGGTTTTGACAGAAGTTGTTAGTTAAGAAGAGATCATACTGGATTAGGAAGGGCTCTAAATCCAATGACTGGTGTCCTTCCTAGAAAAGGAGAGGACACACAGAAAGACACAGGGAAGAAAGCCATGTGAGGACGGAGGCAGAGATTGGAATGACACTGCTACAAGTCCAGTGACACCAGGAGTCACCAGGAATGGGAAGAGGCCTGGAAAGGATTACCTCCTAGAATCTCAGGAGGGAGTGTGGCCTTGCTGATACCTGGTTGCAGATTTCTCGCCTCCAGAACAACGTGAGAATGAATTTCCGCTGTTTTAAGCCACCTGGGTTGTGGTCATTTGTTACAGCAACTCTCACAAAAAAATACAGATGCTACACACACAGGTACATGGGTAAGATGCTACGAGGGATGAGAACAGGAGGCCCCTAATTTAGGTTTGGGACAGGATGTTGGGGAGGGTGGTGTCTAAATCACAGAGTGGGCCAATCACTTGCACAGGAGAAAGAATAGAATGTTCCAGAAACATGACTTTGCTAATTCTTATAATTCTTATAATTTTCCTTCCTTCCTTCCTTTCTTCCTTCCTTCCTTCCTCTCTCTCTCTCTCTTTCTCTCTCTTTCTCTCTTTCTTTCTTTTCTTTTTTTCTTTTTTCTTTTTTTTGGACAGAGTCTCACTCTGTCGCCCAGGCTAGAGTGCAATGGCATCATGTCGACTCACTGCAACCTCCACCTCCCGGGTTCAAGCGATTCTCCTGCCTCAGCCTCCTGAGTAGCTGGGATTACAGGAGCCCGCCACCACACTCAGCTAATTTTTGTATTTTCAGTAGACACAGGGTTTCACCATGTTGGCCAGACTGGTCTCCAACTCCTGACCTCAGGTGATCCACCCGCCTCGGCGTCCTAAAGTGCTGGGATTACAGGCGTGAGCCACTGTGCCTGGCCTAATTTTCCACTTTCTAGGAACCGCATTCAAAAAGATAAAAAGAAATGAGTGAGGTTAATTCTGTAAATTTAATAAAATGATTTTACAAATAATTATTTAATATCATATAATTTAACAAATAATAAGTAATAAAGTTCATTTAACCCAATGTACCCAAAATATTATTTCGACAGGTAATCAATATAAAAATCCTTAGTGAGAATTTTACGTTCTTTCTTTTGTACTAAGTCTTTGAAATACAGTATGTTTTATACTTATAGCACAGTTCAATTTGGACCAGCCACATTTCCAGTGTTCAGTAATTGCATGTGGCTGGTGGTTACTGTATTGGACAGTACAGGTCTAGAAAATTCTAGTATTTTCCATGGCCCTTCACTTATGCCTTGAAATAAAAATAGTAGCCAAGGTCAGGCTCAGTGGCTCATGCCTGTAATCCTAGCACTTGGGATGCCAAGGCAGGAGGCTCATTTGAGGCCAGGAGTTTGAGAATAGGCTGGGCAACATAGAAAGATGCTGTCTTTACAAAATATTTAAAAATTAGCTGGGCATGGTGGTACATACCTGTGTTCCCAGCTGCAAAAGTAGCTGAGGTGGGAGAATTGCTTGAGCCCAGGAATTTGAGGCTGCAGTGAGTTATGATTGTGCCACTGCACTCCAGCCTGGGTCACAGTGAGACCCTGTCTCTAAAACATAGTAGCCAACATTTATTGAGAGCTTGCTGTCTTCCAAGCACTGTGCAAAGGGATCTACATCCATTGTTCCAATATTCTCTCCTCTAATGAATTCCTAGTGATGAATGAATGCATTAGGGATTTCCTAACAGTAAGCCATTCAGCTTAGTACCTGGCAATATGAGATGGTTGTCCTATGGCAGACCAGATTCGTAAATCCTCACAAGCAGGAACAGACTCCAGCGATACAGCTCTTCAGATATTTACTGCTCATCCAAATGAGCCAGACAATGAGCTGGGCACTCAGAGGTTTAAAGAAACAGCTTCTCTTAAAGAGGAGCACTCTGCTGTCCAACCTCTGTCTAGTGAAAATCAGTAAAATGTCAAGACATTGTGGGGAGACTTTAAGAAGTTCTTGCATCTGGACCAGGACCAGACAAATCGAGGCCACTTCCTAGAAATCATGGCAGATTCAAAATGAACACACACCTTAGGGTTATTACTTTCAGGGATGTGGAAATGAATGTTTGGGGAAAGGTCTGGTTGAAACTAGAATCATCTTCCCAACAGCCTTCAGAGGGAAAGGAAGGGCTCAAGTGGAGAGACCACAGATTTGGGGAAAGAGGCACTAAAGTAACAACATTTCCCCCTCCCCTCCCCCTACCCAAATAAAGGTCCCCTGCGGTGTGGGGTGCAGGAAAAAGAGAGCTGGGAGATGAGAGAGGAGAACTGACATTGTGGGGCCCTGAAACCTGAAGGTCACTTTCTTCATCTTTCACAGCTCAACTTCCTTACCACTTCCTCCAGGAAGCCTTCCCTCCTGATCCCTGGTGGAGCTGGTGTTCCTCCTCTGGGCTCCCATGAGCTATATCCTTTTTCTAACTTAGCAGTTCTCTCCCAGAATTATAATTGCCTGGTTTACTTGAGTGTTTCTCCCTAAATCAGAGATCTGCAATTTTTTAAAAAATAAAGAACCAGGTGATAAATATTTTAGGCCTTGCAGGTCTTAAAGTTTCTGTCACGACTACCGAATTCTGCCATTGTAGTGCAAAAGCAGCCACAGACAAAACAAAAACCAATAAGTGTGGCTCTGTTCCAACAAAACTTTGTGGACACTAAAATTTGAATTTCATATAATTTTCATGTGTTGCAAAATATTGTTCTTCTTTCTATTTTTTTTTCCTCAGCCATTTAAAATGTTAAAACTCCTTCTTAGCTTGTGGATTGTCCGAAAGTAGAGGACGGGTGGAATTTGACCCCTCAGCCATAGCCAATCCCAGGTCGCAGACGTGAGCTCAGTGAGGTCCCAATCCAGATGCAACGGTGACTTTTATCCAATGAATTCCCAGCGAGCAAAGCCTCCCTAGAGTGGAACTTGACAAATAGTTGTTGAAGGACTAAATTACAGAACTGTGGAGGTGATGGTTAGAGACATTAACTCGTCAGAAAAATATTAAGTTTGCAAATGGGTTTTATTTGCTCTAAAGTGTCATTGCTTTTTTTCTCCCCTGGCGAATGTTATGAAATGCTAATTAGCTCCCATCACAACCACGGTTCACAGATCTGTTTGATCTCCTTTGTCGGGGTGCGTACACAGCACCCTATATTGCAGACTAAAATAACTCAGCCCTGCCAGTGGAACCGCTGCTGTGTAGGCCGACACTGTCGGTCCAAGAGCGGGAGGCCCCGGAGGACCAAGGAGGGACCGTGGAACTTGCCAGAAGAAAGGAAACAGACCTCAGAAAGATCCTGTTCCAAGGTCATGCTGCTGGACTGTTGGAGACCTTTCCCAAATGATAGAAAATCATTCGACTCACAGGAGGTGAAGATGCTGGGGTCCCCTGAAGGCAAAGTTTCCCTAACAGTGAGGGGCATGCACGGGGCAGAGCATACACTCACCTTTCCCTGGCAACACACCTCATGTCCCCTCAGGACATACGTGGAGTGTAGACAAGCAACCCGTCTTCTGCCCTTCTGACAAACTGGTGTATGGCACCATTTCCAAATCCCCACAGACCTCTGTGTACCACGGTTTCCCAACACTATGCTGCTGGACCGAGGCGGGAGCCTTCTCCGCTGTGGGGCTGTCCTGTGCACTGTAGAATGTTAAGCAGCATCCCTGACTCCTACCCACTCAATGCCAGGGGCAACCCCCACCCCCAGGTTGTGAAATTATTTATTTATTTATTTAGCGGGAGACTCTCGCTCTGTCGCCCAAGCTGGAGCGCAGTGGTGCGATCTCGGCTCACTGCAGCCTCTGCCTCCTGGGTTCAAGCCACTCTCCTGTCTCAGCCTCCTGAATAGCTGGGACTATAGGTGCGCGCCACCAAGCCCGGCTAATTTTTGTATTTTTAGTAGAGACGGGGTTTCACCATGTTGGTCAGGCTGGTCTCAAACTCCTGACCTCAGGTGATCCGCCCGCCTCGGCCTCCCAAAGTGTTGGGATTACAAGCATAAGCCACCACGCCCAGCCCAGGTTGTGAAATTTTAAAATTTCTTCAGGCATTGCTGAATGTCCTCTTGGGGACAAAATTACTCCCCTTCCCTTAGCTGAGAACCTCTACTCTAGGGCAGTCATATCCTAAATGCAAGTCCTCAGACCACCGTGAGCCTGCAATTCAGCTAGCCCTTGGCAGGATGAGGGAAAAAAAACAAAAAACAAAAAACAGAGCGAATCTTTTCTAGGGACACGTGATTGATGTGAGGAAATGTCTTTTTCCAGGCCATCTTATTTGTTAGCACAAACACGTCTTTTATGAAGTGCTGATGCTGAAGGATGTCCACCTTTTCTTTTTTTTGATAAATGTCAATCCACCCATTATTACTATTATTATTTAAAGTTTTACTGGAGTGAAACTCCGGAGTCCAGGAATGGCTGGACTAGACAACTGTAAAAAAGAAATTGGATTTTCCATTCTTTCCCCTTAAAGATCTCTTGATCCCAGCGACTCCTAGTGATTTGCCTCAGTTTTCTCAACTGTAAAATGAAGATGATAATTGTGCCTGCTTCATATGGTTTTGGTTTTGGGGAAGAATAAGTGAGAAAATGCATTCAAAGCACTGGCTTGGTTTATATCCTAAAGATCCTTTGGCTTAGAGTCTGTGATTCACCCAGATTCATATAAACCCAGGATAAATGTTAAGGATTATTACTGATATCTTCCAACTTTGCAGGATACAGAAAAGTGTTGTTATCCCTGCCTTATCCTGTGGCTCCGTTTCTGGCAAGTTCTATGGTCTGCACACGTTATTCTCTGCAAAATAATGTTAATACGAGGAACTTCCCTGAGTTGTCCCCAGGTTCTGCACTCAAGGAAGGCAGTTAACAGTGGAAATTTCTCCAGCAGTCTTTCTTCCCTGCACATTTGCCCACGTACAGCTCAGCGTCCAGAATGAAAAGAGAGAGAGGCATAATTACCCATTCACATGTCTGTGCTGGCAGCACCCTTTAAAGACGGGTGTCATTCAAATGTCGACACCGCTAATTATGGGGTAGGGATCATGAAAGTGGAGGGAAGCGGTGAGGTGGTCAGCCGGCCTCCCCGCCCCCCTTCCTTTTAAGTGCCCATTATGAAATATTTCTCTCTCAGCTGATTGAAAGCCCTGACAAGCTCCACCTCCAGCCGGCTTTCATGTTGGATGGCTCTGTGCTCCCCACCCAAGGGCCTCCCAGCTCCTCCCCTGCAGGCAGGAGAGAGGGGGTGCTGGGGTTGGCTGCTGGAGGTATCCTGGGAGACCCTCGGGGGCACCCGCCTTGCCACTCCTGGAGCCACCTGACATTTGGGGCTCACCCACATTTGCTGTTGGTAAAGCCAAACTTCTTGCCTCTCAGAAGAGGAAGAGGAAAACAACACATTTAAGAAGCTATTTTTTAAAACAGGCATTTGAGACCTGAAATGGCTCCCCAAGTACCATGGTTTAGGGAGAAAACTATAAATGCGTCAGAAGTATACGGATTAGATTTTCCTCCTGCAAAGCCTCAAAAACAATCGGAAAGGCAACAAACAAAATGCAGCTGGTCTGTCCTCAGCACTCAGCAGCTGAGAAATGCAGTCATTTTCAGAGCCAGTGGCATCCCTATCCCAGATGCTGCCATCATTCATTCATTCATTCATTGATTCAACTAATATTCACAGAGCCCTACTGTGTGCCAACCGCTGGGCCAGGCATCGGGAATATAGAAAGCAAACCAAGCCTCGGCCCCTGTGGGGAGTCCTGTCAGGCTGGGGAGACAGGTGCCGTCCAGGTAAACCCGCGTGCTCCCCTGTGAGCAGTGCTGTGGGGAATCCAGCAGAGGAATTGAGAGATGCTGCGGGGGGCCTGTACTTGGGGGTTTGGCAAAGCTTCTCTGAGAAGGTGACATTTGACATTTATGACTTATGTCCCTTCCGTGCATACTAAAATACAGAGTAGGGTCGGGAGAGATGGCACTGGAAATGAAGGAACCAGCTGGAAAGTCAGCCCAGGGCAGAACATGACTTTCTGGGCGCTTTTTATTAGTGTTTCCTCCCTGCCCTGTCAGAGTGTCGCGTATACTTTTTCAACACCCCCTAAACAAAAACTCCCTTCTGAGATTTTAACATTGGGGCTATCAGATCCCAAGTCAGCTTAGCTGTTTCTTCCTTGCTTGGGTTAGGTGGGTGAGATGGAGGGACAAGGGGCGTGGGCAGAGCAGACCTACTAGGTAGATGGAGGGTGGTCCTGGCTCGTGGGATGCTTTTGTCACCATTGCCCTGGTCCAGGCCTCCCAGCCTGGCCTGAGCTCTCCAGTCCCTCTGCCCCAAGCATCTCCCGACTCTCATGAGAGCCCCGTGGGGCTGGCGCTTTACAGTTTGCACATGTCTCATTGGATCCACACACAAACCATGTAAAGCAGGGGCAATGGCCTCACTTTACCAAGGGGCAAGTGACAACTCAGCCAGGTGAAGTGACTTGCCCAAAGTCACCAAGCCTGCAAGTGGCACAGCCAGGACTCCGACTCGAGACTTCTGCCTCCATGTCTCATGCCCTCCTCACAGTTGCATCCTTCTCTGAAGCGGAGCCCACCGCAGGGTGAGATGTCTGAGGTCTGTGTGCCGGGATGTGCTCAGCCTTTTCCGAATCTCAGCCTGGGTGAGCCGAATTCTTCCAGGGGGCAACCTGCCCGGGAAGTTGGGTCCAGAGCCCTTTACAGCCACGAGGCCAAGGCTGAAGGGACATAGAGGGCAGGTGAGAGGAGGTGACATTTGAAAGAGTCCTGGAAAAGGACATCCAGAGACAGAGACACACACAAGAGTATGGGAAAGTCTCCAGGGGCTGGAGAACCTGCTGCAACTCTCCCTTCTCTCCAGCTTCAGGGCATGTAAATGTCATTCTCGTCCACCTGTTGGTGGAGCCATCCGTCCTTTGAGATGCAGAGTGTGTCTCCCAGGTCTTGCTGGGGTTACGGGGAAGGGCGTGCCTCTCTCTCTCCTGGTCCCCTCTAGCTGGGCTCCCTCTGGTGTCCAACTAAAGCGCCTCTTATTGTCCATATTTGCTGGCCCTCAACTGGCGGCATCTGGCTGTGGAACCCAGACCCTTCCCTTGATTTCCAATTCAGGCTCCCACAAGGCCTCTGTGTTTGCTGCTGTTTACAGTTGATGGCTGAAAATTTAGGCAAAAACAGAGGGTCGCTCTGCTGCAACATGGGTGACTTCAAAAGAAAGAGTGTTCTGCCAAAAATTTATTTGCCATTTCTACCAGTTGGAGCCCCAGCTTCGTCCCCTGTCTCCCTCTCCTGGCTCTTCCCCGCCAGCTTTGTTTCTAAAACAGTTAAATCTAGCTAAGCCTAATCAATTCAAGTGTCTTGTCTTTCTGACACTTTCTTTGGGTACTGGCCTCTTCATCCTTGAATATTTATTGGGGTATTTTCCTAATTCCCAATTATCTACCCTAGAAAAATTCTGACACACCTGCTGGGTTGAGAGAATTTTTCATTCTTCCACATCAGGGGTTGGGGAACTGTTCTGTAATGGGTCATGCAGCAGGCATTTTAAGCTTGTGGTCCATAGAGTCTCACTCCAGCCGGTCAACACGTGCTGCCTTTGTAGGATGAATGCAACTATAAACAATATGGAAATGAATGGATGAGTCTATGTTCCAATAAAACTTTATTTATAAAAACAGGCTGCTGGCCCAGGGGCTAGAGTTTGCAGATCCTTGTTGTACATAATCAGCTACTTAGCTGAGGGGCATGGAAACCACTGAATCACCAGACAGGCCTCTCCTGGACTCCCATGGGGTGCCTCCTACTAGGTGCTGTGGGAGGGTAGAGAACATTTCTTAGAAGTCTGTTCACAATGACCCTGGCTTTGAAGCTGGGATAAGGTAAAGCCAGTGCCCACTTGTGTAGTGGGCTGAACAGTTTCCCTGCAAAATGCATGTCCATCTGCAACCTCAGAATATGGCCTGATTTGGAAATAGGATCGCTGCAGATGTAGATAAGGTAAAGATCAACATGAGATTATACTGGATTTGGGTGGTCTCTAAATCCAATGAGGGTGATCTTCTATAAGACCAAAAAGGACACACAGTGAGACAGAGAAAAGAAGGCCATGTGAAGGCTGAGGCACAGATGGGTATGAGGCGGCCACAAGCCAAGGAATGCCAGGAGCTACTGGGAGCTGGAGGAGGCCAGGAACAGATTCTCCCCTGGAGCCTTCAGAGGGACCGCAGCCCTGCCGACACCTTGCTTTTGGACTTCTGGCCCCAGAAAACGCGGAGAGAGAATCCATTTCTGTTGTCTTAACCCACCCAGTTTGTGGTCATTTGTTACAGAAACCCTGGGAAACCAATATGGCACGTGGGTATTGAAAATTGCCCAGTGTAATTCAGTTGAGTTCCCTTGAAAAGGAGAAGCAAAGATCTCCTCATGTGGATGTGTCAGTTCAGTGTGTTTTGGCCTCATAGGAACCATGAATCCGAGATAACGCTGTAGGGGTTTCAACTCCCTGGCGGTGGAACTCTGTTGATTTCTACTCTTGTTAAACGACTCTTTCGCAGTAATATGAAGCAATTTGGCCAATAGTCAGCCAACTTGCCCCCGTCTTAAGGGTAAGTAAGCCAGTGAGAAGGGGGCCCCTGGCTCTGACGTCACAGCCCAATGGGAGGGGGCCAATCAGAAGCAGGATCTCTGGCTGGACCATGAGAGGAGGGAAAGTGTGGGTCTTATGATGCTTCCGCAGATGGTGTTGATGCCCAGAGCCCCGGCTTGCTCCAATCAGTTACTGGAGGAGAAAACTCCAAGTTGTTGACATGGAGACTTCAGACAGCCAAATCATGATCTAAAAGTGCAGGTACTGATGTGGATGGAAAATTCAGGGCCTTGGAGTCTGGGTTAAAATTATCCTTCCTTCAACTCAGTGCTACCTCAACCACAGGGAACGGAGGAGATGCATTTTCCCAAAGGAAGGATGCTGGACGGACAGCATGCATCCATTACAAGGTGGAAACCATCGACACAGAAAGGGAAGGGCTAGGAGTAGATCATGCTTTTTATAGCCCCCTGACCCCATGACAAACCCCTTCACACATTCCAACACACAAGCCTTTATTCACCCTGATTACCTCTAGCTTTGGACAGAGGGCAGGCCTTCACTGTGGCTGCACACAGGACCCAGTGTTTGTAACTGGGCTGCGAAATTCTTCACGTGGTATAAATCACCAGGGTTTAGTGGGTGCAAGCAACAGAAACTGACCAGCTGATGTAAGGAAAAGGGAATTTATTGGCAGGACACAGGGAACTCACAGGACTCTGTGAGCTCTTTAATGATGGCATCTGCCATCTCTTTTGCGAGTCAAGAGGAGACCTTGCTGTTCTCCTGGTGAGTGGTCCCATCATCAGTGAGCTCTCTGGAACTTAATTTTCCCCTTACATGTAGTGTGTGGTTGTGGCCTCAGAGTTATGCATTGTGGGTTCACACTGCAAGGACGATAGTACTTGTTGCTTTTAGAGAGCCTCCCATCTGTTGCCCTCGGGTCATTGCCAATGTTGATAAAATCTCCCCAGAAAAGCCCAGGAAATGCTATTATTATACCACAGGCCTGGACCAAGGCAGAAGCAGGGCCTCCAAGCTGGCCTGGGTGATCTCTGCATGGTTCTGGGCTACCTTATGTTGAGATAGTTGAGTCCGTGTCTTCAACTACCAGGATCCTGGCAGAGCGTGGGCAATTATGACTTTTTGCCCAATTATATAATCTCCCTGGGGTGGGGAGTATGACCCCAAAAGCTTCCAAGACACCCTCAATGAAACCTTGGAGGGAATCTGTAACATTTGTTCCAACTTACCAGTGCTTTCCCGGGGCTCCTCAAGGACCTCATGGTCTGACTACTTTTTCCATGTAACTTTCAAAACACCTTTGCTAAAACAAACAGATGAAACTTGGCAGCATGCCTCGGTCACAGGGCTGAGCTGGTACAATTTTCTTTTTTTTTCAGTCTTCGAAAAACAGTTTTCTTCATCTTTCTAAATTTCAAAATCTTGAGTGACTTAGCCATTTGAGCAGGACACAGAATGGTGATGATTTTTATTTTATAGATGAAGAAAAATTAAACATTCAAAGGGGCTGTAACCTTCCCCTTCATCAGAGAGCTTTGAGAGGATTCTCCGTGTCTCTCAGTTACAGTCTCCAAACCTCAACTTTGTCCATGGAAGCACACTCCTTCTCTACATAGATAATAATTTTTGAACCAAGTTGAAATCAAACCCCAGCAGATTTGAGCTTGTCCTGGGAAGAAGCAGTGGGAAAACGGTTTCCATGGGTACAGATTTTGACATTAGCAGCTGCAAATGTTCACCACCCCAAGATGACAAAACTCCAGTAACTTCAAAGCTGTTAAGCATAGCTTCAGGGCAAATTTTAATTAAATTTAGATAGCATATAGGAAAAGCATCTAATTTGTACTCTATAAAAGAGTTTGGGAAGCACAGCGCTGGAGCCTCAGGACTGTGGCTGTAACAATTATCTTGCAACTTTTCACAGCAGAATCACAACATGTTAATTTGTTAATGAGTCAGTCAGAGCAGAAGAGAGCTCCTGACAGCAGGGAGGAAAACATACAGATTCCATTTACATTTCTATTTTTAAATGAATTAAATGTTTCAAGTCAAACTCAAACTTCACGTGAAAGTTTAAATTCCTACTTTTTTTTCTAAACTCAGCATGGCTGCTGGATTAAGTATTAAGATTCTTGGGATTTCTTAGAGAGAACTAAGTGATTTCTTTATTTGAAGGTGGCTACAATTACATACCTGCTAAATGTGGCCATTTAGAGGAGATGGAGTGTTTTTGTTTGGTTTTGTTTTTTTCTTTTTGACAGAGTCTCACTCTGTTCTGAAGTGCAGTGGCGTGATCTTGGCTCACTGCAACCTCCACCTTCCAGGTTCAAGTGATTCTCCTGCCTCAGCCTCCCGAGTAGCTGGGACTACAGGCGCCTGCCACCAAGCTTGGCTAATTTTTTGTATTTTTAGTAGAGACGGGGTTTCACCATGTTAGCCAGGATGGTCTCGATCTCCTGACCTTGTGGTCTGTCCGCCTTGGACTCCCAAAGTGCTGGGATTACAGACGTGAGCCACTGCGCCCGGCCTGTTCTATGTTCTTTAGAAATGTATCCAGTGAGATAGAAAGATGTTCACAATATATTAGTGGGAAAATAAAGTTTAAGCCTTATGTATTACTGAAAGAGGCTTGGTAGTGGATATACATGCATAGGATAAAACGTGCAAAAACATAATCAAGAGTTTAATATTAGTTGTGTCTTAGAGGTATCAGGAATGATTCATTTTTCCTTTTATGCTTATTTCTACCATTCTAATTGTTCTAGTTCTGTGATGTCCAATACAGTAGTGGCCAGCCACATGTGACAATTAAATTCTAATTAATTAAAATTAAATGCAATTAACAATTTAGTTCCTCAATCACACTATTTACATTTCTATTGTTCAGCAGCCACATGTGACAATTGGTTTATGGAACTGGATGGTGCTGACTAGAACCCTTCAATCGTCCCAGAACATTCTGTGTAACAGCCCTGATCTATAATGATCACGGATTTCTTAGGTAATTGAACATATTTTTCAATATGTCTCAAGGCAGCAGCAGAGAAGAAAGGGCTGTTTGAAGCCAGGTTTGCCCCATGCAGGCCGAAAGGTGAAGGTGCAAGGGGGAATCAGAGAGGACCTCTTCCCCGGCACAGAAACTCGGTGGAGAAACCACAGAACAGTGGACTGACAGGTTCGGCTCAACTTCCCTTGGGCTGGGCCCCTTCATGGTCCATGATGGTGGCAGCCTTACCCTTCTGCATCTCATCCCAACACCACAACTTCCAGAGGCCAAGTGAGCAAGGCGATGTTCCCATGAGCCTCTAGGCAGCCTCCCTTCATGTCTCACTGGCTGGAATTGCCTCAAATTCTCATGCCTGGAACCCACTGCTTAGTAGAGTGGGATTGCCACAACTGACTTACACAGATCAGGATTCACACTTGAGCTGGGAGTAGGGTCGCTTCTCCTGAGGAGGAGCTACCTGAAGTTAATGAGCATTCTCAGTGAGGAAGAAGGAAGAATGGGAATGTTCACTGAACAACCAACAGTGTCCACTACTGACAGCAAGTGATGGAAAACTCAGTACAGTCTGACTTGATTTAAAAGCAAAGTGTGAGTTCACCCAGTGGCATCAGATGCAGCTCAATTCCAGATTCGAACAATGTCACTAAGATTGGCGTCTTGGCTTACAAAATGGCAGCAGCAGCTACGGATCTCACATGCTCACCAACATCTGATAAAAGAGAGGGAGCTGATAGCCGCAGCAAACATCTCTGCATGTGTTATTGACTTTAATTGGGTGGCTCAATCCCTGGGTCACTGAGTGACCCTGAACCAATCATGGAAGCCTTGAGGCACTCTCGATGTAATGAGCTTAGAGTGGGGGAGGGGAGGTCCCAGAGACATTTATTGCACTTTTTACTAGGAGCAGAGAAGAGCAGATGATGGGCTTCCAATGGTAGATTCCACTACAAGATAGCAACCCAGTGGCAAGCTCAGGAAAGGCCAAGACTTGGAGGCTGCATCATTCCCCTTCCTGAGGGTAGGGTCTGCTTTGGATATGGACACATGTTGCCAATTACAGGGGACAGAGAGAGTGGAAAGAGTGAGCAGAGAAAGAGCTAAAGACTTTGTTTCTAAATTAAACCAAGGTGGAATTCCCAGGAGCCACCAGAGCAAGGAAAGAAGAAAAGAACACCTCCTTGAGCTGCCCCTCAGTGAAAGGGCCTATTTCTATGAGTGTTTGTCTAACCTTTTCTTTAACCAGGAAATCACAATGGGATTAGCAATTTTCTGCAAAGAAACTCTTCGGTGACTTCTCTGGGAACAAATTTACATGGCACCCAATGCAAGCTGCATTATGTTTTTCCATCAGTGGATTATGCATGCCTACAAAGATATCTCTCTATATGCTTCTCTGTATGTTTCTACCTCGAGATTCAGCCTCTGCTTCTCTGTGTTTATCAATTTATCTCCCTTTTATCCATCCACCCATTCATTCATCTGTCTGCCCATCCATCCACCCAAATTTTCTGTCTGCCTTTATATTACACTTTCATTGATTTTCATCGAGGTTGAGGGTCTTTGAGGGATGGTTGATTATTCTCTTCCCCTTGCTCTGCTTGGCCCCCAAGCAGACTACTCTATGCCTGGATTCTTCACATTGAGAGCTGAAGTCAGACTGTGAATCATTGATTCAGCCAATGTTCACCGGGCATCCGCCATATGCAGGCTCAGTGCTAGGGGCTGAGGACGTAGAATCATGGAGCTCGCAGACTAATAAAGGAGATGACATTGATCAAATAACCATGGGGATAAATGCCAAATTGCAACCATAAGAGAAGCTGCAGAGGGGATGTGACAGAGGCCATCCCACAAGTGCTCACCTCACAGAGACTCGCCATGTGCATTCCACAGAGAGAGAGAAAGAGAGAGAGAGAGAGAGAGACCTGCTGGGCCCCATGGCAGAATGGCACAGGGGACCCTCCCTCCAATCCTGTCAGTCCCTCTGCCCTTTAAGCAAACTCGAAAGCTTTCATGCATGTTTTTGGTAGGACACTGACCCTAAAAGCAGCTACCTCATGAGGAGCTCAGCTCTTCAGGGGAGTAGAGCATGGGAGAGGTCATGGCTGGGGGCCTCACACTCAGTGACCACTCTAGGGCCCGGAGCCCCTCACTCTTTCTGGGCTGGCCCTCCCAAGAGATGACATGTGGATCTCTAAGTAGAAAGCTCCTAAGGAATTTTCTGTGCAGCTTTTGCCTTACCTGCTCTGGGGAGACATCTCTGCAGGGGGATTGGATCCAGCCAGTGATGCTTACGCCTACGGTGGGAGGATACAAATGTGAACGAGGCTCAGGGAGAGGAAAGCCTTCCAGGAGAGGGAAAGGTGTGTGCAAAGACCTTGTGGCTGGTGTGAACAGAGCAGGTTCAAGGGGCAGGAGGCTGGCAGGGCTGAAAGCAGACTAAGCGGGGAGATGTGGTACATGAGGAGTTGGAAGTTTGGCAGGGCTGGACCAGCAGGGTCTGGACGACTCCGGATGGGATTTCATTCCACGCTCAAAGAGCCACGGGGGATTATGAAAGGTTTTAAACAGGGAGGACCTTGATCAATTTTTGTAGCCAACTTCAAATATCACAGGGTGTTCCAGATAGGCCCATCCTGCTCATTAACATCGCCACCCCCACCCGCATATCATTGGCCAAAACAAGTCACAGGAAATTGCTGCATGCAGAGGGTGTGAGTGCACCTTCCCCCGTGGAAGGGCACTGCAGGGAAGGATGGGAACATGAGGCTAACGGCCTGTCGCAGAGAGTCTGGGATGGGGATAGAGGGAGCAAGAGGAAGACAAAAAGACCACAACTGAGAAGAGAAGGAGAGGTCGAGCAGCCACCTGTCCCCTGGGACTTTGTGGACTGGCAGACCTGTCTGCGGAAAGTTGTGCAAAGTTTTGCTGCTTGATACGTTGAATAACCTCCTTAATCCTTAGGAAGCCCTACTGGGGATAAATGTGCCTTTTCAAGGATTTGGGGGTTTTGTTTGTATTTCCTTTGAGTCCAGTGCCATGCTGACGCCAGCTCAAAGGTGCAAGTTGGAACTCCCAGGTTAATTTGGGACAGAAATAATAATCTGATCTCATCTTAATTTAACTGATTAAATCAGCAACAACCCTATTTCTACGTAAGGTCACATTCTAAGAAACTGAGGGTTAGGACTTCAGCATATAAATATGGTGGGGGTTGGGGGGAGGCCAGGGAACACAATTCAACCCATAACAAATGGTAATTGCTAAAGGGCATTAGCGTATGTGCTGTGAGGGGTATAGCATGGCAGCCCCTCATTATTCTTGGGGGATACATTCCAAGACCCCCAGTGGATGTCTGAAACCATGGATAGCACTCAACTTTATCTATTCTATGTTTTTCCTACACAGACATACCTATGATAGAGGTTAATTTATAAATTAGGCAGAGTAAGTAATTAGTAATATAGAATAATTAAACAATATACTGCAGTGTCACTATTCCTGTGCTTTGGGGCCATTTTTAAGTAAATAAGTAAGGATTCCTTGAACACAAGCACTGGGATGCCGTGACAGTCGATCTGATCACCCAGATGGCCACGGAGTGACTAACGTGCAGGGACAGCGGGGGTCCGCAGGACAAAGGGATGATTCATGTCCCCGGCAGGATGAAGCAGAAGGATGCAAGATTTCATCAAGATACTCACAAGGGTACACAATTTAAAACTTATGAATTTTTTATTTCTGGAATTTTCCATTGCATATTTTCAGACTGTGGTTGACCATGGGTAATTGACATCTCAGAAAGCAAAACCATGGATAAAGGGGGACTACCCTGCATCTCACTTCACCTCCACAAAACCCCTAGACATGTGTTACTATTACAGCTGGGGAAACGGAGGCTCAGAGAATTATTTGTCCAGGACTTGTAAATTACTTAAGGGCAAGGAGGGTTTGCACCTCCTTGGGCCTCAGCTTCCCCATCTGTAAAAGGGAGATGACACAGTTCTCCCTCAGTAGAACTGTTATGAGGATTGAATGAATGCAGACTGGCCATCCCCTGAGGTCTGTGTCTGGCCCGCAGTAAGTGCTGTTCAATAACAAATGTGGCTATGTCCCAGAGCAAGGGAGAAACCTGAGAAAGTCAAAGCAGTACAGCTGGCCAGGGTGGCAGCCCCGCATCCCATAGACCACATGGGATCAGCCTGTGCGTGTGGTTTGGCCCCTAGTGGTTTCCTGACATTTAAAAACGGAAAGACTTCACCCAAGAATGTAAATTTCTGGTTTTGATTGAAGAATCCAGGAGATCTGGCACCATTCCCAGCACCCGCCTGTCCACCGGCTGCCCTGGAGCCTGAGGCCCTGCAGGGCCTTAACCTGTAATGGGATTTTGTAGCTCCTCCTCCATCTCTTTAAAAATACTTGCAGCCTCAGAAGTCCCAGCACCACAGGGACCACTTCTTCCTGTCTTGCTGTCCCCCACTCTGGGCGGCCCCCACAGTCGGCCTCTCTCTCACTGGGAGGCAGGGCCCAGCCAGCTCTCCTGGCTCCCTTCACCCCTTGCCCCCCAGGTAAACCCCACATCCTGGTGGATTGACTCAGGGAAGGAAGTTCCAACAACTCCCTCTTTTTTCTTCTTTCCTTCCTTTTTCTCTTTTTAAATGTGTGTGTGTGTGTGTATGTGTGTGGTGTGTGTGTATGTGTGTGTGTGTGTGTATGTGTGTGTATGTGTGTGTGGTGTGTGTGGTGTGTGTATGTGTGTGGTGTGTGTGGTGTGTGTGTATGTGTATGTATGTGTGTGTATGCATGTGTGTGTGTGTATGTGTGTGTATGTGTGTGTATGTGTGTGTATGTGTGTGGTGTGTGTATGTGTGTGGTGTGTGTGTATATGTGTGTGTGTGGTGTGTGTGTATGTGTATGTATGTGTGTGTATGCATGTGTGTGTGTATGTGTGTGGTGTGTGGTGTGTGTGGTGTGTGTGTATATGTGTGTGTGTTGTGTGTGTGTATGTGTGTGTGTGTGTATGCGTGTGTGTGTGTGTATGTGTGTGTGTATGTGTTCCCAGGCTTCCTTGGCTCCTAATTTACATCTGCTCGATTTTATCACATTGTGACAGCAAAATGTGCAAAAAAATTAGTAGAACTGAAACCAAATGTGCAGTGAGAGTGCTTTCCAGAGAGGTCCTGCTGCCCCTCCCAGAGTTCAGAGCCCCACTCCGGGTTTCTGCAAATGTCAGCCCAGGTGGGGTGGTGTCCGCAGCTCTGGGTGCGAGGGTGTCTGTGGATAGAAGAGGCAGGAGCTGGAATCCAAGCATTTTAGAGCTACCGGGATGTTTAGGGGTATTGCTACAACCTTGGCAATTTGAAAGGGAGAAACCGAGACCTGGAGAGATGACAAAACTTGTCATATATTCCCCAAAGAGAAAAGGCTGGCAGAGGAAAGAGCCCAATACTTGATCAGTTTCCTATAGATTTCTTTCCTGTTTTATATGAGGTTGAGGTTTCTTTCAGAGAAATTCCTTTCAATCTGTTTTTGCTTTGGGGTCAGACAGATCTGTGTTAAAACTAGCTATGTCACTGTAAGATCCTGCATAACTTATTTAACCATCCTGAACATCGGTTTCTTCATCGACGAAATGAGAGAAATAAAGGCTACCCTAAAAACCTTATCATTAGTTGCCCAGGAAGGATGAGTTTGACTGCGAGTGATAGAAACCCAGGGGCTGGCTGAGCTGGATGGTGGGGTGCAGAGCAGAAGACGCCAAGTCCTCCAGCGGGAGCCTCCAGCAACCTTTCAGCAAATACTTACTGAGCATCTGTTACATCCCAGGCATTGTCCTAGGCCTGGAGGACACAGGTGCTGTCCTGCTGTCATGCAATCAAAGAACACGTGTCGAATGCCTGTGTGGGCAGAGCACTAGGTGGCCCTGGGGGAAGCTTTGAGGCTAGAGGGGAGGAGAAGTGCGCCGGCCGAGAAGGTGAGAACTGTGAGCTTAGACTGGGCTAGTGGTTCTCAAACAGGGGCAGCTTTGTCTTCCCACCCCCTCTCCCCGCACACTTGACAATATCTGGAGACATTTTTGGTTCTCAAAATTGGGATGAGGAGGTGGGGCTTTGCTAATGACCTCTAGCGGGTGGAGGACAGGGATGCTGTTAGACACCCTGCAATGCCAGGACAGCTCTCACTACGAAGAATTAACCTGTCCCAAATGTCAGTAGTGCTGGAGGAGAACAACCCTGAACTAGGGAAGGGCAGTGGGGCTGGAGAGAAGGGGGTGGATTGGAGGGAGAATTTTTCCTTGAAATAAATGGGACACGAGCCGGGTGTGAGGCTGTCCGTGTTTGGGTTGTGCTTGTGTGGTGTCCTTGTTTACTCAGCTTGCTTTCTGCTTCTTTGAAAAATACCAGCGGCAGGAACTCCAGGAGCAGATCCTCCAGGGCCCCCATCTAACCTCCCGCTGCAAGGGGCAGGCCTGCTCCCCACACCATTCTGGGCTGCAGGGGAACAGACACTGGCAAATGTTTTTTAGAGCCAAACTCCGGTCTTGTTTTTCAGGTTAAAATAAAATGGAGAGGGGCAGGCAGTTGATGGCTTATTAAAGAACCTCTTGATCTTTCTGTTTCCGTGAAAAGGTGCTTGTCTCTCTTGAAATGAATGTGTCTGCCTTTGCTAAGGGAAAGAGGGGAAAACGCCCTGAAACCACATTCCAGGGTGAGACTGGAAACTTTCTTATTAATTCCCCCAAAAAACATGAACCCAAGCAACCACTAAAAACCCAACCCAGAGTTAAGAAAATTCAATAAGTGGCTTTTAGGAAAATAAAAAAATAAAGGCGAAAACCCCAAACAGGAAATAAACCCATTAAGTGGAGCGTTTTGGTAGATTTGATCTTCGCCTGGAACCAGAAGCCAAAGACCTGGCCCCTTCCCTGCAATTACTCACGGTATCTGGGCCCAGGCAAATAACTGCATCATTCATTCAGCATTCACTTGGGGCTATGACGTGCCAGGATCCAGGCAGGAAACTGATGGCACAGGGCAGGCAACCCATCCCTGTCTTCATGGAGAAGGTATTTGTTAGTCATCCAACAAACATGGCACCCACTGCCTTACTTATGACTCTGAAGTTCTCTTGCTCAGTCATTTGCTGGCTTGTGTCTTTCGTGGCTCTCTCCATGTGGAAAGCCAATTCCAAGGTGCCCCCACCTCCTGCTATTCATGTCCTGTAAGAGCTTCTCCCCTTTAGTGTAGGCTGGCCTAGGGACTTGCTTCTAGCCAGTAGAAGATTCTAGCCAACAGTAGCTTCCAGCCACCTTGCATAGGGCAAAGTGATGAAATATCACTTCCATTATTAGGTTATGAAAGATTGTGACTTTCATCTTCCTAGTAGACTCTCTCTATGGCCTTCTAGCCTTGCATGCTTTGAGGAAACAGTTTGCCAGAAAGGCCTGTGTGGCAAGGAACTGAGGGGGGCCTCCAACCAGTGGCCAGAAAGAACATGATGACTTCAGTCCAACAACCCAGGAGGAACTGAATCTTGCCAACAACCACTGAGTGAGCGTGGAAGTGGATCCTCTCCAGTCAAGCCCTCAGATGAGACCTCATCCCTGCATGACACTTTGATGACAGCCTTGTGAAACACCCTGCAAAGTGGACACAGCTAAATTCTGCCCAGTTTCCTGACCCGCAAAGACTGTAAGATAACACATGTGTGTTGTTTTGAGTTGCTACATTTGCTGGAAAGGACTGTGTCCCTGTTTCTGGGGCAATGCCTGTACACAGAAGATGCTCAGCAAATGTTTGAGGAGTAAATGAATGAGGAGTTTATGCCATGCCCATTGCCTGGCAGTGAGGGTGCAGTAACGGACAAACGCCGCCCCTGACTTCTCAAACTTAAAATCTGGCAGAGGAATTAGGCCTGGTTATTCCTATGTTTCTCTCCCAACAGATTCAAGGACATGATAAAGAATTATAAGCCTAGAGAAAAGAGTAGCAAATTCTGATCTCAGTCCACGGGTTGAGGTGAGGCTATGGGAAGTACGATGGAGGAATGAGGGTTTAATTCAATGAGGATGAAGTAGCTACTATGGGTCTGCATGTGGGAGATCAAAGGGCAGAACAAAATCGTTCTTCTCCACCTGGGAATTTCTAATTAATACTACAGAGGACAGCATCAGGAAAGAAAAAAAACACTTTAATAATGAAGAAAACCACTGAAGCACAAACAATGGAAGCAAAGAACACCTGGGTTTAAAGCCCAGCTAAGCCATTTCTAGCTGTGCAACACAGAGCAGGTTCTTTGCCTCTCTGATCCCTGATTTTCTCACCCATAAAAATCAGCAACCTGCTGATAGGGTTATTGAGGGCAGGAGAGACCATGCCTGTAAAATGCTTTAAGGCATTTCTCAGCACAGAGGAGGTGCTTAGTACATAGGAACCGTGGGGACCACCCGAGGGAGACCAAGGGTGACGTGGAGCAGTGGAGGTGGCAGTAAGGGTTGTTCCATTCATTGCTTTCTTTGAGAGTTTATACCCTTTCTGATCCTTTATTTGCATTTTGGTTGGAACCTGCAGTGGGAGAAATGGTGAACATTGGTGATTAACCCACCATCTTTACCCAGAAGTCCTTTCTCTTTGGAAAATGGTTTTCTCTTGATGTTATGGTCCAGCGTTCCCACAGTCTCCTCCCCGGGCTGCTCCTTCTCTGTCTCCTATGGACTGAGGGTTTACACATTGGCTTTCAGGTCCAGTCAGGGAACCTCCATTCCTCTCACTCTCACTTGCCTCAGTGGTTTTACCTGCGACCGTGGCTCCAAGTTCCACCTCTGTACTGTGACTCTCAAACACACACATGTGCCTAGGGCTTTCCTCCAGGCTCTAAACTATCTGTCCAACAGCCTGCCTGATGTGCCCACTGGGTGGGTCAAATGCATTTCCGACCCAGTGTCCTCTAAAACCACACTCATGATTCTGTCCTCCCTGACATTTCCAGCTGCCCAGCTCTGTGACAGAATCCATATCCATCCTGGTGAGGCAGCCAGGATCTGAGGAGGGGTCTCAGCCCCTTCCTCTCCTCCCCACGTCCAGTTCATCACCAGATCCTCTTGTTTTTTCATCAGACCTTGAATCCATGCACCCGGGTCCTTCTCTTCCTCTGCCACTTAGCTGGAAGCATTCAGCTGGGACTGCACAGTCACCTCCTTGCCCTCTGTCCATCCTCTCCCACCAGAGCAGCAGAATGATCTTTTCACCATAAACATCAGATAAGGTGACCCCCCTGCAAAAATCCCAGCAATGTTTCCCGTTGCTTTTAGGATAAACACCAGACTCCTGGGAAAAATCAAACTCCTTTTAAGGGTCCATAAATTCCTGCACAATCCACCTCTGCCTATGTCTTCAGCCTCATGGGAAGCTACCCTCCTGCTCCCTGCTGGGTTCTAAAGGCACTGGGCTCCCTTCTGAAGGGCAGTCCTGAAGGCACCCACCCGTCCTTCGCCCCAGCCACCTTCTCTTAGTTGACTCTTCCTTCAGTTCTCAGCTCAGCCTTAACTCCCTAATGGAGCCCTCCCTGACTAGGTCAAATCCCCTCTCCTAGGACAGCGTGCATCTCCTATCAGTCGCACACCATCGTGATATTTCTTTCTTTCTTTTGTTTTTTTATTATACTTTAAGTTCTAGGGTACATGTGCACAACGTGCAGGTTTGTTACATAGGTATACATGTGCCATGTTGGTTTGCTGCACCCATCAACTAGTCATTTACATTAGCTATTTCTCCTAATTCTATCCCTCCCCTAGCCTCCCACCCCCTCAACAGGCCCTGGTGTGTGATGTTCCCCACCCTGTGTCCATGTGTACTTATTGTTCAATTCCCACCTATGAGTGAGAACATGCAGTGTTTGGTTTTCTGTCCTTGTGATAGTTTGCTCAGAATGGTTTCCAGCTTCATCCACGTCTCTGTAAAGGACATGAACTCATCCTTTTTTATGGCTGCAAAGTATTCCATGATGCCACATTTTCTTAATCCAGTCTATCATTGATGGACATTTGGGTTGATTCCAAGTCTTTGCTATTGTGAATAGTGCCACAATAAACACACGTGTGCATGTGTCTTTATAGTAGCATGCTTTATAATCCTTTGGGTATATACGCAGTAATGGGATCGCTGGGTCAAATGGTATTTCTAGTTCTAGATCCTTGAGGAATCGCCGCACTGTCTTCCACAATGGTTGAAATAATTTACATTCCCACCAACAGTGTGAAAGCGTTCCTGTTTCTCCACATCCTCTCCAGCATCTGTTGTTTCCTGGCTTTTTAATGATTCCCATTCTAACTGGCCTGAGATACACCATCTTGGTATTTCTATTGTTATTTGCACACATGATCCATCAGCATCTTTCCCCCACGAGACAGTAAACACCATGAGGGCAGAGATGGGGATCTCTGGATCCCTAACAATGAGCATAGATCAAGTCCAAGGTTGATGCTGAAACAGAACAAAAGAGTTAAACAATGTGCAAGAAATACAAAATAATAGTAAAATATAAAAAGCATGAATCACTGTAGTCTTTGGTGTCAGGAGAGCTCCCCAGTGTTGGGATTGTGCCCAAATGGAAGCTGGGGCAGCAAGGCCTTCCGCATCCTTGAGTGAGCCCCAGGGCTGTGGAGGTATAGCTGCAGCTCTAGACAAAAGCCAGGTGAGCTCTCCCCAGGTGTTCACTGCATCCACCATCACCGATTATTTCCTTGGCACCCACTCAAAGCTCCCTGCAAGTCAGGACTCTGCCCCTGTTGAAGCTTGAAAACATGCAGCATTAGCCTTGGGAAAAGGTGGGGAGAACTATCTGTCTATGAACCCTCCATGTAGCAGGGTGGAAGCCCGTCTGGGACACAAGAGAGCATGGAGGCTGTGGAGCTGGGTTCACAGTCTTGGCACTATTGATGTTGGGTTGCATCATTATCTGTGGTGGGGGCTGTCCTGGACGTTGTAGAATGTTGAGCAGAGTCCCTGATCTCTATGCACTGGTCATCAGTAGAAGCCCCCTGTAGTGACAAGCAAAAATGTCTCCAGACATTTCCAAATGTCCCAGGGTAGGGGGCAAAATCATGCCGGGTTGAGAACGACCATTCTGGAGAGTGGACCTCATTGACTGATTGATTCATTCATTCATTCCCGAGCTCCTACTGTGTGCCAAGCTCTCAGGATGCTGCAGGGAACAAGGCAGGAAGATCCCTGCCTTTTGAGAGCTTATAGTGGAGCAGGGGAGACAAGCAGACAAATAAATGCCCAAGATGAGTGCAGAGGGTGGTGAGCATCTGGGATGTGATGACAGTGCATCCGCTCCAGGAGCAGGTGCCGTGAGTGTCTTCTCACTGCTTTCCCCAGTGCCTAGCACAGAACAAGTGCCCAATAAAAATATACTGCCTGAACGACTCCCTGAAATAATCCATTGTTAGCTGCCAAAAGGGGCTGCTTTGGATAGGGTGGTTAGAGAAATTCCTCCTGGGGAGGCAGATTCACAGCTGATAACTGAATAGTGAGAATGAGCCACTGTGCAAAGACCTAGGGGGAAGAGTGTTCCAGGCTGTAAAAGCAGCATGTGTTTTGTTCCAGGTCTGGAGGGGGTTTGGTTTGTTCCGGGTGCTTATGTGTAATGTACTTGCCCCTCATTCACCTGGCTAAGTGCCAAGTGTCTGCTGGTTTCAGCTCAAACCCGGCTTCTTCTGGAACCCACCAGCCTGGAGGTGGCTCTGACAGGCACCCCCACAGTATTCTGTTCTTCTCCTTGAGTGTCCTGAGCACATGCCAAGCAGTTCTCCTATGTCTCACTGGATGGTGAGGTTGCTGGGGCCAGAGGGCCAGAGGCCACATCTGTTTCTCTTCACCATTGGAGCCGCAGCTTCAAGACTGTGTGCCTGGTATGCTCAGTGAGCACATGATGAATAAATGGATGGATAATGGATGGATGATGGATGGAAGATGAATGGATGGTTGCATGGATGATGAATGGATGGATGGATGGTTGGTTGGATGGATGGATGGATGATGGATGGATGGTGGATGGATGGATGGATGAATGGATGGATGGATGTTTGGTTAGATGCATGGATGGTTGGATGGATGGATGGATGGATGATTGGATAGAAGATGGATGGATGGATGCATAGATGGATGCATGGATGATTGGATAGATGATGGATGGATGGATGCATAGATGGATGCATGGATGATTGGTTGGATGGATGAATGGTTCGGTGGATGATGGATGGATGGATGGATGATGGATGGACTGGAAAGAGCCTATGTGAAACCCAAGCTTCTGAGAACCAAGAAAGTCCAAAGGTGACTCAAGAAAGAGAATAAGTCTCTTGGACTTTTAAACTCAACAACCTGTGCTCCATTCCCCAACCTGAGCCCAAGTCCCCAAGTTCTTGCTCCACATTCACTGGCAGATGCCAAGAGCTGAGATTAGTTTCAAGAAGAAGACAGGAAGTTGATGTCATCCTACCATTAAGGAGTGATTCAGAGAACAGGTTTTTGGTTGCCACAGCAACTTTAAGTATCAGAGCTCTCTCTATAGACTTTGGATGTGTGTGTGTGTGTGTGTGTGTGTGTGTGTGTGTGTGTGTGTGTGTGTGTTTAGGGATGGGGAGACTAGCACTCTTAAGTTCAGACAAACATTGAGACGACAGGATGTGAGCTGTCTATTAGATCTTGAAGGGTGTTGTCAAGGGGAGAAGCTGAACTTGTTTTCCAAATCCCAAAGTATTAAACCTCAAGGGCTTAGTTTGAGGGCAAATAAATATCTATCAAGTGGCAAGCTCACAAAATCCAGCATTCAAGAGAGCCTTGAAATGGAAGTTAATACTTCCAGTTTGGAGATGTAGCACAATAAGGCAGAAAAGAGGTGGGCTTGGAGACATGCAGATGAGATTTTAAATCCCTGACTTTGTCTCTTATTATTGATCTGGCCTTGGCCAGGACATAAGTCTGCCAAATCTGTTTCTACATTTGTAAAATGTGTAAAATGAGAGTAACTCCCTCTTAAGGTAATAAGGATCGAGTGGGTCACAGTGGGAGGCAGGGACTGCATGTGCAGAGGCCTTGTGGGGACTTGGGAAGCATTTCTGGTGAGTGAGGGAGACCAGTGTGAGACTGGCTAGAGTGATTGGCAGGAGCTGGACCATGAAGGGACACATGGGGCTCAACTGTGGTTGATGGTGGAGGGATTGGGCTGCATCTTAAAAACACAGTTCTCAAAATATAGAGCCAGGCCCAGCATCACCATCATCCTCTAGGAACTTGCTGGAAATGCAGATTCTCAGGTCCCACCCCAGACCTTCAGAATCAGAAACTCTTGGGGGTGGAGCCCAGAAATCTGTTTTAACGAGCCCTCCAGTGCATCCATTTGATGCACTTCTGAGTTTGCAAAGCACTGCTGCGGGCAATAGGAAATGGTTAAAGTGTTTTAAGCAAAGCAATGAGAGGATCAGATTAACTTTTGGAAAAGTTTCCCTTCTGTCTTGAAGAGTTTCATTGGATATGTATCGCCTTTGCTCAAAGAACAAGCACTGTTTATAGGTAGGGTTGCCAGATAAAAAAACAAGAGGCCAGTTAAATTTGAGTTTAAATAAACAACAAATACATTTTTAGTGTGACTATGTCTCAGAGTACATGTTATACTTTATCTGGCAGTCCTACCATAGTCACTGAATTTGGAGTCCCCCAGTGAGCTCTGGCAAAGGCATGGCTGGTTGGACAACGACTAGTTTCCTTGAAATCTTCTGGAACCTGGGGGTCATCTTTGAGATGAGCCCATCGATACAATTGCTCAGTGCACCATGACTTCCACGGGAATGGTCTCAGCATCTACAGAGTGACTCACACTGAACTGGTTAGTTTCAGAAAGAAAAAAATAATAACAAAAATGACTGCGTGGTTGTTTATTACTGGGCTGCATTTCAGACAGCTCCCGTGTTGCAATCTCGTGATTTATAGCTTTTTGCTGGGCTGACCCAAGCTGGGAGAGGAGGCCTGTTCCACCCTCTTTGCCTGTTGGGCCCTTTTCACGTGCTGGGGACATCTGTGAGGTTGTGGAAGCTGTCCTTGTTTAGAGTAGCTGCAGCAGCTTCCACCACAGCGCCAAGCTGTGCCCCGCTTCTGGCCCCTTGGGGACCCACTCTGGGCAGTGGGCACGGCAATCTTTTACTTGACTGCTGTGATCTTTGGTTTACAGATAAATACACCGTGCACCCCTTGCTTCGAGTCATAGAATTTTTGCCTGTTTTCCAGGCAAACACCTATCTGGGGGTTTTCTGTTCAACCCAGAGCTTCCTTCTGGTTTATGGAATTCTGTAAAAGGTTTGGAAGAAGACAGACGTGCACGTGATATTGGCTCCATCACTTCTTGGCTGGAGAAGATTACATGAGTTCCTTTATCCCTCCAAGCCTCAGTTTCCCATTCTGTAAAATGGGAATCATAATCATCAGAGCCCCTTCGTCACAGTGTTGCTGTGAGGTCTGAGTAAGGAAACGCCAGCAAGTGCATCTTTGGAGTAGGAGAACATGTGAGGTCTGGTTGAGGGGGCTCCTCACCCGGGGCAGGCCCCAGCCAACCACCCCGATGACGCCCAAGATGGAGAACATGGGGTGAAGCACTCCAGATGGGGAAAACAGGCTAATGCTGGTAAAATGCTAGGACACCGGAAAATTACTGCAGCTTATTGTGGCTTCAAACAATAGGAGGGAGGGATGAGAAAAGGGGAACATCTTTAGCAAGAAACAAATGAAGTCTTGTTTCTGCGCTTTTGAAAATGGAAGTAGATGAATCTTTTCTCTAGTTGGCATTTTGCTTTATGTGCTTTGTGTTTTGATATCTTTCAGGAGCCTGGGATTATGAAAGTGCCAATGGTTTCAAAAACAATCCCCTATTTTTTTAACTGCCATTTTAAGTTGTGAATTTCTTTTCTTCTAAAGGTGTCTTGCTTTAATGTTACACCATTTCACTGAATCAAATGCACTTCTTCCCTCACACCATACATAATGGAATATACATTCTATTATTTCCCCAAAAGTAAAATTAATAATACGTTTATTCCCTAAAAGAGTAGTGTGCTTATGTTGGAAATTAAGCAGTGGGGAAAGAAGAGAAAGGGGAAAAACAGATTCCTAGCACTCCAAGAGATACTCACTCTTTTAAAATAATGGTTTTGTTCCTGATTTTTATCTGAAGCAAAAGGTTATTAAAGTAAAAAATTTGGAAAATAAAGATATAAAACAGGTAGATTAAAACTGCACTACACAGAGATAATGACTGTTATTTACACACACACACTACAAATTTGAGTTCTAATTATATAAACTCATGACTAGTATAAAATACAGGTTTTAATCATTTAATTTTAAGCTATGAGAATTTCCCATGTTCCTTTGCTCTCTTGGAAAACAATTACTTCTGTGGCTGTACAATAGCCACTCTTTCCTGTGGCTGTGCCACCCTTTGACCACCCCTCATCGTTGGGCCGTTAGGTCGTTTCTAGCTTTTCTCCTTTGCATACAACTCCCCGAAGGCATTTGGCCACTAATCTGTGCCCACATTTCTGAACGTGGCCTAAGCACAGATTTCTCAGATGTCTTCGTCTTCAGAGAATGCAACTATTTTAAAGTTAAAATTAATTCAGTATGAATCTTCTGCTAATTTTATGTTGATGCTCTTAGAGCTAACTGGAATTCCCAGGGTGGGGATATGGAGAACAGGTTGCTGAATTCAATAATTTGTCGAACGTTGGAATGGTCTGAACATCTACCTGGGGAAAGTAAAATGAAATCTCGGCTCTTTCTGAAACATCTGTGCCTATGTTGCAGCTGCCAACACAAACTTTGGTGCAATGAAACCACAATGCTCTCCATCAATGCCGAACACAAAAGCAAGACAGCACTAGCTCGCCAAAAGAGGTTCTGGGGACGCTGGACTCCATTCCCAGAAATACACAACTTGCTCGCATTGCAAAAATGTCTGCCTGGAGTTTCCTCACAGGGCTTGCTCTGCCTGGACTCCACTCCTGCTGACTGGAGCCATAAGCTCAGTCCTAAACCTGAAGAGCCAGTGGCAGCTGTCCCAGGATTCACCCAGTTGCAATTTGGAATGGGTTGAAAGGCTGATTTTTATCTCGAGTGAATATTGCCAGGTTTCCTAGGATGAAAGGGAATCACAAGGATGAGACAGCCAGCAGCAGAGGTTTAGACACATGGTGTGGTCATGCCCCAGCATGAAACTCTAGGCTCCAGGTTCTCCGGACACAACCCTGCCCTCCCTGCTTAAAACTCTTAGCTCAGAGCACCTGGGCTTTTCAAAAGATGCCTTAAGCACCAGGCACTATTCCCAAGCCCATCTTCACCTATGTTACCTTCTCTGACAGTAAGATTAGCACATGCTTCGAACCCCAGGTTCTACTGTGTGACCCTGTGTAAGTCACTTAACCTCTCTGAGCACCACTTTTCTCCTTTATAAATTAGGATAATATTATGACCTTCCTTCAAGGGTTGGTACTAGGATTAAGTACATTAATGCAAATAAAGTACGTGTAAGAGGCCTACCGTGCAGTCATTACTATTTTTGTCACCAGAATGTGAGCTCCACGGGACAGGGACTTTGTCTGGTTTGCTGTGCACCGGAGGTGTGCCTAGAAGAGGTCTGGCACAACTTAGCATACCAAAATGCGTGCTGAACACACAAGGATCACTCACCCTGGACCGGCACTCTGAGCAGGGCGTCTGAGCCTTTGATTCCTATTTTCTGCTTCTAGGGATGCGTGCTGCTGCTTTAACTTCCCCACTGCCTTCCCCTGTCCACAGAGAGGGGCGGACATGCGGGACCAAAGACCGTGTTTCTGACTCTGGTCTCAAAGGTCATCCCTCGTTTCTTCCTCCAGCGACGTTCAGCGAGCCCTGGCTAGGGGCCAGGTACTGTGCTGGGACAGGCACTGGTGCCACAGCAGCGAGGAAAACAGACAAAAATCCCTGCCCTTCTGGATATGGATATTTGGGGCCCTGTGAAAGACCAAGCAAAGATGCACTGATTTTTCTTCTATGCCAAAAGAAAGCCTGAATGTATTCATTCAAACCCACGTTTCCATCTTTTGAGTACTTTCTACATGCCAAGCCCTGTGCTGGACCCGAGTCTAGCCCCTCTTCTCTGGAGCAGCTCTTGCCTCTTGGCAACACCGCATGTATAGAAAATGGTAGCATCTAGACAGTGTCCTGGGCTTAGGCAGCCAGGCTCTGGGGAGTCCGTTATGAGGCTTGGTGAAAAGCTTCATGGCATTTAAAGTACTGTGTAATGATAATAAAGACAAAATACAAAGGATTACGGGGTATATTTAATACTGAGTTTTGTTTAAAGCTTCCAAATAAAATCTTCTTACCTTAAAAAAAGAACTTGAACTTGCTTCCATATAGGTTCCTAGCTTATGCCAGATTTTATGCTTGACATGATAGCACACAATTTCTCAGCAAGAATTTTGTTAGGGATATCTGGAAATTACTAATTGCCACTCTTTATGAGAAATTTTGAATAAATAAGGAATATATTTTTTAAAATCATTTTTAAAACAATATTCAAAAAAGGAACATAAAAGAACAGGTGAAAATTATATTGAAAGAATCCAAAGATTCTTTTAACAACATAAAATATTGTAATTTCTTACGATTGTATGCAAGAATTCCAAACTGAACTTTTCCATACCACGTACTTCGAAATAACAGTGATGCTCTAATTTGGAGAACAGACATGAACTGTGAGTGCGGTGACTCTGAAGCCAGCTTGGATGATGCTAAAAGGACACATCAGCTGCAAATCAACACCAGCTGGGCTCTGGGCCATCTGGACCCTGCCCACCTGCAGCCTCCACCCAGCCTCCTGCCTCCACCTCCCTCCAGCTACACCTGGGGTGGCACATCATTCACCTTCAGCACCTGAGACACGAGCTCCCTCAGCGCCCCCAGGGGCCCTTGTCCATGAGAGCAGAGGTGTGCTTGCTGTGGGATGTGGACGAAGATGCTGAGATGCTGGAGGATCTCCTGGTTGAACCTGGAGCATCAGGCAGAGCAGAGTTTGTGCCGGTTGTGTGGGGAGTATGGGGCAGCCATTCACCTCACCCAGCTTGGGCCATCCTCCGAGGGTCCCTAGAGGAGGCTCCAGGCAGGGGATGGCTGGAACTGGAGCCCTGCAGACTTGGGTCTCTGACCACCCTAATCCCTGAGCACCATGTTATGCACTGGTAGCTCACCTGTAGGGCTAGAGCAGTGGTTCTTGAAGTGGGGTCCCCGGGCCTGCAGCATCAGCAGCATCGGGGAACTTGTTAGAAATGCATATTCTTGAACAAAAAACCAAACACCGCATATTCTCACTCATAGGTGGGAATTGAACAATGAGAACACATGGACACAGGAAGGGGAACATCACACTCTGGGGACTGTTGTGGGGTGGGGGGAGGGGGGAGGGATAGCATTGGGAGATATACCTAATGCTAGATGACGAGCTAGTGGGTGCAGCGCACCAGCATGGCACATGTATACATATGTAACTAACCTGCACATTGTGCACATGTACCCTAAAACTTAAAGTATAATAATAATTAAAAAAAAGAAAGAAAAAAAAGAAATGCACATTCTTTCCCCCCATCCCTCTGCACTCTGCGTTTTAACAAGTCCTCCAGGTGATTCGGGTGCATGTTCAAGTTCAAGAAGCCCAGGTCCAGAATTGCTTCTTGTGTCTTACCAGCCTTCTTCTCAGCTATCTCGATCTGTTGGAGGTCCCCCTCTGCCAGGGAACAGTAAGACCCTGCGAACAAAACTTCGCTATTGCATCACCTGGAGAGAAATGCAGATTCTTGGGCCCCACTCCAGACCCATGGGGGATGATTCAAAGGTAAAGTTTGAGAATGAGGGACAATCTTGTTAAAACGAGTTGCTGGTTTGAGAACCTGCAATTCTTTGTCTTTTCTCTTTTCTTTTCTTTTCTTTCTTTCTTTCTTTCTTTCTGTCTTTCTTTCTTTTTTTTCTTTTCTTCTTCTTTTTTTTTTTTTTTTTTTTGAGACAGGGCCTCATTCTGTCAGTCCAGGCTGGAGGACAGTGGCACAATCTCGGCTCACTGCAACCTCTGCCCCCGGGGCTTAAACGATTCTTCCACCTCAGCCTCCTGAGTAGCTGGGACTACAGGTGCTCATCACTACACCTGGCTAATTTTTGTATTTTTTTGTATTTTTTTTTTTTTTAGAGACAGGGTTTTGCTGTGTTGCCCAGGCTGGTCTCCAACTCCTTGACTCAAGAGATCCGCCCACCTCCACCTCCCAAAATGCTGGGATTACAGCTGTAAGCCACTGTGCCCGGCCAAGAACCTGCATTTCAAACATGCTCCCAGGAGAGGCTGATGCTATGGGCTTTGGCCACACTTTGAGTAGCAAGGTCCAAAGCCCCTAGAACAGGGCTGGTGAGTGGAGGAGGAAAGAAGCTCTCAGTAGGATTTCTCCTGCCTCACCCTCAAGCTCAAGTCCTGGAAACTTCTGGGAAGTGAACTGTAGTTGGAATCTCTGTTTCTCCACTGAGGGGCTGTGTGACCTTAGGCAGGAGACTTCACCTCTCTGGTCCTCAGTATCTTCAGCTATAAAGTGGGTCTCCTGAGAGTGACTCCTCCTAGTGCTGCTAGGAAGGGATGGAAGCAAATGAGCCATCAGGCACAGGGTGCAGGCGGGGGTTCCCCTCCTCACATGCTCTCCTGTGGACTAGTGATGCTGGTGGGTGGCCGAGGACGCATCACAGAGACCCCTCTGGAGTGGGTAACTGGAGAGGACCCAGACAAAGCCCTGGGCGAGCGCCCTGCACAGAGACCCTGCATGGAGGGGGAAGGAGGCCCTCCATTGATTGGGACATGCTCATCTTGACCATCCGTTGACCACCCCCAGCCTCAGGAATGCAGATCCCTGTGAACTGTCCGGAGACCACACCCCAGTGCTCCAACGAGTCTTGGATGTGCGGGTGGAGGGCGAACCCCCTCTTAAAGCTGGGGCCTACGGAGCAGTTGCTGAGATGAAATTCAGGCCTGGCCCCATTTAAATCCAGCCCCCACCTCCCCCTCCTTCCCAATTCGGCCTCCTCATCCTGCCCAACCTGCTTCACACCCCGACTCAGCCAGCAAACAGAGGTCTCCCTTTCCTTCCTCCAAAAGGGAAGGGGCTCCCCCAGGGCCTCCGCTGGAGTGGTTCTGGGTCTCCAAAGTCGGAAGTGCAATCGTGACCAACTCTCAGCTGCACCCTCTGCTGCCTGCAGCGGGTGTTTCACTTGCTCAGCAGGAATCCTGCCCCTGGTGACACCTCCACCCCAGGAGGCCAGCAAGCCCCTCAGGGAGCAAAACCAGTTGCTCTGGGAGACCTGGGCCTTCCCCACCGCCTCCCCCTGTCCACAGAGAGGGGCGGACATGCGGCACCAAAAACCGTGTTTCTGACTCTGGCATCAAAGGTCATCCCTTGTTTCTTCCTCAAGCGACGTTCAGTGAGCCCTGGCTAGGGGCCAGGTACTGTGCTGGGACAGGCACCGGTGCCACAGCAGCAAGGAAAACAGACAAAAATCCCTGCCCTTCTGGATATTACATCCCGGCAGAGAGACAGAGACAGCGTTCCAGTTACTTAATAAGTAAATAAAAATACAGTGTGTCTGGTGACAAGTTTGTTGGAAACAAAGCCTGATAAAGTCACGGGGGCCCGGTGCTATTCTAAAGAGGGAGTCCAGGCAGGCCTCAATGAGAAGGGGACATTTGAGTCACGACATTAAAAAGGCAACGCCTGAGCCAGGCAGGTATCTGGGGAAGGGCTCATCCGGGAGAAGGAACAGCCAGTGCAAAGCTGCTGAGGGCTTAAGAAACAGCAAGACCGCCAGCGTGGCCACAGCGAAGTGCCGGAGGGAGGGGAGGAGGGGAAGTCAGAGGCTCTCGTCACCTGCGGTTCTCAGGGGACATCTGGCGACATCTGGAGACATTTTTCCATTGTCATAATTTGGGGAGTACTACTTGCCATCGAGTGGGTGGGGGCCAGGGATACTGCTAAACACCCTGCAATGCCCAGGGCAGCCCCTGCTCAGAGAACGGCCCAGCCCAATGTCAAAAGTGCAGTAGTTGAGAAATTCTGCTCTAGGGCTTGGCTCTGCTCCGCTTATAAGTCACTGCGATGACCTTGCTGTCACCCTGAGAGGGGAGGAATCCATTGCAGGGGCTGGAGCATTAAGATCACACTTTGGTTGCAGCAGCACCCCCTGGCTGCCAAGTTGAGAATGGGCAGCCCAGAGGCCAGGAGGGCAGCAGGGAGCCCAGGGAGGAGGCCGATGGAACGCCCAGGTGAGAGGGTGGTGGCCCAGGAGAGGTGATAAAGGATCAGAGTCCCCACCTGTGATTTCATCTTCACCCAGTAATTCCAACCTGGGGCGCCAGCCTAAAGAAATAGGCACATACTGAAAAAAAAAAAAAAGGTTCACAAAGGAGGCTAGTATTATGATTGAAAGACAAAATTGGGAGTAACATCTCCATTCATTCAACAATAGGGGCCCAGACAGGCACAGCTGGGGTGGGAACTCTGAAAAGGTAGCCTGCTCTCCAAGGTGCCTCCTTGCCTGGAGAGGGGCTCCATCACTGTGTGTCACCTGGGCCATCAGGGAGATCATGGCCAGCACCTCCATGGGCTCCCACACACCCCCTCTGGAGGAGCTTGGGGGATGAACCTGTGGCTGGAACCCGTGGCTGGAAGGATGTGTGGAAAATGAAGACAGAGCTGGTTGAAGGATTTTCTTCTTTGTTTTGATATTTATTCAAGTAATAAAATCCAGGCAATGAGTACTCAGACAAAAGAGAACAGCCACACTCACCAGGCCCACCAGAGGCATGAGGGAGGCAGGAAGAGCCTGGAGGTCTGGAGAGGGGCAGGCCCACCTCTGGGGCGCGACAGGGGCTGGCCTGAGCCTGAAACCAGTGGGGTGGGGGTTTGGGATGGGGTCAGCACACAGCATCGCACCCTCTGAAGACCTGTCCCTGAGATTCCAGGGCCGCTCCTCCGCTTCGCTTCCCACTCATCATCCATGCCTCCCCCCACCCCCCACTCTCACCACCTTCTAGACCAAGTAGTGTAATTAAAGTCAGCAATTTTGTTGGGCTCAACCTGAACATGTGGGTACACGGGCTCCCGATTTGGCCTGCCTCCGAGCGGCGGGAGGTGTTTCCAATAAACTTGGGCGTTTTTAATGAGTCCTTTACAACTGCTAAATAATTAAGCCAAAGATTGACAAGAGCAACTGGTAGCCCCAAATCTTGGCAGCAAATAAGAGGAGCAGGGTCCCACCCTGCCATCCCCTCCAGCGGGCCTGTAAATTACGCCGCAAAGCACAAGTACAGCTGTCAGAGCACGGCAGCTTGAGCAGCTTAGGAAACTAACAAGCACCTATAGGTCTCACAGTTACCTGGGAGGCCTTATTTTATTTTTTCCAGGTTTGATGGGGATCTGCATTGAGGATGGCGTCTATGCCACTCGTACGGCGGAGACCCAGAGTTCCGCAGATGTGTGTGGTCAAGCCTGCCCAGCAGCGTGGCCAGAGACAGAGCAGATAAAATATAAGATGTCCAGGTCAATTTGAACTGCAGATAAACAATGAGTAACTCTTCTTCTCAGCACAAGCAAGTCAGGGCATACTTACAGTAAAAAAAGTTATTCATTGTTTATCTAAACACCCAATTTAACTGGCTATTCTGTATTTGATCTGGTGATTCCTTTCCACATGGAAGGCCTGTTTGAAAAAATATTTACCTGGAGAGAAATCCAAAACATGGTCACTGCTTTCTCACTGGGCCCTTCCACGGCGTATATCTTTGGTGGGTGCTGACACAGTGAGCTTGCAGCAGGCAATATCCACAGCAGCTGAGATGGGGCTTCATGGCCCGGGTCGGAGCCCTGACTCAGCCACTTGCTTACCTGTGTGATCTTGGGCAGCTTTTTAACCTCTGGGAGCCTCGGTTTCTCCCTGTGCAAAACAGGCATGATAATAGGAATACAGTGGTCCCCCATTGGCAGTTTCGTTTTCCTAGGTTTCTGCTACCTGCAGTCAACTGCGGTCCAAAAATATTCTGAAACTAGAAAATTCCAGAAAGAAACAATTTGTACGTTTTAAATCGTATACTGTTCCGAGTAGTGTGATGAAATCCTGAGCCATCCTGCTCTGTCCCACCGGGATGTGAGTACTCCCTTGGTCCAGGGTGTCCACATTGGCCACACTATCTGCCCTTTACTGTACAGGAAAAAACGTACATAGGGTTTGGTACTATCTGTGACTTTAGGCATCCACTGGGGGGTCTTGGAAAGCATCCCCCACAGATAAGGGAGGAAGACTGCCTTTCATAACATTGTTTTGATGGTGTCCGAACATACTTCATATTAAGCACTTAGTACAAAGCCTGGCACTTAGTAAGCCCTTGAACACATGTTAGCTGGAGTCATTTTGTGTTTTAAACTTCATTCCTACGGAATCCATATCCCAAACTTCTGATGGCCTTTCCATTAAAAGGACAAGATCAGAATGCCTGTGTTGGAACAAAACATGGCCCCTTATCCAGGCATGGTGGTACACACCTGCAGTCCCAGTTACTCAAGAGGCTGAGGTGGGAGGATAGCTTGAGCCTAGGAGTTAGAGGCTGCTGTGAGCAGTGATCACTGGTACTCCAGCCTGCATGACAGAGCAAGATTTTATCTCTTAAAATAAATAAAATGAAAAAAGAAAACATGGCCCCAAGGCTAATGTTTTGGGCTGGACCCCAAAAAACTAGGACCTTCTGCTTTCAAAGTCAGTCTGGTTGCCTTCGAGTGTTTATGGGGTCCAACCAGGACAAAACCATGACACACTTTGCACAGTTCCCCAGTAGCAACACAGGGACTGTGCTGGGGCCACCTGGTTAGAGGCACTGTTCCTGAATTTGAGAACCAGTTGAAAGGTAATCCTGACTGACTCCCCAGTCCCACATCTAACTGCTGGGCTCACTGCTATGGAGATCATACCAGGACATGGTGACTGATTGTGTTGGAAACTATTTGAGTCACTTGCCTTTCCAATTCCTGCACAGCTCTGAGCACCGGGCCAGGTTCAAAGTACAATCATGCATTGCCTAACGATGCAGATGCATTCTGAAAACAGAATCCTTAGGTGATTTTGTCGCTCTGTGAACTCTGTAGCATGTACTCACATGAACTTAAATGGTATATAGAAGGTATAGCTTACCACACACCTAGGCTACCTGGTACGGCCTACTGCTCCCAGGACACAAACCTGTACAGAATGTTACTATACTGAACACTGTAGACAACTGTAACACAATGGTGAGTACTTGTGTACTGAAACATAACTAAACATAGAAAATGGAATGCATTGCACTATGACATCATGGCAGCTACACTGTCACTAGGCAATAGGAAATTTTCAGCTCCATTATAATCTTATGGGACTCCATCTTATACAGTATATGCAGCCCATCATATATGTAATCTGTCATTGACTGAAACATCTTTATGTGACACATGATTGCAGAATCAGGAATCTGCTCTCCAGGAGCTGAAACTGTGGAAGAAGAGATGAGCTATGAGGGCAAATAAGGCTAAATCAGGCCAGGGAAGGAGCTACTCTTCACCGAACAACTATTATTTGTTGAGTGTCATTTGCATATGGCATGCCATTTAATGCAATTTGGAGGACAGCCCTGAGAGGCTGTGTACAGAGGGAACTCCCAAGACTCAATAGGACGAAGAAGGTGCCCCCAGTGTCAACTGGAAGGCAGGGGACTGAAACTCAAACCTGGACTTGAGGCAGCTTGAGGGATTGAGGCAATATTTAGGTTTAGAAATGGAGAGGTCAAGATGAAGGGCAGTGAATTCTCCCCTAGAAGCTTAAAAAGAAATTCCGATAATCTACAGAGAAGAAGCTAGTGCTGATCTATCCAATATGGCTGCCATGAGCCACGTAGGGCTATTTAAACTAATAAAAATTAAATGAAATTTAAAATTTAGCTCCTCCGTCACACTACCCACTTTCAAGAACTCAGAGACCACATGTGGCCACTGGCTGCCATTTGCATAGAGCAGGTATGGAGGCCTCTTCACTTCCATCATCACAGAAACTTCTATTGTTGCGCACTGGTGTAGGGACTAGGGAAAAGTTTCTTTTCTGTGTCTAAATATTCCAAGAAAAATTAGAAATGAAATTTTCAATTTTCAAATGAAAAATTCAATCTTAATATTTGGGTTGCTTAAGCCTGAGGATAAAACCTAAGTTCTGGGCTCCTGTGAGAAAGACTACACAGCCCTAAGAAAAAATTCAAGGGAAAAAGAGCACCAGAACCCCAAAACTCCCATGGTAAATGTAGAACCTTAAGAAAACAATCTAGCACTCTTAAGAAAGAGTACACTTCCACTGCAGGCTTTCTTCTTTTAACCTCTTAGTGGATTGTCTGATGAAATAATCATGTTCAGATATATATATATATCGTGTTCAGATATATATATATATAGTGTTCATATATATATATAGTGTTCAGATATATATATATCGTGTTCAGAGATATATATATATAGTGTTCAGATATATATATATATATAGTGTTCAGATATATATATATGTATTGTGTTCAGATATATATATATATAAAATCCCAGGATCAGCTTGATTCTGGGCACTGATTTCTATACGAATTTTTGGATGCCCAAGTCCACACAGCAAAGTTACAGCCCTGATAAACACCTAAAGTAGTATTGCAAATTACTTTCTTAAAGAAAGGAAATGAAGGTAAAAAGTATGTTGTTAGAATTCCATTTGATTGCATATAAAAGAGAACTTAAATAAGTGACTTAAACAAGGGGTACCTATTTCCTTTTCATCTAAAAGATGTCTAGAGAAGAGCAAACCTGGGCTGGCAAGGGCACATAGTCACTGAGAACCCAGGCTCCTTCTGTTTTTCTGCTTTTCATTCTTAGCATGAGATTTCTTAGAGTCGTAGGTCTCCTCGTCGTCCAGAATGGCTGCTGGAGCTCCAGCCATCATAACTTATTCCAGGCAGGAGAAAGAAGCAAGGGAATTGGCAATGAGAGAAAGGGCGCACTTCTCAGCTGAGCCAACTTGACTTTAAGAAGCCTACAGAGCAGCCCCATGCAATGACCCTGCCTTACATCTCATGAGCCAGCTCTACCTGCAGGGATTCCAGAGATAAAGTCATTTAACTGAAAGAAAGAAAGGAGGAAACGAAGGAGGGAGGGAGGGGAGATATTGGATAGGTAACCCACAGTCACACACGGTACAAAGTGTAGCTACTTTGCCTGCAAACACCTAGGAGCAGACAGGAAATTCATTCTGCTCAATGGTGGTAAAGGGCAGGGTCTCAGCCACCAATCCCTACGGAGCCAGGTGTGACAGCAGGGAGTGGTGGGGATTGCGGCAACCTGGAGGGTCCATGCCTGTGCCTGTCTCCAGGAGCCTCTGCTCATCACTCTGGCTGATTGTTGGAACCAGACCTACTGATCCCAATTTCTTGTTGTTTTTTTTTTTGTTTGTTTGTTTGTTTTAAAGAGCATCAGGCAATCTAGATTGTAGAGTGTGATCTCTTCGTTTTTAAACGCTGCTTTCGCAGCTACTAAAAAAAATTTTTAAACAATGTGGGTGACAAATAAAATCAGCAGGATTTGACCCAGAGTGAGGGGTGGGGCTGTTTCCTGTTTATAATCCTCTGATTATAAACAGGAAAATAAAATAACTGCACCTCATGGGATTATCTGATGAAATGTGTGTATCACTTGTCAAGCGGGAAGAGAGATGATTCACCAAACACAGTGAAACCCACTGAGGTTGAAAGATGTTTGAGACTGGGTGGCTGCGGGGGCGGCCAAGCGAGGGGTCCCTGGGCCCCCCACTCAGCCCTCCTTGTCTGCTATCACCACCCACATCTCCCAACCTCCCTAGAGGTGCTGGGGCCAGGCCACGTGAAGAGGGGGTGAAGGTGGAGGGTTGCACCAAATCATTTCATGAGTGCCTCGGGTGAGGGCGAAACCTGATCAAGTCCCGGCCTGCGCTCCCACAGCCAGCGCCTTCTCCCACATTCGGGGTGTATTCCTTTGGGGATGAGCCAGGTCTCAACCCAGGGGTCTGGGATCTCAGGGCCCACAACCCACACAGAATCGGAGGTCAGCCGGCCTGACCTGGAGGAGAAAGTTCTAGAGAAGGGGGTTCAGGGTTCCGGCTCTCTGGCTCTCACAGCTGAGGCCAAAACGTCAGGCGCCACACCAGTATCTCGGCTTGCCATTTCGTCACCAGCTGAATGCCAGTCGCAAACACAACCCAGTCTGTTGTGAGCACAAAGAGTGTTCGGGATAACCCTGCTGCCTGCTGTGTGGACACAGCTTCCCGCCAGCATCAAGGCAGCTCAACAAACAAGGCTAGGGAATGCGCCCCCAACAGAGGTCCACTGTCTGCCCCGACGCCCGCCTTCCAGGGAGAGCATTCCAGTAGCTGACCTAACCTTCTGGGCATTGGCAGAACTCCCAAGAACCAATTGCGGGCGGTTCTCTACCCATCGTGACCAACCGTCCTCGTTTGCCTGGGACTGAGGGGGTTCCCAGGCTGTGAGACAATTTTTTTTTTTTTTTTTTTGAGACAGAGTCTCGCTCTGTCACCCAGGCTGGAGTGCAGTGGTGCGAAATCGGCTCACTGCAACCTCCGCCTCCCAGGTTCAAGCGATTCTCCTGTCTCAGAACTGGGATGGGTTCGCCCTTCAATCTCCACCATTGCTTTCCACAGACAGCCTCATTTCCAGGGATGGGGAAGGAAAACCTGTAACTGCCTGCAAAGGGGTTAGAGAGTGCTGGTGTCTTCTCAGGGAAGGCTGAACACCACCCTTCTCAGGAAAGACTTAGAATCGGTCCAACCTACAGAAAACCACCAGCAGCCACGGGGCAAGAGTTTTACACCCAACCGAAAATAAACAGTCAGTACCCTCATGGGAGAATCTCACTTTAGAGGTATTTATTTTTTAAAGTTGCTTTTGTTTAAGATCATTCCCACTTGGGCTGAATTTTCCTCTTGTTCTTGGCACAAGGTGCAAGGAAGTCTATGTAGCATAATCCCAAGTGGGTTTAGAAACAAAACAGAACTGGAGATGGGTAATCATGTGCTCGTGTACGCAGAGTGCAGGGCCACACACACCCGTAAACAGCAGGCCCTCTGCAGAGGGGGATTGGGGAACTCGGGGGCAGCAGACCTTTATGTTAGACTGTCCTGTCTTGCTTACCTTTGTTCACCAATTTTTGAGACCGGAAAGCTATAAAGCAGAACTGAAATTTCTTAAAACGTAACACTCTTCTTACTGAATGCTCAGCAGGCATTCGCGAGAATGGGTGCTGAACAGGTGGGATATATTGGTCAGTGAAGAAAGCAGGTTGCAGCATGGAATATAGAGGATAATTGCAAGTCAAAAAAACAGATCTACTGGTTGCAGATATTTGTACACGTGTAGAAGAAAGTCTGGAAGAGTTCACACCAAGACCTGAACTGATGTTTATACCTGGGAGAGGGAACATGAAGGCATAAACTTGTAATTCTAAATCCACCCTCTTCTGTTTGGGTTAACTTTCTTCATCCAGAGAACACGTACTTCTTTGTTTTTGGTTTTTTGTTTTTAAACAGTATATCTTGAATGTCCAACTAACAGCAGGTGGCCTTCCTTTTAATAAAAACCTAAGGTGTGGAAACTCCAAGGTTCACAGATCTGTAGGAATGACAGGGTTCCTTCCAATGGGCCATCTCTCTGGTGCAAAATGGGACACATTTTACACACCTTTTCAAGAACAAATCCCTTGTGTAATTAATTAAGCCTATAATTATAGACCAATCTTTAAAAATGTAATTTGTAGTTTCCCCGTAATACTTATTTCAAATCTGACTTCTGATGTGGGCTAAATTATATTGGAACCAATTTTTACTACGTGGAGACTCAGGATAAACCAGGCTTCATTTGATTGATTTAAATATATTGTGGTTTCCATGTTTATTACTCAGTAGTAACTGGTATTTATGGAGCCAGGCTGCATACCAGACCCTGGACATGGGACTCCGCAGTTAATTTTTTTTTTTTTTTTTTTTGCCTGGATTTGATATCCCAAAGCAGTTCATTTCATTTAAACCTCACAGCAACCTTCTGGGGGCACTTACTGCTCTTACTCTTTTAAGGGAACAAAGACTCCTGAGAGGAAACTGATGTACCCAAAAAGCAAAAGGCAAGGGCTGGAGCCCTGATCTGAATCTGGGGTCTATGTCAAGGTCACAGTGCTTGGACAGACACATTTACTTTGTCCTGGTTTTTCTTAATTCCTTATTCACTGTTTCTCTTCCTTCTTAGGGTCAACAGTGTTACACGACACGTTTCTGCTTGTGGCATTTGAAAAAATCTCTGGATTAGAGTAGGATCCCCTGCGTAGGAGTCAAAGATGTGAGGATTTTTAAAAAGAGAGACATGGGGTTTGACCTCTCCCAGCCACCTCTTTCCAAACAGCTCTTGGGTGACCAGGTGCACGGTCAATGAGCGGGTCTGACGGTCCATCTGCTCTTTTGTCTTGTGGGAAGAAAGGATGACTCAAGTCCTCTGCACTCTGGTGTGTCTGTAGTTGTGGATTCTCTCCTGGCTGTTTAAAGTATAGGCACACCTTGGAGATACTGTGAGTTTGGCTCCAGACCACAGCTATAAAGTGAATATGGCACTAAAGTGAGTCATGAGCAATTTTTGGTTTCCCAGCGCATAAAAAGTTATATTCACACCAGGCTATAGTCTAAGTGTGTAATAGCATTATGTCTAAAAAGACAATGTACATACCTTAATTTAATTAATTTGTTTTTAAAATTATTATTGTTATTATTATTGAGACCGAGTCTCACTCTATCACCCAGACTGGAGTGCAGTGGCGCAATCTCAGCTCACTGCAACTTCTGTTTCCCAGGTTCAAGCGATTCTCCTGCCTCAGCCTCCCAAGTAACAGGCACCCACTACTGCGCCCAACCCGTTTTTTTGTATTTTTAGTAGAGACAGGGTTTCACCAAGTTGGCCAGGCCAGTCTTGACCTCCTGACCTCAAGTGATCCACCGGCCTTGGCCTCCCAAAGTGATGGGATTATAGGCGCGAGCCACCCTGCCGGGCCAATTTTAAACTACTTTACTGCTAAAAAATGCTAACAATGGTCTGAGCTTCCAGACAATCTTTTTGCTGGTGAAGAGTCTTGCCTCAATATTGGTGGCTGCCGACTGATCAGGGTGGCAGTTGCTGAAGGTTGGGGCCACTGTGGCAATTTCCTCAAGACAACGACAAAGTTGGCCACATTGATTGACCCTTCCTTTCACAAAATATTTCTCTGTAGCATGCAGTGCTGTTGGATAGCATTTTATCCACATAGAACTTCTTTCAAAATTGGAGTCAATCTTCTCTAACCCTGCTGCTGCATTATCAAATGAGTTGATCCACTATCCTCAATCTTTTGTTGTCATTTCCACAATGTTTGCAGCATCTTCACCAGGAGTAGATTCTATATCAAGAAACCACCTTTTTTTTTTTTTTTTTAAAGACAGAATCTCGCTCTGTCACCTAGGCTGGAGTACAGTGTACACTGGAGCAATCTCCACTCACTGCAACCCTCACCTCCCAAGTTCAAGTGATTCTCCTGCCTCAGCCTCCGAGTAGCTGGGATTACAGGCGTGCACCACCACACCCCGCTAATTTTCGTATTTTTATTAGAGATGGGGTTTCACCACTTTGTCCAGGCTGGTCTTGAACTCCTGACCTCAGGCGATCCACACACCTCAGCCTCCCAAAATGCTGGGATTACAGGCATGAGCTATCTCACCCAGCCTCAAAAAATCCCCCCCCCTTTTTTTTTTTTTTGCTTATCTATAAGAAGCAACTCCTCAGCTGTTCAAATTTCATCATGAGATTGCGGCAATTTGGTCGCATCTTCAGGCTCCACTCCTAATTCCAGTTCTCTTGCTATTTCCATCATATCTGCAATTGCTTCCTCTGCTGAAATCTTGAACCCCTCAGAGTCACCCATGAGGACTGTGATCAGCTTCTTCCAAACTCTTGTTAATGTGGATATTTTGACCTCCCATCAATCATAAATGTTCTTAATGACATCTAAAGTGGTGATTCCTTTCTAAAAGGTTTTCAATTTACTTTGCCAAGATCCATCCAAGGAATCACCATACATGGCAGGTATAGCCTTATGAAATGTGTTTTTTAAACAAGACGACTTGAAAATCAAAATTACTCCTTGATCCATGGGCTGCAGAATGGATGTTGTGTTAGCAGGCATGAAAACATCATTTATCTCCTTGTGCGTCTCCATCAGAGCACTTGGGTGACCGGGTGCACTGCGAATGAACAAATATTGTGAAAAAAACCTTTTTTCCCTGCAATTGGTTTCAACAGTGGCCTGGAAATATTCAGTAAACCAAGCTGTAAACAGAGGTATGGTCATCCAGGCTTTGTTGTTCCATTGCTAGAGCACAGGCAGAATAGATTTAGCATAATTCTTAAGGGCCATATGATTTTCAGAACGGTAAATAAGCATTGTCTTCAGTGCAAAATCAACAGCTGCATTAGCCCCTAAAAAGAGAGTCAGCCTGTCCTTTGAAGCTTGGAACACAGGAATTGAGTTCTCCTTTCTAGCTATGAAAGTTCTAGATGGCATCTTCCAATGGAATGCTGTTCCATCTGCATTGAAAATCTGTTTTTTAGTGTGGCCACCTTCCCCAGTGATCTTAGCTGGATCTTCTGGAGAACTTGCTGCTGCCTCTCCATCAGCACTTGCTCCTTTACCTTACACTTTTATGTTACAGAAATGGCTTCTTTCCTTAAACCTCATAAACCAACCTCTGCTAGCTTCCAACTTTTCCTCTGCAGCTTCCTCACCTCTGTCAACCTTCACAGAATTGAAGAGAGCTAGAGTCTTGCTCTGAATTAGCAATCCTTGGGCTTAACAGAATGTTATGTATGGTTGATCTTCTACCCAGACTACTCAAACTTTCTCCATATCAGCAATAAGGCTGTTTCACTTTCTTTTTATACATGTGTTCACGGAAAAGTTCATTTCCTTCGAGAACTTTTCCTTTACATTTACAACTTGGCTAACTGTTTACCACAAGAGGCTTAGCGTTTGACCTGTCTCAGCTTTTGACATGCCTTTCTCACTAAGCTTAATCATTTCTAGCTCTTGATTTAAATTGAGAAAACTTTGGGAGGCTGAGGTATGAGAATTGCTTGAGCCCGGGAGTTCAAGACCAGCCTGGGCAACCTAGTGAGATTTCATCTCTACTAAAAAAAAGATTTTTTTAAAAAATTAGCCGGGCATGGTGGTGCTTGCCTGTAGCCCCAGCTACTCAGGAGGCTGAGGTGGGAGGATCATTTGAGGCCAGGAGTTCCAGGCTGCAGTAAGCCATAATTGCACCACTGCACTCCAGCCTGGACCACAGAGAGAGACCCTGTTTCAAAAAATACATAAATAAATAATAAAGTGAGAGACATGCGACTCTTCCTTTCACTTGAACACTTGGAGGCCAATGTAGGTTTCTTAATTGGCCCAATTTAACATTGTTGCATCTCAGGGAATAGGGAGGCATGAGGAGAGGGAGGAGATGGGGGAATGGCCAGTGGAGCAGTTAGGGCACACACATTTATCAATTAAGTTCACTGTCTTATACGGGCACAGTTCGTGGTGCCCCAAAACACTGCAATAGTAACATCAAAGATCACTGACCACAGATCACGATAACAAATATAATAATAATGAAATGATTAGCTCTATTGTGAGAACTGCCAAAATGCAACACAGAGACACCAGGTGAGCACCTGCTGTTGGAAAAATGGCACCATGAACCTTGCTGGAGGCAGAGTTGCCACAAAACCTTCAATCTGTAAAAAATGCAATAAAGCAAATTGCAATAAAGAAGGTATGCCTGTATAAATGTAATGCTGGGAGACACAAACTCTTTTTCAGAATATTAGAAAGGAACCATCTCAGGACAGAGGCAATGGGGAAGTGGGTGGGGTGCGGGTGAGCAGGGCTGTGAAGTCTTGAGATTTGCCTCTGCGGTTGCTGACAGAGAACGAGTTATTATTATTATTATTATTATTATTATTATTATTATTTGAGACAGAGTCTCACTCTGTCGCTCAGGCTGAAGTGTAGTGACACAAAGTCAGCTCACTGCAATCTCCACCTCCCAGGTTCAAGCAACTTCACCGTGGAGACAGTTTTCTTATTAAATTGCTTGTACTCTCTTAGAAGGATTACTCATTTGATCAGCGGGAGGAACCACTCCCAAAATACCTTTTGAGTCATTTGGGGTTTCTATTGCCTTTTGCATAAACTTTGAATTATTCTTTTTGTTGAAAAGGTTACTATTAGGAAACACGTTCACAGGCAGTCTGTAAATGTCATCATATTTCAGCTGGGGACAGAGCTACACGAGGGTTTGGAGGAGGCGGCTCAGGGAGAAGGCAGCACCTCAGCCTGTTCTCTCAATGCACTGGCTGCAAGGAGCAGCTGCAACCCAGAGCCCACTGGGCCCAGACACCTAGCTGCCACATTTCCAGGGGTGGGCCTGCTCATGACGCAGGCAAGACAGGAAAACCGGGACAAGCTCCTGACCAGGCAGAGGTCAGGGACAGCTGCTCAGGTGCCACCAAGCATGAGGCAGGGCACCACCCAAGGCTTCCTGCCCAAACCTGTGGCATGCCCTGTTGGTGCTTTGCTGAAACTGTCCTTCTCTAAGAAGGCAATGAAGACAGTTGTCCCAGGCCCCAAAAAGAAGCACTCACTCCCTTTCCCATGAGACCACCAGTTTCGGATAGAGATTCTGTTTGGCTGGCGTTCTCAACTCATTAGAATTGGAATTAAAGAGCAGGGATGGGAAGTGACATTACAAACTCCGATGCCCAGGCCCCATCCCCGACTAACTGAATCAGAAATGCTGGGAGGCGAGCTCAGGACATTATGTTTTTAAAACGCACCAGGTGAGGCTGACACGCAGCCAGGGCTCAGAACCATGGATTTCAGCCAAAAAGGCTTTAGCCCAAGAAGACCGTGCAAATACAAAATGCCAAAGGGAGGGTCATCAGGTGAGTTTCATAGAATTCTGATTCTCCTCCTAATAAAGTACGTCCCTGGTAGCTGAGAGATGGGAGAGCAGCTCCACATGTGGGACCTGCCAGGGGGATTCGGCATTCCTGCGGCCCCCTCTGCTGGCCATGATGCTCTCAGATTCTTTGCTGAAAGGGAACGGACATAGGAGCCATCCCACTAAACTCTTCAAAGGACGCTTCTCAGATGCCGGAGTCCACAGAGTAGGGCAACATACAAAGCAAGCACCCAAAACACTGGGGGTGAGAGTCTCAAACCTTGTACTCTGTAATTACATCCAGCATCACCATCACTTCTCAAAAGAGAAGACACTTTCCCAGCAAAAATAGAAAAGGAAAGCAGTTGCAGAATAGTTAAGACTGAGCCCTGAGACATCAGTTTAGCCTTGAGAAAAAAACTACTTCCATTGTCCACATTTTTCTTAGCTGGATTCCTACCAATGAACCCCTGCTGGGACTTGAGTTTGGGGGGCACTGAGTGAAGTAAGAACTTTTAGTTAAGAAATTATTCTTTGGCCGTGGTTGTAATATCGTAGTCAGGGATGGCTTCACGGGCATGTGTCCAGGGCCCCACACTTAGAAGCATCCTGCCCTGGGTTTAATGCTCTCTTGAAATTCTTCATAATTTTTGGACAAGGAACTCCGCCTTTTCATTCTGTACTGGGCCCTGCAAATTCTGTACCCAACCCTGATTTTCACTGGTGGATTTATGTAAACGTGTGTCTTTCAGTTAGTCAATAAATATGTCTTGGACACTTATCGGTGCCGGTTTCCGAGGACACACCATGTGCAGTATCGCTGAGGGCAGGATCCAGAGTGTGCCTGCCTCAGAAAGCTTTGCTTCTGGAGGGGCCACAGGGAAAATGTTCACCAATAGGAAAGCCTATAAATAAGATCATTGAAAAGATTGGGAATCTGACAAGGATATCTATGTGAAACAGGAGAGTTCCCTGAACCCCCTTGCAGGATGTGCAACAAGGGTACGGCTCATGTGTGTGCTCAAACCCCTTACAGGAGGGAGAGCACGCAGACAGGCAGGTGCAGGAGATAGGGTGAGCACCCCTGGGCTCCAGCCCCACAACAGCATCCAGGAGGTGGGATCCTGTGACTCCCGAAGCCCAAGTAGGCGTGTGTTACAGTGTGCTCTTTTAGCCTTGCCATCCATGGAGGGCTTAAGTGTTAACCAGCTCAGTCTTGGTACACAGGTCCTTGTCCAGCATTCAGGAAGAATCAGGTCACACATGGACTTGAAGGATGGTGAATGCAGGGATTTTATTTGGTGCTGGAGGTGGCTCTCAGCAGGACAGATGGGGACCTGGAAAGGGAATGGCGTGGGAAGATGATCTTTCCCTGGAGTTTGGCTGTCCCTGGGCCGATCTCTCTGACTGTCCCCAGCAGACGTTCAGACGCTCCTTCTCTTCTCTCCTCCTCCACCACTCCATTCTTCTGCTCATCTGCTCGTGGAACCTGGGTTTGGGGTTTATATGGGTACAGGATAGGGGGCCATGGCAGGCCAAAAGGCAACATTTGGGCATGAAAACAGGAGTGCCTGTTCCCATTTAGGGTTGCAGGTTTCCAGGCTTTGGGGCGGGGCCTCTGCCAGGGAGCTGCCCTCTTCCACCCAGTATTTCCCTGTCTCTTGTCTGTGTCACATGGAGGCTATAAAATGGGTAAAGTGTGGCAGGTGGCAGCAGGTAGCAGAGGCCCAAGAAGCCTTTTTGAAGGAGATGACATGGGAGCTGGGACTGGCAGGAAGAGGAAGCCATTATTTAAAGAACAAAGCAAAAGCGGCCGGGTGAAGGTGCATGTGGGAGGCTGGCAGCAGGTAGGCCATGGGGGAATGTGGGTTTTGTTTACAAAGAAGAGTAGAGAGGGGTCACTGAAACCATTTAATTGGGGAATCATAAGGTGAGGGGACATTTAGGGCAATAAAGAGCCAGTGGCAGCTGGCAGACCAAGGGGGCACGTGGCAGCTGTTCAGCCAAGGTGGAAGACGCTTGGCCTAGACTAGGGTTTCTCCACTGGGCACTACTGAAATTTGAGCCAGGTAAGTCTTCACTGTGGGGCCGTCCTGTGCAATGTAGGATGTTGAGCTGCATCCCTGGCTTCTCCTCACCAAACACCAGTGGGTCCCCTCCCCCTGAGCTGTGACAGCCAGAACTCTCTGCAGACATTGTCAAATGTTCCTTGGGCATCAAAATGGACCCTGGTTGAAGATCACTGGCTTGGGGTGATGAGAGTGGACAGGGAGAGAGGGAATAAAGTCAGGATGTATCTTGGAAATAGGACTGAGAGAATTAAAACTGATGGGTTGAATTGGGGGAAGGGTATTAAGGGGAAAACTGACTCTGTTTTCCAACTGGAAACATGATGAACAGTAGCAAAACGTAATGAACAGCAGCAGCATCTGTGCTGAGATCTGCTCGGGGCATGAGGAGCAGTGTGGGTATCAGGGAGAGATCATTACCAAGAATTCCATTTCAGCCAAATAGATTTGCTTTCTTCTAATCAGACAAAAACTTCCCACCACACAGCTGCTGGGATGATCCAACTCTAGCAGACAGTGTTGACTGGCTATTAGGGCTGCCAGAAAGAATACAATATGCCCAGTTAAATTCAAATTCTAGCTTAACAGTGAATAAGTTTTAGTATAAGTATACCGCCTCACCCCACTACTAGGCTTCCTCCTAGCAGCAGCAGGCAAATCGGCTCAATTAGGCCTTCACCCCTGCCCCCAAAACTGCATGGGACGTATGCCAAAAAGTATTTGTTATTTATCTGAATTCAGATTTAACTGGGCGTCTACAACATTTTTGGGTTTTTGTTTTAGTTTTCTAGGGGGAAGGCGGGGATGGGGCTTTGCTCTGTTGCTCAAGCTGGAGTGCAGTGGCGTGATTACATCTGCGGCAGCCTTGACTGCCCCGAGTCAAGCAATTCTCCCACCTCAGCCTCCTGAGTAGCTGGGACCAAAGGTGTGCACTGCCTCGCCCGGCTAATTTTAAAAAATGATTTGTATAGACGAGGTCTCCTTATGTTGCCCAGGCTGGTCTCAAACTCCTGGGCTTAAGGGATCCTCCCACCTTGGCTTCCGAAAGTGTTGGGATTATAGGCAAGAGTCACCAGGCCTGGTCCACAACATTTTTATTTACATATTTTTGCTGTATCTGAAGCCCTGTCACTTACCTGTCTTTATCCTATTTTGGTTCAGTTATCTGGAATCCATGGGCTTCGGGGGTGGCTCAGTTCAACAGTGAAACTTGATTGGTCCAAGGTGGTCATAGTAATTCCATTTCTTGCTAGTGATTGGCTTAGGTAAAGAGGATGTGACACAATGTTAGCCAATAAGAGTTGACAGAACATCTGGAAGCTGGGAGCTTTGGGGAAGTTTTTTCTTACCACTCTTAAGCGGGCTCATGAAGAAGACACTGCTCTCCCTCCTTCTGTGTTGGTATGAAGATATTATGTGTGGAGCTCTGGCAGCCACCTTGCAACCACAAGCAAAGCCTGAGGATGAGGACAATTTGGGGAGTATGGCAGGGCTGAAAGTTGTGGTCTTAGTAGCACCACTGAACCTCCAAATCTGCCCGTCCTTGAGCCACTGACTCCTTTTCGGGCTTCATGTTGGTGAGGTAACAAATTCCTTATTATTGGAGCCATTGGAGATGGTTCTTCTGTGTCTTGCTGCCAAGCACATCCTGACTGCTACGTCAGCCAGCCACTGTGCCACAGGAGCCATGAGGCTAGGTTTTGCCACGGGAGATACCGAACACAAGGGAAGAGGCTACAGGATGATGAGTGAATAGCTGGATTAGAGCTTCCTAGCATCTCAGCCTCACACTCTGACAACATCAAAGAAACATCTTTCTTGACACTTCTCCTCTTCCTGTTTCATTCACATTGAGAGAAAATTCTCTATGGTGTCTCCCATTTCTGCACATCTTGTGAGCAGAGGCACTGACAGCTTTTCTTCTATACTGTCTTTACAAGAAAACAACTTAGTAGACAGAAAAGTGTCTCCCTCTGGGGCAGCAGCCAGATTTGTTTGCCGTTGTTTACAAAGTTGATGTCTCCCTCCAGGGCAAAGGCTGATCATGTTTGCTTGCCCATCATCAATGATTTGGATTTTCTAAGCTCAAGATTCCTCAGCTGTGGAATCGCCACATCCAGCTGAGGACAGCCCTCAGCCTCAGCGGCTCTCAGACTCCCCAGGGACCCTGGCTCCCACCATGCCCCAGATGGCCCCTGGGCTGTTGAGTGACCATGGAGGGCCACCCCTTTGTATCAGGGGTTTGGATTTAATTAAAGTCTTAGAAAATATTATCTGTCACTGAGCAGCCCAGAAGGGTAGCCCTGCTCAGAACTGAGAAGCTTCTTCATGTGGCTCTCGAAGCTGTCAAACAGGCCCTCTGCAAACTGAGACTGAGGCCGTGTCAAATGCTTGTGGTTTACCTCGGGCTTTGTTATGTCCCAGAGTCTGGAATCCTGGTAATTACAGAAAAACGTCGGGTGGGGGGTGAAGGGAAGGCGTCAGAAAGTTATCTGTCTCAACAAAAGGAAGAGAGGAGAGGGAAAGAAAGGGAGAGAGAGACAGACAGAGAGAAGAGAGAGAAAGAGACAGAGAGAGAGACAGGGGGACCAAGGCTGCACGCTGTGAGCAAAGATTCTCAAAGGAAAATCAGAGCAGTCCTGTCGGAAGGGAGGATGGAGCTGGCCTGGCTAATGAACAAACAGAGCGAAACAGTCCCACAAAACAGATAGCTACTACACCATGCTTTCCAATGTTGAGAGCGCCGATGAAGATCATCACGTTCAAAAAGCAGGTCACCAAGCAGAATGTAAGCATGTATTTCATTTTTCAAAAAAGAAACACCCATTCTATACCAGTCTATCAACTGTGATGCTCTGCGGATGAGTCACAGTAGAGGTTTTAAAACAATTTTCTGTTGGTCTGCCTGCATCTGCTAATTTTCCTACAATGGGCATATTCTAGCAGTTCCCATGTCATGAACCCACCAAAGGAATAAATAAAAGACAGAAAACTGAGCAGACACGCAGATCCTCCCAAACCCTTTCTCCTTGTTAAGTTCTGTCTGCACAACAAAGACCAGTGGAGAAATGAAAAGCTGCAGTCAGTTTTCTGACTTTGCTGGCTGGGAGAAGCGATCTGGACTCATCTTTTCCAGGTGTTTGGGAACATGGCTCTGTCCCTGGGTGAGGAAACCTCAATTTCAGGCTGCTGATCACAAGTGCACCTTCCGTGACAATCTCCTTAGGGCTGCACTTTCAGGGAAGGAATAACATCAGGGCTGCAGCCCACACGGGTCGTACCCTTGGCAGAACCTCCTGGAGGCCCTGCCGGGGTTCCTGGGGTCCCAGGGATGGAGACATCCCTTTGTTTCCTGTTTAGGGTGGTTCTGATTACAGATGAGGCCAAACTGGAATAAATCACAACCAGACCTCCTCTAGCCAGTGGCTCAGGGCTCTGTTGATTACAGTATCATTAGCAGGAAGGAAGAGTTAACAGGGAAGACACAAGCTGATGTGGCTTGGATGTTGTCCCCTCTAAATCTCATGTTGAATTGTGATCCCTAGTGTTGGAGGTAGGGTCCAGTGGGAGGTTTTTTGGTCCTGGGGGCGATCCTTCCTAGCAGATGCTGCCCTCATGGTAGTGAGTGAGTTCTCACAAGATCTGGTTGTTTAAAAGTGTGTGACACCTCCCCCCACTTCTCTCTTGCTCCTGCTCTGACCTGTGATACACAGGCTGTCCCTTCACCTTCTGCCAGGACTGTAAGCAGCTCAAGGCCTCCCCAGAGGCCAAGGAGATGCTGGCATCACACTTCCTGTACAGCCTACAGAACTGTGAGCCAGTTAAACCTCTTTTCTTTGTAAATTACCCAGCCTCAGGGATTCCTTTATAGCAACACAAGAAAGCCCTCATAACAGCCTTGGGCTTCAGTAAGGGCTCCAAAGACAGGCAGATGTGAATTCCACCCCAGGAAAAAAGTCCTCCTGGCTGGGGGACCTAGGACAAGTGTCTTCACCTCTGAGACTCAGTTTCCACCCCTGGAAGACGGGGATGGTAAGTGTATTAGTCAGAGTTCTCCAGAGAAACAGAGCAATAGAAGATATATATATATATGTATATATATATATGTATGAAGAGGAATTGGCTTACATAGATACGGGGGCTGAGAAGCCCTGCTATCTGCCATCTGCAAGCTGGAGACCCAGGAGGATCTGGGATAATTCAGCCCAAGTCTGAAGGCCTGAGAACCTGGGGAGCTGATGTTGCAAATCCTAGTCCAAGGGCGAGAGAGGATGAGCTGAGATGTCCCAGCTCCATTTGGTAGACAGGAAGCAAAAGGGTGAAGCCCTCTTCTCTCTGCCTTTTGTTCTATACAGGCCCTTAAACAATTTGGACAAGGCCCACCCACATTGGGGAGGGCCATCTGCTTTGCTAAGTGAACCAATTCAAATGTTAATCCCATTTGGAAACCCTCTTACCAACACACCAAGAATCATGTTTAATCTGGGCATTAATTGTGGCCCAATCAAGTTGACACGTAAAATTACTGTGGTGGAAGGAAGTCTCCCTCATTGGCAGGATGAGGGGAGATGAGTGTGGGAGTGGCACACAAGTTCTTCACCTGTGGCAGCCTTTCTCATGTGACAGAGTAAAGATGAGGCATTTACCAACAACCCCTCCTTTGCTGGCCAAAGGGGCGTTAGTCCAGTTCAACCATCACTTTGTCTCCTGCCCTCTGGGGAGACTCACTCTCTATCAAACCCTTTGGGTTCTTGGACCTCCTTTCTGGGATGCCAGAAGGTCAAGAAAGCCTGGATTTGATGGAAGGACAGAGAAAGGCTTTAAAGAGACTGATTAAGACAATCTACAAAATAAAGAGCTGAGAGAGAAAAGAGTGGGCAGAAAAGGTAAAATTTTCCTGCAGGATGGGGGAGGGAAATGGCACTGGAGATGAGGAAAGAAGACACTTAGGGAACATAAGTGTCAGACAATGGGAGAATAAGGAAAAGGGGATCTGAAAAAAGTGGCAGGAAGTCAAGCATTGGGGAACTTTGAGTGATCTAGGATTCTTTCGTTGCAAGCAACAGCAATCAGTCCTGGCTGACTTTAGAAAAAGGGAATTCACTGGAAGCATCACAGAACTGAGGGCAGGCTGCAGATGTGGGACTGAGAATGAGTAGGAGCAAGGCAGGCTGCAGGCTATGAGGCAGGTAGCAGAAACAGTCTGATCAAGGTGCAGTTTCTGCGATGGAATGAAACACCAACAATGTCAGCCTCTTTGTCCCTTTGCTTGAGACTCAGGTTCCAAAGTGGGCTATCTGACTGACTTGGTGTGGTTCATGTGCCTACTTCTGTCTGTCTTGTGTGGAGGGGAGGGGTGCTGTAAGCCCAGTGCCCTATCTGTAAATGGAGGAGGGCAAGCCCTTGAATCAAAACTGTCATGGTTATGAAGGGGAAATGGGGCCAGGCAACCAAACATGATGAATTTCCATTACGCTCTTTATGTTCTTTTGAAAGTAGCAAATGGAGGTGCTTTCAAACATCGTTCTGGCTGCAGAACTGTGCATCTTGCACACATCACTTCTCCAAGGTCTTGGTCATTGACCCTCATGGGTCACAGCTTCCTTAAGGTTACTTTATTATTAGAAATACATAAACTGGAGAGTCTTGTGATAGACAGGTGAATAAAATGTCATAGGAATGCAGAAGAGGCAACCTGAGGAAGCCGGGGAAGGCTTCACTGAGGAGGTGACTTTTGGGCATGCTTATAGAAGTTTACAGGGCTAAGCAGCTGATAGGTAGTAGGTGGTAATAAATGCATCTCAATACTTATTTGAGATAAATCAATCTTAAGCAAAGCATGTAGGATTGAAGCCAATCCCCTTCTTCCTAGGAATCTGGGACAAGACTGTCTTGTAACTTGTAGCTTCACCTAACCCAGATACTTCTGGTTATAACTGCAGGCTTTTATGGACAATTTCACTTTTTCTTTTAAATAACTTTCATCAAGACCAATGACACTATTTGACATTAAGTCAAATCGTGCAGAGAAAAACTGGGGCAAAAGTCTTATTTTGTAATTTGTCAGAATGGGTTCTGAAAAGCTGTGCTTGCTCCCAAGGGTTTCCTGCAGGCGAAAAGGAAACTTCCCTAAGACAGAAGAGGGAATCCACCATTTGGCCCCGGATGGATGGTCTCAGCCACAGGACAGGAACAAGGACAGGAATCTGCTCACAGGTCCCCGCCCAGCTGCTCTCTGACCGGCCACAGTATTCAGGCCAAGACACTCAGCTGTGACTGCGAATGCTACTTGTCTGACCTAAGGATCTAAGGACTGTAGCTGCCTTGTTTGCATTTCTTACTCCAACGATAACTCAAAGAAAAGAAAATGAATCACCGTGGAAAATGAGGGGAGGGTGCAAAAGTAGTGCCGCAGAGCCTCAGAATCCTCCCACCTGCCCTCCACCTGCATCTCCACCAGCCCATTCTCACCCTTCCCCACATCGCAGGAGAGGAACCGCCCAGTTTCCGGGAAGACAGGGTCACTTGGTTTAGCTGGAGTGGTCCCACTCTTCCTAAGTACCTGGTCTTCACAGTAGCTGCTGTGGCAGGGAAGGACGCAATCCCAGGACTAGACTCTTATCTTCTCCTTTTGCCCAGGCCCCACCAGCTTCCACACTGAACAACACGGGGCCTGTGGATCCATCCTCATCCCCTCCCTAAGCTACTGACCCACTCCCCTCCCCCTCCTGGCATTGATGGGCTGTCCTCAGGGAAGCCAGTGACCCTAGTCCAGGGCCTCAGACCAGGGTCAAGGGGCAGAATGTCTACACCAGGCCAGGGATCCCTGCAGACTGGTCTTCGGGAAGTGCACCCCCAGATGCAATCAGTTCACAGAGGAAAACCACATTTTGTTTAGTCTTTTCCTAGTCTAGAAGGCCTAGTATTTAATAAACCCTGGAGCCAGCCCTGAGGGGGACTGGCTTTTATGGGCTCCAGGCAGCTCTCTCAGCCTCTTCCCAGGTGGGGGGGCTTGGCCTGTTGGCAGCTGACTTGAGTTTTCTTCCCAGCCCCACCTCGCCCAATGCCCCCACCTTTTCCATGAGATGAAGAGAAACTTGGCCTCCAAGGGTCACTCTTCTCCCCAGGAATGTGTGGCCCAGCTTCTCCAGTTTAAAAGACTTTCCTCTGCTCCAGGGCTGACCCCAAACAGATGGGAACCTCTAGAGCTTGGTTGGCCAATGCCATGTTCAGCCCAGTCACAGCTGAGATCTTGTCACCTAGGTGAGTGCTTTACTGCTGGAGAAGTAGCAATCAAGAGAACAGTTCTTTTTAACATGGACATGAGAGATTTTAGGGACCAGTCCCCAGTGCTCAAATCATAGCAGGTCCCACCCAAGAACTTGGCTCATCCACAAACCAAGCTCCTGCCAAGCCCTGGCTTATGGAGATGGACCAGACATTCCTGGGGCATCATGGCAGGCGGCCACTGATGCTGTCTCAAATCCTGGGGTTCCATATTACGGAGAGAATCAGCTGCAAAAGGCAACAATTGTCTTTGAGTCACCCCTGCCCTTCCAAAAATCAGGCTTTCAAGAGTTGAAGGCGTGAAGCGTAATGCAGGGAATTTCTGACAGTGCAGAGGGTATCTGACAGGCTGGGATGTTCCAGCGATGACTGAACACGCAGATTGAATGGAACACTGATTACATTCTTGGTTAGCCGCCTATATAGCCCATACTGGGTCCTCATTACATGTGCCCTAACAACAAACATTATGTTTCATTAAAATATTACACACTTAGGAAAATACTTCTAAAAATGCAAAGAGGAGAATAAAAACTACCGCAAGTGCTATACTGAGACCCAGCGCTGTGGCAAGTTCCCCTGACCTGTCTGCAGGGATCATTACAAGCCGATACTGGCTGCCCAGCGGGACCTGATGAGACATCAGAGAGCTCACGTGACCTCCATTATCACTGTCACCGCCGTGCGTGCTGTTCACACAAACATCGGAGATGTAAGTGACACTTTACAACAATTCCTGAGCCTTCCATCATGTGGCTCAGAATGTCATGGCCCAGATGATGTCGGGGGGTATTAAAACAAATAAATGAACCATCGAACAAGTAAATAAATAAATACACAAAGGAAAGCGGGGAGAGAGAGGGAAGGAACCGGTTAGGGCACTCACACAGTGCAGAGGAGTCTGAAAAGGAATGCTGCCTGCTGGCGCCCTGGCTCTCTGTCTCTCTCCCTGTCTTTCTGTCTCTGTGTGTGTTTTTCCTCACTCTCTGTCTCTCTCGCCATCTAGCTGTCTCTCCTCTCTCGGCCCTTTCTCATCATAAACCCCCTTACATGTGATCTCCTTTAATCCTCACAACAGCCTGATGTAGTCACTGGCTTTCCTCCTATTTTACAGCTGAGAAAACTGGAGCTCTGAGAGATGGACTACCTTGCTCCAAGACACACAGGTGAATCCTAGTGGAGCTGGAGTCAGCCCCAGATAGCTCTATGCCCACCCTCCACCTCCCCCTCCAGCCTGTGTGTGCACGTATGTGCGGGTGTGTTGATGGGAATATACCCTAAGTCAGATTGCAACTTGCAATCTACAGCTCACGGACCAGAAACCTTAGCATTTCCTGGGAGCTCTGTAGAAATGCGGTGTCCCAGACCCCTCCCCAGACCTCCCAAGTCAGAAACTGCATTTTCACAGGATCCCTTGGGAACTCCTGGGCATGTGACAGGCTAAGAAACACCTCTCTACATCTCTCTACAGCCCTTCTCCCACTGCCAGGCAGGACTGAGTTACTGCTTTCCTGAGAGGAGGGAACTACATCACTCCCCAAAAGGAAACTGGAGACCACGCTAGGCGAGCACAGCTTTCCTGAATGCCAGCATACCAGGGCTGGAGGTGCAGGTTTGGTGCTGCCTCCGTCACCCTAAGCCCTCAACATCTCCATCCCCTGGTCTCTTGGTAAACAGCTAAGCCAAGATGGCCAGAGCTGGGAGGATGATTGGGCTGAGTCATGTCACTGTAGCCCACAGACAAGTCTGCAACCCATTAAAGACTTCTCTTCTCCATTAATTTCAGAGACAAAGAGACGTTTGAAGTTTAATGTCATTCTCTTGCTCAGCCTTCCTCAATGAGGCCCCCAGAAGGGTGAGTGAGGGGCTCTCGGAAGGAGTGGGGCTACTGCAGGGCTGGCTCCAGCCGCAGTGTGGGAGTACCCAGGTCTTTGCTTGGAACAAACACCTATTTGACAGACAGCAGTTGGGTCCTGGGTAGAACCATTGAGACCAGCTACCATTCCTGGTTCTGAAATTTAATAATGAAATAAATGTAATCACACATATTTAATTAAGCCATTTCTTAATAATCATTATCATAGCATGGCACACTCCCCACACGCCTGGCATAGCAAGGCACTATCATACGCATAGAAGCATAGACCTTTGCTGAGAGCGTCACTCCGTACCAACCCCAGACTCAGTAGCGGTGAGAACTTGCCCAAGTCAAAAGCTTCCCTGCGGCTCATTTCCTCCTCTGTAGAACGGGGGACTGAAAACAAGGAACAGGCATCGGGACAGCGGATCATGAAACTGGTGCCCCATGCAGTGGGTACTCTAAAATACGAAGGAGCAGGTTTCGGGTGCAGCAGCAGCAAGGATAGAGCTGAAACACAGATGCCTAAGGGAAGGACGCCAGACCTGGAAGAGGACAAACGGGGTGATCTTGCTTACATAAAGCTCGAAAACAGGCCAGAAGGCCAGAACCAATCTGCAGCCAGAAAGCAGCACCACGGCCACCCAGGGCAGAAGGAGGTGGGGTCTTCCTGGGGTGAGGGGGGCCGTGTTCCACGTCTTGTTCTGAGTGTGGAAGGGTGTACATGTTTGCCACAATGTATCAAATGCCACCCTTAAACTCTGTGCATGTTATTGTATATAATACTTCAATAACATTATTTTAAAAGTGTTGACCAATAGTTCAAATACAGTTTGTTGCCAAGACAAGTTTTTAAAAAACCATGAAATCTGAGTATAATACGATTTTAAAACAGAATTATACATACTGTTTGTAGCCAACACTTTTTTTAAAAAACATGTAATCTGAGCATAATAAGATTTTAAAGCAGAATTACACAGCGTTTTACATAAGTTAACATATTTATGGCACTTGGCACAGTGCCCGGCACACAGGAGGAAAATGCTGGAAACTGTCATTTCATCATCCGGATCACCTTGGGTTGGTGCCCTTATACCTGTTTCACAGATGAAGAAACTGAGGCACGGATAGGGTAACTTACATTAGTTTCCCAGGGCTGCCGTAACAAATTGCGGTTGTGGTTTAAAACAACAGAAACTTGTTCTCTCGCATTTTTGGAGGCTAGAAGCCCCAAATCAAGGTGCCCGCAGGCCAGGCTCTTCCACAGGCTCTAGAGGAGGACGCTTTCTGGCCGCTTCCAGCTTCCAGTGGCTGCTGGTCATCCTTGGTGTTCCTTGGCTTTTGGACATATCCTTCCAACCTCTGTGTCCTGTGTCACGTGGCCTTCTTCCCTCTGTGTGTCTGTGTCCTTTCTTTTAAGGACACCAGTCACTGGATTTAGCACTTACTCGATCCAGTATGACCCTATACTAACTAGTTACATCTGCAAAGACCCCATTTCCCAATAAGGTCCCATTCACAGGGATCAGGACTTGAGGATGTCTTTTCGGGGGACACGATCCAACCCAAGCACTTACCCAAGACAGCACAGAGATTAAATGGGAGGATGGAGATCCGAGGAGATCCAAGCCCAGCTCTGCCTGATTCCGGAGCTCCCCTGTGGTCCAGGACCCTTTACCTTGCTGTGCTCACCTGGCTGAGAGGCCTCTGCAACTGGCCAGGCCCTCAGGAACTGAATTCTGTCCCGGCCTCGGGTGCTCAGCCGAGCAGTGGAAACTGGGAGAGTAACCGAGGGCAACATGAGCATGCTTCAGTGTTTAGCGCGGATGGCTCCAGGGAGGTGCCAGGCGCTGTCTGGGAACGGGGCAGGGGTCAGGGCAGATGTCACCCAAAAGGACACTAGCTCTGAGGTGGAAGGACAAGGTGGGTTGTGTGGGGCCCAGAAGAGGGCATTCCACTTTGCATAAGCAAAGTCCTGAAGGGGACACTGGTGGCCTGGCCTGGTGGGTGCCGGTTAGGAGGGATCCAAAGCTGAATGGTGAGCAGGCAGCCTCCCGCCAGTGCATACACCCCTCCCTCCACAGCCTACGCTGAGGCGTTTGCTTTGAAATTGTTGCCAGTGAACGTGAGTGGCTGGAAGGTGGGTGTTGGCGTTGGGCGTTGGCATTGGGGATGCCTCGCTCCATCCTGGACATGTCAACATCTCTTCAAGACTCCCCTGCAACGTGGGGATGGTGATCTTCACTTAGCCAACCTCAGAGGGGATTTCAAGGCTCTGAGAGGGACTCTGGCAGCATCTAGGCTTAGAGAAGACAGGAATATGTAAACAGTGGCTATGCAGAAGAGACCTGGGGACGGGACCTTATTTGGAAACAGGGTCTTTGCAGATATAATCAAGGTAAGATGAAGTCATAGTGAAATAGGTTGGGCCCAAATCCAGTATGACTGGTGTCCTTGGAAGAAGAGACACAGAGACATAGACAGACACAGACATGCAGAGAAAACGTGATGTGATGATGGAAACTGAGATTGGTGTGACATGGCTGCAAGCCAAGGAATGCCAGTGATTGCCCAGAAGCCCAGGAGCGTGGAGAGAGGCTGGAACAGACTCTCCCTCAGAGCCTCCAAAAGGGACCAACTTTGACGGTTGCTCAGGATATACAGTCCCTAGTATATCCTGGGATGTTGGGATCACTGGATATACTAGGCAGGTGTCAGGGAGAGGCTTAGGCAGGAGATGGAAACTGAGAAATCTTCAGGACAGGAAGAGGCTGGATGAGCTCACGAGGGAGTGAGTAAATATGCATAGAACAAACAGAGATCCAAGGATGCACCCTGGGGCCCTCCAGCGTTCAGGAACAGCAAAGGAGACCTCGAAGGAACAGCCAGAGAGAGGTGAAGAAGGTTAACCGTGACTATCTCTGAGCTGTTGAATGATGGTTGATTTTTCCCCTTCTGTAACCAGCATTTATTACAATGAGAATGTGTTACTTTTTATAAACGTCTAAAAACTAATTCTTTCTTATAAATTGACTTCTTTCATACACACCCATGGGATTATCAGCTCAGCACCTCATCTCTAAGAATAGAAAAAGAACCTTCCCAAGAACCCCTCACCACCATTAACTTGGTGTCAGTAGAAGCAGCCATACTGTGTTATGATTATAACTTCCTGGTTTCCTTTGATTGGTCCAGAGATGAGCACAGGATTCAAGTTGAACCAATCAGTATACTTCCCTGGGAAATACTCTTTTGGGACCTACATGGTAGAATGTAAACCTTGGATGTTGCTGATGGCCATGAGAAGTTAAAGAATCCAATCTTTTCTAGAGAGAAGAGAATGAGGCAGAGGTTCAGAGACAAGAGGTGCTTGAGTCCTGATTGCTGGGTTCCCTTGGCCTGGTTGCATGCTGCCCTTGGAGCATTCTGTCAGATTCCCCTGTATCTGAAGCTGGTTCAGGTTGGGTTTCTCTTATTCAAGACCAATAAGCCTGGTAAACACAGCACCAGCCCACGTTCATCCAAGAGTTATGTAGCACCCACCAAATGCTGGGCACCAGGGATAAGATCTATGTTTTTGGCCTCCAGGAGTTTACATTTCAGTTGCACACAGACCTCCTGCCTCACAGACTTATGGTTTGGCCTTGGAGGTCCACAAAGCACTTCCCTCCACATTATCTCTTGATCTTCAGGGCAACGCTATGGGATGACTCAGAAGAAGAGACTGAGTTTCAACAGACCTGTCCGAGTCCACGGCTGCAAATGACAGGCTGCTTTTACCAAAAGTTCTGGATTCTTTCGACTGCCTCCTGACTTCTGGAAACTTCAAAAATATGGAAACACTTTCTCACATATTATCTTGGGCTTCCCGACCTCTCAGGCGGTGCTCCCTCTCCTGCTGACGCCTATGCTGAGCCAAATTCTGTGCCAAATTCCAGGATCAGGCCGAGTCAGTACGTGCTGACTCACCAATTGCTGGCTGGGCCCGGGTTGCATCAGGGGAGTAGATATGCCCAGCTTCTCATCGGCTTCATGGTCCCCTCCCAGACCCCACTCACTAATCAGCAGTGTGGAGGTCACGCCTTCACCACACCCAGGGATTACAGTCGGAGCTGCCTGTCTAGACCCTGTTCCAGCTCCTTTGGGTCCCTATGACCCAGGCCCTAATCATGAACTGAAATTGAAATTGGAACGCCCATTCTCTGCTGCAAGTTGCAAGCTGAAAATCAGCCCAGGTGGTTAGGAGTGTCCAACTGGCTAGGTTCTCTTAAGTCTCAGAGATAGAGGATCTCCCCAGGCTGTGAGAGGAATGGAAGTGGTCCTAGGGAGTCTGGCTTTAGGAAGGTGTGTCCTGCTCTGTGAGATCTAGGACAGCTAACCATCTTGTCCATCTTTGCTAGTGGCCCTACCCCATGGAGTGTCACCATCAAACCCATCAAACTCTCTGCTCTCATGGAGCTCTCACTGGAGCTGGGGGTCACAGGAAATAACACAATGACGCATTTCACCAAAAGCTATGAAGACAACAAAGCCAAGGAGTGTGGAAAAGAATGGTTGGGAAGAGGGCCAGTGTGGATTTAGTGGTCAGGGAAAGTTTCCTGGAGGCAATGGTTTAGATCATGAGATCTAAATAACAAGAGGAGCCGGACTTGTGGCCATCTACAGGAAGAGCATCTAGGCAAGGGGGGTTGCAAGTGCAAAGACCCTGCAGTGGGAGGGAGCTCAGAGTGTTGAGCCATGAGCAGCTCCACGTGGCTGGGATGAGGGAGCCCAGGAACCATTCAGGGAGATGACGCTGGAGAGACAGAGAGGAGAGGCCAAATGATGCACGGCTTGGAGGCCCAGGGAAGGAGACTGGGCTTCATTCTGAGACAATGAGAAGCTACTGGAAGATTTCAGCACAGGGTGACAGTGGCCATGCCAACTCCCCTGGGAAGACTAAAACCGAGGGCCCGGAGAGGGACCACATTCCCACCAAAAGTTGTTATTTTCTGGGCTTTTTAATAGTAGCCATTCTAATCGATGTGAGGTGATATCTCACTGTGGTTTTTGATTTGCATTTCTCTGATGAGTAGTGATGTTGAAGCATCTTTTCATGTATTTCTTGGTCATTTGTATATTATGTTTACGGAAATGTCTATTCAAGTCTTTTGCCCACTTTAAAATCAGGTTACATGATTTTTGTTGCTGAGTTGTAGTTCTTTTTATATTTAGATACTAACGTCTTATCAGATATATGGTTTACAAATATATTCTCTTATTCTGCCTCTTATTACCTTTTCTCTTATTACCTTTTCTGATTGTGTCCTTTGAGGAAAAAGTTTTTAACTTTAAATTAGTCTCATTTGTGTATTTTTGCTTTTTTTGTCTGTGCTTGTAGTGTCATATCCAAGACCAAATTCGTGTCATGAGGATTGCCCCCCTAAGTTTTTTCTAGGAGTTTTAAACATTTGGGTTTTTTGTTTAGATATATAATCCCTTTAATTTTTATACACAGTCTAAGATAAAGACCCAACTTCATTCTTTTGCACTTGGATATCCAGTTTTCCCAACACAATTTGTTGAAGAGACTGTCCTTTTCCCATTGAATGGGCTTAGCATCCTGTTGAAGATCAGTTGAGTATACATATAAAGGTTTATTTCTAGACTGTTTATTCCATTCCATTTGTTTATGTAACTGTCTTTATGCCAGTACCACACTGTTTTGATTACTGTGGCTTTGTAATATGTTATGAAATCGGGAAGTGTGAGTCATCCAACTCTGTTATTTTTCTTCAAAGCTTTTTGGCTATTCAGATTCCTTTGAGATTCCACAGGAATTTTAGGGTGTTTTTTTTAGTTTTGCAAAACATGCCATGGGGCATTTTGATAAGGATGGCACTGAATCTGTAGGTGACATCTTAAGAATTTAAGTCTTCCAATACATGAGCATGGGATGTTATACCATTCCTTTGTGTCTTCTTTAATTTCTTGTGCAATGTTTTATAGTTTTCAGTGTACAAGTCTTTTACCTCCTTGGTTAGGTTTATTCTTAATATTTATTCTTTTTGATACTATTGTAAATGGAATTTTTTAAAAAATTCCTTTTCTAAATGTTCATTGATAATGTATAGAAATGCAACTGATTTCTGTGTGTTAATTTTGCATCCTGAAACCTCACTGAATTTATTTATCAGTTCTAACAGCTTTTTTTGTGGAATCCTTATGGTTGTTTACATATGAGATTATGTCCTCTGTAAACAGGAACAATTTTATTTCTTCCTCTCTGATTTGAATGCTTTTTATTTCTTTTCCTTGCCTAAGTGCTCTGGCTAGAACTTCCAATACTATGTTAAACAGAAGTAGCAAGAAAGGCATATTTGCCCTGTTCTTGATTTTGGAGAAAAAGGTTTCAGTCTTTCAATGTTGGTTATGGTGTTAGCTGTGGGCTTTTTAGCTATAGCCTTTATTGTGTTGAAGTAGTTTTCTTCTATTCCTAGTTTATTAAGTATCTTTATCATGAAAGGATGTTAAATTTGTCAAATGCTTTTCTGCATCATTTGAGATGATTAGGGTTTTTTTTTCCCCTTCATTCTGTTAATGTGGTGTATCACACTGATTTATTTTCATATGTTGAGCCATCCTTGCATTCCAGGAACAAATTCCATTTGGTCATGATGTATAATCATTTTACTATACTGTTGAATTCAGTTTGCTGGTATTTTGTTGAGGATAATTACTTCAATATTCATCAGCGACATGAATCTCTAGTTTTCTTTCCTTGTAGTGTCTTTGTCTGGCTTGGTATCAGAGTAATGCTGACCTCATAGAATGAGCTTGGAAGTGTACTCTCCTCTTCAATTTTTTGGAGGAGTTTAAAAAGGATTGGCAGTAATTCTTCAAGTGTTTGCCAGAATGCTCCAGTGAAGTCATCTGGACTTGGGCATTTTTGTTGCTGGGAGGTTTTTTATTACTGATCCAAAATCCTTACTAATATTAGTCTGTTCAGGTTTTCTATTCCTTCATGATTCAATCTATGTAGCTTGTGTGTTTCTAGGAATTTATTTATGAAAATCACAGGAAGTAGCAGATTATTCATTTCTACTAAGTTATCCAACTCGTTGGCATAGAATGCATATTTTAAACAACTAGCAAACTTGTTGAAAATGCACATTCTTGAGTTCCCCCAAGAATGTTGACTCATAGGTATCCACTGGGGTCTGGTGGGGGGATAGTGCATTTTGAAGCTCTCCATCCAGGGGATTCTGACTTTCCCTGAGCAGCAGAGAATATCTCCCTGGCCCCTTAAGAACAGAAATCATGCTGTGCCTGCCTCCCCCTTCCTTCCCTGCTTAGTCATACCTCTTCCACCTTAGATCTGAGTCCTCAGACCCCTGGCAGCCCACAGCCACAAAGTCATGTTTTTGTTACTTTGTCCCAGTTTTCCCCTCTGACTTAGACTTAAAATCTGCTGAATTATCCAGAACTCCAACTATCCTAGGGCTCAAATAACCTGGAATGTTTTTTCACACTCCTTTCCCATTGATCTGGAAAGTCTGAGGGTTTCCTATGTACCTTGGGGATTCTCAAGAGGGAGGGATGCTTAGTGTCACCCCGGTATGGTGTGTGTGGATTTTTACCCTGCCAACTTTTAATCCTGTGGAATCAAGCATGGGTTCCTGGCACAGTGGCAATTTAGGAAATTTGTGTATCCATTTAATCAGAGCACTGTGTGCAGAGAGAGGCCAAATTTAGGGCCAAGTTGAGAATAAGGGGAATAAGTTTGCTTTCTGAGTTTTTCTCACTAGTCTCTCCAGAGAGAGACTCTCCTCTGTCCCCTCCTGCTTTACAACCCAATGTCTGCCCATTGGCACCCATCACTTCCTGAATTCTTAGTTCTTCATTTTGTCATTACCTGTTTCCCACACTGGAGTGTACACCTCCATGGGGGCAGGGAACACACCTGTCTTGTTCACCAGTGTATTCTCAGCACTATCCCAGGGCCTGGTGCATAGTATATGCTCAATAAATGTGTGTTGAATGAGGATACAGTGAGCAAATGCACAGCTTTTGGTTTTTGTTCCCCTTCACTGAGCTTCCCATTGAAGCTGGTAGGGCACCTTTGGCAAAAGCCATCCTAGTGCTCCAGAGAGACAGAAGGTGTCTTCATCTGGCTTAGCTTCCATTTTCTCAACTAAAAAATGGAAGCAATAAAATATACCTTGTAGGGGTCTTGTGAGGGTCAAAGGAGATCTCATCAGTAAAAAGTCCAACAAGTGACAGATACTGGAAGCTGTTGTCAAAGTGAATGAATGAATAAATAAATAAATCTGAAAGACAAAAGCCTCATTGTAAGCAGTCAGTCACTCTGGACAGTCTAATGCTTTCAGCCCCACCTTCTGGCTGCTCCAAGGAATAGAAGGATCATGGATGTTCCAGCATTCTGGCCCCTTGGAGGTCATCTGCCACATGTTGTTCCATGAAATGGGCCAGGTCAGATATGAGTCACCTGCCAAGGATGCCAAGTCCAGTGGATACCTCTCCAGCAACCAAACATCTACATGATCCAAGAGGCTAGCTCAGAGGCTGGGGGATGCTGCTTGAGATATTTTGCAGAGCATCTTCAGGAAAATGTCAAGCTGCTGTGCCCTCAGAGTGCTCTCTGCTCCTAGGTGAAATATTACAGCATGGGCCAGTGTTGTTGTTAGCTCTCCAATCAAGCCATGAGTACACTCACCTTGGAGCCTTTGCATGTGACATTCTTCCTGCCTGGGACACACTTCCCATGACCTCAGCTTAAATGTAGCCTCCTCCAGGAAGCATTCATTGATCCCTCCAGCCCCAGGCTGAATCAGGGCCCCTGTGCATCCCATACCACAGGTTTCTAACTGCCTGGGGACCTGAAGAGCCGAGCCTCCCTTCAATTATGAGAACTGTTGGTGCCATCATGAGGGTCACTGCGAGATCCAGGCTCTGGGGTCAGGCACCCCTGAGAGTGAATCCCTGCCCATCACTTCCCACCTGGGAGATGCTGGGTACCACCCTGACCTCTCCAAGCCTCAGTCTCCTCTCAAATGGGGCAGGTGATTTCTACCTGGGATGTACACAAGATGCCACCAAGCATCAAAGCCTCAGCAGCACCTGGCACACATGTGTCCTGTTCATCCTGTAGGCAGGATCACAGACAGCAAGGCACCCGTCACCCACTCCTGCCCTGGAACTTCAGCTTCATGAAATCTAGATTCTTGGGGCTAACGCTGGTGAATTTTTAAAAGATGCAACAAGCCTAGATTTACTAAATGTGAAGTTCCAGGGTGGGATCTGGAGTGTGTGCACATTTGAGGGGAGTTCCCACCGGGAGCCCAATACTGGATGTCCTATGGCCAGGCTCCTGTCTGGTCTGCGTGGTCCTTAATCTCAGTTTTCTGTGCTGAGAACACCAGGATGTCCACCCGCCTGCCAAGGGCTCTCTGCCAGCAGCTGCCAGGAGGGCTCTGAAGTCATACCTGTGGACATGTCCAGGTGCCCTCTGCTGCTTGCTTCAGTGAAGCCTAAATGTGGCTTCGTGAGCATCCACAGACGCTAGGCAGCCAAGAACTTCCAGAAACAGACGTGGGTGTGGGAGGGCAGGGCAGGGACCTGGTTCTGCACACAGACACACAGGTGGGGTCCTGTGCATGCAGAATTCTCCCCTTCTGTGACTCCCAGATTTGGGGGACCCTGAAGACTTGGGGTTTGGAGTGGCACTAGGGGACACTGACAGAAGGTAGTGGTTTTGCAAGAGACAGCTGTCCCGCCGAGACGGGTGGGCTGTCATGTGGCCAGCAGGATCCCATCCCCTTTTCTCCCAGGTCACCCCAGCACTCTGTATGGGCCTGTGAGATGCTGAGTGACATTGATTTCTTGAGCACTCACCGAGCCCAGGCACTGGGGCTACAGCAGTGAACACAGCTGACAAGATCCCTCCCTTTAGGGGGGCAGATGGAAAGTCATCAAGAAAGCTATGTGAAGCGTGAGGAGCACCAGGTGGTGGTGAGGGCCACGGAGGCAGATGGAGTGAGGGGAGGAAACAGAAGTGCAGGTGCTGCTCCAAACAGAGTGGCTGGGGTGGGGAGGCCAGGAGGGGAGCTGGTGAGCATATGGCGGATGCAGGGCAAGGGGCTCCGGCTGGCCCAAGGGGATGGCACATGCAAGGCCCTCAGGCAGGCACGGGCCAGGGATCTGGGGGCAGGGAGGGGCCGCTGTGGCTGGAACAGAGCAGGCGAGGGGAGCATGGAGGAGGTGAAGTCGGGCTGGGGGAGGGGAAGGATTTGGCAGGCAGAGCGGGGACCTTGGGGTTCACTCTGAAAGGAGGGCATCCCCTGTAAGGCCAAGGTTGCTGGGGATGCGTCTGTCCCTCACAGTCTCAAAAGTGTTCCCGGTGTCCCCAAGGGTCTGAGTGGTCACGAGACTCTCAGGAAGACCTCCTGCTGAGTATGTCTGAGTGTGAGATGTATGCATGTGCACAGTGTGTACACGAGTGAGTGTGAATGTATGTGACTGTGTATGTGTGGGTATACATGTTAGTGTGTGTACACACCTATGTGTATGTGTACATGAGTGTAAGCATACATGAGAGCATGTGTGAGTGTGTGCATGTGAGTATATGAGTGCACATGCATGTGTACATGAGAGAGGGTGTGTACCTGTATGTGAGTGTAAATGTGTGTGCGTGCATGCTTGCATGTGTGCATGTGTGTGCATGTGTGTGAGTGTGTGCACATGTGAATGTATGTAGGTGTGTGTGCGTATGTGTATGTGGGTGTGTGTTTGTGTGCATGTGTGTATGTGTGCGTGTGTGCACACGTGTGTGCATGTGTGTACGTGCGTGCGTGCATGTGTGTGTGTGCATGTTTGTGTGTGTGCACGTGTGTGCATGTGTGTGCGTGCATGTGTGTGTGTGCGTGCGTGTGTGTGTGTGTGCAGAGAGGCACTGGGGAGTCTGGGTAAAGGGGCTGCAGGACTTCTGCAATCACACCCGTCACCCTAATACCTCAGTGCAGATTTTCTAAGATCAAAGACATTCCCCTAAATAGAATTACTCAAATCAGAAAACCCAGCCTCGATATAACTCTGTAGCCTCCAGGCCCTGTCCAAGTTCCACCAGCTGCCCCATGAGTAACTTTTATAGCAGTTTCTTCCCATCCAAGATCAGATGCAGGCTCAGGCATTGCCTTACTTGCCACATCCCTTGGCCTCCTGTCATCTGAGTGACGCCCCGGCCTTCCTTGGTTGTTGGTGACACTGGCCCCTTTGCCAAGGGCAGGCAGGGCATCTGGCCCCATCCTCACTCTGGCTGCTCTGCTGCATGTCCCACTGTATCCAGGCTGTCTGGCTGGATTCATTTGCAGTGTGTTAATTTCACCCCCAAAGTGGCTTGAATGGTGGCCTCCAAAAAGATGTGTCCATGCCCTAACCCAGAAGCCTGTGACTGTCACCTGATTGGGAAAAGGGTCTTTGCAGATGTAATCAAGTTAAGGATCTTGAGATGAAACTATCCTGGGTATCTGGATGGGCCCTAAGTCCAGCACCAAGTGTCTTTGTAACACACAGAGGAGAGACAGAGAGGAGGCGACAGCCGTGTGAGGACAGGCAGAGACCTGAGTGAGGCCACCGCAGCCAAGGAACGCTGGCAGCCACCAGAGGCTGGGAGAGGCAAGAAAAGAGCCTCTCTCGGGCCTCCAGAGGGAGCGCAGCCCCACTCAACCTCGGGCTTCTGGCCTCTAGAACTGAGAGAGGCTCCCTTGCTGGAGCCCAGCACATGTTGTCAGCGGTAGGGGAGCTGACCTCTCCTACCCGAGGCCACCCAAATGCTAGTAGCTTCTCCCACACACCCCCGGCCAAGGCCAGAAACATTGGATGCCTCAAGATGTCTTGACATATCCTAGGCTGTGGCGGCCACCCCAAAATGGGAAGTTGTTTTAAGCCCCTCTGTGGATGGTGACTTGTCTCACAGCCCTGGGAAATCCGCACAACCTCTGCTTTCTCTCAGGTCGGTTCTCCGGCCACTCTTCCTATAATGCCGTTCACAAAGGTGACAACTCAGTCCTCGACTGTCAGCAAACAGTCCCGCTCCCACAGTCTGAGGCCACGTGTCTTTGGATGAGGGGATGTCTTCTCCATCCAGAGGAGTGACCAGGGGAGGAGACCATGATGGTGGAGCTGCTGGGTGACAGAATGGACAACTGGCCTGGGAAAGACCCCGCTTCCCATTTTGGGGTGGCCGCCACAGCCTAGGATATGTCAAGACATCTTGAGCCATCCAATGTTTCTGGCCTCGACCACGGGTGGGTCAGAGAAGCCACTAGCATTTGGTGGCCCTTGGGTAAGGAGAGGCCAGCTCCCCTACCACTGACATGTGCTGGGTTTTAGGCCAGGCTGGGCCCCAACAGGGCTCAGAACAGGAGGTGGGGGGTGGGGGCAGCTGCCCCAATTCAGGCACATCCTGCCACCTGACAGTCACAGGGCGGGGTGGCATCTTCCTACTGGCAATGCTGAGGTGCGGACACTGGGGCCTCACAGCAGGCTCCTCCACTGTATCAGGAGGAAGCGGATTCAGCTGGGAGTGAGGAGGTTTGCAGACCCTCAGGGGCTGGGTTTCCCACAGCTCTGTGCCCAGGTAGGTGGCACACGGAGACACCATCCTTGGCCTTGCAAAGCCTGGATTCATCTTGCATGTCACCCTTGGATCCCCAGGAAGATCCTGCCTGGGGGTGGGGTGTGGGGTTCAGTCTGTTGTGGGGCGGACCTCAGCTGCACTGGGACAACCATGTGGCTTCAGGGAGGGGCTCTTTCTTCTCTGCCTTCTTTTACTCATTTTGTTTTTAATTTTAATTTAAAAAAAACATAAAAAGCTTTAATGAACTATGGGAAGTGTTTCTTTTGTACCATAAAGAAGAGCTGGTAGAGTCCCTGGGGCGGGGGATGGGGTGGCCTCCACTTTATGGGAAAGTCCCAGGTTTATTGTGAGCATCAAAGCCAGGGAGGCTCCTCTGTTCCAGGGCCCATCTCCATCCAGATGCCCGTGGCCCATATAGCATTGTCATCGGGTCATCATTTAACTTGTACACTCACTTTGTCACCACCCCAACCTCAAGATGAGACCCCACTGTGCAGGAGTCTGCGCTGAGTGATAGCAGTCAGTGGTCCTGACAGAAGCAGCTTGAGAGACGGCTGGGTCGTGTGATGCTTTCAAATCCCATCTCCAAGAATGTTGCGTGTGCATTGAACATCTACTACATGAACCCTTGCACAGCCTTCCTGAGAAGTCTGATACCAGGATGCTTTCAGTGGCAAAAACCAGAAACTGCCATGCCCATCATCTTAAACCCTCAAGAAGTGTGTTACCTCCCTCCCCAGAGGCCTCAGGGCAGCCCCAAGCTGGTGAATGCAGCAGCCCGCGCGGCCTGGAGGAGCCGGGTGCTTTTCGCTTTTCCACTCCGCCACCCCAGACTGGCTCCCTCGTGGTTTCAGGATGGCTGTTTTGATTTCAGGGGGTGGAAAAAGAGGATCCTGGCCTTTTGGGGTCTTTGGATCAGTGAGGACACCTCTTCCAGGAGCTCCCATCAGACCTTTCCTCACCCCTCATTGGCCAGAACTGGGTCACATGCCCATCCCGAAACCGATCACCATCAATAGGACCCGGAGTACCACGACTGACTCACAGGAACCGGGACTGGCACCTGCGCTCCCAGGGGCTCATGGGCCTGAGAGCTGGACCTGGAGCTACATCAGGGGCCGTTAGGACACAGGAAGGCAACCAAGGGTGCCTGCTGCCATGACCTTGTTCCATCCTTGAGTAGCAAGCACATCTGTGAGTGTGTGTTGGGTCCACAGGCTCAATAGTAACATACAACGGGAGCAACCCCTGTGGTAGGCAGCAGCACTTCCGAATCCCCACTCCTCACCGGCCGTTCATCACCAGAAACGTGGCTGAGTCTTCCAGGGCAGGACGCTCTGCCCACCCAGGCCATTCTCTAGTGGACAGACCTGCCTTCTTTTAGTCTAGCCCTGGGATCTTAACTGGGGAGGATTTTGCCCCCCTGGGGCATCAGTAGCTGATGTCTGGGGACATTTTTGGTTTTCCTGACTGGGAGGGAAGATTGCTAGTGACATCTCGTGGGTGGAGTCCAGGGATGCTGCAGATGCCCCACAATGCACTGGCCGCCCCCACCGTGAGTTACCCAGCCCCGAAGGCTGATGGTGCCATGGCTGAGAAAACTGCTCTATCCCAGGGTTTTGCCATTACAAAGTCATGCTCACAAATGCGTGAACGCTGTTACTTATCGACATTACAGGAGATTTTCAAAAATCGTGTTAACAGAATGCAAATGTTAGCATCAGAACGTAAGATCCAGCTTTGCGGCAACTTCGCTGTCTCAGGGGCTCCCTGAAGAAATCCTGCACCGTCTCACTTCTCACATGGCCCGTGCAAAGCTGCTGTCTAGGTGGAAAGCTCTCCCCACCCCAACCCCGACCCCTTCCCCATTCCCTTCTAACCGCCCACACCTTTCAGGGCTTGGCTGAGAGGCCTCTTCCTTCAGGAAGGCGTCCCTGACCTCTAGACCTCAGTGGTCCTACTGCCACCCGTGTGTGCTCCCTGGTCACGTGTCTGCTGTTGAACAGCCACTTGTGCGTGCTCCCTGGTCACGTGTCTGCTGTTGAACAGCCGCGCCCGCCTCCCTGCGGCCTTGCTCCTGCCCTTCCTTCAAGGGAGCCTGTGCGCATGCTGGGCTGTCTTTGCAAGCTCCCACGCCACCTACCTGCCAACCAGGTGGCTTGAGAGGGCTGACGAGAGCTCACCCTGCTGCACCTCTCTCTATGATCAGACACACACCTGCTCCGCATTGAGACTCGAAAGCGCAGGCTCCAGAATTGTTTTTTTATAATGATTTATAAAAATAACATAAATCAAAAATTACTGCTGGGAAGCTGTCCGTTTCCACACACATCTGTACCTGTGGCTTTGTGCATACAAGGCTGACTCACAGGCTGCCACTGAAATCCTCTGGAATAAAATCAGGTTGGCATTTCTTCTATTCAGCACTGTACAGAATAAACCCAGGCAAGACAGGAATCAGGAGGCTTTTAGCTACAAAGGAACACACTTCTACCAGAGATGCTTTTAATAACTCTTTATCATTTTCATCACGAATCCAGAGGAGGGTGGCAGTGCCAGGTTGCTCGCTGATGGACTCAGTGACATTATCAGAGACCCAGGATCCTTCTACCCTCCACATGTCAAGTTTGGTCCTAAGGCTCATCTCCTCATGGCGCACGAGGGTTGCACCAGCTCCAGCCATCACCTCCTCACTAGCTATGTCCAGATGTAGAGAATAAACATTTCCTTCTAGAGTCTCTTTTTAAGACTAAAGAAACCGCTTCCCAAATTCCTTCTGTGGACGTCCCCTCTGGACTTATGAACTTCAGCCTGTGTCTCTTCCTAACGACACTTGGCAAAAGGAATTGATTGCTCTGGTTGGCTAAGACCAGGGGTGGCAAACGATGGCCCGGGGCCAATTCCATCCGCCATCTGCTCTTGTAATAGCCACATCCTTGTGCTTGCTTGTAGTCTATGGCTGCATTCACACTACAGTGTCAGAGATTATATGCCTAAAGTATTTACTAGTTGGTCCTTTACAGAGAAAGTTTGCCAGCCCTGGTTTGGACTCAGATGGATGACCAGGGCAGGACAGGGCCATCCGTGAGCACATAGAGAAAGGGGTTGGTGTCGGGGGTGGAATCATTCAGGTGGGAACACAGAGGTATCTGGTTCAAATCTGGCTTTGCCTCTGACAAGCCATGTGTCCCTGGGGACCCCCTAATCTCTCTGAGGCTTAGTTCCTCCGTCTGTAAAAAGTCAAACCTTTCACCGTTTCTGTGTGGATTAAACAAGGTAATAGACACAAAGCACCTGGCACGGAATAGACCCTAAGCGTTATGTTCCTTTTAAGCCTTTCCTAATGGATTCTATGCTGTTAGACTCACCCCAAAAGAGAGGCTGCCACAGGGATTTGCGGTTTGCTAATTGGAATCCAAACATTGCTTCTGCTGTTACAAAAGCCAAGTTACCCAAAGTAGAATTGGTTTTAGGAGCTTTTTTGAAACTAGAAAGAGCTGACAATAAAAACTCCAAAGGAGACTTGTGCAACTGGTGATCATGGGTGGGAAGGGGTGGACGGGATGTCTTTTCTTGAGGGTTTTAGGATCCAAGAGTGTTTTGCTCCCAGAGATCTTTGTTGTTCGCTGCATGTCAAGGCAGGGGGCTGAGCAGGAAGGATTGCTGAAGACGTCCTGGTGACACGCATTGAAGGCTGGGGTCCCCAACTCCAAGCCCTGAGAACCTCTTATAATATCCTGGCCACCCCCTATTTTGGAAGAAAATGGCTACCAAACAAAATGTTTTCATTAAGTCATTAATTTTATTTGTTTTTTTTTTTAAACCGATCAAAAACATATGTATTAGCCAATCTGGACTTCTGCTGAGACCAGAAAGCAAGAGACACAGGGTAAAAAGAAGAGGCTGTGGGTCTAGACAGACCTGAGTTTGCATCCTGGTTTTCCACTTTGGCTGTGTACACCTGGGGCAGGAGACCTCAGGTCTCCAGACTCACTTTCCTCATCGGTAAAATGGGGATCAGAACAGCACCTCCTTGCTAAGGTTCTTGAAAAGATTTGATAAGCCCAGTTAGGAGGTAATATGATGATGCAGGAAGGGCGTCAGGGCCTGGTGTATAGTAGATGCTCAACAAATGTCAGAGACTATGTTTTCTAGTATATATATGGCTCCAGCACTGCAAGGCAGATACTAATGCCATTTTTCAAAAGAGGATACCAAGACTCAGAGAGGTAAAGTAATTTGTTCTACGTCACACAGCCAGGAAGGGCCAGAGCACAAGTCTGGGTGGCTCCAGGACACCAGTGAGTAGATATCAGGCTACTTGACCACCGGACAGTGACCAGGAGACCCACTGAGTGGCCATGATTCCTGCCTGAAGCAGAGCCAGGCGTTGTTTGAGTCGGGGCTGCCTCACCTTAGGAGGTGGCCTTCTATTAATAGCAGTGTTGACAACAGCCTCTAGGTGCACATGCCTGAGTCCACCCCAAAGTGGGGACCAGGAAGATCCCCAACCCCAGGGGAACCAGGAAGAGGCTGCCCCAAGCAGCCACAGGGCACCCTGGAGGACCCCCCGGCGGCCAGCAGAGGGCAGCAGCCACCTGTAAGGGAGGAGGCCCTTGGGTTGACACAGGCAGGAGAGGGGCTGCCCAGCGCCAGGTGTCCCTGCCTGTGTCCTGACAAAGTTACAACAGTGGGGACCCTCACGGTTCTGACGAGGTGCCAGGACAGTCCTTTTGGAGCAGGCACTGCTGCTATGACCAGGCCTTTCACAGAAGGTGTCTAAGTGGCACGGCACCGGTAGGGAGCTGGGCCCACGCCCTGACAACCTCCCCACCCCCAGGGCTCCTTGCACTTCCCGCAGATCCAGAGGCAGGAACCGTGCAGGTGCACACAGCCCGGGAGCTGGGATCCTCCGAGGCCAGCACAGCTCATACCTGTTTTCGAGACGCAGGAGCTGAGATTCAGAGTGGGAAGTTATCTACCCAGTGTGATTCACGGAATAATGTCCAGAGCCTGTGAACATGTCACTTTACATGGCAAAAGGGACTTTGTAGGTGTGATTCAATTAAGGATCCTGGGGTGGGGAGATATTCCCAGGTTAGCTGGGTGGGCACAGTGTGATTCCTTATAAGACGGAGGTAGGAGGGTCAGAGTCACACCAAGGCCATGTGACAGAGCAGCGGAGGTTGAAGTGATGCAGGGAGAGACTCCACCGGCCACCACTGGATTTGGGGAGGGCGGAAGGGGCCACAGGCCAAGGAATGTGGTGGCTTCTAGAAACTAAAAAGGCCAGGAAATTGGTTCCCCCCAAAGCCTCAGGAAGGGATGCAGTCTGCCACTCCTTGATTTTAGCACAGTGAGGCCCACTTCAGACTTCCGAGCTCCAGACTATGAGATCAAGTGTTGTTTTAAGCCACCAAGTTTGGGAAAATTTGCCACAGCAGCAAGAGGAAACGAACGCACTCAGGTGCTCCTGCCACACACACTCACAGTTGCACAAGCTGGTGCAGCTCCAGACCCACACACCTCCACCACCACACACTCCGCCATGCACACACACCTCCACGCACACACACCTCCACCCGCACACACACACACCTTCACCACCACACACTCCACCCACACACACCTCCACCCACACACCTCCACCCACACACACCTCCGCCCACACACACCTCCGCCCACACACACCTCCGCCCACACACACCTCCACCCACACACACCTCCGCCCACACACCTCCGCCCACACACACCTCCGCCCTCACACACCTCCACCCACACACACCTCCACCCACACACGCCTCCACCCGCACACACCTCCACCACCACACACACCTCCACCCACACACACCACCCATGCACACACCTCCACCCACACACACACACCTCCACCCACACACACACACACCTCCACCCACACACACCACCCACACACACCACCCATGCACACACCTCCACCCACACACACACACCTCCACCCGCACACACCTCCACCACCACACACATCTCCACCCACACACACCACCCATGTGCACACCTCCACTGGCACACACCACCCATGCACACACCTCCACTGGCACGCACTACTCCACCTGCGTGCGCCTCCCACCTGCGTTCACCCTCCACCTGTGTTCGCTCCCACCCACTCATGCCTCTCCACCCGCAAAAGTGTGAGTGCTGAGGCTGGGACTCAACCTGAGCCGCTGGCTCTGGATTACTGGGTCCTGCCGGGCTGGCCAGGCCTGGTCACAGGCCGGGTCCCAGTCAGCAGCTCTTTACCTCAACAAGGAGAAGGTTGGGAGGTCGCTGGGATTGTCATTACTTGTCCACATTAGTCAGGGTTCTTACCCTTCCCTCATCTCTTTCCCCATCCCCATGCCTCCCATTCATTCATTCAGTCATTCATTCAGTCAGTCAGTCATTCCTTTTCTCAACAAATACATATTTACTAAGCACTTACTGTGTGCCAGGCAATACAGTACTGAACAAGGCAGTCTGCTGAAGGAGGCAGACACAAGCCCCGAGAGGGGGTGATGTGACATCATGGAGGGCTTCCTGGAGGAGAGAAAGTTGTAATGACGAGATGCCAGGCAGCCAAAGCAGAGAGGGGTTCATCGAACGACCACATATGAGGCACTCGCCATGCCAGCGGGCTGGCAGCTGGATAAAGTGAGGTCCTCCGGGACTCAGGTCCAGTAGAGAAGTCAGGCACAGCATAGGGGGTGCTGGGAGGTGGACCCCCAGGAGAGGGGGGAAGGGGAGGAGACAGAGGTTACAGGAGGAGCCCAGGGAGGGCAGCGTGGAGAGAGCATAGGCTCAGGGGGCACAGCCGGTGTCCCTGCACCTGACTCGCAGTGCGCGCTCGGGGAACAGCTGCTGGGTGGCGAGTCAGGGGCAGCAGGCCCGCTCGGCAACCACAGCTTTGGCTTCATTCTCAGGACCTGCGTGTAGCGAGCGACTCCGCACGAGCTTGCCCTCCGCAAGGGCCTGCAGAGAGAGCCGCTCCCCCGCACGCTTCTTGCCACCGGCTGAGAATATGCTGAGCACCCACCAGAGGGCGTCCGCACTCACTGTGCCCCCGGCCTGCGCTCTCACAGTTGACAAGGGACACGCGGGCACGCGCGCAGCCTCATGCTCACGCACTCACACGCATCCAGTCCCTCACACACTGAAACACATATTCACACACATGCTTGCTCACACACAGACCCCTGCACATTCACTCACACACACACTCATACAGATGCACGCTCCAACATGCAGGCTCGTGCACACACACACTCAGAAACACTGTCACACACACCCCTTTCCACACAGCCAGCATGCCAGGACAGGCCTGTCATCCCCCTGAGAGTTGCCTGTGCCCTACCCAAGGTGCCCTGCAAGAGCCCTGCCCTGAGCGGTGACCCCAGAGCCTCAGACTTGCGGGGAGGGGTAGGGACCTGCCAGGTGGCCATAACATCCCCAGAGGCCTGCGAGTCCTGCCAGGGCCAGAGGGCAGTGAGGGTCCCCAGGCCGGGACACACCCCGACAGGGATCAGTCCGTCCAGCTGGGAGGACCTCCCCTCTGACCCCTCCTCCACGCAGGCCCAGCTGGAGAATAAGCACAGGCACACACACTTCCAACCCACCGCCTGCATCCATTACAACCACCCTTCCACCCGCACAGACTTGCTGGGAGCCGGGAAGATGCCAGCCTGCTTTTCTGCTCTCCCTCCTTCAATCCGCACCGGGGTCTAGGGAGCAGGCGCTGTCGTGATGATGCCCGCTTTACGGAGAGGAAACTGGACTCCAGGGTATGGGGGCTGCCAAGAGCAGCACAGGAACCGAGCCGGTGGGCATCCGCACCAGCCTCCTGACCCTCCCCTCTTGGGTTCCCTGAGTTGGTGGGAGAGCACCCAGCCCCTGGGCAGGGAGGCCAGGTGCCCGGCTGCCCAGGCGTGGGAGGGGCAGAGCCCTGCCCACCTGGGGTGGACACGGCACTCCAGGAGGGTGACAAATTCACTGGACCTTGGACAGGCATGAGGGTGGGGGTGAGTGATTGTGTAGGAATATTTGTGGGGAGGTGCTTGTCTCTCCGCACTGTGAAATGGATGCTCAGAGAACTCCCCACGAGGCTGGTGGGAGGGTGGGTGGGGGAGGGGAACGCCTGTGTGACGTAGAAATAATGACTCGGGCAGTGCGACGGCTCATGTCTGCGGGCACCTACGTGCAGGCTGTACTCCTCGTGTACACATCTATTAATTTGTTTAGCCCTGATGGCCACCCTATGAGGCAGGCACTGTTGCCATCCCCCTTTACAGAGGGGAAACTGAGGCACAGGGCAGTTAAGTCAGGGTCCTGCCTGAGCTAGTGAGCAGCAGAGCCAGGGTGCAGACCTGAGGAGCTTCCCTCTAGACCCAGAGCTTCCTCTGTCACAGATGGCCATGAGCCTGGCGGCGTAAAACAACACCCACATGTCACCCTACAGCTGAGGTTGGATGCCAGCTGTGCCCTTCTCTTTTCTGGCTGCTCCGAGGCCTCATCCCCATCTTCGCCTCTCAGAGCGCATTTCCCTTGCATCTCCAGTCCCTTCTCCCTCCATGGGTGCTGCTGTGTCCCCGTCTGCGTGCTCCTTCCCTGTGTCTGTCTGTAGGCGTCTCTATGCATCTCCATACGTGTTTCTGTCTCCACCCCACCCCTGCCCTGCGCTGTCCCTTTGAGTGGAGCAGGATGGCCAGGCCCTCCCATGTGGACAGATCTTGCTGTTCCTCATGGAAATTCAATGTCCCTGGGCCTTGGATCTCCTTCCAATGTGGACCAAGCCTGGGTCTTGCTGTGTCTCCGGGTATACCGGCTGCAGCCGCCTAACCTGAGACCCTGCTGAGGGACTCAGCCCTGATCTCCGGGGCACCCTCTGCCCAGCTGTCCTATCCCCCCCTTTGTTCCTGCCTGGTCACCCCCACCTCAGTGACACCCCCCACCCGCCACTCAGTAGAAGCCTCAGACCTTCCCTGCAGATGAAGGGGAGTGGGGGCAAAGGGAGGCCTGGAATCAGGGGGTTGTAAAATCGTGTCCTGGAATTTGCTGGAAGCAGAAAAGTCCCCCATAAAAGTCTTTGGATCCCTCATATTCGGTTTCACGAGCCAGTCATCCGGGAAATGGCTAAGAGCAGACCAGCATCAAAGCAGCGGCCTCTGCTCCCCCAGTCCCAGCCCGGTGGGCGGTCAGGCATGGGAGAGGCCAGGGCCTGGTCACCGAGCCTGTCCTTTGCTTGTGGCTGCGAGATGCTGAGTGGCCATCTGCAGCCCAGGATGACTGTCTTGGGTGGGTGGCCCTCCCGGCCAGGCCCTTGAGTAGTCTAGAAGACAGGACAGAGACCCGGGACCTCCGCCTCTGTGGGCACACAGACCTCAGTGGCACGCCTCAGGCTTGGCCAGAACCCTGACCTGGGTTGCACCCCTCATTTCCCTCCACAGCAAGTTCGTCCCACACTGGGTTTCCTCACCAGAATAAAAGTCCCCACTGCTCAGATCACCCGGGCAGCTCCTGATGGGTGAGGACAGGATGGGGCAGGTGGGAAGTAAGTAGGTGCTAGAGCAGGCTGAGAATCTTGGCTAAACAAATTCATTCATTCATTTAAGAAAGTATCTCTTGAATGCCGGCTAGGAGCAATGTTCAGTAAGCCTGGGCAGGTGGGGCTAACAACACCTGCCTCGTGAGGTCGCTGCATCAATTAATTAATTGCTCATGGTAATCAAAATGGGCTTAAGGTCAGGCTCAGTTCAAACCTCAGCTCCACCACTTACTAGATGGGGTGTTGAGGTGCTCAATTTGACGCATGAACCTGGTGAGGTCGCAGTCCCCTGTTATTCAACCAAACACTCATCTAGGTGTTGCTACAATGGCGTTTGGTAGATGTGATTAAAGCCCGTCATCAGCTGACTTTAAGTAAAGGTTGGCCTGGATGACCCGGCGAGCCTGATCCAGTCGGTGGAAAGGCCTTAGAGCTGGCGGAGGCTCCCTGCAATGGAAGAAATTCCGCCTGTGACAGCGGCCTGAGCAGTGCCCCAGAGACCCAGCCTATCCTCCACGATTCCCAACTTGCCTGGCCAGGCCCCACCATCGCCTAAGCCAACTCCCTGCAATAAATCCCTGAATATCTGCCTCCTACTGGTTCTGTTTCTCTGGTTGAACCCTGACTGATACAGGGGCACTGGGCAAGTTACTCAGCCATAGTTTCCCCAGCTGTAAAATGGGAGTAACAATCTCTCATCAAATTGTAGTAAAGAGAGTGGGATCTACATAAAGACCATCTGATCACTTTCTAGAACATACTAAGCTACTTCCTGCCTCTGAACCTTTCTGGTTGCTGTTCCTTTTACCCGAAATGCCTCTGGCTTTCTGTGTGATGGGCTTCCATCTTTCAGAACTTACTTAAAGGTCACCTCCTCCAGGAAGCTCTCCCTGACCACCCTGGCCAAAGTAGCTCTCTTTGCATTACTCTTGGTCGGATCACTCTGTTTAATTCTTCTGCTGCCCTTAGCATAGTTGAATTATTTCATTGATTATTATACCGATGGATTCAGATGCATTTATATAACTTGGTCAACTTGTTTATTGCTCATCTCTTCCTCTAACCTGATGTTTCTCAATCTTTCTTTTTTTTAATTAATGTCTCCCCTCCCCCCGGGAAGCTTTTTATTTTACTTTATTTATTTATTTATTTTTTTGAGATGGAGTTTTGCTTTTGTCACCCAGGCTAGAGTGCAATGGCATGGTCTCAGCTCACTGCAACCTCCACCTCCCAGATTCAAGGGATTTTCCTGCCTCAGCCTCCTGAGTAGCTGGGATTACAGGCACCCACCACCACACCCAGCTAATTCTTGTATTTTTAATTGAGACCGGGTTTCACCATGTTGGCCAGGGTGGTCTCGAACTCCTGACCTCAGGTGATCCACCTGCCTCAGCCTCCCAAAGTGTTGGGATTACGAGCGTGAGCCACCGCACCCGGCCAGGGAAGCTTTTTAGACATTTTTTTCTTATTCATTTCCCCATAAAGTGCTAATGCCACACACACACCGCCTACCTGTTTACCCACCATACGTATATCTATGCTTCCTACATAAAAATACTAAGATTCCTTTTGCCCCTCAAGAGCCCACTGTCACTCCCCATCAGCCCCTGCATGTTCCAGCCCCTCAACACTCATAACATGGTCCAGGACAGTCATGTCAGAGCCCCAGGAGCGGGTTAGAATGATAGACTGCCCTGCTGCGTGGCATTAGCCTCCTTTTTAACAGGGTCCCATGACCCATGCCCATGTCACACTTTGGGAGGAAATGCTCCAGACTTTACAGTTTTCCTTGCTCATCTTGGGACCCCAGAGCGTCACTCAGAGCCTGGCACACAGACACTCTAGATATGTGTGTTCCAAATTCTCGTCCCCTTCCTCTCTGTTACCTCTTTCACCCCCTGCTTCTCCAACAGAAATAGGGCTGCCTTAAGGCCCAAAGCCACAGATATGAAAGACCAGAGACTCGGAGGTCTGAATCACCCAAGTCTACACCACCTGCCTCCAGGCTGTGAGCAGAAACCTCTGCACAGGAGGGAGGGCAGGCACCCAGTCCTTTCCACGTGCAAGATACAGGCACGTGTTTTCACCTCAGCACCATTTTACAAAAGAGACAAAGCTTGGTCTCTTTTTCCTCCCTTAACTTGGAACCTACCAGCTACTCTACCAAGTCTCTACAACAAGACAGGAAACGTCCATTCCTGACACATGGAGGTAATGGGCATAAGGCTGCCAGATAAAATACAGGATGCCCAGTTAAACTTAAATTTCAGAAAAATGACAAATAATGAGTTAGTATAAGTATGTCTCATATATTGCATGAGATATACTAAAAAAATTATTCATTGTTTATCTGAAAATCAAAATTAGTTAGAAGTCTTGTATTTTTACCTGCATGGGATATAGTTATGCTACAAGAGTATTTGTTGTTTATCTAAAAATCATATTTAATTGGGGGTGCCATATTTTTATTTGCTAAACCTGGTAACCCAAAATGGGCAGGAGTGGCTACATAATTATTAAGAATTATTAAAGATTTCCAGATGGTGCCAGGAGAGTTTTAAACCAAGCCTGGAGAACTTGTGAGCATGGCCCTGTGCAACTGCCAGAGTTGTACACCCTGGAAGCCAGCCACCCTGAGCCCTGCCCGTCCTCCCTCTGGTCACATGGAGGGAGTGTCCTAGGCACTCCCACTCTCTGTCAAGCAGGACAGGGGATATGGCACCTAGATAGGTGACAGAATTCAGGTGATATCTCAAGAACCCAAGGAAGAAAGGTGAGCTCAAGAGTTTCCCACCGGCTCCCGTCCCATTAATGTCGGATAGATGGCAATTTCGAGTCTTGTGCTTGCTATTATAAGCTGCTTCAAATCCTTCAGGAAAGCAGCTTTAGATAATGATAATTCCTAAAGGGGCCATGGGCATGGGATTAGGGAGGGAGTATGGGGGCCTCAGCTGTTTCTGTAAGGATTTAATCCTTTTAAAAACAAGTCTGAGACAAAGAGGGCAGCCTGCTAAACGAGCAAGCTGGATGATGGGAACACAGGGATTCACATTAGTAACTAAAGGTTTATTTAAAAAAGAAAAAAAAGAGGCACGGGCCACACACTCGATCTAACAAGGTCCTCCCACTCGGCAGGGCATGGCCAAGCCGACCAGCCCAGGTTATACCTCTAAAACTGGAAACTTTGTTTTCATATCTCGCCCGGATGACACCCAACTGTAAAAGCAAGGATGCAAGTTTGCTGATCAGTTCTAAATGGTTTTTTTTTTTTTTTTTTGAGATGGAGTCTCGCTCTGTCATCCAGGCTGGAGTGCGGTGGCATGATCTTGGCTCACTACAAGCTCCAGCTCCCGGGTTCACGCCATTCTCCTGCCTCAGCCTCCCGAGTAGCTGGGACTACAGGTGCTCGCCACCATGCCCAGCTAATTTTTTGTATTTTTAGTAGAGATGGAGTTTCACCGTGTTAGCCAGGATGGTCTCGATCTCCTGACTTCATGATCCGCCCGCCTCAACCTCCCAAAGTGCTGGGATTACAGGAGTGAGCCACCACGCCCGGCCAATCAGTTCTAAATGTTAACATTGGTTTGCCAACATTAGAAGCTAACTGTTGCATAAGGATCTAGTATCCAGAATATATATATATCACAGTTCAACAGCAAAAAGACAAACAGGACAATTAGAAAATGGACAAAGGACTTCAATGGGCATTTCTCCAAAGAAGATAAACAAATGGCCAACAAACACATGAAAAGATGCCAGATACTGTTAGTCATTAGGGAAATACCAATCGGAATCACAACGGGATGTCTCTTCACACCCACCAAAGATGGCCATAATCAAAGGAATGGAAAATACCAACTGCTGGTGAAGCCGTGGAGAGATTTGAACCCTCGGATACTGTTGGTGGGAATTAAAATGGTGCAACCACTGTGGCAGACAGCCTGGCAGTTCCTCAAAAAGTTAAATGAACCTATGACCCAGCAATTCCACTCTAAGATATATACTCAAAAGAACTGCAAATTGATTCTCAGACAAGTCCATGTATGCTCCTGCTCAGAGCAGCATCGGTTACTGTACCTAAAATGTGGAAACAGCACAATGTCCATCAGCTGATGAATGGGTACACAAAATGTGGTCCAAGCACACCAGAATAGGCCACAGAATATTATTCAGCCACAGAAAGGAAGAAAATGCTAATACAACTACAACACGCATGAACCTTGAAAACATTATGCTGGCTGGGCGCGGCAGCTCACGCCTGCAATCCTAGCACTTTGGGAGGCCAAGGCAGGCAGATCACCTGAGGTCAGGAGTTCAAGACCAGCCTGGTCAACATGGTGAAACCCAGTCTCTACAAAAATACAAAAATTAGCTGGGCATGATGGCAGGTGCCTGTAATCCCAGCTACTCGGGAGGCTGAGATGGGAGAATTGCTTGAACCTGGGAGGCGGAGGTTGTAGTGAGCCAAGATTGTGCCATTGCATTCCAGCCTGGGTGACAGAGTGAGACTCCATCTCAAAAAAAAAAAAAAGAGAAAAAGAAAACATTATGCTAAGTTGAACAAGCCAGTCACAAAAGGCCACATATATTGTGATTCCATTTATACGACATATCCAAAATAGGTAAACCCACAGAGACAAACACAACTGATGGTTGCCAGAGGCTTCAGCCAGGATTTAGATGTGAGCCCCAGACAGGCCAGCCAAGCAAGATTCTTCCCACACCACCACCTCACCTGTGACTGCTGGTGTGATGTGGAGCAGGTCACTTGGCCTCTCTGAGCCTCAGTTTTCTCATCAATAAAACAAGCATTTAACTACCAAACCCCTTTCAGTGCTGTTTTTCTTTCTTCCTGGATCTCATGTCTTGAAGATAGGCTTATCAATCTATATTTTACAATCCATTTCCCCCTTTGGGTAATCAAAAACTTTCAGCATGTCAGACAGTTCCAAATGAGATAACCAGAATAAACACATAGAGTTGAGAATCTTCACTTCCTCGCCTACAGCCAACCCAAACCCCATTCTTCTTTTCCTACACTCTAAGGGCTGGAAGAGCAAACTTCACTTTCTCAGACTCCTCTGCAGCCACACGTCACATACATTTCCGGTGAGATGTAAGGGGTGTCTGCTGGAGACCTGGGAAAGCTTTTGATCTCATGCTAAAAGGGACAGATGTCATTGACATCACATCTTCTTCCTTTCTTCATGCCCACTGACATGATGCCTGGTGCTCCAGTAGCCATTTGGTGGCCTTGAGAAAAGGCCCAAGAGAATCACAGGGGCATCAGCAAACTGCTAAACCAATGACAGCACGTGCCTCCCTCCAGCCTTCTTGTTATGTGAGCAGTAAAGCTCCTCTAAATGGAGGCTTCCACTCCTTGAAGCAGCATACTAGCCCACCTGTTATATCTTGTTCCTTAACACTTCTACAGATGCAGTGGCCACTGTGTCGGCTGGAATCATTCTGATTACAAGATGTGTTAGTCCATCTGCATTGCTATAAAGGAATACCCGAGAATGGGTCATTTATAAAGAAGAAGTTTACAGGCTGTACAGGAAGCATGGTGCCGGCATCTGCTTCTGGTGAGGCCTCAGGAAGCTTCCAATCATGGTGGAAGGAGAGCGGGAACCAGTCTGTCACATGGCAAGACAGAAAGCAAGAGAGAGAAACAGAGGTGTCAGGCTCTTGTAAACAACCAGCTCTCGGAGAAACTCCCAGAGTGAGCACTCACTCATCACCATGAGAGGGCACTGAGCCATTCGTGAGGAATCTGCCCCTACGACCGAAACTCCTGCCACCAGACCCACCTCCAACACTGGGGTTCCCCTTTCACATGAGATTTGTGGGGGACACATCCTACACCATATCACAAGGGCTAGAAACCTGACTCACAGCAGCTTCAGCAGGAGAAGAACTTCACTGGCTCCTGTGGTTGGGAAGTTGGGGAGGAGCATTTGGCTCCAGACATGGCTGAAAATAAAGGCTCGCATCAGAGTTTGTTAACCTTAGTTAGAACTCCTGACATTCAGGATGGGACCAGCCTCTGATGATGTGGAGTGCATCTTCAGGCTCTGTCCATCTCTCTATTTCCACTCTGTGTCAGCCTCACCATCTTCCCCACAGATGTGCTCCTTGTAGAGTCCAGGAAGGATCCAGGCTTACACCACTCCCATCCTAGCAGTCCCAGGGCAGGATTCTGATCGATGGGTACCCCTAAGATCTCGTCGCCTCTCCATCTGATTGTATGAAGAGAAAGAAGAATCAGGGCCAGCGTGGGGCCACCGCCCATGCCTGACCTGAGCAGGCAGATGTGCTGGGGCGGGGCAAGTGTGGGAAGCTCACCAGGGCCAAAGAAAGTGGTGGAAAAGCAGTTTCTCAGAGAAAAACTAGGTGCTGTCACAAGAAAAGCAGCAAAACAGACCCTGGGCATGTAAGGAACAATAGATTTCTGGTTTCATCAACTCCAAAATAGACATAAGAGAACTTCACAAAGCAAGCTGACTTGCTAAAATTGAGATACAGCCAGGCACTGTGGCTCAAGCCTGTAATCCCAGCACTTTGTGGGGGCAGAGGCAGGTGGATTACCTGAGGTTAGGAGTTCGAGACCAGCCTGGTCAATATGGTGAAACCCTGTCTCTACTAAAAATACAAAAATTAGTCGGGCGTGGTGGCGGGCACCTGTAATCCCAGCTACTCGGGAGGTTGAGGCAGGAGAATCACTTGAACCTGGGAGGCAGAGGTTGCAGTGAGCCGAGATCACACCATTGCACTCCAACCTGGGCAACAAGAGTGAAACTCCATCTCAAAAAAAAAAAAGAAAGAAAGAGAGAGATAATTCACATATCACACCATTCACCATTTTAAAAGGTATAATTCAGCACTTCTTACCATGTTCACAAGGTCGTGTGGGGGTTGCTGCTGTAGGAGTAGATGAGCTCACATGACCTTGTACGTTGCAAGAACCCAGCTCACACTTATCCAACACACGGCATCCCAGCTCTGGCCAGATCACACTCTCGTGTCTGTTTTACAGATGAGGAAACTGAGGCTCAGACTAGAAAAAAAACTCACTGAAGATCACCTACCTACTTCACGGAGTGTTCACGGAAGATTCAAAAACACTCCAGCTCTCTCTGCTTGAGGGCGCCTCCCGGCCTTCTTAGCGTCAGGGGTGACCATGAGATTTGCCGAGGCCACATTCTCTTTTCCCACTGGCCTGCCTACTGGCCACATTTAAGATGATGGCTGCTCTATCTGTCTGGGTCTCTGAGTGATCATGGTAGCACTGTCTCTCTGCCAACCTGCAAGAGGCATGTGATGTGTGTGAGATACACCTCAGTCATGTGATGTGTGTGAGAGGTACACCTCAGTCATGTGATTTGTGTGAGATACACCTCAGTTTTTAAACCATAGAGATGTTAGGCTCGATTGTCACCTCGGCATAATCTAACCCATCCTGGCTGATACAGTCACATGACTAAGAGCCCAGAGCTAAGATTTATACCCGAGTCTGGGGCCCAGGCCTCAGGCCCTAACCACCCGGCTTCGATGGAGAGTGTGGGGCTTTCGGGGCCATCGCTGGGGCTCCTGAGGCCTGGCATTGGTGAGCAGCTCTGAGTGTCTGCTCATGGCCATGAAGGTAGGCGTGGCAGGTGGAATGCCAGGGTGACCCTTGTCAGAGCCCACCCCTTGCCTCATAATCCCCCCTATCTCCAGTGTGGAAGGGCCTGTGGATGCCATGGGCTAGCGCTCCAGGAGCAAGCTCTGCTGTGGCACCATGACTGTGTGAGTTGAAGGGACCCTGACCTAACAACCAGGTGAGCCCGGGAATGGGACGAGGCCCCTTCTGGAAAAGGAGATTCAAAGCCTAAAAGAGATTTGATGTGAGGGAGATTCTCGGTTGCTGGCTTCAAAAATGGAAGGGGCCACGGAGCCAGGAATGAGGTGGCCACCAGGAGCTGAGAGTGACCTTGACGGCCAGTAAGACCCAAGCTCTACCCCCCAGGGATGGCATTCTGCCCGATCGCATGAGCTTGGAAGACCACCCAGAGCCCCAGAGGAGCACGCAGGCTGCCAACACCTTGACTTCAGCCTGGCGAGACCTGGGGCAGGGAACCTAGTCGCACTGTGTGAAACCCCTGACCTCCAGAGCTGATGGGTAGCAAAAGGAGGTTTTAAGTCACAAAGTTTATGGCGATTTGTTACACAGCACTGAAAATGAATACAAAAGTGTGTCTGTTGAGCGTGGGGAGAACCTCTTGGAAGACCCAGCTCCTCCTTTGTCCTTGGGTCCCATTTTCCAGAAACCCCCTCGCTCAGCACACCTGGAGATCCTCCCCCAGCCCCCTGCCTCTATTCCTGGCGGCTGCTCTAATTCCTCTATTATTCCCTTAAATACCTGCTCCACTAATGCGCCTTGTGACAGAGAGGTCTACTTGCAAGGGGTGAAAAAAAAATGAACTTAAGCTCTCAAATGCAGGCTCCTAGTCAGAGCTGAAAACACTGGGCCGAGTGGGCACAAAGAATGCCAGCTCTTGCCAACGTTGTTGAATGAGGTTTTTTAGTCTCGAACAAAGCTCTCCCTTTGAGGATTAACTGCCAACAGGGAGCTCTTTGTTTTGAGTAGAATTTAAGATTATTGCTGGGATAGAAACGGGGAGAAAGGTGACACCATCAAGATCGCACCGTGCAAATCCAGGATTATAGAAAACATCATTTTTTAAAAACTTGTTGGCAAATATGGACACAGATTGTGCTGACACTCCAAAACGTCCACTTGATTTGTGACCAAGTCCTCGGTCTCATGTTTCCAAGGCAGGTGATGCCTTCAAAGATATACATGGATAGCCATGCACAGTGGCTCACACCTGTAATCCCAGCAATTTGGGAGGCCAAGACAGTTGGATCACCTGAGGTCAGGAGCTCAAGACCAGCCTGACCAATATGGTGAAACCCCATCTCTACTAAAATACACACACACACACACACACACACACACGCACAAATTAGCCGGGTGTGGTGGTGTGCCCCTGTAATCCTAGCTACTCATGAGGCTGAGACGGGAGAATCGCTTGAACCCACGAGGCGGAGGTTGCAGTGAACCGAGATTGCGCCACTGCCCTCCAGCCTGGGTGACAGAGCGAGGCACCATATAAAAAAAAAAATATATATATATATATATATGCATCCAGTATGTAGATCCTGGCACACAGAAAGGCCTATTCTCACTTGTTAGCTTTTTGTGTTGTTAGAAAAAAGGAAAACAAATCCTCAAGATACAGCCCGTGTGTTATTCCCGAGGTAGAAAACCCTGGCAGTAGGCGGAAGTGTGGGTGACTACAAGGCAGGGCTGAACGCGTCCTTCCAGAAGTCTAAGTCCTGGCCTGGTGTCCATGATCGCTGACAACATGCCCCCCGCACCTTCCGTCCCCGAGCAGAGCTTGCTGGGGGGAAGACCCTGCCTTGTTGCTCCCATTCCAACAGGTCTGCTACTCTGTCTCTCTCTCTGAGTAAACTCCAGGTCCCATTCTTGGGCCACGGTCCTCACCACCTGGCTTTCCTGCTGTGTCTCCATCTCGCCTACCCGCTCCCTCCACCCCAGCCGTGCCTGGAACACACTGGGCATGTTCTTGCCCCAGTACCTTGGCACAGTCATTCCTTTCACCCGGGATTCTGCTCCTCCAAATATCCACCTGGCTGACTCCATTTCTTCCAACTCATGCTCAAGAATCAAGAATGTCGTCTCCTCAGAGGGCTCCCTGCCGCCCTCATCTCTTCTCTGTGTACAGCTACATCTCACAGGCTTAATTCTCGATTCTCTTCTCCTCTTGGGAGTGGAGGCTCCACACTTTGATTCACATTCATCCTGGTCTCCTCGGAGCATTCAGGCCAGTGGAGAGATTATGACAACACGGGGTGCACCTGGCCACGGTCCCTGCCCTCCTGGGACTCCCACTTGGGGACAAGTCCTGGACACTAGGCTGGGAGAGAGGGTGGGAGGATCAGCAGGGGGGACGTGGGGCTGGCCTGATCCCCCTCCTCCAGCCTGCACTTGCCAAGAGGCCCCAGGCCGGGTTCCAAGCAGCCCCGTGGCTGAGCTCCTTCCTGGTAATGATTTTAGGGCCACTCAACTTGTCAGCTCTGCCTTTCGAAGCTCCTAGGCATGGGCTCTGAGCCGCGGTCACTCCTCGGTGATCTCAGCTCAGGGAAGGGAGTCACGACACACTTAATTCAAAACAGCTGAAAACCAACAGTGGGAAGAGGACTCTGGTGACAATGGCTGGTGCTAAGGACTTGACTCGGTCTGCAGCCAGGCCAAGCGCTTGACACCTGCTCTCTCTTCTTCTCTAAAGGGATTTTTTATCTTAATGAGTTTTCACTGTATGTGAAGCTTTTCTCCTTTGACTTGCAACATAAGCCTAACCACTAATGGAAAGAGAAGACACTCTTTAATTTTTTTTATGAAACTGAGCATCATTGACTGAGGTAGAATGTATGTATAGTCAAGGTGCAGTTCTGTGAGTTTTGACAAACCTCCACAGTCACAAAATCATCTTCCACAATCAAGATGCAAAGAGTTCCACCGCATCAAATTCCCTCAATTTCATGCTGTCTTATTTAATCCTCACAGGAACCCTAAGGAGCTACTGAACTGTTAAGGACAGAGAGGGCAGGATTTTGTCCTCATGGACACCCCGACTTCCCACTGCCCGGCACAGTGTCTGGCGTATAGTAGTTACTCACTACATGTTTGTCAAATGACTGAATGAATGATACTGATATTATTGTTATGAGCAGTTTACAGATGAGGAAACTGAGGTTAGAGAGCATAAATACTGTAACTAATAAGATATGTGTCAAGGATGCAATGGCAAGTCTGTTGTTTGTATCTGCAGCCCCCTGCCACAATCAGGGGCTCTCAGATCCAGAATTCCTTACGTAGGATGCCAAAGGCCTGGGTCGAGATCTCTGTGCAGCCTCGTGGGAAGCCAGCCTAAAACCTGGAAACCTTAACCTCCGTCTCCTGTTGCTTCTCAGGTTCAGGGACATTTATGTAGAGGATGCTTGGGGAGTGGGGGTGGGAAATGGGGCAGATTGACCTTCCTGACCACGGGGTGGGAGAAGGAGTCCTAAACTGGAACTCCACCCTCAGGTCCAGTCCCGACTATGGAGTGACTTGCTGTGTGACCTCAGACAAGTACCATGGCCTTTCTGGGTTCTAGTTTCTCCAACTACAAAATGAAAGAGGGGCTCCCACCTAAAGGGGTGAAAGCATCCTAATGGCTCTGCTCTTACGGTTCTGTATCGGTCAGGACTTTCTTGGTTGCAAGTGATGGAAAATCCCACCCATGCTGGCTTAGGGAAGGACAAGGGAGGATTTTTCTGGCTAACCAAGGAGTTTTTGGGGAGTGTTCTGATTCAGGTATGGCTCGATCCAGGTGCTCTGACAAAGAGTCAGTCTCTGTCTCTGCCTCTATCTGTCTATCGGTCAGTCTGTCCCTCTCCCTCTCTCTCTGTTGTTTTTCCTCCACTCTGGGCTCTGCTTTCCTGTGTATTGGCTCCATTCTCACGCAAGCTATCCCTATGGGATGGCGGATCGTTTCCAGCAAGCCAGGCTTTCATCGTGTCTTCCCTGAGCCCCCGGCAACAACAGCAACTCCCTTCGCCCCAGAGTTCAGGCAAAAGGTCCACATTGGCTCTGATTGGACAAACATGGGTCACATGCTCATCCTGGACCAATCACTGTGGCCAAAGAAGCAGCGTCCCCTGGTTAGCTAAGCCGGTGTCACAGAACCACATCTGGCTATGAGGGTGTGGGTGATAAGAGCCACATCATGAAACTGGAGGAAGAGCAGTTTTCCAGAAAAAAAAACCTGGAATCATTTCCAGAATAAGGGAATAGATGCTGGGCAGGGAAACATTTTAAAAAATCCATTACAGAGTCTGAATTACACCTGGTCCAACTGAGACCAAGGAGATTTACCTCCATTCATTGTTTCTCTGGTGGGTCCAGAGAATCCCTCTTGGGTCTTAGGGGTCCCCCAGCTCCAAAACCAGCCAGGCATTGCCTGCACTGTCACTGCACACCCGGGATCAGTTCACTTCCTCTCTCTTCCTCCATGTTCTGATCTGAAAGACGATCTTCCCGTATTTCCCCCACAGCTCAGGGAGGAAGTCCATGTTTACTTCCTCAAAGGTGGCTGAGGGATGAGGCTCTTCTTGCTGGCCCCTGAGGTCACACCAGCCCTCAGAAGAAACTGAGAAACTCCTAGTAATTTTCGCTAAAGAAGATGGTTCAAGGGTTGTGTGTGTTTCCTCTGCCTGCTGTAATAAATTACTACAAACTAAGTGGCTTAAAGCAACACACGTCTATTCTTTGACAATCCAAACCCCAAAATGGGTCTCACTGGGTGACTAGCATGGTGCCAGCGTGGCTGTGTGCCTTCTGGAGGCTCTGAGGGGAATCCGTTTCCCTGTCTTTTCCAGCTTCTAGAGGCCCCTGCACTCCTCAGCCCACGGCCCCTTCCTCCACCTTCAAAGTTAGTAGCACAGCATCTTGCAGTCTTTCTCACACCTCTGTTCCCTGCTTATAAGGACTCTTGTGATTACACTGGGCCCTGCCAGGTCATCTGGGATAACCTCGTCACGTCAAGAGCGATCTAACTCGATCCCATCGGCAAAGCCCCTTCTGCTGTGTAAGAGGACACATGCGCAGGTCCTGCGACGTGGACGTCTCTGGAGCCGTTATTCTGTTGACCACAAAAGTCATTCCACTCATTCCCCTGCTGCCTGGTCCTCCACCCAGACTGGACCAGTGAAAATTTACTTTGTCTTGTAGAACGGCCTTACGGTGGATTAGGATGGAGTAGAAATTCTCCACATTCACACAAGCACACACAAACACAAACACAAACACGGAGGCTTCTCACCTCCTCTAGATTGCCAGCAGTGCATGGCACACACACAAATTCATTCTTTCATTCAGCAACTATTTATGAAGCACCTACTATGTGCTTGACACTGCACTGGGGCTGCCATGGAGATGAAGACAGGGTCACACTCAGGGAGCTTACAGCCCAGTGCAGGACAGAAACATCAAACCAAATAAATACGTCCAGATCTGTGAAAGAAATGAGAAGAAACAAACAAAAAACTTCACAAATGAGTACTAATTTATTCATCAATCTACTCAGCCAATACTTATTAAAGGCCTACTATGTCCCAGCCATGTGGCGGTACTAGTGAATGGGGCAGAGCCAGCCCGCGTCCTCGTCCTCATGGAGTGTACACGCTAATGTGCAAAACAACAATTAAACATGTGACAGCAGTGGAGATCGGCTAGGAAGAGGGAGCACCCAGAATGGGGGTGTTGACAAAGGGAAGCAGTGAGTTGCGTATCTGTTATCCCTAGCTGAGTAACAAGCCACCCCCCAGCCACCATGGCATTTCTCACGAGTGTATAGGTCAACTGGAAGGTTCTGCTGATCAAGGCTGGTTGGCACTGATCAAGGCTGGGCTTGAACTTGTGTCTGCAGTCAGCTGGAGGATCAGTTGGGGTTGGCAAGTCTAAAACGGCATGGCTTATATGCATAGTGGTGGCTGGCTGTCAGCCCATTGGCTGGGCCCTGTGCCTCTCATCTTCCAGCAGGCTAGCTGGGTTTTGCTTACCCAGCAGAGGTGGAGCCCAAGAGATAACAGCAGAAATGTGTACGGCATCTCCTGGCCCAGGGTTGCAACTGGGACAGCCTCTCTTCCACCACATGACATTGTCCAAAGCAAGTCACAAGGCCAGCCCAGGTCCCAGGAGGGCAGGATGGACCCCACCTGTCGATGAGTGCAACAGCATAGTCACACTACCAACAGTAAGGTCAGAGGGAGTGGTGGGGCACGTGGCTGTTTAAAAACTCTACCACTAGGAAGATGACAGCAGAAAGCTGCCCAGGTATTTTTTTTTTTCTCTCTCTCTCTGCACCTGCACCACTCACATTCCACATCTGACCATTGGGAAATTCTTCCTCTGACACCTCCCTGCCTCTGCCTCCTTCTTCATCCTGCTCTGATTTCAGCCTAGGACACCTTTGCTGGGTAAATCTGCCACCGTGGAGCTGAGAAAAGACCCACGAGGCCCCCGGCAGGCCATCCCCAGCACTGAAGGTTCCTGGCGCCTGATGCCAGCACGCTGGACCTCAAGGGGGCCACAGGACTTCTCAGCTCAGCTCTTGATTTTTCAACCACCAAGTCATAAAAGCTTCCACGGAAATGGCCAGGAAAGCCCCTGTAGCCCTTTTGTAGTGCTGGTTTCTGGGTTGGCCTGACCAGCAAGGATCTTTCCAGATCTGCAGTAAAATCTGACCTTCGATTCAACCCGGCTTAATGAGTACGTACGGCTCACAAAGGCCCGGCACAGTCCCCAGAGCTGCTTTGGGGTGAGGCCTCCAGCCACGGGGCCAGCCCTTCCCTGTGATCTCAGTGCCCCCTCCCAGTCCCCACAGAGCCAGCAGTGGCAGCTGCGGGGCTGCAGTTTGGGAAACGAACTGAGGCAAGAGGAGGAAACACTGAGAGCTGGAGCAAACCCAGCTGCTGGGAAGTCCCCGCAGGGCCAGCCAGACCTCCAGAAGGCCTGGAGGGTCCCAGCCTCTTTGCTTGCACAATGTAATGAGGCCGTTACCAGGGTGGACCTAGCATCAGACTGCCTGAGTTCAAAGTCCTGCCCTGCCGCTCACCAGCTTGTGATCTGAACACGAGGCTCACCCTCTCTGAATGCATATTAGCCATCCTCAAGGTGGGGTTAAGAGCATCCACCGCCCAGGCTCACTGTATGGACGAAAGAAGAGCCACGAGGAAAGCTCAATAAATATTAGCTCTAATTGTTATTGCAGGCTTGGAGCACACCTCACTAATTTGGAAGGCCCAGCGCAGAGGAACCACGCCCAGCCCAGCAATGAGAAAGCTTGTGTTCTAGTTCCAGTTCTGGTACTGAGACACTCTGTAGACACACCCTGGAAAAAAGGACTCATCCCCCCGTATCAAGAAGGAGAGAGGCCTGGGGGGTGGCGCTTAGTCTCATGCAAACAGCACCCCCAATCGCCCACCAAGGGCCAGGCCCTGGGCTGGACCCATCGTCTGCATCATCACCGCAACCCTCCCCCATTTCACAGGAGATTAGGAGATGGGGCCCAGCCAGGAGTCACCCCCGGCCTTGACCCCAGCCCCAAGCTCTCCATGTTCGTAGTTGTGTCGCCAGGCTCTGAGCACTTAGGCTACAAACGGAGCACAGACTCTGAGGGCTGGGGTCGCTGCTGCTCCTGCAAACAGCCCATGCTCCCAGTCTAGAAAAATCCTCCAGAAGATGACAGTTCCAGTTGATGGGACTGACAAGCCCCCCACAGGAAGGCAGTCTCCAGCTGACCACTGTTCCGTGAGGCTGTCTGAGCAGGCTTCGCTATGCACGCATAATAGCGACAGCGCAAACAGCAGCAGCAGCAGCAGCCTCAGCTGGCTCGGCGGGGCTTGGCTCAGCGTGTGCGGGGTGCTGAGCTAAGTCTTCCCAAACGGCGTGTGCGGGGTGCTGCGCTGTCTTCCAGATCCGCTTGTGCAGGGCGCTGTGCTGTCTTCTGGTTCGGCGTGTGCGGGGCGCTGTGCTAAGTCTTCCGGCTGGGCGTGTGCGGGGCGCTGTGCTAAGTCTTCCGGCTGGGCGTGTGCGGGGCGCTGTGCTAAGTCTTCCGGCTGGGCGTGTGCGGGGCGCTGTGCTGTCTTCCGGTTCGGCGTGTGCGGGGCGCTGTGCTAAGTCTTCCGGCTGGGCGTGTGCGGGGTGCTGTGCTAAGTCTTCCGGCTGGGCGTGTGCGGGGCGCTGTGCTGTCTTCCGGTTCGGCGTGTGCGGGGCGTTATGCTAAGTCTTCCGGCTGGGCGTGTGCGGGGCGCTGTGCTGTCTTCCGGTTCGGCGTGTGCGGGGCGCTGTGCTAAGTCTTCCGGCTGCATTCGCACTCTTTCCCTCCGACTCAACCATGGCAGTGAGGCACTGTTTTGTTTTGCTTTGCTTCTCAATTTTCCTGTGGTAAAATACACCTAATATTCACCATCTTAACCGTTTTTAAGTGTACAGTTCAGTGGCATTAAGTACCTTCATAATATTATACAACCATCACCATCTCCAGAACCCTTTCATTTTCCCAAACTGAAACTCTGTCCCTGTTAAACACTAACTCCCCACTTCCCTGCTCCCCCACACCTAGTGACCACCCTTCTGCTTTCTGTCTCTATGAAATGGACTGCTCTAGAGAGCTCCTATATGTGGAATCATACAGTATTTGTACTTTGTGACTGGCTTATGTCACTTAGAGTAATGTCCTCAAGGTTCATCCATGCGGGAGCCTGTGTCAGAATTCCCTTCCTTTTTAAGGCTGTATAATATTCCATTGTGTGGATGCACCACGTTTTGCATATCCATTCATCTATTGATGGGCACCTGGGTTGCTCCCACATTTCTGCTGTTGTGAATAGCGCTGCTATGAACATAGGTGTCTCTTCTAGACCCTGCTTTCAATTCCTTTGGGTTTGTATCAAGAATTGCTGGAATTGCTGGATCAAGTGATGACTCTATTTTCAGTTCTTTGAGGAGCTGCTATACCGTTTTGCACAGCAGCTGTGCCATGCCCACCATCAGTGCAAAAGGGTTCCAGTTTCTCCACATCCAGCAAGGTATTGTTTTTATGCCCCATCTTACTGAAGGGGAAACTGAGGCCAAGAGAGGCTAGGTCACTTGCTCCAGGTCCTCCAGTTAGGAAGCAACACAGTCAGGACTGAAACCCAGACCCAACCAAGCTCTGAGCCCTCACACTGCTCCCGTGCCCTTGCAAGGACGCAATTCACTCGGCCCCTCATTCGGAGCTGGAGCTGCAGGTTTAGAGTCACAGTTGTGCTGTAAGGCAGGGGTGGTGCAGTGTCAGGAGCACACATCAGAAGCTGCCTGGGCACCCATCCAGCTCCCCCCGACAGGAGCCACTCTGATCCTCAATTTCCTCAAATATACCACAGGAATGGGAGACATTTGGGATTTTCATGATGATAATAAATGTAAAATTTTAAAAATCACACTTGGTACATAGTAAATGCCCAATCAATTATTATTTAGTCTGGTCCATGCTCCTTACAGAGAGATAGTGTGTGGAAATTCCTGGAAGCAAAACAGCATGACATCTTCAGGGATGTTCAAGCAGCAGGGAGCAGGGGATGCGGGGAGGGGCAGGCCCAGGCTGCAGGGGCAGACGGATGGCCAGACCTCCAGCAACCTCAGGCCATGCGATGAATGTTATCTCAGGGCCACCAGAGGGTTTGTGCAGGGGCATGATGGGGGCACATTTCCATTTTAGAAAGCCCATCTGGAAAATCCAGAAAGAAAGAGGCCAGAGAGGAGACTGTGGAGTAATCAGGAGAGAGACGATTGGGACCAGAACCAGGCTGGCTGCGCTGGCTTGGAGGTGGATGGCTACAGCTTGGGCATATCTGAGATGCAAGGGTCCAGGAGCCATTGCTTCACTGTGAGGGGTGAGGGAAAGGAGGCAAGGATAACTCTGTGGTCCTCGAGGATGCCTGAGGAATCATTCACTGAGCCAGGGGACTAGGCCAAGGAAAACTGTCATGCCCATTTCTGGGTCCACTTTGGCCCACTGGTGCCATAAGCCTTGGTGCCAAGGCATGGCCACCATGTTCCAGGTGTGGTATGAGCCATGAGGACTCCAGCAGCACCATGTCCTCCCTTGTTCCCCACACCATACCTCCATGAATGCAGCCCACGTGAGGGGTTAAGAGGGAGCTGGGCCCATTTCCTCAGCCAGCTTGTCTCCTCTCAGTGGCCTGTAAATGGTCCTCGAAAGAGGAAGACGGCCGGCCAAGGTTTCTGCAGTGAAGGTCTCTTTCCTTCCTAAAGAGACAACCCGGGGCTTGAACGCCGGCTGCACTAGCACTGCTAAATGATCTTGGGCAAGTTCCTGATCTCCTCTGCTGTTTCCTCGTCTTTAAAATAAAGACAATCAAAGGAATTTAGACATGAAAAGTCCTTTGTATCCAGGATGCAGTAGAGGCTCTATCCACTGTAGCTGCATTGTTGCTCTGATGGCCGTTGGTACTGGTGGTGGTGGTGGTGATGGTTAGTGTGATGACTGTCGATGAAAAAAGTCAAAGTCTGAAAAATATTTAAGGAGATTTATTCTGAGCCAAGTATGAGTGACCAAGGCCTGTGACACAGCCCCAGGAGGTCCTGAGAACATGTGCCCAAGGTGGTTGGGTTACAGCTTGATTTTGTACATTTGAGGGGGACAGAAGGTACAGGCAGACATCTATCAATACATGTAAGGCGTACATTGGATTGGTCTGGAAAGGTGGGACAACTCGAAGTGGTAGGGAGGCTTCCAGGACATAGGTGCATTCAAAGATTTTCTGATTGGCAATTGGTTGAAAGATTTCAGTTACTATCTAGAGACCTGGAATCAACAGAAAGGAGTGTCTGGGTTAAGATAAGGGGTTGTGGGGACCAAGGCTCTTACTCTGCAGATGAAGCTCCAGGTAGCAGGCTTCAGAGAGAGTAGTTGGTAAATGTCCCCTATCAGATCTAAAAAGGTGCCAGACCTCTAGTCAATTCTCTCTGGAATCAGTGAAAAGACCTAGAAAGGGAAGAAGATTCTCTGCAGAATGTAGACTGTCTCCATCTCCATCTCCATCTCCATCTCCATCTCTTATGTCTTCTCCACAAGAGACAGCTTTTCAGGGCCACTTCAAAATATGTCAAAGAAATCTATTTTGGGGGAAAATACTTTGATTTCTTTCAGGGCCTGCTATCTGTCATGTGATGCTATGCTAGAGTCAGGTTGGAATTTGGTATCTTATCGCTACAAAGAGCCTGTTTTGTCAGTCTCAAGGTCTCTCTGGTTTAATGTCAATGCTGGTCAGCTGTGCCTGCACTCCAAAGGGTTTCATGAGGCATGTCTGACCCCCCTGCCCATCATGGCCTAAACTAATTTTTTGGGTTGACTTTGGAAAGTCCTCGGCCAAGAGGAGGATCCATTCAGTCAGTGGGAGGCATAGAATCTTATTTTAGTTACACATGATGGTGGTGTTTTTGGTGGTGGTGGCCCTGGCAGTACCGGCGGTGTTGGTGGTGGTGGTGGTACTTGTGATGTTACTGTTTGTGGTATTGTTGTTTGTATTGCTGCTGGTGGCCCTGGCAGTACTGGTGTTGGTGTTGGTGGTGGCCCTGGCAGTACTGGTGGTGTTGATGCTGGTGGCCCTTGCAGTACCAGCAGTGTTGGTGTCGGTAGTGGTATTTGTGATGTTAGCGTCTGTGGTATTGTTGTTTGTATTGCTAGGGGTGGCCCTGGCAGTATTGGTGGTGTTGATGGGGGTGGCCCTGGCAGTATTGGTGGTGTTGATGGTGGTGGTGGTATTTGTGATGTTAGTGTTTGTGGTAGTGTTGTTTGTATTGTGGGTGGTGGTCCTGGTGATGTTTATGTGGTTGCTGTTGATGGTGGTAGTGGTGGCACTGGTGGTGGTGGTGATGGTGGTGACGTGTGGCTCCACAGGACCCACTGAAAGGCAAGGATCAGCCTGGCTGCAAACTGAGTTAGCATCTGACTCAGTTGCTTGCTCCTGGCCTGGAGCTTCTGGGGTTTCTGATCCCTTCACTGCAATCCATGAATCTCTCCCAGCAGGTATGACAGCCTGACCCAGGGGCTCTGGGAAAGAGGGGTTTTCATCCTACATGAGAAAGAACCACACCACCCTCCAAGGGAAAAAGCAGTCACTGGCAGGCCTCAAGGTGCGATTCGCAGTCTCCTGGGTTTCTGGGGCCATTTGTCCTGGTCCTGCTCGGCTCTCTGCCCATCCCTGCTGTGTAAACAGCACTCTCTCTCAGAAGGTCTTAGCTTTGCTTCCCTAAACACCCTGGACCTGTGATCAGGACTGCCACCTTCTGCCCTGAAGGTAAAAGTGATCCAGCCAGGGGGAGGAGGGGCCTGAGGAGCCAGGTGCAGGAGGTCAGGGGTCAGGGGTTAGGACAGTGGTACCGGCCAGGAGGTGCCTCCGGGCCAGCTGGGCTCCATCACACAGGCACTGCCCCCTCCCCCAGCCCTGCCCCAGAGTTGAGGGAAGGGAAGACAGGGGAACTAGAAAGAAAGCACGAGGACCAGCCAGCTGGGAGAGGCCAGGTCTGTGGAGCACCTGCTCTGTGCGCAGCAGCTGCTGCCTCAGGTGGAGTCTGTGGTTCCCATGGTTCCTAGAGTGAGGACTCATCCTGCCAGATGGAGGGCTCTGGGTTCTGCTGAGCACCTTCAGGAGTTCAGGTGAGAGGCTGTGGGACTTGAGCTGGGGAGAGCTGCATTCCTTTATGGAACATCATAAGGTGAAGAATCTGGAGCTGGGGGAGCAGTGGGGGCAGGAGGGGTGGGAGCCAAGATGGAGGAGACTGGAGGGAAGGGCAGGCGCTGACCAAGCCAAGCCACAGGCTCTGACAGCTGCGTCATCTAGTCCCAAAGGCACAGACCCCAGAACCCCTGCATAGCTCCTGTGGGCCACCCAGGAAACCCAAATGGGCTCTTACAAAACATTGTCTTAGTCTGTTCAGGATGCTATAACCGAACACCACAGACTGGATGGCTTACAAACAACAGAACTTTATTGCTCATCATTCCGGAGGTTGGGAAGTCCAGGATTAAGGCACCAGCAGATTGGGTGTCTGCTGAGTGTGTCCCTCCTGGTTCTTGGGTGGCGCCGTCCTCCCACAGACGCAGGAACAAGGGAGCTCTCTTTGCTCTGGCTTTATATAACGGCACTCATCCCATCTATGAGAGCCCCACCCTCCATGACCTAATCACCTCCCAAAGGCTTCTCTTCCTGATTCCATCACAGTAGGGGTGAGGACTTCAACCTAGGAATTTTGGAGGGACCCAAATATATGCACATTTAAATTCTCATAGAGAACTCATACACACTTCTTAACAGTCCCAGAGAAGCCCCACCCTGAGTCAGGCACACGCATCAGACCCAGAATGAAATGCAATGCTGTATTTCCCTAACTCCATCCATAGCTTCCTTGAATCACTCTTCATCCAGACAGCAGCTTCCCATCCACCGGGGCTGTTCCCATCAGAGGTTGCAGCAAGGTTTCCAGAGGGCCTTGCCGGCTGCAGCAGTGGAGACTGGGGACACACCTGTCTGCCAGTCACCTGCGCTGCAGGCCACTATCCACTGAGATGGACCACATCCTGCCCATCCTTGAGAGATTCACAAAGACATCATCCAGTCCATCCCCTCCCGCATTCCCAGGCTCCAGGTGTCTCCAAGTCTGCCTTTACTTCGGGGACTTCTGAGCATCCCTGGACACAGGGGTGGGGTAGGGGAAGAGGCTGCTCCACTCCCCACTCAGGGCTGGAGAAACTCACAAAGCAGAGGCAAGCTCTCTGCTCAGATGCAGACACGACGCGAACCAGCCATGTCTCCTCTGTCGCCGGAACGCAGCTCATGGCTCTGCCCTTGAGCTCCTACCGCTCCAGGCCTCTCTGATTTGTTCGTGCATTGGGGACCTTCCATGAAACTGACCCAGGAAGGGCAGAACATGAAACCCCTTCTCAAAAGCTGCCCACCATCCAACCTCTGGCTTCTCTTCCTCTCTCTCCCAGCCCAGGACGTTTTACCTCCTCTAGAGAGGAGAAGAGGACCCTGGCTCGTTCACCACTTATTCCTTATACATTGACTTCTTTAGGGATGAAAGCTTTGAAAAATTATGTTTTGGAGGATTTTTTGCAAGTGATTTGATTTACAATGCCGACATTTTAGAAGGTCAATAAGCAAAAGTGGTTTTCTCATAACTGGATGAATACTGCTTTACAAAAAAACGAAAAGAAAGTCAAAGCCACTGCTTTGCATGCAAACCCCAGACGTAGCTGTGTTTACCCAGAACAAAATAAAAGGACTTTTGATTAAACTGGTAGAAACTCACCATAGGTTTTGAATTCATACTTGAAAATCATACCCAGTGGGGCTGACATTTTGTTAAATCCATGCTCACAGCAGCTTGGTCCAGAGGGCGACTGGTCTAAACCAACATCTCCGTTCATGGTTCCATTCTTGCAATTCCTTAGCCTAAAAACCGGAAGTCATTCCTGAGGGTCTCTTTCACTACGCTGCTATCCAATTCATTAGCAAATCCCGCCAGGTCTTCCTTCAAACTACACCCCTCCGCGTGCATCTGCTCTCTGGAAATGCCACTCGATGGTAGCGAAGCTGCTGGCTCCATCCAGACGGCTTTCTCCACAATTGTTTTGTGTCCTTCCCTTTTGTATCAGTTGTGGTGTTGGCTGTAAGTGACAAGGACCTTGATCTGGCTGAAGGAAAGAGTGTTGGCTCCTGAGACTGGAAAGCTGAGGGTAAGTCTGACGGGCGCGGCGGGATTGGGAACTCACGGCATCAACATCCTCTCTCCGTGTCTTAGGCCCACTCTCCACCAGGTTGCTTCTCTCCCAGACTCTTCCCTCATGGGAACAAAATGCCTGCCAGCAATGCCAGATGTACATCCCCTCAAGCTCCCACAGGACAACAGGGCGGGCAGCATCCACTTCCCACAGCCAATAGCCCTGGGCCAGGATCACGTGACCGGCTGATAGGCTCAGGTCTCAGTCATGAGTTCCACCTTTAAGGAAGGTGGGGGCAGAAAATAAGTTTCCCTCAAGCCCTGTGCCTGGGATTGGGGATGGTGGCTCTGCAGAAGGAAGGCAAGATGCACTGACCAGAGGAGGGCACATGGAGGCCAGGAGACTGAACAGCAGGCGGCCACCTCACCTGTTGCACTGCCCACCCGCTACCTAAGCCCTGCCCGCCCCACCCGCATCTAAGCCCCACCCACTCTCCCACACCTGCAGCACTGCCCAACCCACCCCATCAAAACACCGCCCACCCACCCCATCAAAGCACCGCCCACCCACCCCACCTAAGCACTGCCCACCCCACCCCATCAAAGCACCGCCCACCCCCACCCCATCAAAGCACCGCCCACCCCCACCTAAGCACCGCCCACTCTCCCGCACCTGCAGCACCGCCCACCCCACCCCACCAAAGCGCTGCCCACCCCCGCCCCATCAAAGCAACGCCCACCCACCCCACCTAAGCACTGCCCACCCCACCCCATTAAAGCACCGCCCACCCCACCCCATCAAAGCACCGCCCACCCCCACCTAAGCACCGCCCACTCTCCCACACCTGCAGCATCGCCCACCCCAGCCCACCTAAGCACTGCCCACCCCACCTGAGCACCACCCACCCTACACCTGCAGCACCTCCCACCCCACCCCACCAAAGCACTGCCCACCCCCACCTAAGCACTGCCCACCCAACCCCATCAAATCACCGCCCACCCCACCTAAGCACCGCCCACCCCACTACACCTGCAGCACCGCCCACCCCACCTAAGCACCGCCCACCCCCGCCCCATCAAAGCACCGCCCACCCCACCCCACCTAAGCACCGCCCACCCCCACCTAAGCACCACCCACCCCACCCCACCCCACCTAAGCACCGCTCACCCCACTACACCCGCAGCACTGCCCGCCTCACAGAGCAGGGCCCCACCTGCCTCAGAGTAAGAAACCAGCAGCTCCACCACCCCTGGAGGCTGCCTTGGCGCAGCACTGGAAACATTCATAAGAACACAGCTGCCTTTTCCGAGATTCAGAGGTTGCTCTGGTGCCTGTCACCTGCCCAGGAATCCTGCTTTCCAGCAAAGGTGCCTGTAATTCTAACTTTTAAAGAATGTCTCAGGGCCGGGCGCGGTGGCTCACACCTGTAATCCCGGCACTTTGGGAGGCCGAGGTGGGCGGATCACAAGGTCAGGAGATCGAGACCATCCTGGCTATCACAGTGAAACCCTGTCTCTACTAAAAATACAAAAAATTAGCCAGGCGTGGCGGCATGTGCCTGTAGTCCCAGCTACTCCAGAGGCTGAGGCAGGAGAATCTCTTGAACCCGGGAGGCAGAGGTTACAGTGAGCAGAGATCATGCCACTGCACTCCAACCTAGGTGACAGAGTGAGACTCCGTCTCAAAAAAAAAAAGAACAAGAAAAAGAAAAAAGTCTTGGGATTAACAGGGAAAAAAACAGTGACCAGGACCAACGGCTAAAATACATCTCCCCCAACTATTCTGTACATCCACCCAGCAGGAAAAATGATGCTTCTGAAATAATAATTTCTCATTTCCTGGGGCTCTAATAAAACCTACCTTAGACAGCAGTAGCTTCTCTGTTCAAAGAGACGCTGGCAAGTGGTCCATGTTGTTTTCTTCTACGACCTTGTGTGGAGGCAGGAGAAAGATGAGATGGCAAAGTCTAAGGGATTTCATCATCACAAGGATCTTCTCTCTCTCCCTTTTTCCTTCTTTCTTGGAGTACTTGATCTCTCTCAGTTATTACTTATAAATTAGGGATTTTAATCAGTTTTATGAAATCATTTTGAGGATTAAACGATCTTTTCAATGGAAAATACTGAGGTCACCGCCTGATGTGTAGTATGTGCCCAGTAAATAGTAGGGTTAAAAAAAATCAGTATCTGGCCGGGTGCAGTGGCTTACAGCTGTAATCCTAGCACCTTGGGAGGCCGAGGCAGTCAGACTGCCAGAGCTTGGGAGTTCAAGACCAGCCTGGCCAACATGGTGAAACCTTGTTTTCACTAAAATATGAAAAATGAGTTGGGTATGGTGGCATGCACCTGTAGTCCCAGCTACTCGGGAGGCTGAGGCATGAGAACTGTGTGAAACCAGGAGGCAGACGTTGTAGTGAGCCAAGATCGCCCCACTGCACTCCAGCCTGGGCAACAGAGCGAGACTCTGTCTCCAGAAAAAAAATCAGTATCATGGTGAGAGCAAGAATTGTTAATGTGGAAATGTTCCTGCCCCAACTGCACCCTGACCTCCCCAAACTAATTCAAAATGACGTGTTTGCCAGATATTTTAGAACAAAAAACTGGAGAATGGAACAAGAGAGACAAGATCAGAAAGATGGGCCCAAAGCGGCTCTAACCCACCTAGGGAAGCTGTCACTCTCCATATGAAGAGAGTGGGGAAGTAAGGAGTGAATCTGGCACTGCTGGAGGTGGGTGGGTGTGAGGCTCACGATCAGCTGTGGGTACAGGGGTTGGGAGGGGAGGACAGGGAACTTGAGGAGCGAGGTTACGGGTTGTGATGTAGATACTCGTTGATACTGTCTTCGAGATGCCAGTGAATGCTGCAATAGTTGCTGGACGGTGCTTCTTTATACGAGACCCTGTTCAGAGACTGGGACCTGTGGGGCCCCAGCTTTTCCCAGGGCACACTGCTGGTTCCCTCTGGGGTGCAGGGAGCAGAGGTGCATGCAGGTTCTCTCAGATGATGAGAGTTTGTTTCAGGAAAACCCTGGGAAGCAAGGAAGACAGAAAACAGCTTAAAAGGCCAGCATCCTAAAAGGGGGCTCCCTGGAGATCCTGGGACTCCACAGAACTGGCGGCACTTTCCTGCTGGAGCCGGGCATGTCCTCTCCCCACTCACTGGACACTCACCATTGTGAGTCAGCCCCAGACCCCCTCTTAAGTGCTCCTTTGTGGGCTCCCTAAGGGAGTCGGCCTAACTGCTTGGCCATCACCACCAGCACTGCATGTCCCTGGTGGCATTGCTGTCCTGGCCAAGCCATAGATGGCTTCTCTGGAGGTAAGCATCTAACCCTGCCGTGGGTGCCATAATGTGCCACCCAGATCCTCCCTCAGATCTGAGGCACATTCCCCAGGCTGCTGGGGGTGTTGATGGCTGATCATTCTAGCAGAATCCTTCTCCAGGAATTGTCTTCAGGTTCTGACAGCCACCTGCCTCAAAGTCAGGCCCCTTCCTGGGGTGGCCCATGTGCAATGAATGGTCAAGGAAAAAGCAGAAAAGTCCAGGCCCCATTTTCCCCTATTCATGACCTTCCTGAAGGGCCATCTTGACTCCAGACTTCCGTGAGTTAGCTGAGGTCTTGGCTGTGACATCTCTAAAGCCCAGCTTCTCCCTCCCTGCACACGTTCATCCTGGAAACACTCCCCAGTGACCTTCCTTCACACCAATTTCACCTCCTAATCTGCTTCCTTAGAAACCCATCTATAACAATCCCTAGGCCAGGTAGCTGTGAGAGAGGCATAGGCCTAGAGTTGCCAGATTTCATTAATAAAAATATAGGATGGCCAACAAATGTTAATTGCAGACCAACAACAAATAATATCTTAGTGTAAATATGCCCCATGCCATATTTGGGAATATTAATACTCAAATATTATTTGTTGTTGACGTGAAGTTCAAATCTAACTGGGCATTCTGTATTTTATCTGCGAACCCCAGAAGGATCATGGAGTAGAGAATATAGGATCTAGGTCCAAATGGGCCTATGGCCACGGCAGACATTCGGAGCATCACAGGCTCCTGTTACACACGAGCTCAGCTCGGATTTCTCCTGTAAGAAATAAAACAACTCAAATGTGATGCTATTTTTTTGTTTAAAAGAATAATAAAAATAAAAACTACCATGTATTGAGGACCAACTCAATTCCAGACCATGTGCTAAGTATTTCAAAGCTGTTAATCCATTGTTGACCCATTCAATCGTCACAACTTTTTGAGGTAAGCGTATATCAGTTAGCATCAAGTCCAATAAGAGTCACAGAAAACCCAAACTATCTGTGGTTTAAAGAAAATTTAGAAGTTCAGAGGTAAGCAATGCAAGGCTGGGATTGGGAAACTCCAACCCTTTCCTCATGTTTAACCCTGTGTGGTCTATGTTCTCAGGGTCACCCACATGGTCCAAGATGGCTGCTGGAGATCCAGCCATTACACAAAACTCCAGTCAGCAAGAAGGAAGAAGCAACAAAGAAGGACATCACCCCCCTCCCCTTTAAGGACACTTTCTAGAAATTATAAGAGCACATGTTTATGCCCCTTTTGACAGAACTCAGTCACATACATGATCTGGGTGCAAGAAAAAATGCAAAATGTGATTTTTTTTTTTTTTTTGGAGACAGAGTCTTGCTCTGTTGCCCAGGCTGGAATGCAGTGGCACGATCTCGGCTCACTGCAACATCCACCTCCTGGGTTCAAGCGATTCACCTTTCTCAGCCTCCCAAGTAGTTGGGATTATAGGCGCTTGCCACCATGCCAGGCTAATTTTTGTATTTTTAGTAGAGACGGGGTTTCGCCATGTTGGCCAGGCTGGCCTCGAACTCCTGATCTCAGGTGATCCACCCACCTCAGCCTCCCAAAGTGCTGGGATTACAAGTGTGAGCCACCATGCCCAGCCTGCAAAATGTGATTTTTTATTCCAGTTTGTCACAGGTCCAAGTAAGAATCAGAGTTTTTCTTGCTAAGGAAGAAGGGGAGATGCATAGTGAGGGACAATGATCAGATTTTGCCACAAATAGATGCTATTCTTGTTATCCTTGCTTTTAGATAAAATTGAGGCTCAGAAAGATTAAATACCTTACCTAGGGTCATGCAACTCCCAGCCTGCCCCTACAGCCTGTGCCTGCAATAACCACTATCATATAATTCCATTTAATTAGATTTCAGAGATGCCAATTACCTAAGGAGGGTCCAATGACAGGCAAATTCTATTTTTTAAAAAAATCTAACATTCAAACAAATTGAGCATTCAGACATCACAACTTTGTCAAAAACCCTAACGATCACAGCAAATGTAGAAAAACACAGGAGAAAAAATGTTTAAACTATACACACAGAGGTATGAAAGAGAAGCAAGACCAGCTTTTGCACAGATCAACAGTCCTTCCAGAGAAGAAAAAGCCCATCACATGTTCCGGAAGCCAATTTAACTAGGATGATCACAAAGAAGAAACAAGGGAGTGTACCAAGTGGCAACGCAGCCACAGGGTGGGGAAGTCATGCTTGAAATCACTAAGAATAAAAGTTTGAGCACTGGGGCCTGAGTGAATATTAAATGGGCTCTGTGGGTTTAAGTAATACAACTCAACAACACCCTGCAATAACTTTGAACTCTTGGATCTTGGGGAAATGGCCTGGGGAATGAGAAAATTCTCCAAGAGAAATATTATTTGTATTCCATGGTTGTAAAAGTTAATAGCCCTCCCCCATTCCAAACCATGGCATCCCAAACCAGAGGAAGGGAAATTTGAAACATGTAATTTAGAAGCTGGGCTACAAGGAGGAGAGCCTGACCCCCAAGCTAAAGCTGCCTGGGGCTTTATTTACACAGGTCTAGAAGCTGAGTGGCTCTAACTGTTGGGAAAATCTTTCTGAAATTCCACAATTTGGTTTACCTTCCCCCTGCTAGGATGAGGTTGCTCACAAAATCATGGTTTCATAGAATGCAAAAATTAAAAGAGAGCTTAGCGATCATCTAAGGCTCAGATTTAGCTGGGTCTCATCTTGAAGGAACTCCCTTAACTGGGAATAGCTGCCTGGGTCACAGCACAATGCAAGTGTGTGGAGCTGAGGCTGGATTGAGTGGGACGGAATGCTTCATTGTGATTGATTAGTCATGTCTGCTTCAGGCACAGAATGATAGGCGAAGCATATGCATCGAATGTTTTTTCACTGTAAACTTGGTGAAACCCTTCATTTTACAGAGGAAGTAAGTGAGGCTCTCTGAGCGAAAGCAAATTGCTCTAAGCCTTTTTGGTAGCTGAGTGAGAATGACAAGTCAGTTCTCTTCAGTTCTCATCCTGTCTTCCTTTTACCATTAGCTTCTGTGGCTGGCAACTAGAATTTTCGCAAGAGTAATTCCTAACAGCCATTCATGCTCCACTCAAACAGAAAGACCTGCCCTTTTAAGGGAATTCATTTCCACTTTCCTTGATTCCCATTCAGGTCTGAGTGTGGCACAATTGGAGGTAGTAGTTTAATTTTGGTAGTCGACATCCTCGGTTGGACAACAGTAAGGGTAACCCTGTGTGCTGCTATAACAAATAATCCCTAAACCACAGTGGCTTAACACTGAATGCTGGGTAAAGAATGGCCCCTCGCAGGTGACCAGGTCCTAATTTCCAGAACCTATATAATACTTTACATGGTAAAAGGGACTTTGCAGATGTGATTAAAGATATTGGGATAGACAGATTAACTGGACCTCTTATAACGGTTTTTCTAAGAAGGAGGCAGAAGAAGAAGGAGATAAGATGACAGAGCACAGACAGGGGCAGAGAGAGATCTGAAGATGCTGCACTCCCGGCTTTGAAGACAGAGGAAGGAGCCAGGAAAGGCAGGTGGCCTCTAGAAGATGGAAAAGGCAAGGAAACGGATTCTTCCTCCAGCCTCTAGAAGGGAATACAGTCCTGGTGAGACCTTGACTTTAGGCCTTCTGACCTCCAGAACTATAAGATAATACATTTTTGATGTTTAAGACCACCGAGTTTGTGGTAATGTGTACAGCAGAAACTGGAAATTAACATACACAGTAAAAGTTTACTTCCTGCCCCTCTCACAATCTAACAAAGTGAGACCATCTCCCAAGTCACGACTGGGGCTAGGCCCCTACCATCATCAGGCTCTAGGGGTCCCAGGGCCTCCAGCCAACCAAAGCTCAGACAGAAGAGGTGAGGGCAGAGATCCTGCAGGAGGCTCCAAGTGCCAGGCTTCGAAGTGACTTCCACCCACCCTTCGTCTGGCAAACCCATCCCACCGCACCACTGAGCTGCAAGTGTCTCCTGGGAGCCCAAGAGGAGTATCAGATGGTTTGAGAAACACACGGCATCTGTCTCTCCACTCATCCCCTTTCCTCTTCTTGCCATCACTTCCTCCCCCAATTCTTTAGTCCTCAAGAGTCAAGCAAACCTGGCTCTGATCCCAGCTTGCTACTCAATAGCCGCAAGCAACTAACTGGACCTCTCTGACCCACTGCATCGTTATCTATAAAATGAGGAAGGGGGTAAACAATTGTTATCATAACTGTGAATAGATTATACCATTATTATAGGCATATTTTTATATAGGTCTAAGAGTTAGGTGATAGAGCATAAAATGAAAACACTTTTCCAGAGGTTCTTAGCCTGGGGACATCCTCAGAATTGCACGTGGACTTTTAACAACCACACATAAGGGGCCTCCACAGGTGGCGGCTGCCACATGGGATGATTCCGCAGCTGGATCATGACTGCTCAGTTCAAAGGCAACATACCGGGAACCTAATACTGGCTCTCAAGACAGGACGCAGCATCAGTCACTTAAGAAGCTGCATCGCCCTCCCCAGGAATATTTACATTGTAAATTTGAGCTCCAACCGCAAAAACATCCTGCTAAGTGAAAGAAGCCAGACACAAAAGGCCACAGAGTGTATAATTCCATTTATAGGAGATACTCAGAGTGGGTCACCTCGTGCAGACAGAAAGCAGATTCGTGGTTACCAGGGGCTGGGGCAGAGGGAAGTGGGAAAGACTTTTTAACAGGTATGGGGTTTCCCTTCGAGGGATGAAAATGTTTGCAGCTACAGGTGATGGCTGCACAACAGTGAACACACGAAGTGCCACTGAAGTTCACGCCTCCAAATGGTTGATTTTACATTATGTGAATTTCACCTCAATTTTGTTTTTAAAAAGCAACATCTCTGCTTCAGGGACATATTTAAAGGCCAGCATAGCCCCAGTTGGCCTGAAATCAAATCTCAATCCTTTGCCTATATATCAAATTGTTCCTGTGTCAACCTAAGGCCCCTACACAGTAACTGAGACACAAGGACAGTCTTCCCCGGCTGCTGGGGGTGTCAGTGACCAAGGCCTTTGGCTGACAAAAGCCGTATCCCCAACATCACACCCTGTCCCAGGAGGTGGTGACCTTGTGCCCATTGACAGGTTATGGGGTAGGGAGGCCTGGTCTCTTGCTCAAGGCAGGACACCTCTGCAGGAGCACAGGACCCGGTTGAGGCCCTTGCGGTCACCACATCCCCATCCATCCCCATCCGCATCCTCTGTCCACCTTGCTGACGTCCCCACCCCACTGATCCCAAAGCTCTTCCCCCAGCAACCTCTGCAGCAAATCTCCCTCTGAGATTTGCCGGGACACCCAACCTAAGATGCCTGCCCAAGATGAGTTCTGCTGTCAAGTTCTACAGCAGTGGTTTCAACCAGGCAGCAATGTCTCCCACAAGGGATGGAGCTCCATGAGACGTTTTTGTTTATCAGGACTTGGGGGGTGCAGGTGCTACCAGCGTCTAGCAGGTAGAGGCTGGGACACAGCTAAATATCCTATAATGCCCAGGAAAGCCTCACTGCCACAAAGAATGATCCAGCCCAAAATAGCAGTGGGGAGGTTGAGAAACCCTGTTCTAGAACAGAAGCTCCTTGAAGACAGGGTTTTTTTTTTTTCTTTCTGTCACACGTCCAGCACATAGTAGCTGTTCAATCCATACTTGCAGAATAAATGAGTGAGGGACTGAATGTGAAAACCCACCAGGGCACCTCCACCTCTCCTCAGGTGACGTCTCCTCAGAACAGACTTCACTGAGGCTTCCATACTCTGCCTCCTCTTCCCCCGAGGACTTAAGGCTTTCTGTGGTCTGGCTCCTGCCTGCCATTTGGCCTCATTTCTTAGCATCCTCCTCCTTGCTCACAGTCGTACAGTTTTCTTGGCCTTCTTGGGTCCTCAAATACACAAGCTCACTCAGCAACTTAAGGGCATCAATCATGGGGTCCCTGCATCTCAGTTTCTTGCAGGGCAGGCTCCTTACCTGATGGTCTTTCTAAAATAAATCCTGTGGCCCTTCTGGTTGCTCTTACCACATCCTGTTTGTTTCCTGCACGGCCCTTGCTATCACGCAAAACGACCTTTGCTTGGTTGCGCATTGTTTGTTCTCCGTCTTGTCTCCTGGGAAGATGCCACGATGCAGTTTTTCTCCACTTTGCTCTGTACTGTGGAATTATCTGTTGACTGGATGAATACAGGAATTGGCAGAACAACTGGTACCCTGGACTTGTGATAACGGGGGCCCAGTGAACTGGGCCTCATGGAGGTTCAGGACCCGTTGAAAGAAAGAAGGAAGGGTGGGCCTGCTGGGGAGAGGGGCCGCCACATGCGCACTGGCGTCTGCTAACAAGGGCAAGTGTGGACGAACTCCTGGGGGCTGAGTCATCTCTTTCTCTGTAGCTGTGCGGGAGGCAGATGCCTTCAGGCTGGGCAGGAGAGAGGAGGCCCAGAATTTTGTGCTGGGAAGTTCGAGGCAGAGCACGGGCAGAATTTGTTGTCACAGGGAGATGTCAGCCCCACGCCCCCCATGTCAAAGGACTCTTAATTACGCTGCCAAAAGCAAGGCTCAGTGCTAACCTGTGACCCCAAAGGTGTTTATATTTCCCTCCAACATTCTCTTTTGATCATCCCCCTAGAGTCAAAAGTATCCCAAGTCTTGAAGATAAACTGTTAGTTTTATGGGGTCGCTTTTACTCCTACCAGAAAATAAGACAAATGCACCGCACGGTGTTTGAGGGAAGCCATTTGCATTTCCCTGCCTCTCTCCTGCTTTGTCCGCTACCTTCTGCACTGGTGGAGGCTCCTCTCACCACCTGCACAAGGCTGTCCTGCTCTTTGCTGCCTGCTTCTTATCCAGATTTTACCCAAACTGAAACAAAAGGAAGCAAGATGAGATCTACGTGCAGTCACCCTCACCTGCTGGCAGGGGACAGAAGCAAATAGTTCTTTTCAAGTTAGCAACGAACTTTCAGAAATCTGTAAGATGTGGCTCTCAAAAAAGGTACTGGTGAAAAACCTCTTCTTAACAGAGATGAAAACCTGATATAACTGAATGTGGAACGGCAGGGGATGGTACCATCCTCCGGGATCATCCATTATGAGGCCACGCTCTGCAGCTGTAACAATGGATATTAGGAAAGTGTACTCATTGATCTGGAAAGAGGTTGGTTTTCCATCCAAAGGGAGGTGGCAGATAAATTAGTGAACAGGACTCTAGCAGATGCTGTGGGGGCCCTGTCCTTACCCCCTTGGCCTTCACTTTTCCCGGGTATTAGAACGCAATAGCTCCCAGTGCCAGGACATGCTAGTGCTCCCCAGAAGTACTCAGGGCAGAGGGGTTAACACTCTCCTGGGAGCAGCCCTCAGGCAATGATTAATGGTAGGAGTGAATGCACTGTTCATCTCCTCAAGGGCTAACTCCCAGGCACCTCCTGAACCACCTATGGGAAGCCCCCAGTGAAACTGACCCCCAGGTGCCCACAGAAGAAACCTGCTCCCTTCTGTCTGCCCAGCTAATCCTTCTTGGAATCAGTTCCCAATTCACTCACTTGCCACCCTGGGGGTTAGAGGCTATAGAAAGGGGCAGGAGTTTGCCATTCCTGATACAGGAATGATAAGCACAGAGAGGACATGGGGCGTTACACGTGGGCTGCCAGCCACACAGTGGAGGCAGTGCCTGTGCTTAGGAATCTGAATGTTAAGTACGCATTCCTGCCCGGAGAGATTCCCGTGCTCAACCAGCAATGGAGCCTCCGCCAAGCCCACGCCACCGAGACCATGGAGCTCAGACATCAGCCTGCTGCGAAGTCATCTGGGGAGCATGTTAAGAGGCTTGGATCTGGACCTTACCCAGAAAGTGGGACCCAGCAGGCATGTAGTGGGCCCAGGAATAGGCATATTACACAAGGACCCCAAGCAGTTCTGAGTTACAGGGTGAGAAACACTGGACTGGCAGAGTGGCAGTGTCTAGTGTCCACTAGACAGAGGCTGCTCTCTAAAGAGAGCACATGCTTGTATTCCTGACGGTGGCCAAGGATTACCCATGTGATCTCCCCTCGGCTGCCCAGAGCAGGGGAAGGAGAAATGCTGCCTGTGTTTGTTTCCTAATGCTGCTGTAAGAAATTATTACCAACGTGATGGGCTTAAACCCACAGCCGTTTATTGCCGATAAGCTGATGCCCCTTCTGTAGGTGAGAAGTCCCAGTGGACTCAGTGAGGTCTCGGCCTTGGATCTCACAAGGCTGAGATCTAGGTGTCGGCAGGGCTGAGCTCCTTCCTGGAGGCTCTGGGGAGGAATCCAGAGCTGGAATTCCAGGCTGATTCAGTGGCTGGCTGGATTCAGTTCCTTGTGTGTGAAGGACTGAGGTCCCCGCTCCTCGCTGGCTGTGAGCCCGGACAGGCTCTGAGAAGCTGCTGCGGTCCTGTCTGCGCTTTACATGTGCCTCCTCCAGCAATGGTTAGTTGAGTCCCTCTCATGCCATGAATGTGACGTCTCCTGCCACATCTAACTTTGGCCAGAGAAAGTTCTCTGCTTTTAAGGGCTCATGGGATTACATTGGGTTTACCTGGAAAATCCAAGATAATCCCCTACTGTAACATCCCCAACCTTAGTCACATCTGCAGAGTCCCTTTTGTTATGTAAAATTACATACTCTCGGGCTCCAAGGATTAGGGTGCGGACATTTTTGAGGGGACATTCTGCATACAACAATGCTGTATCACAAACAAAGCCACCAGATTTCTGGTCTTCTTGCAAATGATTCTTTGCTTCAGGGATTATGTATCTGTAGGCCCGAGACGGAGAAGGCAGGAGGCAGAAGAGTTGGGCCTGCGTGGAATTGAGAGCAAAGATCTTCCTCCATAAGATCAAGGTGTGGGAGGAGAAGGGCCTTCCTTGTTTTTCTTCTCAGAATGCTGTCATTTAAGGCTGCTCTACTCAGAGCCTTGGCAGTCATCTGGCCACCATGATACAGGGCCAAGCACAAAGGATGGCAGGCCAGGAGTCCAGGGGGAGGTCATTGCTGACTTAGTTAAGGGAGCCAGGCGTGGTGGCTCACGCATGTAATCCCAGCACTTTGGGAGGCTGAGGCAGGCGGATCACCAGAGATCAGGAGTTCGAGACCAGCCTGGCCAACATGGTGGAACCCCGTCTCTACTAAACACACACACACACACGCGCACACACACACACACAAAATTAGCCAGGCGTGGTGGCACATGCCTGTAATCCCAGCTACACAAGAGGCTGAGGCAGGAGAATCTCTGGAACCTGGGACGTGGAGATTGCAGTGAGCCAAGATCTCGCCCCTGCACTCCAGCCTGGGTGACAGAGCGAGACTGCGTCTTCAGAAAAAAAAAAAAGTCCTGGAACCATCTATCTCCACTATCTCCAGACTTCCTGTTGATGAGATTATCAAATCTCTACTATTTAAGCGAAGTTTAGATGAATGTTCTGTTCCTCACTGATGGAAGCATTCCTAACAGATTCGTGTGATGTTTGCAATAGTTTGGAATATTGTTCAACACACAGTCACTCCCCTCTCCTTTGCATAATGAGCAGAATATGCCTCTTATCCTGTTTATGGTGGGCTTGGCAAAGTGACTTGCTTTGGCCAATGAACAGCAATGGATGTGACACATGCAGAGGCCTTCGAAGTCCTTGCAGGTTTGGGCTCTACTCTTGTGCCCCAGTGATCTGCCATGAGGAGAATACGCCCAGGATAAGCTGCTGCCCCTTCAGCCTGGGCCCCAGAACAAACACATGTGCGGCTGCATGAGCCCAACCTGTGTCCTATAACCAAGGCCAGCGGACCCTGAGCCTGAAGCAGAGACCTCCAGCAGGGCCCCGCTTAGATCACCTGCATCATGATCAACCGCTGTCACTGTTCCAAGAAACCGAGCTTAGTAACGGTGTGTTATGCAACATTGTCAATAGCTGACTTGCACAATAGTGAACATGCAAGAGGTCCACACACTCCTGTTCCCCAAGACCCTAAAGTCACGTGGGGGAAAGTGATAGAACTCTACTCTGGGGATCCAAGAGCACAGAAAATCTAGGTCAAGCATTCATAGAATACAGGAGCTGGCAAACTCCCCACATCTCCCTGAGACACAGAGGAGCAGGTACAGAAGAAATGTCTGCCTGGGTGCCTGGAAGCCTCACAGGGTTTCATCGGCTCAGAACGCCCCAGTATCCAATGAAATCTTCCCATGGGCCGGGCTTTTAGGCTGCTCTGGGAGTTGCGGCCAAGCACTCCCGGAGATGCTCTGCTCTCAAGATGCAGAGGGCACAGGTGCGACTGGTGAGAACTGAGGACCACTCCAGAGGGAAGGAGGCAGTTTCCACGGATGTCTGGGTCACCTGGAGAGAATCCAGGCTGACATCACTCGCATGCCTGGGCTATTTGGGTCTCCCCCACCCCCCACCACCCGAACTGGAGCAATACTTAGGGAAAGGGAGAACCCAAATCCGTAAAATTAGGTTTCTGCCACTTGGAACAGGGGCTTGAAAGATAAATTAACTTCCATTAGACTTATATTTCTTGCACACCGTAGACTGCAGACTGAAATTCATGCCCACTGTGGACACAGCGAATGTATTTAGTCCCTGGGTATAGTGGTCAGCTTGCTTCAGTTCTGGGAGTCTCCATTCTCATTGGACTAAACCAGAGTCAGCAAACCAGGGCTGTTTTGCTCAAATCTGGCTCAAATCTGGCCCACTGCCTGTTTTTGTAAATAAAGTTTCACTGGAATAGCCACGCCCCCTTCGTTCACCGCTACAACGACGGGACTGAGTGGATGCGACAGAGACGGTCTGGCCCACAAAGCTGAAAATATCTATTATCTGGCCCTTTGCAAAAAAAGCTTGTCAACCTCTGCACTTTCCCACCTGCTCCAAATCTCAATCTCCCTGCGCTAAGCTCTGCTTTCATTATAGCAACTCAACCAGCGTTGGAGAACGAGGTACACAGCATTCAAGAAACCCAGCCCTCGTGTGGCCCAGGGAGCTCTTCCCCACACACTACAAAATTCTCCAGACGTCCCCCTCCAATGAGCCAAAGAGATGTGACTGCACAGCACTATACCCTCTGCTGCCCGAGATCAATGACTTTTCCTCTTAACTGCTCGCATGGCCTCATCCCTCCTTCCCTGAGACTTCTTCCCAGCTTCCCTCACCCTGGTGCTCCTCAGGAGAGGCCAAAATGAGAAGAGAGGTCTCCGAGTTTGAGTTCCACACAAAACTCTGCTCTGGCCAGACTCCGCCCAGCACCGTGGATGCCAGCAGAAACCCCATGTTTGTCCCCATTAATCACAGGCGGAACCTGCAACTTGAGCCCCGTCCACCCGAAATGAGTGGAAAAAGTGCAACCTGACCACAAAAGTATTATTTTATAAATAAGGCCCTTCAGTAGTGGTTAATTGGATACACATTTTGTAAGATTCAGGGAACATGAAAGCTATCATACTCACATTGACTGGCTGCGTTCCTGTGAGACTGCAGTGGCCATTTTCTGTGCAATGTCAGGCCCCAGGCTGAAAGTCCTAGCTTGGAGACTTTTATTTTTCCCTTAGGGATATTGCTTCTCCACCCCAACCTTTACAAAAAAAAAGAGCAAGATTGATTTAGTGTATGTTTAACGGCTCCATAAATCACTCAACATGCCCCAATGTCATCAAAATTCTGCCAGAAATGATTTCCACTGAAGCAGATGGCCTGTATGGGAAACTAATCTGGCATGCTTTTATTTCCACCGAATTTCCATGAGCTCCTACTGTGTGTCAGCGCACACCTGGCCCTGGAAGAGGCTGAGGGGAGTGCTCCAGTCCATGGCCCTGCATCCCAGAAGAGGGAACGCTGCAGGAGCTGGAAGGAGATGTTCAAGAATACAGGGAATCAGCCTGGAAAACCGTGGGCTGGAAGGCCTGCCCCTGTTTGTCTGAGATGGTTTAAAATTCACACCCTTCTTACGAAGACAGAATAAGAAATCCAAGGCTAATTTTGAATGCTCTCTCCTGCTATGCTTATGCTCTGTGGGTAGTCTGGGGACAGTGATGGGACCTAGCTATGCCTGCTACAGAGAGATGACTGGACAGACGGGTGGCAGGTTGGGGAGGTGGCCTCCCCTCCCCAGCTGGTGCGGGCAAGCTGACAACAGCCCGCACCTGTTGAAGGCTCACCAGGGAGGGCTGAGGGCCTGATCTCCAAATTGAATGGTCAACCTGGACAGCCACACGAGGCCAAGTGTCTGCATTTGCGTGTGACGTAAACCAGCACATACACCAGGGAGAGAGAGCAGCAGGGACTGAGAAATCAGGAGAGCTTCAGAGAGAAGCGGGGTGGAGTTCAGCCGAAGAGAATGAATAGATGGGAGAAAGTGAGAAATCCATTGTGCTTTCATGACCAAAACAACTCTTGGGAGCAACATGTCATTGTTTCTAAGGAGTAACAATAGTAATAATCACAGCTGAAGTGTACTTTAAGAGTCAGTCCATGCCAGGAAGTCCATATGCACTATTATCTCTCTGATCACTCAAAACCATCCTAAGAGGTAGTTACGATTATCACACCTAATTCACAGATGAAAAAACCAAGTCTCTTAAGTTTCTCAACTTTTCCATCAAAATGCTCCAGGAAGCCGAAGAAAAGGAGCCTGTGAGCTGAAGACTCAGAGGAGTTCCCCAAGTCTACCGCCGCAAATGCAAAATTTCTTTGAAGTTCTGTTTTCTATATTCCCTTGTTTTTTTTACCCTCTCCTCTATATCTAATATCAGAATGATGTGCTTAATTGTCTTTGAGTGAAATTTCACAAACTTTCTCCCCTAAAATGCTTCTAATCAAATTACCCTTCCCAGAGGATGAACCTTATTTCTTCTGAGGTTTTTCCGACTCCTTCACCCACTGACTTGGATCCTGAGGCTAAACATGCTCCAGTTTAAGCAGCTCAGGTGGGGAGCAGGGCTTGGACACAGCTGGCCTCTGGCCCCCTGTTTTTGTTTGGCATGCATGGTGTCTTTCAGTTTTCACACACACACACACACACACACACACACACACACACAAATCCAGATTTCCAGATTCTTCTAAAATTGTTTCCACTGTGGCCACAATTGTGTGGCTCTGAGTAGCGACATAGGCTGGGTACAAGACACTAGGGAGTGCTGGGGACTGTGGCAAAACTGCCACCACTCCCTAGAGTCTTATATCTAGCCTATGTCACTCTATATTTCTCTAGACCCTGGAGGTGTTTGAGTATATGCTCTTGTCTTGGAACTCTTGGTGTTTCAGGTACAAAATGCAGAAAAGCCATGGGGTCTCGGTAAGACAGAGAGGGCTCCAATCAAAAGACATCAAGAAGATTCCATTCACAAAATGACCCTGCAGAGCCATGTCAGCACAGAGAGGGGGAAAAAAGAACCCCAGTGATGCTCAGTGAAGCCCTTTTATTTTCCACTCTACCTCTGATGCTGCTCAAAGTGATGAATTAGAGAAGCTCATTTCCTTTGGTTGGAAAAAAAAAAACCCAGAAAACAAAAGAAAAAGCCAGTGTTCAATAAAACGTGGAGGAATGACGCAATGGTGTGCAGAACCCTCAGAGCGGAGCTGTTAATTGCTTCCTTCCCAGGATGCTGGCCGGCCCCTTTCTCAGGGACTCGGATGCATTTGTCAAGGAAAGTATCAGCCCCCCATAACTCTCCAAAATGATACAATACATCACTTGAAAGTAAGCTAGGATCAACACGTTGTTAACTGTTTGATCTCGCAAGTCAGAATTAATGATAGGTATTTTGCACAAAGAGAAAAAAATGAATGTTAAAAGCCTATTTACGTTAACTAAAGACATCCCTGCACCATCAGGGTTGAGTTGGAGGCGATTTCCTGCGGCACAGCTGTTCTACGTTTGTTAGTCTGCGGGTGGGTGGCAGCCCAGTAATCAGAGCCAGACTGAGGGTGTGGGGAGCTGAAGAGATGGGGGGCGGGGGTCAGGAATCTTTACACAGAAAATCCCAGTGACCACCTAGAGAAAGAGGATCCGGGTTAGAGCTCAGAGTGCACTCCTTCAGAGCTTTGGAAAGAGCTGCAGACCAGTTTCTTCATCTGAAAACTAGACTTCATTCATTAATTCTGAAAACGCTTACAGAGTGTGGGCTGAGCACAGGGGGTCCATTGGGGAGCATTAAGGACCAGGTCCTTGCCCTCATGGATCTTACAGTCTAGACAAAAAACTTTAACCAATAAGGAAACAAACAGATTAACAGACAAAACTTCAGGTCATGATAATACTATAAAGAGAACAGGATGGGATGTACCCAAAAGGGACCAGGGATGGGGCCACTTTAGATTGATGGCCAGGGAAGGCCTCTCTAAGGAAGCAACACTGGCCTTGAACCCTGGATGGTGTGAGCCAGGCAAACACTCAGGGGCAGAGTGTTCCAGCAAAGGCTGTGGCCGGTGCAAAGGCCCTGGAGCAGGGACAGGCGTGGAGTGCTCCTGCTACAGCAAGGCAGTCCCTGTGCTGGAACCAAGGGAGGGAGGAGAGTGGTGGCAAAATAGGGACCACAATGTGTACGGCTCTGGGGCCAAAGAGTCTAGCTATTACTCTGAGTGTGAAGGCATCCATTTGAAGATTCTGAGTAGGAGAGTAATGAGATTTAATTTGCGTTTTAAAAATCTCTCTGGCTCTGGATGGAAAATAGATTGTGGGCCAGCATGGGGAGAGGAGTCAAGAGACCAGGTATGGGCTATGGGAGGTGTCCAGGCGGAAAGGAGGATTAAAGTAGATGAGGCCGGCAGCCCAGGGCCAGCACACAGTCAGTCAGGGCTGGCAAGAGGACAGAGCAAGTGAAGCGTTCACCTAGAGTGCAAAATGTAAGATGGGGAGAAGGAACTGCCAAAAAACTCGGTAATCAAAATAAATAAAGACACAATTCGTATTACCGATTTTTCCTTTTGCCTCAGGCTCCAATATGGCTTGACACGGCGCTGCGAATGACCCTGTCTTTCTTTAAAATGCTGATATTTTGTTCATCATGGAATTTTGGGCATTAATTTTGATTTTTAAATGCATTGCATTAAAATATCATTTATCTGGATGACTTTTTGGCACCGCCTTAAATTCTGTGGCTGAGGCAAGTACCTCCCTCGTCATACCCTAATCCTGACTCTGCACTAAGTACTCAGCACCCTACAGCGATTGAGGCCATTGCTGTTGTTTTTTGGCCTCCAAACCCCTAAGTAAATGCGTAGGTGGACACCAGGGGAGGCAGGTGCAAGGTGGGTTCTGCAACCTTCCCGTGTTCCCAGCTGACCTGATTTATGATGAAGGTGGGAATGAACAAAGCCATCTTAGGAGTTTGTCGGTGGCAGATTCTACTCCCACTGAGCTCAAGCTGATGCGAAATTTGTGGGAAGGAGCCTGAGGCATCTCAGAAAATCTCCAGCCCCAGGCTCTGTGTCTGTCAGGGCAAATTCCCCAGGAAGTGCCTCTGATTGGCCCAGTGTGGGTCACATGCTGTCTCTGAGCCAAATCGGCTGTGGCCACCCAGGCAGCGTGGTGGTGCACAAACATGGCTGCCAAGAGGCCCACCCTCTTGGGTGGGACAGTTCTCCCCAAAGAGAGATGTGGGCTGAGGTGGGGAAGGGGTTGTACTCATAATGTTGTCTGTTCGTGCAACAGTATTTCCTGCTGCCAGGGAGCTGGAGTTAGGGTTTAGAAAAGGCTGGGGAAGTTTAGAGGAAGCCGTAGCTGAGTAGCGAAAAGGGGAGTTGAAGAAGCCCTGAACAACATCTTCCCGTCGTCGCCTTCTTGGAAAAGCAAGCCCGCTTCTCCTGTGCGCCTTGCCCGCTCTGACAGTGAGGGAGGCTCCCTCGAGCACCCTTTAATTTCTCGGATTATTCAAATTTGCCATGCCCACCCAAACAAATGGGAGGTTTTCTGGAGAGAACCAGGGTCCATCAGAGGGGGGTATCAAAACCAGCTCAGCTCTCCAGTGTGGGAAATGAGTTTCTAGGCCACCAGACAGCTTCCTACCAAGCACAGAAGGCCCGTCACCTCTCCACATTCAAGTGACGGAAGTGGAGGAGGAATGAACCACAGGAAAGCAGAACAAGAAGCAACTGGTCTCCTTGCGATGTTCAGTGAGAGTTGAACATCAATTCTGTTACCAAGTATTGGTTCAAGTGAATCAAAGTCATGTCTAGCATCTATAATTTTTTTTTACATTGCAAAGGATTTTCCCCTGTAAGAGTTTATTTTGGTGTTTCACAAAGGGTGTTCTGAACATTCCTGGTAGCACGTGAGATGATTTTAGGCGAGACACCAACAAACATTTTTATTTTATTTATTTATGTTTAAACGTATTTTAAAAACATAGCAAGCATATCACACATGACAAAGACAATTGCTTAAGTCGGGGCTAAAGTAAGTATTTAAATGAGAAAAAAGGGGTACGGTTGATTTAAATAAAATGTTAAAGAATAATACAGTCATTTGGTTGGTGAAGGTAAAAATTGTGAAGGTGAGTGAAGTTTGGGGAACACTGGCTCAGCTGACGGCCACAAGTTCTGGAGAAGCCATTTGATCTGCTGCGATTGTCTCCAGGTGACAGATGACAGAGTGGAGACGGAGAGTGGCACCAAGTATGTGCCTCAAGTTACACATACACCCATGCGGGGCCAGGGCAAAAACACTGGATTTTATTTTATGTTATTTTATTTATTTTATTTTTTGAGACAGAGTCTCACTCTGCTGCCCAGGCTGGAGTGCAGGGGTGCACTCTCAGCTCACTGCAACCTCTGCCTCCCAGGTTCAAGCCATTCTCCTGCGTCAGCCTCCCAAGTAGCTGGGATTACAGGTGCATGCCCCCACACTTGGCTAATTTTTGTATTTTTAGTAGAGAAGGGGTTTCACCATATTGGCCAGGCTGGTCTCGAACTCCTGACCTCAGTGATCCACCAGCCTTGGCCTCCCAAAGTGCTGGGATTACAGGCGTGAGCCACAATGCCCAGCCTGGATTTTAAGCTTAGTTCAAAAGTCTTTTCACTCCCTCAAACTGAGACATCATCTGTCACTCTAAAATGTGATCTTTGAAAACTCACGCCAATGTAGTATTTCTCAAAACTGCTCTAGAAACAGAGAAAATATAATAAAATGTAATAACTGTCTCCTTTTTTCCATTGGTCTTTCTATAGCAGTGGTTCTCAACCAATGCATATTTTGTTTCCAGGGGACATTTGGCAATATCTGGAGACATTTTTGATGTCACAGTTGAGGGGTGGGGAGGCAGGTGGTGGATAGAGACCAGGGATCCTGCTAAAAGCTTCCTATAATACCCAGGACACTGCCCTCCCCCCCGCCAGACAAAGAAGCATTCAGCCCCAAATGTCAATAGTGCCCAAATTGAGAAAACCTGGTCTATAATCACCATGACCCATTTCATTCACAAAGTCAAATCTCAGACTGAAGGATCAGAAATCTGTCTCCTGGCTGGACACAGTGGATTACACCTATAATCCCACCACTTTGGGAAGCCAAGGCAGGAGGATCCTTGAGGCCAGGAGTTTGAGACCAGTCTGGGCAACATAGTGAGACTCTGTCTCTAAAACAACAACAACAGCGACATCAACAACAAAGGAAAGCTGTCTCCCTGTTGTGCTCGTGACATTTGCTCAGAAATTAACATTTTCGTGGCTGAAAAAAATAGGAAATGTTTTCTCAGGAATAGTTGTTGTATAATAATATCTCTAATACACACTAGCATTTATGGAGCCCTCTTGCTGTGCCAGACACCAGCCCAACAACTTTGCATGAAATTCTCACAACCACCCCATGAGGTAGGTACAGATGAGGAAACTGAGGCACAGAGAGGTTAAGCCATTTGCCTGAAGCGCCACAGCCTCTGCTTCAGAGGCAGGATTTGACCCCAGGCAGTCTGGCTTCGGAGCCTGCACTGTTATTCAAAACAGTATGTAGTCTATGTTGTAAGATTATATATTTTCTATGGGACACACTTTAACGACTTTCATTATTAAATGGGAAAAAGAATGCCACACATAAGATTTTTATTTTTCCTGAGTCGGTCTTCATGAAGAAAGAGGACTCACCACTGTTTCATATCATTCTCCTTTACTGCAGTTACTTCCCCTGCAATTTCCCTGTTTGGCCTTAATTTCCTTTGAGTCCTCGAGTGCCACGTAAACTAGGATTGGAAGAGTTCATGGAGAGGGCTTCTGTTCAGCTTCCCAGGCCCAGGACGGACTGCCGGCTTCTTGGAGCGGAGCTTTCAGGCTTGGGGTACACGGCACGCTTTAGAACTGTGCACGTCTTCACTTTTATTTCCCGGGAGCTAAGTTCAGCTGGCACTTCTTCCATGCCAGGGGCTGTGCAAATGCTTCACAGGTGTGACTTCGTTTCAGGCCCAACTCTTTTTTTTTTTTTTGAGACGAAATTTTTGCTCTTGTCGCCCAGGCTGAAGTGCAATGGCGCGATCTCGACTCACTGCAACCTCCCCCTTCCAGGTTCAAGCAATTCTCCTGCCTCAGCCTCCCGAGTAGCGGGGATTACAGGCGACTGCCACCACGCCTGGCTAATTTTTGTATATTTAGTAGAGATGGGGGTTTCACCATGTGGACCAGGCTGGTCTTGAACTTCTGACCTCAGGTGATCCACCCGCCTCGGCCTCCCAAAGTGCTGGGATTACAGGTGTGAGCCACTGCGCCCGGCCTCAGGCCCAACTCTTTACTTTTTATTTATCTTTTGTTTTCTAGTGAGGTAAAATTCATATGACAAAATTCACTGTTTTAACCATATTAAAATGTACAATTCAGTGGCTTTCCATGCATTTACAAAATTGTGCGACCGTCACCATTATTTAATTCCAGAACATTTCATCACCCCAGAGAGAAATCTCATATCCATCGAGAAGTCACTGCCCATTCCCCGCTTCCTGTAGCCCCTAACAGCCACTAATCCTCTTTCTGTCTCTATGGATTTGCCTGTTCTAGACATTTCCTATAAATGGCATTGCACAATATGTGGCCTTTTGCATCTGGCTTTTTTCATTTAGCAGAATTATTTCCAGGGTTCGTTCATGCTGTAGCAGGTAGCAGGACTTCTCTCTTTTTTACGGCTGAAAAATATTCCATAGTATGGACAGACCACAGTTTGTTTATGCACTCATTAGTTATGGATGTTTGGGTTGCTTTTACCTTTTGGCTATTGGGAATAGTTTTGCTATGAACATTCACATACAAATTTTTGTTTGAACACCTTTGAAGCATAATTAACACTTGTAATTGTCTTGGACATATATTTAGGAGGGGAACTGCTGAGTCATACGGTAACTCTATGTGAGACACAGTTGTGGGCCCACTTTACAGATGAGAAATCTGAGTTTCAGCGCAAACTTGCCCAAGATCATTGAGTAGTAAACATTAGGGCTGGAATTTGAACCCAGCCACAAGGCCATAACCACTGGTCTCCCCATCTGTCATCAGTGAGCCTTGGGAGAAATTGTAGATGGAGTTATGGCAAGAAAAAAACTCCTCATTTGTCTAATTTAACTTTTGTAATTTCTTGATTTAATTTTATTTCACTATGAAAGTAATGTGTGACCAGGTGCAGTGGCTCATGCCTGTAATCCCAACACACTGTGGGGCCAAGGTAGGAGGATTGCTTGAGGCCAGGAGTTTGAGAGTAGCCTGCACAACATGGTGACAACCCATCTCTATTTAAAAACCAACAAACAGAAATTTATAAAAGTAATGTGTGCTCCTTGCAACACGCCAAGTGATTTTTTAAAGTGACTATATTAAAAAAAAAAACAAACCACACACACACACCTGGTTCGAGGTCCACATGCACTAAGCAGCTCTTACTTTTGAAGCTGTTCTGTATCCTCAGAAAAGTCAGTGATAGAGCAGCACACGGACAGAGTGACACCTGAGGTTTCATCAGACTAACCCGGGGAAGGGGCAATTGCCCCACAGTGGCCTAGGGCTATGCTGTTCCCACAGACAGGAGTGATGGGGGCGTCAAGGGCTGGACCTGAACCATCCTGGGAAGCTGTTGTTCCCTCTGCAGCCACAGAGGCTTGGCCAATAGTAGGGGTGACCCTGAGCCAATAGCATCAGCTCCCAGGTGAGGGCAACACTGGCCGACATATGATTATTAGGGAAACCGCCATTTTTTTCCTCTTTTGCTTTAGATGAGGAAACTGAGGTTCCGGGAGGGGAGCTGACTTGCGGAAATAACAAGGAAGTGGCTGATCTGGGTTCCAATCCAGCTCCTTCTCACCTTCAATCCAGGGAAGCTTATTGGCTACACACTCTTTGCTTTCACACTCATGGTCACATTTGATTCACAACATCCTGGGTAGGTTCTTTTATTATCCCCATTTTGTAGATGGGGCAACTGAGGCTCAGAGACAGGGAGTGATTTAACTGAGGTCATTTAGCTAAAGGTGGAGCAAGGCTTGAACTGAGATATCAGGTCTGAGCCTATCTTTATTGCAAGAAAGCATTCTCTGGCAATTGAGGTGTTTACTAAATGCATTTGGTTTGTTTTGTTGTTGTTGTTTTGTTTTGTTTTTGTTTTTGTTTTGGCTTTTCATCCCAATGTTAAAAGCTTCTAGCTTTTCACCTTGATTAGCTCAATGGGCTTTGGTACCATACAGACAGGCCTTGGTCCAAACCCCAGCTCTAACTTAGGTTGTTTTTTGTTCGGTCCTTCAAGATGCTTGCTCCTCCTCCTTTTCTTTTTACCGCCCTACCTTTATTGTCAGTGGTCACAAAATGACCGTGTATCATGTACTTTGCTGTGAATAAAAACTGAACAAAAAATAAAGAGAATATGATTAAAAATTTTAAAATTTGCTTGATAAGTCAAACTAAATCATATCTATTCCACAGATAAATAATAAAGGAATAATCAATTAGAAGGAATTAGAAAGAATCAATTAGAAGGAATAATCAAAGAGAAGGCATATCTATTCCATGGATAAATAATAAAGGAATAATCAATCTGTGTAAACATCCCTCATCCTGCCAGAAACAGGGCAAAGCATTTTCTACGTATTAACTAATTCAATTCTCACAATAATACTTTGACCTAGGTATGGTTTTTGTTCTCATTTCATAGATGTAGACACTGACACACAGAGAGGTTAAGTGACTTGCCTGAGATCACACAGCTTTCAATTGCCAAAGCTGGCATTTGCAATCCAAGCAGCTTGGCCCCAGAGTCTGTGCTCTCAGCTACCTAGGCTCAAAACTGCTCTGTAGAACTACATCCACCAGGATGGCAAATTCTATGAGTTCATGTTTAAAAGTAGGTCACAAATCAGCATGGCTGTCCCTCTTTGTTTTAAATTTATACATAATATTACTTTTTTTGTAATGTTGACTGTGTTGGGTGCCAAGGCAAACACTTTTGAGTATATTGCTTAGCTGAATCTTCAAACAGCCCTGCAAGTAGGGCATTGCCACGGACATATTCAAATGCAGAATGAAGGCTCAGAGGGGCTCGGTCACTCAGCCTGGAGACACTTGGCCTGCAGAATGCCCATGTGTGGAGGCACTCACTGGCTGATATCACACAACTGCTTGCGGGAGCTTCACCACGGGCTCCATGAAGCAGCTAGAGGCCCTAGCTGGAGACTGCAACCGGCGGATGGGTGGTGTGTGGCCTATTCTAGCCTAGAGACTCACCCCACCCGCCCTTGCCCGCTGCTTTGCAAGGATGTTTTGCAAAATATTTAGCAAGGCACGGATGGAGCAGGTGTTTGGAAGTCCTCACTGTGTGGGTGCTGCTTTTTTGGATGCTGGATGTGGGGAGCATCTAGGGCAATGGGGGGAGGCACCAGCGGGCTCAGGGCCAACGTTGCCAACTTGCAGCTTTTCATTGCGGCCACAGTGAACACCAGCCCTGTTCTTTTGCCTGGAGAAGAGGCTGGGTGCCAGGGTTTCCTGTCTCCCCTGGGAAGCTGCCTCCAAGCTCTGACTCTCACTCCCACCCCCAAATATGAGCTCCCAATGGGAAGACTGAGTCTGGAGGATACTGGGATCATGAGCAGCTGTGGAGAAGTGGCAGAAGGGACATTGTGGGGACAGGCTCAGACGCCTGCCCTGCCATGTGCATGCCAGATGCAGGACAGGGAACAGGAACTACATCAAAGTGGCTGGAGCGGGAGGGGACCGAGGAAGTGTATGGCACGGTGACAAAAACCGAAGCCCTGAAGAACTGGGGACAGCAGGGACGGTGGTCTGAGCAGGTCCAGGTCCAGGACGGTCTAAGAACTTGGGGGAACTCACGCTTCCTGCATCTCCCGGCCGGAGGGGATGGGCCAGGCTCACGGGTCAGTGGGACCACAGCAGGGTGGCAGTGCCAGCTTTGCAGCAGGGAGTGTGTGTGGCCAGGCTATGCAGAGGGCGGCAGCACAGGCTCTGGACCAGAAGGCCTGGGCTGGAAGCCCAGCCTCACAAATCACTGGGAGGTGTAGCCTCTCCGGCTCTCTGGGTCTCAGTTTCCCTGTCTACAAAGTAGGAACAATGGTGCCTACCATACGGTGTCGCTGGGAAGCGAGGGTGAGTTCAGCACAACATGTGGCGCATAGCAGCACTCTTTAAATGTTATTTAAGCACTGGGAGTCACCCTTGACTATGATGGACAGAGTTCTGGATAAATACCTCAGCCACCATGCTGCTCGGAAGGGCCACACTCTTCCTCAGAGTTCCCCAGCAAGAGGGAAGCTCCGCTCTCCACAAGCAATGGCCTGCCCCTGAGCGCACCCTTGATGGATTCCTCCCTTTCTTGCCTCACTTCCCTCCTCCCCTGCCTCCCACACGCACTCCTCATTGCAGACTCAAGATCAGCTGAGCCTCATAGATGGCTCAGACCACGCTAACAGCATCAGCCCTCGATGCTGTCGGTCAGTTCTCAGTGGGATCCCCACTCTGCCACTTGTACCTGCAACCTTGGGCAAGCAAGGCAATGCCTCTGAGCCTCGTTTCTCATCTGCACGATGCAGACTGGAGTGGCAGCCACCCCACAGGCCAGGTGTAGAGACTCATTACGTGCTACAGGTCAAGTGTCTAGCACAGATCCTGGCACACAGTAACCACTCCACAAAGATTATCTATTAATATTTCTATGACAGGAGATTAGACCCAGGGGCCGCTCTATGGGCAAGAGCGCTCTGCAGCCACTCAGGGCTCCATGCTTGGTTTAATGCTCTCCTTTCGCTATCTTGAAATGCTTAACCATTTTTTAATTAAAGGCTCTGCATTTCTACTTTGCACTGGGCCCTGCCAATGATGCAGCTGGTCCTGGTGAGTGCTCTCTGGGCTTCAGTTTCTTTAACTGTAAGATGAGAGTGATAACACAGTCAACCTACCCTGCAGGAGCATAATGGGGCAGAAGAGTGTGTGCCTATAAAAGTGCTTCGCTAATAAAAAGACAAACAACCCAATTAAAACATTGGCAAAGGGTCTGAATAGACTGCTCCAAAGAAGATGTACGAATGGCCAATAGGCACATGAAAAGACACTCGACATGTTTAGTCATTATGGAAATGCAAATCAAAACCACACCAACTACAGTGGCTATGGTCAACATAGCCAGTGTTGGCCAGGATGTGGAGAAACCAGAACCCTTATACAATGCTGGTGGGAATGGAAAATGATGCCAGCCCCTTTGGAAAAGTCTAGCAAGTCCCCAAGAATAGTTACCATCTGATCCAGCAAGTCCATTTCTAGGTACACACCCAAGAGAAATGAAAACATATATCCACACACAAAAACTCATACACAAATATGTACAACAGCGTTATTCATAATAGCCAAAAAGTGGCAACAGCCAAATGTCCATCAACTGATGAGAGGGTAAACAAAATGTAGTCTTTCCATACGATGGAATATTATTCATCCGTAAAAACAAAGGCAGTACTGATGCCTGCTACAGCATGGATGAACCCTGAAAACACGATGCTAAGTGAAAGCAGCCAGACACAAGACTAAGTTTCCACTTATATGAAATGTCTAGAATTAGAAAATCTATAGACACAGAAAGTAGATTAGTGGTTGCCAGGAGTTGAGGGTAAAGTGGGTAGAAATGGGGAATGTCTTCATCAGTTCGGGCTGCTCTAACAAAATACCATGGACTGGGTGGCTTGAAAACATCAGAAATTTATTTCTTGCAGTTCTGCAGGCTGGGAAGCCCAAGATCGAGGTCCAGCTGGGTCGACTTGTGGTGGGAGCCATCTTCTCGCTATATCCTCACGCAAAAGGCCAGGGGTCTCTCCCCAGCCTCTTTGATAAGGGCACACTAATCTCAATGAATCACCTCCCAAAGGCCCCACCTCCTAACACCATCACACTGGGAGTTAGGATTTCAACAGATACATTTTAGAGGGACACAGACATTCAGTCATAACACAGAGTGACTGCTAATAGATATAAGGTTTCTTTTGGAGTTGATAAAAATATTCTAAAAGTGAATGTGGTCGTGGTTGCCAACTCTGGATATACTAAAAATATTCAATTGTTCACTTTCAGTGGGTGAGTTGTGTGGTATGTGAATTATATCTCAACAAAGTGAGAGAGAGCAGCTTTATATATCTCTACATATGACACGCACATATATGTAAATAGAGACATGTGTAAGTTTAAAAGTGCTTTGCAGACTCTAAGGTGCAGACACCTATAATAACACATGATCACAGCACAGTCCCGTGCCCACACCATGCAGACACACATGTGCACACACACGCACGCACATGCACACACACAACACACACACACAGACACACATACATACATACATACAGACACATACACACAGACACACATTCATGTGCCCTGGCCGCTTGAGTGCCCAACATGACTGCTCCCCCGCTGGGTTCACTGTATCTAGTCCTCATTCTTGGGAAAACACATTCACTGCCAACTCCTGCGGGGAGAGACCCCAAATAAATACATCAGCGAGGAGGAATCAGGGGCCCTGCTGGGGCATCTTCCCTGCTGCTTACTCCACCCTGCATGAAACAGAGGTCAGAAAGAGCACCAAGTGGGACAACATGTGACATGGCCCTTCCCCAGGGCAGGATCAGCTTTCTGACTGTGCCAGAGGCAGAGTCGTCATGCCTTGGTTCAGAATGTGGATGATAGAAGGCTCAGGACAGCGGTGGCCAGATGGAGAGCTTCCCAGGACAGTCAACATTCAAATAAATTTGTGGTGACTCCTGTGGGGTGGTCTTCACCTCCCTCTTCACTCCTACCCCAGTGTTAAGGTGTGTCCCTCTCTGATCTTCTGATTCTCACCTCATAGCTGCAAGATGGCAGCTGTGCCTCCAGGCATTACATCCACGTTCCAAACAGGAAAGAAAGATTGAAGGAACATTAATCCATGCCTCAAAATATCTTTCCAGATATTTGTGACAGGGACAAAAATCTGACAAATGTTTGAACGCTCCTTCTTTTACTTATGCACTCCACAACTACCACATCCAAAGAGGATTTTCTATTTCACCTGCCCAATTTTCTGCTCTCTTCTTCTCCATAAACAGCCCAGCCTGTTTCTGGGCCTTTGAGAAAATATGAATGAGAATTGATGGATAGGGACAGAGAGACTGGTGAGGTGAGAGTCACAGGAAATGAGGAACTAACTCAGCTTGCAGAATCTTTGAGGTTGTGTTAGTTCTGGTCCTCTGGGCTTCCACCAAACCTGTATTTACTTCTACCATATCAAGTATTTGATTTCTTCTATTCATTCATTCATTCAAACATTCCTTCCTTCATTCCCCTTGATTCATACATGAATTCATACATTCATTCATTCATTCATCATTTATTCATTTATACATTCATTCTACATTCATTTATACATTCATACATTCATTCATTCATACATTTATACATTCATTCATGCATTCATACATACATACATTCACACATTCATTCATACATTCATTAGCTCACGTACATGCTCATCTATTTATTCCCTTTCCGATGTTAACAAAAACCAAGGGGCTTTACCTCTTCAGCTGCAGTGTGATTGCCTCATACTTGTCAGTGTCCTCCATGAGACTTGAGCTCCTTGAATCTCTCAAGGACCAGGCGGCTGGTGTGCTGCATGTTTATTAGACAATGGAACGGATGCAGGGACCACGTCATGATGCTTCTCCGGGAAGGACCCTGGCTGGGCAAAGCTCAACTAACCAGAAATCTCTGGATCGGAGGAAATGGGGATAGTGAACATTCCAGTCACCTTTCTCCATGATCCCTTGATGGTGGATATCTTGCTGAGATACCTTGACCTGTCTCTCTGCCATGGTCAAGATCCATGAACTTGATTGACTTGACTGGATCTCTCGTTAGCACCTGTGGCTCTTACAAAGCTTAGCACATCTCCTTGAGAGTGGAGGCGGATGGAGAGGCTTCTAGGAGATTGGCTGGACTCTGCCCTCTCCCAGGACCTGCTGGCCCTCAGCTTGTTCTCCACGTGTTGTGAAGAGTAGATGTGTCAGTGCAGGGCAGGGGTAGAGCAGAATCTGTTCAATGGGTAGGCTGATGAATTGAATGCCAATTAATTGTGGTCTCTGCTATGGTTTGAACATGGTTTGTCCCTGCCAAAACTCGGGTTGAAATTTGGCCATGTTGGGAGGCGGGGTCTAGAGCGAGGTGTTTAGGGCATGGGGGTGGATCCCTTTTGAATAGAATAATGCCCTCCTTCAGAGGTGAGTGAGTTCTCAATCTCCAGGAATGGATTCACTCCCATGAGAGCAGGTGGTTAAAAAGAGCCTGGCTTTCTCGGTCTCACTCTCTTGCTTCCTCTCTCATCATGTGGTCTCTTTGCACACACCTGCTCTCTTCCTCTTCCTGCCATGAACGGAAGCAGCATGAGGCCCTCACCAGATGCAGCTGCACAGTCTTGAACCCTCCAGCCACTAGAATCTTGAGCCAAATAGACCTCTTTTCTTTAGAAATGACCCAGCCTCTTGTATTCTTTTACAGCAACACATGTGGACTAAGACAGTCTTGCTTAGCTGAAGGTTGGCTCGCGGTCTGCTCTTTCCTGCACCTCCCAAATCAGACAGTGGCCACCTACAGCAGAGCAGGGATACGTTCCACTGACACAGAGTCGATTGTGTTTCTTGAAGAATAACAAAATAAACATGGTAATAATAATAAAAGCCATAATCATAGTCACCGTGTACTTTAATTATGTGCATATTATCACAATATGCTAAGCACATGACATTTATTTTTCTTTTACATCTTCACAACAGCCCTATGAAGTAGGTGCTATAATTACATCCATTTGGTAGATGAGGAAACTGAGGCTCAGGGAGGTCAAATAACACAGGCAATGAGTGGGTGGATGTGGGAGCTAACCATCAAGGCACACACCAGATGGTCCTCTTTCCCCACCAGCCCCTCCTCTGCCATGTCACCCTCCTGCCTGCCCTCCAGCAACTGCCTTGCACTGGGCTTTCCTTCATCTCTGTGTAAATTAACTTATTCTAACATGTGAGTGACTGCTAAGCTCAAGTCATCCTAAAGATATTTGCCTTTTTAAGTCCTAATCCAAATGTGTACTTTATTAGTAGAATGTGGAGAAGCACCAACCGAATAACAGGGCATCTCCTGATGCCATCCTTATGGCATGGGGTGGACAGGGGTCCTGAGAAAGGTCAGCTGCCTCCCACTTCCAGCTACAAGCCCCACTGCAGCAGAGATGGTGAGAACACCACCTCCAGCCCTGCCCTTGGCCGTGAGTAAGTCCTCCCAGACTTTTCCATGGTGGTTGTTAATCTTCAGCCCTAACGACCAGCCTGCTCTCTGCACTTCCAGGTCTTGTTTGGACTGGAACCATTTGAAATGCTGTCTTATAATTACAGAGGTTGCGCGGGCGGGGGCTGTGCTGCCAGGCGGCCGTTGGACTTGCACGTCTCTGCTGCAGCCAGCAATTTCAGTAATGATAGTCATGCACACCGTTTATCTTTGGGGTTTCCAGAAATACAGGGACTTTTCCAGACACTCACGGGTGTCTGACATGAGTGATTCCGTCTGCATCGTTCTCTGAGGCCATGAGGGCACGCTTCCTGAATGAGCTGGGATGCTGTCAGGGGCTGTTTGGGGAACACTGAACGCGAACAGGTTCAGAAATCCATGGAGCAAAGGAGCCTCAGACATCATGGCTGATGAAAGGGTCTCCCCTGGACTGAGGAGTTTCCTGGGAGGTAACCAGCGAGTCCTGGAGAAACCTGGACAATTTTTAAAACCAGTGAGTCCTGGACAAACCTGGACAATGGATCACCCTGTTCGCATTAAACACAGGGACTGGAACACAGGCATTTTTCTTTGCTCCATCCAGAGACCTTTTTATAAAGGGAACAAACTGTTAAGCAAAGGTATAAACCTCATGAGCAATAAACAGGAAAAGAGGAGGTGACAGCAGCAGCCGAAGGGCCCCGCCAAACGCAGGAAGGTGGAGAGCAGGTGGGAAGGGACCCCCCATAGCCCCACGGAAAAGCTGGCCGTTAAGAAGCATGGGCTGGGGGACAACAGCAGGAGGCCCGGATAATCAGGCCCCCAGTACTACTGCCTTCCCAGAAGTTGCTGGGAGGACTGCCCCGCAGAGGCATTGAACCTGAGTCTCCAAAGCCTGAGATGCCAGCACAGTGAAGGGTGGAGGTGACCCTGTGGTGAAAACAGGACCTGGGGTGTGCGGAGGACACCAGCCTCCCATCACATGGAACCAGAAGCTGAAACCCATAAGCAGAAAATGATGGAAGGCGCAGGAAGCAATGATGATGCAGGGAAAGGAAAAGCGAGAAACATTTGTCAACGAAAAGAGTCAAACTCCGTACAATATTTGAAGAGATTTATTCTGAGCCAAACATGAGTGATCAATAGCCCAAGGCACAGTCTCAAGAGGTGCCGAGAACATGTGTCTCAGGTGGTGGGGCTACAGCTTGGATTTATCCAATTTAGGGAGACATTAGACATCAATCAGTACATGTAAGCTGTACATTGGTTCCATCCGGAAAGGCAGGACAACTCCAAGTGGGGGAGAGGGCCTTCCAGGTCATAAGTGGATTCAAGAATTTTTTAGTTGGCAACTGGTTGAAAGAGTTGTTATTGCCTAAAGACCTAGAATCAATAGAAGGAAGGCTCTGGGTTAAAATAAGGGGTTGTGGAGACCAAGATTCCCATTATGCAGATGGAGCCTCCAGGTAGTAAGATTCAGAATCGATTGTAAATGTTTGTTATCAGACTTAAAAAGAAAAAGTGCCAGACTCTTAGCTAATTCTCTCCTGGATCAGGAATAAGGCCTGGAAAGGGAAGGGGATTCTCTACAGAAGGCAGATTTTCCCTACAAAAGACAGCCTTGCAGGGCTATTTCAAGATATGTCAAATAAATGTATTCGAGGTTATAATATTTAGATTTCCTTCTTTATCTGTCATGTGAGGTTATGCCAGCGTCAGGTTGGAAAGTGAGCCACATTACACAGGGTTAAACAAGACAGCTCTGACGGTTTGCTGAGGGGGACTCCCCACGCCTCTTAGATAGGAATCTGGGCAAGAGAAGAAAAAGGTCAGACTTTAGGCTACACATTGTTAATACCCTCACAGAGACAAAAGATTGAATTCATGAAACAAGAAGGAAACGCTATTTTTAAAAAAGAAGATCCTTCAGAGAAGCAAGTGTTCACTCTCATAAAATTATTAGTCAATAGGACAGTCAGAAGGTAAAGGTGAAGGAATATTCCAAAATTTTGCAAAAGAACATGGGAATAGAAAACAAGAAGTAAGAGGTAAGAAAATTAGAGGCTCCATCCTGGAACCCAACTTCCAACTTGTAGGAGTTTCAGAAAAAGAAAACAGATTGAATGGAGGGAGAAATTATCCTAATATTAAAATTCTTCAGAAAACTGAAAAGAAAGAAGATACTACAGGTTTTTAAAGGGAAATAAGGGAGAAAGTTTTACATGCAAAAGAACAGAAATCAGAATAGCCCTGAATTGGCTTAACAGCAATGCTAGAAATATTGCAACTGTGAACAGTGTAGAGCCAAACCTTGTTTGCCTTCTAAAGGAAAATTACTCTCAAACTAGAATTGGGTTGACTAGTATGAGATAAAATAATGAAGTTTCCAGATTTTAAATGCTTCACAAGTTTGCTTCCCTTGTATCTCTTTGCAGACATCTCCTGGAGAACTTGCTGCAGGCACACAGCAGTGTGAGCCATGAAGGAGGAAGGCACAGGATCCAGGAAAGGAGACCTGTCTTAGGAGGGAAGCAACAGCAAGTTCCATGAGAATTTGAAGAGAAGTCCTGTTACAGGATGGGGTCCTGATCCAGACCCCGAGAGAGGGTTCTTGGATCTCACACAAGAAAGAATTCAGGGCAATTCCACAGGGCAAAGTGAAAGCAAGTTTATTAAGGAAGTAAAGGAATAAAAGAATGGCTACTCTATAGACAGAGCAGTCCCAAGGGCTGCTGGTTGCCCATTTTTATGGTTATTTCTTGATGATATGCTAAACAAGGGGTGGATTATTCATGCCTCTCCTTTTTAGACCATATGGGGTAACTTCCTGACATTGCCAGGCTGTTTGTAAACTGTCATGGCGCTGGTGAGAGTGTAGTAGTGAAGACAACCAGAGGTCACTCTCGTGGCCATCTTGGTTTTGGTGGGTTTTGGCTGGCTCCTTTACTGCAACCTGTTTTATCAGCAAGGTCTTTATGACCTGTGTTTTGTGCTGACCTCCTATCTCATCCTGTAACCTAGAATGCCTTAGCTGTCTGGGAATGCAGCCCAGTAGGCTTCAGCCTCATTGTACCCAGCTCCCGTTTAAGATGGAATTGCTCTGGTTCACATGCCTCTGACAGTCCCAGTGGTACAGCCAGCCCGGGAGCCACGGAGAGAGAACCACAAGAAATAACTGAAAAAACTAAAACAAAAAGAAAATTACTCAATAAGTTACCTGATGTGTTTGTGCAGAGAAAATTTTAGGGTACTTTTCGATAGTTGGGGGAAGACATAATGATGGATCCAAAGAAAATTAAGCAGACTGTTTTCTAAAGGCAATTATAAACTCCAGGAAAAACAAAAGCTTGTGCAAGAAAGGAAATGATGCCATAAAATACTATATGGTACAGAGATAAACAATATTTATGTGACCATAATTATGTAAATACTAAAAAATCACTTTACCAAAAATTATGATCAGTATATCAAGAGCATGTGGGAGAAGTCTATATATGGAGGTGGTGTAAGGTTTTCAGTCATCATTTTTCATATGAGTGGTCAATAAATATTTCAGTCTCTTCAGGCTGCTGTAACAGAATACCACATTCTTAGTGATTTATAAAACTCACCAAGAAATTTACTGCTCATGGTTCTGGAGGCTGGGAATTCCAAGATCGAAGCTCCAGCAGATTTGATATGTGGTGAAAGTCTACTTTCTGGTTCATAGATAGGGCCTTTTTGATGTGTCCTCACATGGTAGATGGGATGAGGGGTCTCACTCAAGAAGAGCACTAATCTTATTCATGCCCTCATTCCTTAATCAGTCTCCAAAGTCCCCCCACCTTTTAATCTTTTTTTTTTGAGATGGAGTCTCACTCTGTTGCCCAGGCTAGAGTCCAGTGGTGTAATCTTGGCTCACTGCAACCTCCGCCTCCCAGGTTCAAGCGATTCTCCTGCCTCAGCCTCCCAAGTAGTTGGGACTACAGGCCGGTGCCACCACACCTGGTTAATTTTTGTATTTTTAGTAAGCGACCAGTACCCCAAGGTGATGGTATTAAAAGGTAGGGGGACCGGCTGGGCGCGGTGGCTCATGCCTGTAATCCCAGCACTTTGGGGTGCCCAGGTAGATGGATCATTTGAGGTCAAGAGTTCAAGATCTGCCTGGTCAACACGGTGAAACCCTGTCTCTACTAAAAATACAAAAATTAGCCAGGCGTGGTGGCACTCGCCTGTAATCCCAGCTACTCAGGAGGCTGAGGCAGTAGAATCGCTTGAGCCTGGGAGGCGGAGGTTGTGGTGAGCCAAGGTTGCACCATTGCACTCCAGTCTGAGTGACAGAGTGAGACCCTGTCTAAAAAAAAAAAAAAAAAAAACAAAGAAAAGGAAGAAAAAGAAAAGAAAAAAGAAACGGATAAAAGAGTAGAAATAAAAAGGAGTTTCCTCTGGAGGATATGAGTCCAGATTCAAAGATTTCATCAAGTGTCTAGTACAAGAAATTGCAAAATGATAGATACCAGTTTGTATCCCCACTGGGAGGAGGAGCCGGTGGTGGAGAGCAGGGTAGGACACAGCTGCTTTTTATTATCAATCTTGTATTAAAGTTTAACTTTTTATTTACTGTTGTACACATATAAATTCAATTTAAAAAGTAACAAAAGGACAGTTTTCTACAGGGAAAAAAAGTATCAAAAGGCATTCACTGGTATATACACCCCAAAACCATGGAGTGGCCTGCTTTCAGGTACAGCTGGATTCAGCAGCTCAAATAATGTCACCAAGACCTAAGGTGGCCAACTCAACCTCATTTGCCTGGGACTTTCTCAGTTTTAACACTTAAATTTCTGCAGCTTGTGAAAACCCATAGCATATCTTGTCTGAATATTCATGTCCCCTCACCCCCTGCAAATTCATAGGTGGAAATGTTAACTGCCAAGGTGATGGTATTAGTAGGTGGGGGACTCTGGGGAGTGATTAGGGCGTGAGGACAGAGCCCCCATGAATGAGGTTAGTGCTCTTATTTTTAGAAGGCTCAAGCGAGTCCCCTCACCCCATCTACCATGTGAAGACACACCAAAAAGGCACTGTCTATGAACCAGTCCCAGGCAAACCACAGTGTCAGTCTCCTCGTCAGGGCCCCGTTTTCCTCTTTCTCTGATCTGCTTTCTCAGCGTCAGCAGCATCGTGCTCAGATCCCCCGCAAGGTGGCCCTTCAGCAACATGGTGTGACTCTCCTATCCCAGATACTGACCACCACCGACTTCTCTGCTCTCTTTAAAAAGCGTCTTACTCCAATTTTATTTTCAACCTCCTGCTTTTCACGTTTAAGTTTTGTAGTAAGTCTTCCTCAAAACCATTTTTTGGAAACAGGCCATCTATAAATCCTAAATAAATAAATGCCTCCCTCTCCTTCCCACAGCTGTCGTGGTGTGGGAAGAGCGCAGAACGAGCTGGCAGGCTCCCTGATCGGTGGGGACCACCAGGGCACAGTGAATTTTTTAGCCTGAATGATCAGGTTTGCTCATCTACAGTGGCCAGAGAGCAGGAAAACGGCCACATCTCCTCCTCGTGCTGCGCTCAGTGGACTACCAGTAAAGTCACTTGTTTTTATTTTAATTCACCCACATCCGGGCTTGGGCACGAGGCTCTTTCCTGGGTTCCAGTTCAAGTTCTCTGATCAAGAGGCCCCACGTTTGTGATGTTCAAGGCCTGGAGCAGAAGCCAAGAGGAGAAAAACAAATTGCTGGTCTGTGGGAATAGAATCTAGGTTCCCTCTTACCTGGGCAGGGGAACCATTCCAACAGGCAGAATAGTGCGGGAGTTAGCAGCAGGAGTTGGGGTGGGACAAATCCGGCCTTAGACCCTGCACTGAGCTGTGAGCCCCTGGCAAGTTACTGTCTCTGGGCCAATCCGCTTTTCTCCTGGGCCATCGATAAGTCCATCCGGTGCCTTCGTGTGGGAGGAGGAAGGGTCCTACCTTTCTGGGTAAATGTGACCCCACACACACCTTGGGAGTGGAGCTGGGCTGGGTTTCAGCACCCACTGTCAGTTGGAGCCAATAACAGCATCTTCCCTTGCAGGCTGGACTGTGATAAAGGATGGAAGTGCTCAGGCCACACCTGGCTCATGGAAGGTTTGCAATGCACGGCAGCAAACAACTAGCAGAGAGCTTGCCCCTTTTCTGTTTCTAAAGTTGACTGTGTCCTCATATACTTATGTGTGATTGTGAAGCCCCCCAAACAAATTCAAATCAGTAAATTCAAAATTCAATAAAATAGCTCACCAGAAAATGTAAAATGAAAAAGACAGTATCACACAGTGGCAAGGATGTTGAGCAAATGGGTCTTCCACATGCTGCTAGTAAGGGTGTAAAAGGTTCAGCCACCTTGGAAAACAGTTAATGGGCAGATTCAACTAAAGTGGATCATTTACATATCCTATGGTCCAGCTATGCTATTCCATTTCTAGGATTAGACCCAACAGAATCACAGACATAAGTTCACCAAAAGACATGTTCAAGAATGTTCGTGGTAGCATTTTCTCATTAGCAAGAAACTAGAAACTACTAAATGCCCATCAACAGTAGAATGGAGAAACCAATTTGCTCCATTCACATCATGGAATATTATACAGGAATGAAAATGAATGAACTGCAGGAAACACAACTGCATTGGTAAACCTCACACAAACACATCACTGAGAAAAATTTCAGCCACACAAGAGCATATATTATGTTATTTTGTTAACATAACTTCCTAAAACAGGCAAAACCAATCTGCAGGGTGAGAATTCAGAGTAGTGGTTTCCCTTGCAGAGGAGGGGACGAAAGCTATCAGGGGCACAAGAGCACCTCTGGGAACCACGATGCTGTTTGCTCATCTCTCTCAGGTGCGGAGGGCTCACTTTGGGAGTATTCATTCTTATAATGTTGTGCCCTTTTGTATGGGTATCACATTTCAATAGAAAATTAAAAATAAAATACAATCACATAAACAGGATCATGGTTCCCCTGTGAACAGGGGTTGTGGGGACTGGGTTCACGGTGACGTCCCTTGTTGCTCTGGTCTCAGCTGAAATGTCACCTTCTCAGAGAAGCCACCTCTGAAAACTGTCCCCAAGCATTGTCGCAATCGCCAGTCCTCTGTAAACATCCACGAGGGCTTGTTTCTCCTGAGCGGTACTTCCTTTGGGGTGGGCTGTCTTGGGCTTGTTTGGTTGTGTTGGCGGATGATGTCTCCTCTGTCTCACCTCCCAGACGGTGAGCCCTGAGAGTGGGGCCTTGTCTGTCTTGCTTCCTGCTGCATGCTCGTTTCTAGAACAGTCCCTGGCACAGAGTAAGGAGCTAAGTGAGTCCTTGTGAGTGTGGATGTTGAAAGGGCTAGTCACACATTGATCAACAGAACAGAGGCGTGGAAAGGCACACACCCAAGTCAGGTTCTGGGGCCAAGCAAGCCCTGAGCAGACAGGAGCCTCAGAGGCCTGGGAGATGAGGCCGCGGGGTGGGTGGTTGAGGCTAGACCATGGTGTGAGAGGCCCCAGGGCCTCAGGGCCATTTGAGAACCCACCATGAAGGCAATAGGAGGCCACCAAAGTGTCTTCCTGCTGAAAATATATTTTTAATTTTTACATATTTTTTACATATTTATACTTCATGTATACGTATTTTTCTGATTCTATAAATATGTACTCATTGGAGTCTTAAAACCACAGAAAATCATAAAGAAGGAAATAAACATCACTGATAATCCCACCAACCTCATATAAACAATATTAACATTTCGTGTTTTTTTCTTTCAGTTTTATTTATTTATTTCTATACAAAACCCAGCTGTGATCAAGGTCCTGAATCCCAGGCATTGAGGCAGAAGGAGATGCCGTGCCAGGTGGATCTGGAAGATGCAGCTGCACGTAGGACTGGAGAGTAGCTGGGGGACCGCCAAGGAAGAGGCTGGGATGGAGCCCAAGGAGTGGGCTGGGGGCAGTGAGGCCGGAGAAGAGGGTCCACTTGGACTTCTCAATGGGGAGCAGATTGGATGGGACTGAGGCTGGGGTAACGGGAGAAGCCAGGGGCCAGTCTCAAGAGACTAGGAGATGGTGGTGCCCAAAACTTGGGGAGGGGAGAGGATGGCTGCAGCTTCATGCCTGTTGATGTCAAGGGGCCAGCAGGACCCTGCATGAAGACGTCCACGTGGCCAGAAAGGCAGGCTCTGCCGGCCAAAGCGAGGAGAGAGTGCTCACGATTCATTATAAAAGTGAGGAAGTGTCCTCTGAGCACGCCTCCAAGGCGGTTCTGCGCAGCTCCTGCTGGGGCAGCTGAGAGCGAACGATGTGCTGAGTGAACTCCTGAGGTTCAGCAAACCTGCGCAAAGGTTCCAGGGACCCATCTTCTGAGGGGCTTCTCCTGCAGGTGGTCCAGGCAGCCATCAAAGACGGGGCTGCAGGGGGGTCTGGGGCCCAGGATGACATTTGTTATTCAGTAAGTGAAGAGAGAAGGCTACAAAAATTGAGTATAATCCCTTTTGTATTAAAACAACAGCAAAACAATGTAAGTATGGATAGAAAAAAAGTCTAAAAATAAGTATAGCTAATATCCAGTGGAAGGAGAAGGTCAGATTTAAGGACAATTTTTTTTTTTTTACCTTTTCCTGTGTGCCGTTCTTTATTTCCAAATCTAGGACCAAGAATAATAAATGTGAACAAAAGAAGCATTCTGATGATGAACTGTGGGCAGCCACAGAAATGCTTAAGGCACGATATTGAAGGTGAGCACCCTTCAATATCCCTGTCCCTGAAGCAGGGACAAGGAGGTCACGGCTGGGCAAGGCTGGGAGGAGGAGTTCACAGGGCCCACTCTGGCTGAGGACATGGCGGCAGAGGCAGCAGCAGGTGCCTGTGCACCGTGGCTTTGGTTGGGTGTCACATACCAGGTGTGCCAGGCTCTGCCGCTGCCGCCATGCCTGCACAATCAGACGTGGAGCCCGTCGGACTATTTATACCCCTTGGAACATCAGCAGGCCAGCCAGGAGGCGAAGACCTTCGCAACATGTCCAAGGCCCGCAGCTGCTACCCCTCCTCACCCAGGGCTTCCGTGAGGACCTGCTCAGTGTTATCAGTGCACCCACTCCACAGATAAGAAGCTGTGCCTGGCCCCACTAATGGTATTATTTTAGGGACCACTCAAAGGACAGGCCAGGATTGGGGCCTGGGTCATCTGTCATTCCTTCCTTCATCGACACGCTAAATAAGGGTCAAACAGAGACCAGCACTTGTTTGCAGGGCTGGAGGGGCTCTGCCAAGCTGGAGTATCATCCTCCCCAGAGACTGCTGGGAAAGGCATTTGCTCAGAGCAGCTATTTCTGTCCCACTCACAGCACCTCTGGGTGACCCACCCACAGGTCAGAGTGACCTTGCAAGGTGGAAGGACAAAGACATTGCTGCCTAACTCTTGGTGAGAGGGAATGTGTAAGATGGCTTATGCTAAAACCTCCCAAAATAGAGATACCACAGATCTGGATTCTGTTACAAAGGGTCAGAGCTCAAATATGTAATTTCTCTGCTGGCTTTAGCATTCGAAACCGTTTTTACTCAGCATTTCTTTTTTCTTTCTTTCTTTTTTTTTCTTTCGAGACAGAGTTTCGCTCTTGTTGCCCAGGCTGGAGTGCAACGGTGCAATCTTGGCTCACCGCAACCCTTCTGCCTCCCGGGTTCAAGTGATTCTGCTGCCCCTGCCTCCTGAGTAGCTGGCATTACAGGCATGTGCCACCATGCCCGGCTAATTTTGTAGTTTTAGTAGAGATGGGGGTTCTCCATGTTGGTCAGGCTGGTCTCCAGCTCCCAACCTCAGGTGATCAGCCCACCTCGGCCTCCCAAAGTGCTGGGATTATAGGCATGAGCCACCACACCTGGCCCAGCATTTCTATAATTTAATTGTGTTAGATATGCACCACCGAGGGTCAAGTACAAGGATGTGGACCTTGGAGCAAATTGTGGCCAAAGTCACCACCCACCATCAGTCTCCACCTTCGCCCCCACAGATACCCCCTGCCAACACACACACATGCACGCACACACACACACACATATATAAACTTTTCTTGGGAATTATTTAGTCTGTTACTCAGTGACTTGCCTGTGGCATTAAACAATGATGTGAGTTTGAGCAAACATGCATCCAAGGTCAGATTCATCACACGTAATGTCCTTCCTAAAGCCACTTCCTTTTCCAGAACGAAAAAAAGAGCAGAGGAAACAGCTACAGGGTTTGGGATGAGGGTCAGCAGGTAAGGTCACTGCTCTGTGGGGGCACGTGCTCCTGGGCACACCTGAGAACGCTTTTCACTGATGACCCGAAGATGCGGCCCAGCACTACCAAAGGGGCCAATCAGATGAAGCCCACCCACAGGCCCCCGACTGTAACCTTGACCTGAAAGTGGGAGGCCCAGAAGACCAGGGTTAAGGCCCTCCCCAGGGTCACTCAACTGTGAGGGGCAGAGCCCACGTGTCCTGATTTCCAGCCTGTTGGTAACAACAATGACATTTATTCATCAAAACATGTCAAATAAGCTCTGCTGTGTGCCAAACACTGTGCTGGGAACTGGGGACACACAGTGACCAAAATAGACAAAGTTGCTGCTCTCTAGTCTTCTGTAAGGCATTCCATCGTTGGGTGACAATCAGTATTAAGGAGAGAAAGCAAGTGACAGGGGAAAAGAGATGGTCAGGAGGAGACTCAGGGGTCAACAGGGGTCAGAAGACTCTGAGAAAGGTGACTTTGGACAAAGACCTCAAGAAGCCTAGGGAATAGCCCTGCAGCTGTCTGCAGAAACAGCATTCCTGGTCCCAGAATCAACCCGCATTCACCAACCTGGAAGCTCTCTGAACCCCTTCTTTCAGGGAGGGGTATGCATGACTGATTAAATCTTTCGCCATTGGTGATTAGATCAACCTTCAGCCTCTCTCCCCTCCCCAGGGTCAGGAGGTGGGGCTGAAAGTTCTAACCCTCTAATCAGCATTTCTTTTTTCTTTCTTTCTTTCTTTTTTTTTTTTTTCGAGACAGAGTTTCGCTCTGGAGGGTTGATTCCATTGGCCATTCAAGGGTTACCTAATTAGCATAAACTCAGGTATGGTCAGGAGAGGATTGGTCTGAATGACAATCGATGCTCCCATCAGCCCGCTGAGGGGATTCCAAGGGTTTTGGAAACTCTGTGGCAGGACCAAATATTTATTTTTGATTCTATCACACCTTGCACAAAAGACTTTGCAGGTGCGATGGAGTTCAGGATCTTGAGATGAGCAGACTATCCTGAAATATGTGGGTGAGCCCCATGTCATCACAGGGTTTCCGTGAGACGGTCAGAGAGAGAGATGACAAGACTGTTGGGAGCAGAGGTCTGAATGAGAGCGAGTGGGGAATGCTTCAGTGCTGGCTGTGAAGATGGAGGGAGCGACTGTGAGCTAAAGAGTGGGGGTGCCCAAAAGGCTGGACAAGGCAAGGTTCCTCGGAGCTTCCCGAATAAGCCAGCTCTTCCGAGACGTCTGACCTTAAAAGAATAAATATGTGTCATTCTAAGGCACTAAGTCTGCAGTCATGTATTACAGCAGTCATAGGAAATGAAGACCGGGGTGGAGGGGGCAGACCTAATGCCAGCAGGAGCGGGGGTGTGTCCTGCATGGCCTTTCTGGTGATTTTACCCGAGTGAGGGGGGAGCCCTTGGAGGGCTTTAAGCAGAGGACCCTAAATGTCATCAGATCACGATGGCAGCTTCAATAAGCCAGCTCTGTGATAAATGCTCTGCTGACATCAACTTAATGAATGACCCCAGCAACCTAGAAGGTTATCATGACTGTGCCCATTTTACAGAAGAGGAAACTAAGGCTTCAAGGAGCTACGTGATGTGCCCGTGGTCACGCAGCTCAGAAAAGCTCCAAATTGTTCCTTTAAAAAGACACACAAGGTCCTTTGTCCGGTGGCCGTATTTGTTACAGGAGTTTCCCTTCAATAAATTCGCAGCTCTCCATGCCCCTTCCTAGCCTCCCGCAGGTCCCTGCGGCTCTCATAAGGAGGCAGACGCTGGCAGACCATAGGCTCATGATGGCCAGCCCAGCAGGCTGGATGTCACTGGGGTCTCCAGGAGGCAGGACAGGGCTCAACCCCAGCTCCTTCACTTGTCCACCTGAAGATCCTTGAGTAAGTGGACCCCAACCCTCGAAACCCCCGGCTTCGCCCCAGGCCTCAGGCTCCAGCCTCATTGTCTGACTCCAGCTTTTCTGATGCAGTGGTTCTCAACTGCGGGTAACTGTGTCCCCCAGGGGACACGTGGCAATGTCTGGGGGATGTTACTGGTATCTGGCAGGTAGAAGCCAGGGCTGCTGCTGAACACTTTACAATGCACAGGATGGCCCCACACAAACAGTGCTCCAAACCCTAACGTCACTAGTGGCAAGGCTGACTTCTCCTCTCCAGCTTCACTGCCTTTCCCCAGGAAGGGTCTCCTCTGGCTCTTAGCCTCAGTGTCTCCCTCATCCCTTTAGGCTTGGGGGCATTTTACATGGATTCCATGCACTCCGCCTTACACAACTTTGTACACGTCCCAGCCCCTTCCCTTCCACCTTCCGCCTTCAGTTGGTCCTAATTTGAGCCAATTTTGTTTCCTACAGGGATTCTTTGTTAATCCTTTTGTTTTGTTTTGTTTTTGTTTTTTTGAGACAGGGTCTTACCTTGTTGCCCAGGCTGGAGTGCAGTGGCATAATCACATTTCACTGCAGCCTTGAGGACCAATGATCCTTACCTCTCAGCCTCCCAAGTGGAGGGGATTACAGATACATGCCACCACACTCGGCTAACCTTTGTATTTTTTGTAGAATGGGGTTTCACTATGTTGCCCAGGCTACTTTGTTTTTGTTTTGGTTTTGGTTTTGGTTTTTGAGAGAGTTTCGCTCTTGTTGTCCAGGCTGGAGTGCAATGGCGCAATCTTGGCTCATTGATTGCAACCTCCGCCTCCCGGATTCAAGAGATTCTCGTGCCTCATCCTCCCGAGTAGCTGGGATTACAGGCATGCACCACAATACCCAGCTAATTTTTATATTTTTAGCAGAGACGGGGTTTCACCATGTTGGCCAGGCTGGTCTCAAACTCCTGACCTCAGGTGATCTGCCCGCCTCAGCCTCCCAAAGTGCTGGGATTACTGGCGTAAGCCACCTTGCCCAGCCTACTTTGTTAATCTTCTACCTGACACCTGCCATTGCCTGAGGGTTTCCTTGATGATGCACTCAGGAGCCTGTCCAGGCAGGGGGACATGTCACCCCAGAGCCCGGAGCCTCCTTCCTCCTGACCCCAGAGCCTGGGCTTCCTCCCCACTGACTCCAGAGCCCGGGCACCCCTCCCTCCTGACCCCAGCATATCCCTCTGCCCAGAACACTGCCTGCAGCTCGCAGGTGCTCAAGACGGACTTGTTGAATGATGAACGTGGCAGACGCCGAATTGGACTCTGAGTCCTTGCTCTGTCCTTTGGGCACAGGACCAGCTAGAGAATCTGCGCGGCCCAGGGCAAAATGAAAATGCGGGGCCCTTGTTCAAAAGGTATGAATAAATTCACGACAGCAAGAACAAAAGCATGAAACCAAACTCCAGGCCCTCCTGCGCACAGAACCTGAGGGACTCTTGGCCGGCCAGTAGTTCGTACCTGTCTTCCAACTCAGGCTGCCGGTGTGGGTTGGTGATCTGTGGACACCCTCAGTCCTCACACCAGTCTCCAAGCCACTCAGAGCTAGGCAAGCTCTGAGCCTTGCATTCTGCAGAATCCCGGGCCTAAGATCCGGCCCCATCTCGTCCACCATGAGAACCGTGTCTGAGAGGGACGGGGAGAAGCACCGAGACTCAGTCAAGGGACCGTGGCTCTTCCAGCCCAGGCGCATGCTGCCTCCATCCAGATGGCTGCAGCCACTCCAAAGCTTTGGAGAGTTCTGTGTTTTTCCTCTTCTATTTTTATTTCCTCAAATCCGAGACCAAGAGAGATCAGTGCCAGAGTCCTGGAGGGGTCTGAGCCAGGAGGAATTGATCCACAGGCAAGAAGAAAAACATGTCCGAAGGAGGTCACTGTGAGTGTCCTTGTCAGGGATAGACGGGCACCAACCCCAGTGTGGGCTGGGCCCTGACAAGGGCTGGGTCCTGTGAGGGAGGGTTGGTCCTGCCATCAGATGCCCCAGACTAGGGCTGGCCAGGGCCCCCTCTGCACTGCCCCACCCTGGAGGAGTTGTTTCCACTGACGCTTGTGTGAACAACTCCCCCTGGGGTTGTGAGGACCCAGCCCAGCAAACGTTTAAAGGTCCCATTTGGTCTATAGGGGCGCAAAGGCAGTCTGTGGCGCAGCTCTCAGGTTTGTGAGCGTTCAGTGAGTGAGATCAAGTGTGAAGCACTTGTTATGCCTTGAGAAGGGTCCTTGGCTCAGAGGGAGGGCTCAGAAGCTTTTACTGTCTTTTGCAAAGATTCAGACCAGTCATCCCATCCTCCTTCCCAGGCACATGTAGGATAACTGGGGTGACAAGTGACTCTATAAAGAATTGAGGGCCTACAGATAATAACGCCAAGCACATAAAACTCAGGTCTCAAATTGTTGAAATCATCGGATGGGGTGGGGGGATTCTTAGTGGGAGGCCCCTGGATTCCACTGCAGTCCCTGTTGTTTTATTTTGCACCTCCTCTGTACCAGATACTTTATTCTTAGCGCAACCTGCCGTGTGTGGTGTAGCTTAGGTACTGTGGGAAGCAGAATTCTAAGAGGGCCTCAAAGATTTCTGCCCTCCATATAATCTCCACCCCTTGAATGAATATGGTGGCTATTGCTCCCCAAAATGAAGGGATTCTGCCCATGTAATTAAGGTCCCTAATCAATTGACTTGGAGTTAAGCAATAGGAGATGATCCTGGGTGGGTCTGACCTCATCAGGTGAGCCCTTACAAGAAGTAAGAGATATTGTCCCACTAGCTTTTGAAGGACTCATCAGGTGAGCCCTTGCAAGAAGTAAGAGATATTCTCCCACTGGCTTTGAAGGATTCGCTGCCAAGTTGCAAGAGGGCCACATGGAAAGGAACTGAGAGAAGCCTCAGGAGCTGGAAGTGACTTGGCTGACAGCCAGCATGAAGATGGGGGCCTCAGTCCTACAATTCCGAGAGACTGAGTTTGGCCAAAACCTGAATGAGCTTGGACAAAGACCCTGAGCTGCAGATAAGAACACAGAGCTGACATCTTGCATTTAGCTTTTGTGGGATCCTAAGCAGAGAACCCAGCGAGGCCATACTTGCACTCCTGACCCATGGAAATTTTGAGAATAAATGGGTGATGTTTTAAACCACTTAAGTCCATCATAACTGTTACAATCATAGGAAACTAATACAGATAGGTAATTGCCAATTACCAGAGTCTTTAAAATTCTGCTGGTAATAGGACTTGGACTTCTGATTTTTGGCTGTGCCTAGTGTCACCCAGAATAAAAACCTATAGTTCCCAGTCTCCCTTGTAGCTAAGTGTGACTGCATTTGTGCTAAATGAGAGGTAAGTGGACCTTTTGCGTCTGATCTCTGGGTTGGCTGCTTAAAGAAAGCACACGAACCTAGAACACAGATGATATGGTCTGGCTGTGTCCCCACCCAAATCTCATCTTCAATTGTAACTCCCACAATTCCCACGTGTCGTGGGAGGAACTCGGTGGGAGGTGATTGAATTACGGGAGTGGGTCTTTCCTGCACTGTTCTTGTGATAGTGAATGAGTCTCATGAGATCCAATGGTTTTAAAAACGGGAGTTTCCCTGCACAAGCTCTCTCTGCTGCCATTCATGTAAGATGTGACTTGCTCCTCCTTGCCTCCTGCCATGATTTTGAGGCCTTCCCAGCCATGTGGAGCTGAAAGTCCCTTAAATCTCTTTCTTTTGTAAATTTCCCAGGCTCGGGTATGTCTTTATCAGCAGCATGAGAGCAGACTAATACAACAGATCTGACTGGTGCTCCAGCAGCCATCTTGGACCATGAGGTAGGTTGTGAGGATGAAGCCATGAATTAAGATGGCAGAGCAGAAAATTAGAAGCCTAGATCCTTAGGGGCAGAGTAAGACAACTACCACCCTGTCTTTGGATGGCTGACCTTCAGACTTTCAGATGAGAGAAAAACTTTTATCTTCTTTAAGCCACTATTATTTGGGGTTTTTCTGTTATATGCAGCTGCTCTTAAGTATCCTAAGTATAGGTAGGCACCATACCCATGTCACAGATGAAGGAACTGAGGCACAGAGAAGGTGATAAGTTGCCCAGATGGAGGTCTCACAGCTGACTAAGTAACTGGGTTGGGCTCTGAGCTGGAGCCAATCCCGGCCCCTCTGCCCAGCACGTGCTGCCTCTTGCCTGGTGGCATGAGAATTCTCCTTTGTCCCAGATAAATAAGAAGGCAGCAGATGTCTTCCCCAGGGGAAGTGAGTGTTTGTCCTCTCAGCCACCTCCACATGCAACCTTGACTGGGTGCCACTTCCCGCTCTAAACACCAGACAGAGTGGGCTTGTGCGCCCATCCCACGGCCAGTCTCTGCAGAGCAACCTCCCAGGACGAGGAGGAGGAAGGGGCAGCAGCTTGATTGGTGCAAGGTGGGACTGGAACCCTGCTTCCTCCAGGTACCCTTAACCCTCCCCACCGTGGCTTCCCCTGGTATCTGCATTTCCAATGGCCCCCAGTGCACTTTGGATGAAGCCCAGGGTCCCTCTGTGGTCCTCAATGCCATGCACAACCAGCCTGCTCCTTCTCTGCTAACGTCCTGCCTGCCTCCCTGTGCCGCAGCCACGTGGCCTTCTCGCTGTTCCTCCCGCCTGCCACCCCAGGGCCTTTGCACACACTCCTCCCTCAGGTGGAAGACCTCTTCCCTGCAGTACCTCCATCCCTGTCAGCCCACGTTGCCTGCATTCAGGTCTCAGCTGAAAGGGCCTTCCTCAGGGTCTGTCCCTGACCACCCTGTCCTCCCTGTCCCCCTACATGCTGTGGCTTCCCGACACACGTCATTCCTTGGCATTAAATGGCTCGATCAGGTCTGGCTTCTCCACTAAACACGGTAGGCACAGTGACTAGGCCCATGGGACTTTCGGGGCCACAAACATATTTTAATGTCTTTCAAAGTCAGAACAAATGAATGTAACTATTCCTGGATGATATTCACCTTGATGCCAACACAGTCAAAAACAACAATTTGTCTTATTTCTGGATGGAGGAGGGACCACAGCCATGCTGGCATGGGGCTGGGTCCTGTTTGTTTGCTGTATCCCCTGATCAGGACCCACTCCCGTGAGCGCAGACTTCTGTTCTGTTACCTGTACCCACTGCCCGCCATGGTGCCTGGTGTACGGTGGACACACGATGAATTAGTGAGTGAGCAGATGAAGAATGAACACTTCCGGCCAAAGAGGAAGCTCGTGCTGTCCCCAGAGCCCACCCTGCTCCTAGAAAGGGCATCGCATCGCACTTTGGCTGCCCCAAGCCACCGTGGTCATCCTTATTTATGGCCACCTGCTCCTGGATGGGGGACTCTGGCCTGGAGCCCCCGTCCAGCTGCCAGCCCCCTTGCAGAGAGTGCCCCCAGCAGTGCACATGAGAAGGGTTGGAGCTGGTGGGAAGCTGAGGTTGAGTTCCAGCCGTAGGAGCTCCAGAGTTCACTCTGCCCAGCATGGGCGGCAGCAGTGGCACCAACCAGGAACAGTGAGGACCAACTGAGGCTGGACGGAGAAGCTCTGTGGGGCCTGAGAACCCTGTGGTGGGAAAGGGAGAGGGTCTTGTGGTGGATTGAATGGTGGCCTCAAAAAAGATATGCCCACATCTGAATCCCTGCAACCTGTGAATGTGCCCTTACTTGGAGAGAGGGTCTTCACAGATATTAAGTATCTAGATCTTCACAGATATTATGAAGTATCTAGAGGAGGAGGTCATCCTGTGTTATCTGGGTGGACCCTAAATCCAATGACAGGTGTCCTTATCAAAGCCACACAGAGGGCCGGGTGCGGTGGCCCATGCCTGTAATCCCAGCACTTTGGGAGGCCGAGGCGAGTGGGTCACAAGGTCAGGAGATTGAGACCATCCTGGCTAACACAGTGAAACCCCGTTTCTACTAAAAATACAAAAAATTAGCCGGGCGTCATGGCGGGAGCCTGTAGTCCCCAGCTACTCGGGAGGCTGAGGCAGGAGAATGGCGTGAACCCAGGAGGCGGAGCTGGCAGTGAGCCGAGATCGCACCACTGCACTCCAGCCTGGGCAACAGAGCGAGACTCCGTCTCAAAAAAAAAAAGGCACACAGTGGAGCGATGGAGAAGGCCATGGGTAGACAGAGGCAGAGATTGGGATGATGCAGCCACGGGCCCAGGAACACCTGGAGCCACTAGAGGCTGGAAGAGGCTGGGAAGGGTCCTCCCCGAGAGCCTCCAGAGGAAGCACAGCCCTGCTGACACCTGGATTTTGGACGTCTGCCCTCCAGAGCCACAGGAATGAATCTGTGCTGTTTTAAGCCAGCAGTTTGTAGTGATTTCTTATGGCAGCCCCAGGAAACTCACATGCTCACTGTCTCCAAAAGATCTGAACAGAGGGCAGGACTCAAAACATGCCTGTGAGAATCCACTCTGTAGATGGCCCCGGTGACCACTGCTAACCCTCCCAGCCCCCCAGCACGGTCCACACACTATTGTCACCAGGCGATGGAGGAGAAGACAGAGGGAAAGGACTACCCGTGTGCAGCGTCCACGGTACAGCAGGCTGGCCATCGGCCCCACCCACCAGAGAAGCTAACACTCAGCGTTGGTGCGCACAGAGGAAGGCCCTCAGGCAGTCTGGAAGCAGGAGGGAGACCGAGCCCTGAGCAATGGTCCAGGAACTCAGTCGTCAGGGCCCAACACACAGGATGGCGGACGGACACTGGCAGGCTCGGAGCTGCAGGCCAGGAATCCCCATGTTTCTCCAGCAGCCCTGGGAGATTCCAGCTCAGGAAAGCCTGGGGTTGAGCCCAGGTTTTGAGGTTTAAATTTCAGTTCCAGTAACTATTAGCTGGGGACTTTGAGTAAATTCCTTCACCTCTCTGTGCCTGACAGTGAGCGGGACTGAGAAGAGAGGCAACGAGAAAACGCTCCAGGGGGAAAATGAGCAAGAGAGGTGGTAAACCAGGAGGGGGGAAGATGAAGAGGAAAGGTGAGGCCATTTGTGGTGCTATAGCCACAGACGCACGTGCCTGTAGGGCCTGCCCAGAGGGCCAAAAGGGAAAGTGGGACAGCGGTAACGAAAGAATGTTTGTCCTTTCCAAAGTGCCCGGCTCTCCCAGGCTAGCCTCTACTATCCTGCTCTTAATAGGGACATTAGGGACATGGATGCACATAAATACGCATCTACAATTTTAAAAACAGCAACTGACATTCACCCTTTTGTAAGAGAGGCAATAGGGAGCAGTGGAGACTGGGCACCAGCTGTCCCTCTGCAGCCACCCAGAGCAGCCATGTGTGTGTGGGGCCCAGAGTGGCCAGGCCTGCCGATTCTCAAGAGAAGCCAGATTTGGGGAGTTTTTCTTCACCCTCATCTTCTGATATTCAAAAACATGTTGGCAACGAATCCACATTTTAAGACATGGATAAACACCACCATGCCAGGGGAATAAGACCCGTGTGCAGGCCACATCTAGACCTCCAGTGTGTGGCTCTGGCCTTCAGCCTGGAAAATGGAACAAACGCTAAACTGCTTGTCCGGACAATGGCGGGAGGGTCTGGAAATCACAAGGACTGGGACTTGTTAGGAGCAGCCGCTTTATTCCAGGCAATAGGGGAAGAATGGGCGGCCTGTCCAAGTATCAGGCTGGGATTCCAACAACAGCCATCAGGTGACCTGAGTGTGCACTTCAAAGAGGAAAGGCGTCCAAACTGCTGCTCCACGCTACGCAGCCAAGTGCTGCTCCATGCTCGGCGAGACACTGGGCCCTGGCCGCCTTCGCCAGGCCTGCTGGGGGCCATCCACGTCCACAGTCGCGCTCCAGCAACTGCCCCAATCATTTGCACTGGACAGTGTCAGCTCTGGGGCCGGCACCGCTTTAAAGTTTTGGGCGTGCACCTCCTGCCCTTTTTCTCTCTGTGGTGCCTCTATTTTATTGGGATGACTAAATCTTTCAACTATGTTAGCAGTAAACACAGCTAATTTACCCCCTGCCTCTTTGAAACAGCTGCTGACAGCTGCACTGTAATTCAATCAAGGACCTTTGTAGTCGAGCCTACCAAATTCACATGTGTTGCTTGGTTCCATCTCTCCTGCCCGGAGCCCCACACAGCTGCACCAAATATTGACGAGCGGCCACTTCCCCGCAAGGCCTGGATGCTAAACAGAGCGTTCACGGTGGAGACGAAGGCAGGGAGCTCTTAGCAGTGTGAGAGAACTTCAGTGTCCAAGAACTGAGAGAAAAACACAACACACACAGACAGACACAGGCCAAAGAGCCAGAACCAAACGTCTCCTTTTATTGCAAGGTCAAACCCTTTTCATTTTGTCTATTTATACAGAATTTTCACTAAGGACTGCTCGACGCAACAGCTGTGAGTACATTGGTCCAACCATTAATAAATAGTCTTAAATAAGAAAACAAACAGGTTGAAGGAAAGCAAGCTCATCGTCCTGAACGAGGGATTAAAGGGGGGGGGGTGTTCAAAAGAGCTTTGGATGGAAATAAATAATCTCTTTGCTTTGTAACAACTATTTACAGGTTTAAATGTACAAATGATGCTAACCAGAGGCTGGTTGGGTCAGAAAACTCACACCAAGAGGGATCACACAAAAAGCCCCAGCTCTGCCAGCAAATGAAACCAAACATAACAAAAAATACTCCTCCCCAGTGACTAGAGAGTGGAGGCTGCAGCCCAAGCTACTAAAGAAGAAAAACATCAAAGAAAATAAAAACAGAGCCCCGGTGTTTCCAGGAACTGTCTGAGTCAAGATGGAGAAACAGTCCCCCACAAGACCGGGTTCCACATGGCCACAGTTTTCGATCACCTTGTTTTCTTTACAGATGCAGAAAACGTTTGCAGACAGTCTAGCCCTCCCCTAGGCCTTGTGTTTGTGGCCGGAGGCTGAGTGCATACTATTTATGGGACTCACCAGCCAAGGCAAGGCAGGCTTACACCAAGAGCCACGTCAGAAATGCCACCTCCAAATCGGGACACTTGGTTAGGATGTCACCCTCAACAAGGCTTCTATTTGCAATGTAAGTCCAGCACATCCTGCACCCATCAGACCTCCTATTATGCCATCTCCCCCTTAATTCAAGGAGCAAATTTGTTTGCAGAGACTTCTGATCAGGGTCTGCAAATGAAGAGACAGCCACGGGTGCCCTTGCCAGGGCCCAGCCTTGGAATGCCACTGCAGACAAAGACCAGAGGGTCCACTGGGGCGATGTGCAGTGCTCCTGCTCACCCCACTCCCGTGGAGAACTAGGCTTCATTGGTGCTGTTTTTTTTTTCTTTTGAGATGGAGTCTTGTTTTGTCACCCAAGCTGGAGTGCAGTGGGACGATCTTGGCTCACTGCAACCTCCACCTCTGGGGTTCAAGCAATTCTCCTGCCTCAGCCTCCAGAGTAGCTGGGATTACAGGTGCGTGCCACCATGCCCGGCTAATTTTTGTATTTTTAGTAGAGATGGGGTTTCACCATGTTGGCCAGGCTGGTCTCGAACTCCTGACCTCAAATGATCCGCCCACCTCAGCCTCCCAAAGTGCTGGGATTACAGGTGGGAGCTACTGTGCCCGGCCCATTGGTGCTTCTTAACAACAGGGTTGAGTTGCAAGTTCCATCCTACTTGCTGTCCTTGTCCCCTCTGCAATTTCACATGGATTTACTACCACTGGGGCGAGGTGAAAAGCCAATCCCAAATGTCTGCGGGTATTTCACACACCTAGTTTCATTTCTGCCACGGCAAATCCAGCTGAACAACAGAACATATTTTTCCTCCAAAGATCAACACACCGCCCTCCTCGGAGCAGACATTTGCTCTTTCCCCTCCCACTAGATCTTGGATTTGGGCAAACCTCGGTAAACACTGGGCCTCTGCAAGCCTCAGGATGAAAACTGTAGGGAATGGAGAGGGACCTCCCCGCCCTCCACTTGACACAGCTTCTGTTTACGCATCAGGATAAACCGAGAAATGGGGATAAATTGTTTAGGAAAATATATCTGTAACGTCCTAACCATTTTCATTCATTCGTTTTATTGTGACATTTATTACAGGAACTTCCGGGTCAATTTTCCTTTCGCACAGACACCAATGTGCCCACCCCTTGCCACGCCCCCTTCCTCCCACGGCTGGGTGGCCTGGCTGGTAGGCGCTCATAATTACCTCTGGAAACGAGTCCGTGCATGGCTGAGACTTCCCAGCCAATGACCTGGCCCGGCCATTTTTCTTTATGCGTTGTTTTTTTTTCCTGCTAGGTTTTGCCTGCACAGCTTGTAGGATCTTGTTCATTGGATGCTGCCACTGAAAAACTGATCAAAAGCCATATGCTGCTCATGTTTCCTAATACTCTCACACCTTTAAAGTTGGGGATAGGGAGGGGAAGGTCTCACAAAAGGCAGTTGGTCTGCTGGTTCCTGGCCAAGGCGAGCAATGGAGGATCCAGAAAAACTTGGCCCCAAAGGGTCTGAATTCTCGGAGGAGCTAGTGGCAGCCACAGGCCCGGACCACCATGTTTCTGTATTTCTTCAGGATGACGTTGGAGCTGTCATCGAAGTAGAGGACGGAGATGGCATTGAGCTGCGTGGGCGCACAGCAGGGCTTGGGCACCGTTTCCGGGTTGATGAAGTGGACCTGAAACACACACCAAAACATGGGCAGTGGTGAGAAGCGGTGAGTCGTTCTAACTGGCCTCCACGTTTCTATAAAGAAACATCCTGTCTGGGCATAATGAATGACTGCAGGTGACACTCCCCAAGCCAAGCACTCCCTGTTCTAAGCACTTTACATGGACAACTCAGTTCTGGGATTATCCCTGTTTTGCAGACAAGGGAACCAAAGCATAGAGGTTTTCACATTATACAGTGGGGAAGGAAGGGGCCAGATCCGACATTCAGGACCAGGTAATTCTCTGTTGGGGAACTGCCCTGTGCACTGTAGATTGCTGAATAGTGTCCCTGACTTGGACCCACTAGAAGTGCTCCATCTTGCTCATGGACTTCTCTGCACCTTACAGAGGATGTGGGACAGGGACACATAGACTCAAATGCCTATGAGTGCCACGTGAGTGCCACTGATAAGCAAAATAGACCGAGGTAAGACAATAGGGAATAGTGGGGACTAAGGCAAACTAAGGGAAGAGGCCGCCACTCAACCTAAGCTGACGGCAGCCAACCAAGATCAGTGTTAGCAGATCTGCCACGTGTTCAAGACAGGCCAGAGATTCCACTGTCCTGTTGTTTTCAACGTGAAACTTCTGGGTTTCCAGCAACTGTAGGTGCCAGGCAAGAGCATCAGTGACTGGCACTCTGTTCACAGCCTCCAGGCTGTGACTGCTGACATAGGCCAGCATGCTTTTTACACATTTTATGATGGACAATTTCAAACTCTTACACATCCATACCCTTCCCCACCTGCTCCACCTTGAATGATTTTAAAGCAAATTCCAGCCATCAGCTCATTTCCTCTGGAAGCATTTCATCAGGACTCTCTAGAAGACAGTTGCCCCCTTTTAAACATGACCACAATCGCATCATTTCACAATCCCTGGAGAATTCACTTTGATCCTGCAGATCTCTGGTGAAATACTGATGGAAGTAGGTGCACACAGGGCGATGGCACTCCTGTTCCATGGGCCATGAAGGCAGGGGTTGGAGAAGGATAGAGATGTGTCCCCTGGCAGCCGGGGAGACATGCCTGGCACCTTCCAGGGGATACTGGCACAGCACAGCACATCCAGGCCAGGGAACAGGTTGGGGAGGACTCTTCTGTTTCCAGCCTAAGGACCTTCAATCCCAAGTAGGGCTTTGAAGTTTACAATTGAGGAGGGGAGCAAGGGCTTTGGAAAACCAACACTTAAAAAAACAAACAAAGAAACAAAAACCCCTGCCCTCAAAGAGCAGAATCAAATGAAAGGGATAGATGAGATTTTTCTCCAGGACTTAACACACAGGACAGGGACAAGAAAAGAAGGAGGCAGATTACTAAATGAAAGGAGGGAGTAGTCCTGGTAGTGAGCTCTCTGTCACTAGAAGCATTCAAGGCAGGGTGGATGATCAGTAGGCAGGAAAGGCTCAGATGATGTTCATGACAGGGAGCTACATAACCAAGGTCCTTGAACCTTGGATTCTAAGCAAAAGAACAAAATCCCTACAGCTCTTATCACTATGGTTGCTGTTGGCAGAGCAGGAATAACACCTACTGAGTGTCGCCACGTGCTGGGCACGTTAATCTCATTATCACATGGAATCTTCCTGGTGACCCCACTGAAATTTAACTTGAAATGGCCCCATGGGTCCCCACTCATCTCTCCATCCCATTATCCTGCTGGCCAGCTTCTGATCACTGTGCCCCTCACTGAAATTTCTCATCTGTTTACCTGTTTCCTCTACTGGAAAATGAAGCAGGGCCCAGTGCTCTTAGGCACCGTAACCAGCACCCACAATACTACAAGCATCCTCAAAGGAGCCCATACAACTTTTAGTTACTTTAAAAATTAGGAGAAATAAATGAACTCCAGGGTCGAAGATTATACTCCTCTTTATACCAAACCAGTCATAAAGTACAATTTTTGATTTTTTTTTAACGGCGCAAGGGGCCCCCAAAAGTCATGACATGGCAATGGGCTGACATCTACTCAGGCCCCAGCTTGGAGGCAGCAGGATCTGGTGGCCCCGCAGCCTGCCCGGCCCAGGTGACCACACCCCAAGATGGCGTGACACCCACCAGCGTCTGCACGATGGCGTGGTTGGTGGCGTTCATGTAGGAGTTCAGAGGGAAGGCACACTCCCCCTCACAGTAGTAGGCGGCGTAGCCTTCAGGCGCGATGATCCAGTCCTGAGGAGGAGAAGAGAGTGTGGGAAACCATGCAGAAGGCCTGAGCCACAGCATCCCAACCCCCATGCTGGCCAGAAACCACCACGCCAGGCTCACGACCCAAGGTGGAAGCCTCAGACCATGCCTTCTGAGCAGCAGGGGGCCCAGCAGGGGCAGGAAACATGGGTGGCCTCTCATGGTCCCAAAAGAATGGAAAGAAGGACCACTCTATAGTCTTGGCCTATAGTCCAAGCTTAGTAGACTGAGTGGGAAGACGGCTCAAAGCTGCGGTGAGCTATGATCACACCACTGCACCCCAGCCTGGGTGACAGAGCAAGACCCCATTTCTAAAAAAACATAAAATAAAAATGAAGGAAAGCCCCACGGGGCTTGGCTGATCCTAAAATGGACATCCATGGCTGTGTCTTCTGGACAGAACGCGGCACAGGAAGGAGCCTCCGGTGTGAGGCAATCATCAGCTCTACCCCCACTAGGTGGTCACACACTGGCAGTTCACCTTAAACAAACCTCCATGCCTCGGTTTGCCCACCTGCCAGAGAGGCTAATAACTCATAATGGCATCACCCATGCTGGCTCCGGGTGCACTGGTCAGTAAGGGATCCATGTGCCATCCTTGCCTCTAGGGTCTGGGTGGCACAGAAATGTTGCCCAATAATCAATATACTCCTCAGTGATGCTTAAGCACATGGAATCTTCCAGCAGAGGCCCCTGGAGTTTGGGTTCTGTCCCAGCTGCAGGTGGATGTGGTCATCAGTCCTGAGGGCAGGCTCACAGGAGGGCTCAGAGCTGGCTGTGTGCACGTACGCCCTGAGTGTGTCTGGGCATAATCCCCAGGGAAGATTCTGGACTCTCCCACTGAACTACAAGCTCCCTGAGGGTAGAATACCACCAGTTGCCCTGATGACCTCATGACAATACCCTCTCCAGGGATATTTGAGCCCCACAGGGCAGACACATTGCAGTGTTCATCGCTGCATCTCCAATCCAGTACCTAGAACAGGGCCCAGAACGCTGCAGATGCTGCATGACTGCTGAATGAGAATCACACCAGAGCTCACGGCAGGTGGATCACATGACCCTCACTCCTCTCCTAGGATTCATCCCCTGCCTTTTGCCTCACTCCATGCAAATGGCTCCAGAGGGGGCAGCCATGTGCCAGTAACATGACCCCACCCCTGAAACAGTTGACTGGTTCAGGAACAAGTGCCTGAACCAAGCTGGGCAGATCCGTCCCTCCCGTGGGAATGGGAATGGGGTAAATGAAGTCAGAGGGCAGAGGGGGAGATGGCTCCCCAGGTATCTACATTCAAACACACGGCCCGGCATCATCTTGAGAAGCAGCCAGCCAAGGGATGGGAATGAGGTGCATGCAGAGAATGGGGTTCAGAGTCCAAAGTGTTTGGGTTCCTGGTTCAAGTTCAAGTCTCAACCACATTTCTGCTCTCGGATTTCATGAGGCCTCCCTGTATCCTTAGCCCAAGTCCCCTTCCCTAGCGAGGCCACTTGATACTGGAGTCTTAACTGGCAGAGATGAGAAACAAGACTGAGCACAGACCCGCTGCCTCGTGGGAGCCCACGCCAGAGGGCCCACACCCAAGACAGACCCAGCCAGCCCCTTACCTGCCAGCCCAGGTCTCGGAAGCTGACATACAGCTCGTGCTTCTTACAGGCCTGCCTCTGGTCGCTGCTGCTGTTCTCTGCATTGACAAGGAAGTGAAGAAGCAGAGCCCAGTGAGGAGAAAGAAACACACACACATCAAAGTTCCCTCCATCTTAGGCAGTGATGTGAACAGCAATGAAGCACAGACGGCTGGGGGGTAAATTTCCCGATTCAAAAGCCAGTTCGAGGGTCTAACTGCCTTAAAACTCATTTCTACCCCCAGCAAAGGCCCTACTAAGGGAGGTGCCAATGCCCCATTCCTCTCTCATGTAGTCTTATCCCATAATACTTTCTGGAACCTTCTGCGGACACTGGTTTCTTTTATACACGTGTGTTGTTTAAATGCTGACATCTGCCTGGATTCCATAAGGGAATCAAACCCCATCCACCTCACACAAGGCCACTGCAGGCACCCTGCTCAAAGAGATCTGCTTATGAACAACCTCAACTCGTGAGGCCCCAACACACTCATCCCTCTGCAGGGGCAAGAGGATGCGGGACAGGGCCTGGGACAAGCAACCATCACCACCACCAGCAAGAAGAAATGAGACAGCAGAGAGTCAAAACCTGATGACCTTTCAGAAGAAAACACTCCCGAGGTTTCTTTGAGTAGTGAAAATGATACAGGGGGTTTTCCAGAACTACGTAAATTTGGAAGCATTCGGGTCAGGGCCTGAGCACTTGTAAACATTGCAGAAGTGTCTGTCTGTCTGTCTTGTCTCTCTCTCACACACACTGCAACCTTCCTTCCACCCCACAACAGAGGGATTGCTTTTTTCCTAGTCATGACCTGTCTTTCCTCCACCTACAACTTCCCAGGGGCTCTCTGTCATACTCAGAGCAGGGCCCAGGCTGTGCCTGTGGCCCACAGGCCCGGTGTGCTCTGACAACTGATTGACCAAACACCAAGCTCACTCCCACCGCAGGGCTCTTGCATGTGCCGTTTCCTCCACCTGCAATGCCCCTCCCTGCAATCTTTGTTGTGTCTGGCTCAAGCCTTGGTTCCAATGTCACCTTCTCAAAGAGGCTTTGTAAAGTCACTATTAGATCCCCAAAGCTAAGCTCATCAGTGCACATCCTGTCCAGGAGTCAGGAAGTGGTTCAGGAAGGGCAAGTGACCCAACACAAACTAAAAGACATAGAGACTTCTGGAAAAAGTTCCCACATTCCTAAGAAAGACCCATGGAGAGACATTCATTCTCTTCCTCCTACTGCCCAGGAGCAAAAAATAATGAAGCCCCCCTGGCCAACTACAGCTGTGGCCTTGAGAGGAAGCAGCACTGAAGATGGTGGGGTGGGGCAGAAGGAGCTGGGGCTCAGAGGACACTGTTGAGCTCCTGGATCAACCAACCCTAATGTCCACCCAACCTTAGCTCTGCGGGCTGGTGAATTTTCTACTGGTTGAAGCGCATTTGACTTGGGTTTCTGATGTCTACAGCCAAACCTCAACCCATCCCAACTGGCTGCCCTGTGAAGGCTCATCCCATATAGAAAACGGCAGTCTGCTTGAGCCCAGGTGTCGCCCTTAGAGGTGTAGACCCTGGAGCACAGTCAGCCTCTGAGTGGAGTCTAACTCGTGAGTCAAGACCAGGTCTTGGGGACTGCTCTAGCTCTGGAGTCAAACCCCAGCTCTCCTAGATCTTGGACTCCTGGTTTGCAAAATGAAGAGAGCTCCTATAACTCCTGGGGTAGGCTTGAGTGTTCATGGCAGTTTCATATTTTCTTCTTCTTCTTCTAGCCCACTTGTTAGGGAAATTTGAAACTACGCACATTCTCCATTCACACACACACACACACACACACACACACACACACACACACCTGTTAACTGTTTGAATGCATGGCTCTTTCCTCCACACCCACTACATGCCATTAGGGTATATGTCAAAGAGTGGAACACCACTCAATTTTTGGCTTTTCTCTGATTCATGAGAATTCTATCTGCATAGCTTCTAGGATAATGAGAAATGGTAAGATAAGAAGGACATCGCCGAACTCCCTTCCCTAAGCCTTACTTTCTTCATCTGTAAAATGGGTGGGACAGGAGTGGTGCAGTAAGCTAGCCTCCCATGGACCACACACTGCAAATTAGGACACCTCCTCAGACACAGACTGGACATTCTGTTGGTCCTGGAAACCTTCAGTGTGCCTTAGCTACCCCATGGCTGAGAACAATTGTGGAATGAAATGGGCTAGAAGCAGCAAGCCAAGAGTGGAAAGCAGAAAGGAGAAAGAAGAGGGTTGAGGAGGAAGGAGGCAGGAGAGAGGAGAACAGCATGGAGAGCACAGGAGTCAGGAACTGGCCTCCAAGGCTCAGGCTGAGACAGGAGCACCATGCTCCCTGCTGGGGACTGAAAAGCAGGCTGCTTTTATTTTCATCAGCAATTTTTTTTTTGAGACAGAGTCTTGCTCTGTTGCCCAGGCTGGAGTACAGTGGTGCAATCTTGGCTCACTGCAACCTCTGCCTCCTGGGTTCAAGCAATTCTCCTGCCTCAGCCTCCTGAGTAGCTGAGACTATAGGCACTCATCACCATGCCCAGCTAATTTTTGTATTTTTAGTAGAGACGGGGTTTCACCATGTTGGCCAGGCTGGTCACAAACTCCTGACCTCAGGTAATCCACCCGCCTTGGCCTCCCAAAATGCCATTTTTGAATATATCTATTTATACAGATATAAAATTTATCTACAGTTCAGAAAAGCAATGTGGAAAGATATGCACACCAATAACGAAATTACATTTAATTGATTATAACCGAATCACATGTGTGATTCCTGAGGAGACACTTGAGACTTTCGGTGAAGTGAACTTGCTGAAGGCTGGGGCGGGGCTGGTGGGCTCCAGGCTTTGGGGCAGGAGCGCTTGCCCCTGGGTGCCCTGCCCTCGCGGCCTGCATGCCTTGTGGAGTCACTCATTCATTCAGCCATTGCTAGGGGCTGCTTCCTGGTGTGCAGGCATGAGATGAGTCCCAGGTGTAAGACAGCAAAGCCCTGCCACTCAGGGGCTTTTCCAGAACGAGAGGCGGGTCATAGATAAGTGAGTGCACATGACTTACATGGAGATGAGGGCTACAGAGGAAAACAAGGCAGGAGAAGCTGGAGTGAGCGGGCATGCTGCCGCGGGTGCCAGCAGGCGCTCTTCTGAGGAGGTGACATGTGGGTAAGAACCAAAAGGAAGTGAGATAGGAGGGTGGGGAGGCATCCAAGGGCGAGGCATTCCTGCATGACGATGCTGAGCAGTGGGGACGAGGCGCCCTCCATGTCTGAGGCCGCTGGAGTAGCATCGGATAGAGGATCAGAGGCAGGCACTGAGCCTGGCAAGGAATGAGGAAGCTGGGGCCTGGGTCAGCAGACAGTGTGGGCGGAGGGAAGATCTGCGTGGCTGGAACCAGCCCCAAGGCTCAATGCTGCAAGGGGGTGCTCAGAGTGGATGGAGGCAGCCAGGGGGAGCCCAGAGGCCCCTGGTCCCCACCCTCCGTGGGGGAGTAGCAGGGCTGGGAGAGAGAGAACCAGCTCTGGGGCAGCAGGAACCTCCCCAGGGCCAGGGTGTCCTCAACACAGGAAGGTCAAGGTCAAGGAACCATCTGGGAGGAGCCCAAACAGCTGGACTCTACAGCCTGCCCTCTAGAGCACACGATGCCAAGCAGAAACCTAAGATGGCCTTCATGGCTGTGGCAATGCCCAGGGCCACAGGTAGCCATGCCCCTCCACGAGCCTCCTCCCTCTTCCCTGTGGGGGGGTAGAAGGCAGGGTGGAGGAGAAGGAACATCCCCTCAGCTCAGGGATGTGTCAGGTGAAGCTGCTAGCTCGAGCCAGGGACATTGCTGACTCCTTGGTGTCCTGAGTCAAGGAGGATTCTGAAGCTGTGTTCAGGCTCCGTCAGAAGGAAGTCCCATGATCTATTAGCAATGTCTGTCATGAGCACAGGAGAGGCCATGATCTATTAGCAATGTCTGTCATGAGCACAGAAGGGACAAGGAGTGGCCTGAGTGCTACTTTCCCCAACCCTGTCTTAAAGTAAAGCCACGACATTTGGCATAACTTAGTTCAAACCCAAGGCCAAACAGACCAAGGCCGAGCACAGCTCATGAAGCTAGTTATGGTGTACGAGTGAGGCGTGGGCACTGGCCCTGCCACCAGGGACTCCAGACCCTGCTCTGTGCTTCCAGGGCTCTTTGATCACGGCTGTCCCAGCAGAAAGTGGCCGGAGCTCCTGTGTATCCTTAGGACTTATTAGCAGGAAAACAAGGAAAGGAAACGAAGGAGGGACTCCCAGCTCCCCTGTCCGTCCAAGCCTGCCCCACCCGCCCCCAAGCAACAGAAAGTGAGCAGGAGACAGCCCTGACGCCAGCACCGGGATTCATCCACCTCCTCAACCCCCTGCTTGGGCCGCAGACAAGTCAGGACTGGTGCTTAGGCTCAGCTCCCGCCTCCACGGGTCATCTGGCAAAGGCGGCTGCTTACCAGGGAGCTGGGTCCAAACGTGGGTGGGGAGAAGGAAGTGCAGGGACCCAGTTTCTCAACCCCAAACCGCACCATCTGAAGAGCACGTGAAGCCCCGGGGGAGGGGGCTGGCGGGCAGGAAAGCGAGCTCCGCGTGGGGTAGCGTGCCGGAGCATGTGCCCCCGCCCCAGCACACACAGGGCTGCCGAGAGATTCAACTTGTGTGGCTCCACGGCAGGGCTCCAGCCCAAAACCGGGGGGACGAGCGATTCAAAGGGGCAGGCACACAGGCGTACACACTCACACTCAAGGACTCTGGCCTAAGCCTAGGGTGGGGCCCAGGCCTCGGTATTTTTATTTTATTTTTTTCTTAACTTCCAGGCAGGTTTTAGAAGAGCTGCAAACAGGGCCACGAGCCATCCGCGGGAAGGAGGCAGGTTCCCAGCAATGAATTTCTGCCACGGGAAACAGTGAGAGCCCCGTCCTGGGGGCTGTGTAAATGGAGACTTGGTGGGGCTTTGATGAGGAGGCGGTGGGGAAAATCAGAGTGAATTCTAAGCCCGCGATGCCTAGTTCCTCTCCCCCTCATTACCCAGGTGCACCCGATGGAGCTCCAAGACACGGAAGTCTCTGCCGGGATGCAGTTTGCCTACACTTCCTGCCTGGATGATCTGCCACATCCTCTAAGGAGTCTCCGGCCTCTGAGCACCCCCTCGGCACCCACCCTGTTCCTCACCTTTCTTAGAGCAGCCAGAATGATCTTATCACCTGCACCCCACACCACAGCTTGAATCTCTGCAAAGACTTCTGAACATGCTTGGCATGAAGTTCAAACTCAAGACGTGACTCCCAAGAGAATGCCTGACCCGCCCACCCTCACTCCCCTCCCCTGCTTCAGCCCCCACAGCCTCCTCCCCACTCCCCAAAGGCGCCAGGAAACCCCACAGCACAGGCCTCTGCCCCTGCAGGTCCCACAGCCCAGAGCATCCTCTCCGGACCAGCCTGGCCTCGTGGGCACCCACTGGACCCAGAGCTCTCAGCTCGCTCGCCACGAAATGTTGTCTGCAGCCCTCGGGATGGGCTGCGTTCCCTAGGCACCACCCTGACTCTGGGTCTGTTACTATGTATGGATGTGAATGGCAACCCCCTCCTTCCTGTCCTAAATTAACACCCCCAAGGGCAGCCTTTGTGTGGGTGTTCGACATTGAATCCTAGCCTTCAAGAGTCCAGCATAAAAGAGGCTTCGAATACAAATGAAGGAATTTGGTTGGTTTTTGACTTGGGAGATCAAAGACCCCTTTGAGAAACCTGGAAAAATGGATCCACTGTCAGAAAAGAAAATATACGGAATCCCTACACACTCTGGGCCACACAGACCCACTGAGGTCCATCCGGGGGCCCCAGGACACCCGCCAGGGGTCAGGAAGCCTTGTCTTAAAAAGGCCACCAACCCCACTGACCTGCCTTCTCCCTTGAAAAGTAAAATGAACATAAATTTCAAGCTAGGCTAGGTAAGGAGGAAGAAGCTATTGGCACTAGAGGGTTAATTTGGGGGTGGGGCTGCTGCTATCCCCTCGCCAGGACCTTTCTCAATAGCCCCTTGCTCCCCTTGGGTGCTTCCTGGGACCAACCGCAGGCCCCGGAGGTGATAAGCAGCTAATAGCTTCCCACATGGTGGCAGGGCAGGTTTGCACCTCAGACCTTTTTCTGCCTTGTGATCAACCTGGAGCCAAGAAGGCTGCAACTCCTGAGCCGGCCCCCAGATGGTTGTGTCCCAGCTCCTTAGCAGGATGAGGGAAGCACTCTGAGGAGGCTGGGGGCAGTAGCTCATGCCTGTAATCTCAGTACTTTGGGAGGCCAAAGTGGAAGGATAGCTTGAGCCCAAGAGCTCGACACCAGCCTAGGCAATATAGGGAGGCCCTGTCTCTACAAAAAATAGCCAGGTGTGGTGGCATCCATCTATAGTCCCAGCTACCTGGGAGGCTCAGGCAGGAGGATTGCTTGAGCCCAGGAGGTCAAGGCTACAGTAAGCCATGCTCACACCACTGCACGCCAGCCTGGGCAATGGCGTGAGACCCTGTCTCTAAAAAAAAAAAAAAAGAAAAGAAAAAAGAAAAAGAAAATCACTTTGCCAACAAAGATGTATTCTTTCCTATCGCTGCTTTAACAAATTAACCAAGCAAATTATCAAAACAATACAAGCGGATTATAGCTCTGTGGCTCTGAAGTCCAACACCAGTCTTAGCAGGTAAATGCAACTGGGGGCTCTAGGGGAGGATCCCTTCCTTGCCTTGTGCAGCTTCTCCAGGCCACCCACATCCCAGGGCTGGTGGCCCCACTCATCTCCACCCCTCTGTGCTCTGTGCTTACATGGCTCCAACCACAGCTCAAAAAGGCTCTCTCCTATAAGGACCGATGGGACCACCCTGCTACACAGAGCCCGCGTATTGGAAGGCCAGCTGATTAGCACCTGTGATTCCAAGGGCAGTCGTAACTCCCCTTTGCCCTGGAGGGTGACACATTCACGGGTTCCAGAGATTAAGACACTGGCATCTTGGAGAGGCTATTGCCCTGCTCATTGCAAATGGCTTCCTGAAGAGCCAGAGAAACGGCACCCCCGGGCAGCAGCTCCCCTGGCCGGCGGGATGGGATTGGGGATGGGGAGCAAACTGGGCTCCTTGGATCTGGGAGGTGTCACCCCTCCAGTCCACTGGAAAATGGTTTGTTGTGAGGTTCATTATTCGAAGCTTTGGTTTTAGTCTGGGAGGAGTCCCGATGCATCTTCTGGCGGACTTGACACTGCATGTGCAGGGGGCATGAGCCAGGCAAGGGGTGTGGGAGGGCTGTCCACAGATGCCCACAGTGCCAGCAGGTCTGCTCCAGGCCAGCCCACCTCCAAAGCTCAAAACCAGAATGCACCTTCTGGGGATCCCAGCACCCCCAGGCCACCAGAGGCTGTCAATGTCGGTTTCCCAATCAGCCTATGGGGAAAGGGATTGCACCCCAGCCACAGCCCCAGTGCCCGGGACAAAGCCAGGCTCCTGTGGGGGCTCCACGAATGCCTGGTGAATTGTCAGAAAGCACCCAATGGGATTGCTGGGGACACCGAAGCTCATCCAGGCCAGGTAGATGGCCCCGGCAATGCCCAACAGGGAAGAGGGCCTGGGGCAAGGGACAACCCAGACCCCAGGGACCCAATCCCAGGGCTGCCAGTTACCTACACTGTGCCCTTAGACAAACGACTTACCCTCTTTGAGCCTCAGTTTTCCCCTCTGTGAAGTGGGAGGCCATCTACCTCAGAGCCTCAAGAACCACACAACATGATGGGCTAAAAGCTGTCTGCTTTAGAGGACCTGCAGAGCACGACCTCCTGGAAGTCTCCTTCGCACAATGCGTTAACTTTACTTATATTTACTGTTAATGTTTGATTTGCTTGCAATAAAAATATTATCTTTAATTTTTTTAAAACCTATCGTAAATAAACATTTCAAACAAACTGAAAAGTACCGCACATCATATATTCTTAAAACACCTACCACCTGGCCGGGTGCAGTGGCTCACGCCTGTAATCCCAGCACTTTGGGAGGCCAAGGCAGGTGGATCACTTGAGGTCAGGAGTTTGAGACCGGCCTGACCGACATGGTGAAACCCCGTCTCTACTAAAAATACAAAAATTAGCTGGACACAGTGGTGCACACCTGTAGTCCCAGCTACTCGGGAGGCTGAGGCTGAAGAATCACTTGAATCTGAGAGGCAGAAGTTGCAGTAAGCCGAGATCGCACCACTGCACTGCAGCCTGGGTGACAGAGTGAGACTTCATCTCAAAAAAAAAAAAATGTGTGTGTGTGTATATATATATAATATTTATCAAGTATTAAAGTTTGCCATGAATTTAAAATATTTTTCATTTATGAAATAAAGATACAGCAAACTCTTCTACCTCCCCATTTCTTCCTCCCCCTCCTTCCATGGGGTAAGCCCCCCCAGGGGTCTTCCCATCCACGTTTCAGGGTCTTTCCTTCATCTCTGTGTAGCTGCAAGTGCCGCCATTGTTCTGTTTATTTAAATATCTACATGCTTGGTGTTGTGTTATACGAATGTTTTGCTACTTGCATTTCTAAGCTAGTTTATTTTTACAGAATTAAGATGTCCTGTGTAGGGGTGGATTTGGGGGTTTTCTTCCTGCTATATTTGTTCCAGAGCCATCTGGTGAGCACCTGAATGGATTTTGAGTCAGTCTCCTGCCGGGTCCCGCCGGGGCCCTGCTGGGTTCCTGTGGTGGGTCTGTGATCCCTCCCACCTAAGCATACCTGCCACGTTGGCCATCCGCAGGGCTTCCTGGTTCTTGGGCGTCTTGGAGCGGTTCTGGCTGCGCTGTTTGCTCCCCGTGGACCGGATGCTGCGGAAGTGGACCTCCGTGGCCTTGAAGAAAGCCACCATGAAGGGCTGCTTGTTCTGGGGCCCGTGCCGCCCAATCAGGCCCGCCAACTTGGGGTTGATGCTCTGCCCTGGACAGGAAGCAGCCAAGTGCACAGAAGAGTAGTTACAGGAGGGCCACGAGCGGGACAGGGCTGCAGAGATGCTATGCCTCCCGGTTCATTCATGAACTCCTTATTCCTCCATCCAGTAAGTATTTATTGAGTACTCACTCTAGGCCAGGTACTGTTTAAGGAACTTGGAACACAACTGTGAAAGCAGCCAAGAAAACATCCTGTTCTCTGGGTTTCCATGCAAGTGGGGAAGGCAGGCAGGAAATATAAGGGGTGGGGAACCAGGCTGAGGGGTGCGGAAGGTGGCAAGCTAGCGAACCCCATAAGTGCCACTCACATTCCATTGGCCAAAGCAGGTCGTGGTATCTGCCTAATTTCAGGGAGTTGGGGGGCAATCTTGCTCCGTGCCAGGGAAGGTGGGAACAATTGCAAACAACCCTAATGACTATAGGGGCCATCTGAGCAGAGATCTGGGTAACAGTGAGTGAGGGGGCCCAATGGATGTTTGGGAAGAGTGCATTCCAGGCAGAGGGAACTGCAGAGGTGAATGCCCGGAGGCAGGAGCAAGGAGGGTGTGTTCAAGGGGCAGGGGCAAGTAGCAGGGACAACTGGGAGGGGCAGTAGGGGCACGAGTCAGGTCGGGTCCTATGGGCAACACGAGCACCTGCCTCAGCCCAGTGTCCTCTGTTGCTGATGTCCTCTAAAATTCACACCCACACAGAGCCTCAGGATGTGACCTCATTTGGAAGCAGGGTCTTTGCAGATGTGCTGTCGTCAGTTAAAATAAGCTCATCCTGGATTAGGATGAGCCTTAATCCAGTGACTAGTGTCCCCATAAGAAGGCCACATAAAGACACAGATGCAGACAGCCTGGGGAAGACAGAGGCCATGAAATGCCAAAGATTGCCAGGAGCCTCTGAAGCCAGAAGAGGCAAGGAGGGATTCCTCCCTAGAGCCTTTGTAAGAGGACAACCCTGTGGCACCTTGACTTTAGACTTCTCGCCTCCAGACTGTGAGACAATAAAGCCCTATTGTTTCAAGCCACCCAGTGAGTGGGACTTCGCATCCAGGGCCCTGGTCAGGACACCAAGGCGCTCTACAAGAAGCAAGAACCACTGGGGTGGGACTTTCAGTGGTGTTTATAAGGCCACTCAGGCTGCCCCTGGAGAGCCGATGGCAGGGGTCAACCTGGAAGCAGGGAGACCAGGTGGAGGCAACAGAATGGTCCACGTGGGAGGTGACGTGAGACTGGACCCAGGGCAGTGGGGAGGGAGGCTGGTGAGAAAAGGCCAGATCCTCAAGAGTTCATTTTTAAAATCTTTAGAATTTATTTTGGTTTTAACTTTTTGTTGTGAAATGATTATAGATTCACAGGAAGTTGAAAGACGATGTACAGGGAGGTCCCAAGTGCCCTTCATCCAGTTTCCCCCAAAGGTGATGTCTCGAATAACAAGAACACAGCCTCCAAACCAGGAAGGTGGCAGATTTAGGACTGAATTTGGGAAGGGATTATAAAAGGTGTGAGAAAAAGGGGAGTCTCATGAGACTGGCATGCTCTTGGCCCAAGCCCCTGGAAGAAGGGAGGGACTGTTTACCAAGGTAGGGAAACTGAGGCAATGGAGCATAAGCTGGGAAATAGAGGGTGGAAGACAAAATGCAGTTTCGTTTAGCAGATATTGTATGAAATCCCTACTTGACACCAAAAGGAAGGTGTCAGGTGGGCAGCAGAGGTCTGGCCTAGGCTTGATCAATTGATCAGTTGGAAGAGATGAGCTCTGGGCTAGTGAGGGAGGGAGTAGGGCCCAGGCAGGTTCAAAGCCCTGCCTCTGTCACTTAATGCACAGCTGGGGCTCAGGACACAGCTTTGCACACCCTAAGTGCTCAATAAATGCTAGCTCAGGGCAGAGCTTTGCATACCCTAAGTACTCAATAAATGCTAGCTCAGGGCAGAGCTTTGCATACCCTAAGTACTCAATAAATGCTAGCTCAGGGCAGAGCTTTGCATACCCTAAGTGCTCAATAAATGCTAGCTCAGGGCAGAGCTTTGCATACCCTAAGTGCTCAATAAATGCTAGCTCAGGGCAGAGCTTTGCATACCCTAAGTACTCAATAAATGCTAGCTCAGGACAGAGCTTTGCATACCCTAAGTGCTCAATAAATGCTAGCTCAGGGCAGTGGTCCAGACAGTAATGTAAGCTTGGGTGTCCCCAGTGTAGAGATGGCATTTAAAGCCAGAAGACTGGATGAGCTCGCCTGGGGAAAGTGTGTACAGCCTGACAAGCAATGTGAAGGTGGCCTCTGTGTTCCACTGAGAGGTCAGGGGAATGCAACGGAGACTGTGCAGGAGTACCCGGTAAGGAAGGATCTGGAAGACGCTTGGGCAGGAAGAATGGGGACACCAACAGGGTATGGGGTCCCGGAAAACAGGGGAGGAAAATAGAGGGAGCAAACTCCGTGTCCGTTGCTCTGCAGATGGACCTAAGAACACACTATCTATCCACTGGCTTTGACAATGATGAGGTCATTGGCAAATATATATGTAATACCATGTCTGGGGGTGATGAGTATTTCAAAGCCAAAAATAAAGCATCCAGTGGAAACAAAGCCTGTTTTACTCATGACAGCACAAGCTCAGAGAGGCTGAATAACCCGCCCAGGGATACCCGGCTTGGAAGCAACAAAGTAGAATCTGAACCCAGGTGAGGATGACGGGGAGTTGGGAGGCTGAGCCTCTGCAGATACGGTGCCCCCAAGTTAGATGGGAGGGGTCAGAGGCCAGCAAAAGCGATGGGCCTGTTCACATCTGGAATTAACTTCACCTGGAGTCCCCCAGACGGGCCAGAAGTCAAGAAACCCAGCCTCCCAGGACCAGATCAGCACCAGGGGGTTCACTTTGGTTTTTTAACAACTAGTGTTTAAAAGAACAAATTTTCCCCCACCCGCCGCTATTTTACCTTAACTCCCTTTAACGTTTGGCTTTCCTGCATTCTTGAGCGGGGTTTCCCGGAGTTCACCCATCTATAATTTGAATGGTTCTATAAAAGAAACCATTAAAGCTGAGCCCCTAGGAATTGTGTTTCCCCCACTAGAAGGCTTTTAGGGCAAAATAAAAATGCCTGGCCTGAAAAGCTGATGCTGTTCCAGATACCTTAAATCCACGCGCTGCAAAAAGTCTCTCTGTACCTCTGAGTGAAGGTGTCTGGCTTGCCTTGGGCAGCTGTCAGGACAGCCACATCCAGGGAGCCACAGCCTCAGCTGAGAAATGTCAGGACAGAGGGGCAAGAAGTGAGTCTCAAGGGTGTTTAAACCCGCATCTGCCACTAACCAGCCTGTGTGGGCTGAGAGAGGCAAGTTGTATGCTGGGGCCTGAATTTCCTCATCTGTAAAATGGGGATGATGCCATGAGACTCATCTGTCCCCCCTTTCCGTGATAGCCAACCGGATTTTCATTAAGGCAGTTGTGCCTTACATAGCCTCCACCCTGGCCTTAGAGGTGGGGCCTGTGGTTTAATAAAAGGCAACTAATCCTCTGGCTACAGTGATTAGTTCAGGGATGAGCACATGACCCATTTTGGCCAATAAATGAAGGAGAAGTATCCTGGAGGTTTCTGGAAAAGAAGCCTCCCACTCTAGTGTCCAGAAGGAAGCCTGCCCTCTCTCTCTCTCTCTCTCTCTCTCTCTCTACACGATTGAGGGAGGAGGGATAGATGGAGCCACAGAAACAGCCACCATCTGGCAACCACAGGTGACCATGTTTCCAAAGAGGCCACCCTGGTAGAAGGCAGAACAGAGACCGGGTCTCTCCTGACATTGCTAAGTCACTGGATCAAGCCAGCCCTGAAGCCCGCATTCTCACCCCAGCCACTAAGATGAAAAACCCTTCGATTTCTTAGTCTGAACTGGTATTTTGGGTTGTTCTTGCCCCTTTCCTAGAGACTTGGGGACAGGGAGCATGGTGCCAGCCATCTGGAACCTGACGTGGAACAGGTGCTCTGAGGACAGGTATGGAATCTTCCCCTTTGTCACCAAGTTTGGAAAAAGGTTCAGATTTTTAACCTAAAGGCTGAACAACACCACAGCAGACACTTATTCACCTTCAACAACAACAACAACAAAGGGATACAGAAAATACACTGGCAATTCCTAAAAAAAGTTTAATATGTAGTCTTCACGTGACCCAACAATTCCACTCCTAGGCGTGTACCCACGAGAACTGAAAACACGGGTTCACATGAAAAACTTGTACACAAGAGTTGGCAGCAGCATTATTTATGATGGCCAAAAAGTGGAAACAACCCGATGTCCATTAACAAATGAATGGATAAACAAAATATGGTGAATCCATATAGTGGAATATTGTTTGCCATAAAAAGGAGTCATTTTCTGATCCATGATACAACACGGACAAACCTTCAACTCGTTACACGAAATGGAAGAAGCCAGATACAAAAGCCACACATTGAATGATCCTATTTCTATGAAATGTCCGGAACAGGTAAATCCATAGAAACAGAAAGTAGCTTACTGGTTGCCTAGAGCTAGGGGTTGGGGGAGCAGAGAGTGGCTCTTAAGGGATATTTCGGAGTGATACGGAAACGTTCTAGAATCAGACAATGGGATGGCTGCACAACAATGAGAATATACTAAAAAAAAAAAAAAAAAATCACCAAATTGCACTCTTTGAAATGGTGAGTTTTATGTTAGGAAAATTAGATCTCACATTTTTTAAAAAACTAAAAAGCAAAACAGGGGTGGGAATGACCCACTCACTGTGCCTTAGAGGGACAGTTTGTATAAATAAACAGTAAGGATGCCTACCGCAGTGTCTGGCTGTTTACCCAATAAATGCCTGCCTCACCAGCAGCAGACTGGGAGCTCATGGCCCACCCCATCCTCAACACAGCCCCAGGGCAGATGCTGCAACCTCACTTTGCAAAGGAGGAACAAGACTCTGAGTGAGGAAGGCCTTTGAGCTGGTCCACGGCAAGGCCAAGATTCGAACCCTGGTCTGTCAAAACCAAAGCCTGCATTCTCTGCCACGACAACCACAAGCTCTCGTGCTGCAAACACACCCAAGGCCTCCCTTCCGTCTGGGTTTACAGTCAGTTCTCAACTAGGGTCAAAGCTCCCCAGAAGGGGGTGGGACCTACACATGAGCTTGGAGGTCAGCACCCCAGGGGTGGGGAGGGGACAACTTCTTCCAACAGCTAGGTCTTTTTGTCCCTGTTATTCCTTGAAATGTCAAATGCCTGACTATAGTCATTTGGAAGAAATTGGACTGAAATACTCTGAACTCAGTTATCTGACTTTTTCTTGGGGTACAGGGGGCTCTGAAAACAATACCTGATGACTGCAAACAGAGGAAATCACAGAGAAGAACGTAGGCCCTGGAACATCTTGCTCAGAGCCCATTTGCGGGCAGCGACCTCCCATCCATCCCCAGGCGCCAGCACCGGCTATACAATCTGCAAGGCCCGGTGCAAAATGAAAATGTGGGGCCTCTTGTTCAAAAGTGATTCATCATTTCAAGGTGGGGGCAGCAGAAGCAAACCCAGCACAGGGCCCTTCTAAGTTCACCCACACCTGTGAGGCTGGCCCCATCGCACACGCGTGACGCAGAGACAGGGTGCCATTCCACATGATTGGGACTGCACCGTCAATCCTGTTTCATATCACTCTGCCCTTTACGTAATATATTGCAGACATATTTCCACGTCGATGAAACACACACTGACCTTCTCCCTGGTGGCCACAGAGGAGCTTCCCATCTGGAAACACTGAGATAGAAGCATCCTTTGCCTCGTCCTCCTCTCCTAACGTAGGTTCTGTGTCCCAGGCTTGAACAACTAACTTGTTTTTTCATTAATTCATTCAGCAACTGTTTATTGAGCACCTACTGTGTGCCAGGGGCTGGGGCACATCGGTGAATGAGAACACGACCACCCTGGGAGCTGACTGGCGAGGGAGATCAGCTCAGGGGTGCACAGTGCTGTGTCTGATGGTGGCAAGGACTAGGAAGAACCTAGGACAGGGTGGCAGGGACATGACAGTGGGGCACAGTGTACAGGGCAGAGTGAGCCATGGGAGGTTTTGGGGAGGAAATGTTCCTGGCAGAGGGAATGGCACATGCCAGGTTCATGAGAAATACACGGTGTGTGTCAGCACAGTGAAGAGGCCAGTGAGGCTGGAGAAGTGAGCCAGGAACCAGAGAGGTTGAGACTGGAGATAGTGAGCGAGGAACCGGAGGGGGTGAAGCTGGAGAGAGTGAGCCAGGAATCAGAGGAGGTGAGGCCAGAGAGAGTGAGCGAGGAACCAGAGGGGGTGAGGCTGGAGAGAGTGACCGAGGAACCAGAGGAGGTGAGGCTGGAGAGAGTGAGCCAGGAACCAGAGGAGGTGAGGCCAGAGTGAGTGAGGAGCTTGAAGGGGTGAGGCTGGAGACAGTGAGCGAGGAACCAGAGGGGGTGAGGCTGGAGAGCGTGAGTGAGGAGCCCGAGGGGGTGAGGCTGGAGAGCGTGAGTGAGGAGCCCGAGGGGGTGAGGCTGGAGAGCGTGAGTGAGGAGCCCGAGGGGGTGAGGCTGGAGAGAGTGAGTGAGGAGCCCAAGGGGGTGAAGCCGAGGTGGGTATGGGGCTGGGTCACCTGGGGTCTCCCAGCCCAGTGGGGGATTTGGGCAGGGGGCGACGTGGCCAGGGTTCTGTGGTGGGAGACCCATTCTGAATGCCGTGTGGGGAACCAACAAGGCTGGGAGAGAGAGTGGTGGTCCAGAAGCGCGTCCGCTCCTGCCCGCCCCTCCTCCAGGCCCCACCACGCTCAGGGCCGGCCTCCCTGGGATCCTCACACATACTACCCTCCTCCTCCAACAAGCTCAACAACTTAGGGGAAGGATGGTCTCCTGCACCCACTGCTCCTGCACAGAAGCCAGCTTTAACGCTGGCTCCAAAGCTTGTTCACCAGACAGGCCACAGCCAGCATGGTGGGCCTGCCCACTCCAGCGCAGTGGGCATCGGGGCTGCCTCGGGCATGGTGGGATGTTTAGCAGTACCCTTGGCCTCTTCTCACTAATGCCAGTAGCACCTCTCCATGTCATGACAACCAAATATGTCTCCAGACATTGCTACATGTCCCCTGGGAGGAAAACCATCCCTGGTCAAGAGCCATGGCTGTACAAACACACTCCCTAAACAAGCCAAGAAAGGAAGATGTGTAAAGGTGAGTCATCGCAGCCGAGTCTGACCTACAAAACCCAAGAGAGAATGTAGTGCTTTATCAAGAAGAGATTAATGAACTTAGAAGGTGCATCATGAAGCATCAACCAGTGCCTGAAGATTCATTTACTGAACACGTGTTCATGCCTCGGGTACTGAGCCCAGCACTACCGTGTGCTCTGGGGTGCTCCAGAGGCAAGACAGGCGCAGGCTCTGGTGGGGCCAACAGAAGGAAAGTTCCCTCCCATGAGCCACTAAATGAGGAGGAGCATGCAAATTAGCCTGATTACACCTAGGAAGAAAGAAATGTAGGCCAGGTGTGGTGGCTAACGCCTATAATCCCAGCACTTTGGGAGGCCGAGGCAGGCAGATCACTTGAGGTCAGGAGTTTGAGACCAGCCTGGCCAACATGGAGAAACCCCGTGTTGTAGAGACTAAAAACCCCGTGTTAGTAGAGACTAAAAACACAAAGAAAATTAGCTGGACGTCATGGTGCACGCCTGTAATCCCAGCTACTTGGGAGGCTGAGGCACAAGAATCGCTTGAACCCGGGAGACAGAGGTTGCAGTGAGCCGGAGATCATGTCACGGCGCTCCAGCCTGGGTGACAGAGTGAGACTCCACCTAAAACATATATATATAATATATACTATAATATATAATATATATAATATACTATATATTATATATTTTTATATTATAGTATATATATGTTTTTATATATTATACATATTTTATATATTATAGATATAAAATATACATATACTATATATTATATAGTATATATAGTATAGATAGTATACATACTATATATTATATATTTTCTATTATAGTATATTATATAATATAGTATATACCACATAATATAGTATATTATATAATTGTATATTATTGTATATGTAATATATATTATATATAATATATAATATAGCATATTATAGTATATTATATAATATATATTTATATCTAAATTTATATATTTATTTATATTTATAAATTTATATAATATATACATATTATACTATATATTATATTATATATAATATATAGTTATACATAGATATATAATATATACTATATATTATATATAGTATATATACTATTACATATTATATACTATTATATTATATAATAGTATATAGCATATATACTATAGTATATATAGTATATATACTATAATATATATAGTATATATTATATATAAAATATAGAAGACATATTAATATATATTATGTATTTTTTATGTGTATATATATATAAAGCACATACTAACGTAGGTGCTCGTGTACAGATGTAACATGTATTTTGTTCTAATACCCCAGGAAGGGCTGAGAAAGGTTATTTTGCAGGAGAACAATTCCTTTTCATTTTATGTTATAAAATATCAGATTTAGTCAGTGCGCGTAACTATTTACTTTGATTATTTGTATTTAAATGTCCCGGACAAGTCACACTGGCTAGGGAGCCAGCCTGCATCTGTAAGGCATAGGGGCGAGGTGAGTGAACAAATTGATGTAGGCAGGAAGGCAGGACCTGCATCATATTTTAACCATAAAATCTGTATCTTTGAGAAAGTTTGAAAATATATTTTAGCAGAGGTTTAATAGTTTTTTTTTAAAGCCTGCAGATTTGCCCAAGAATAGCAGATTTTGAAAAAAAAAAACAAAAACAGGGTGCCTGATTGAATTTGAATTTCAGATAAACATATAATGTTTGCAATACGAGGGACATGCTGAACTAAGCGATTCTTTGTTGTTTGTCTAAATTCAAATTTAACTCGGCATCTTGTATTCTATCTCCAAGAGATTCTCCTTAAGGGTGGGATAGAAAGGCTTTCCTGCGGTATAATAACTGAGCTCTCTGCAGGCTGCAGCTGCCAGGTGGGAAAGGGGCCCGGCCTACCTGACAGGCAGGTAGAGGGGCCCAGAGGTCATGGCTTTGCTGGTTTCTTCATTGGGACTCAGTGCTTGTCTCTCTGTGGTGTGTTTTGTTGCTTTTGGAAGTCTTAGTTTTTAAGTTACCATACAGTAAAATCCACCCCTTTTGGTATGCCCATCTGTAAGCACTAGCGCGTGTACAGACGCCGGTACCCAGCTTCAATCGGGATACAGAGCAGCTCCACGCCACAAAGAACTCTCTGAGCTGCCTTTTAGCTCAGTGGCTCCCAACTGGGGTGATGCTGCTCCCCAAGAGACATGTGGCAATGTTTGAGACATTTTTGGTTGTCGTAACTGAGCAGTTGCTACTGGCATTGAGTGGGTGGAGGCCAGGGAAGCTGTCAACATCCTACGATGCATAGGACGGCCCCCAACTGAGAACTACCCAGTAGTGCCAAGGCTGGGAAACTCCGCTTTGTAGTCACATGGCTCCGACCGCCGGCCTCTGGCAAGACACTGACCCACTCACATCACTATAACTGCATTTTCTAGATATTTCATACCAATGGACTCCTGCACTCTTTTGCATTGGCTTATTCCAACCTGCACAATACCTTTGAGATCATCCACGTAGCTGCATTTCAATAGTTCATTCCTTTTTGCTGTATGTAAGTAGCATAATTTGTTTATCCATCCATCTGGTGGCTTCCAGCTTTGGTGATTACTCATATAATGAGAGACATCATGTGCAGGTTTTGGGGTGAACTTACCTTGGCATTTTCTGATGTAAAGCAGAAATTGAGTCCTTTACATTGCCAAAACCAGCCCTTTGCACGCTGTAGGCGCCCTCTGTTCACAAAGCATCACAGCTACTATTGTCTGAAGAGGCCAGGAAAGCTGTCTGACCAGACCTTTGCTCCGATGGTCCAGAGCAGATTGGAGAAGGCCCAATCGTTGCAGGGAGGTGAGGCAGAAGTGGCTGGTGCGGACCCCACAGCCATGCCCAGCCCCCTCGTGCCTGACCTTCCTCCGTCCATGAACGCTGCACATTAGACCCTTTCCAGCATCCCCTGCAGCTCCTGCTGGGGATGGATGCTGCAGGCTTCTCAGAAGTGTCTTCTCCCCAAAAAAGGCAGGCACATGATGAGATAAACATCCTTCCTCCTTGCCTACTGCATTTTCCTTCCATGCTTGTGGACATGGAGGCAGCCACATTGCCAACCATGATGAGAGAGCCTCAGGACAAAATGTCAACACTGTCAAGATGATGGGGCCGGAAGGGAAAAAGCCTCGAGTCTGTTGATACTCTAGCCCAGGGGCCAACAAACTACAGCCTGCAGGCCATATCCAGCCCACTGCCTGTTCTTGCAAATAAAACTTTATTGGAACACAGTCGATGCACAGTCAGGAACGCATGATCTGTGGCTACTCTCACACTAAACAGCAGGCAAAAACGAACGCCTGACGCTCAAAGCCTAAAATATGTACTCTCTGGTACTTTACTGAAGATGAAAACCTTTGCTGACCCTGACTCTAACCAACCCTAGATCCACTCACTTCCAGACTTGTAGGGAAAACCATCAGTGTCCTCATGAGATAAGACATCATTATTTTCTATTATTTGCCAGTATAAGTATTCTGGGTACAGTTGATTCCATCGTTGCTTCTCAACAAAAATGAAAACCCACCAATGTATACCAAGCACCGTGCTAAGCCCGTTCCATGCATCGCTCCTCGCTGGAATCTCCCAAGGTAGAACTGTGACCCCACATTTACAAAGGAGGAAAGCAAGGTCACAGGCGCAAAGTCACCTACCGGGGACCCAATGCTAGGGAGTACAGAGATGGAGTCCACACCCTGGCCCAGCCGACTGGAGCCTGTGAGCTCGACCCCTGCACCATCTGCCAATGAGTCCAGGCGATGGCAGGGAAAAGGATCCCCCAAAATTCAGAGAGACTGCCCAGGCATAGATGTAGGTGACTTACGGGGACCCCAAAGGTAGGAGGGATTCACTGAGGCATAGAGGGAAAGGCCTTCTAAAAGGAGCCTGGTGGAGATAGGACTCAGAGTGAGCTGAGGACAGGGCCCAGCCGTGCATCCTGGCACCGCTGGCAAACCCCAGACGACTTGAGCAAAATCGGCATGGCCAGCCCGAGGAACCCAGCGAACTCTGCGGAAAGACCCTGGAGAGCAGGCAGGGAGCACAGTGAGGCCCCTTGGTAAAGGAGGGGATGCAGCCCACCCACGCCGCACAGGGGTGGCATCTCGGTTTCCTTGTGGCTTTTTTGTTTTCCAGGCCCAGGGCTACAGGCTACCCTTCCAAGACCCACAGCACAAGAATGTTTCTCATTAATTGTGAAAAACACATTCACTCCAGCCATTTCTCTGGGTGGACCAAGGCCCAAGTGACAAGTGAGAACTTAGTTAACACTTGTGACATCTGCCTGGCCCCAATTACCCAATTCCGCCCTCCCCATTCTTGCCGTCCCAGCCCTGGAAGGACCGATCCCCGCCACTGGGTCATCAGGCTTTCTCTTTTCTCTCCCTCTCCGGCTTCTGGACAAACAGGATGTGAAGCAATCGCATGGAGCGAAGGCACCTTGGAGCCAGCTGCGCCGTGGGCGGCATCGCTCACCAGCCTTGGCTTTGTGGGGCTTAGTTTCCACAGCCGCCGCAGGCGAGTGGCTCACCTCCTGGCTCCTTCCTCAGCTGCCACAGCTGAGTGTCACACTTGGACAGCACATGCCCTTCAATCCTTTAAATGCTCTGCAATCCCATCCAATTCAATCTGGAGTGAGCATGAAGTAAGACACGTGCTCTCGTGTGTCACAGGAGAGACGCTCAGGGCTCTCTGCATGCAGATAGCCAAAATGCACATGCTCCTGACCCCCAGCAGACTTACTTCAGGAAACAAAGATGGGGTGCAGGAGGGAGAGAGGTGCCCTATGACCTTGGAGCTCAGGGTATGGACAGCCAGCGCTTACTGGAGCTGGAGAAAAGGGTCCCCAACGAGGGAGTATAACATGAGGCAGACAAGGGCTCCCCGATCATCTTCTTGGATCTGAGAGGCAGGGCTGATTGACATGGCCCTCCTGAGTCGCGAGTGATTTCTTCTGCAAACAAGGAAGAGGAGGGAGACACCATGAACCAGGACAAAAGGCTGCAGTCCCTTTCTTGGGACAAATGACCTGGTGCTTCCATGTCTGCAAGGACGACAGTCTCCCCAGCCCAAACCAGTCTTCATCTCTCTGCAGCAGGCTTTGCGGGTAGAAGACGGCACAAGGAAAATGGGCGTATTGATTTGTAGAGCAGCAGGAAGCCCTTCTGAACCATACTCAGAGCCTCAGACCTCATCTGCATGGCTTCACCCCTACCCTTCAGTACATGGTCTCTCGTTCCTGGTCGGACTCCTCCTAGAAGAATGTGAGCAACACAACAGCCAAATCTTCATTTTGTTCAAGGCTGTGCCCCTGCTGCTTCGAACAGTCCTTGCCTCATTGTAGGGGCACAACAGTCCTTGGCTCATTGTTTGTTGAGTGAATAACTGTGCTTCCAACATAGGTGGAGAGGCTATTTGCTGTAGGAAACTTGTTCTAACAACCAGATGCGGGGGTGGGGGAAGACCATCATTCATCATTCACTCCCCATGCTGGGATGCAGGGCCCACGAAAACACTATAATGTCTCTTAAAATCGGAAGATAAAACATGAACTTTTAGTGTCTAAGAAAGTTTTGGTTTTTAATTCAAAGCTGGGCACCTGCAATTCCAGCTACTCAGGAGGCTGAGGCTAGAGGATCGCTTGAGCCTGGACAGCCTGGGCAACGTAGCAAGACCCCATCTCAAAAATAATCTTAATTTTTAATTCACCCAGAATTATAATATTCATCTTGATATCAACATGGCCATAAAACATACTTTTTAATTTAATTTTTTTTTTTGAGACAGAGTCCCACTCTGTTGCCCAGGCTGGAGTGCGGTAGTATGATCTCGGTTCACTGCAACCTCCACCTCCCGGGTTCAAGTGATTCTCCTGAGTCAGCCTCCCGAGTAGCTGGGACTACAGGCGCACACCACCACACCTGGCTAACTGTTGTATTTTTAGTAAAGACGGGGTTTCACCATGTTGCCCAGGCTGGTCTCAAACTCCTGACCTCGTGATCTGCCCGCCTCAGTCTCCCAAAGTGTTGGGATTATAGGCATGAGCCACCGCACCCGGCCCTAATTTTTTTTTTTTTTGTAATGGAGGGAGGAGCCCATAGAAGTCAAGGGCAGCCCTGGTCACTTCTGCAAAGGGGGCTCCCACAGTGAGTCCTGCAAGAAGCCTACTGTCTTCTGAGTGCTTTTTAGAAACACTTTCCTTCCCAGGTGAAAAGCCAGGTAAGACCTAACATGTTAGAGGGTCCTGGGGTCTCTACCTCCGGATGGCCAGGCTGGGTCCCCTGCAGGGGCTCATCTGCCCCTCCAAACCCCATCCTGAGGCTGCAGCCTGGTGAACACATTCCTTGGAAGATTTTCCAGCAAAGAGGAAGGGAGTTGGAGTCACAATCCTCTGGCCAAAGCCCAGATCTACACCTGGGAGTCATGAGAAAGTTCCCCAGCCTTCTCAGCTTCTATTTCCTCATCTATAAAATGTTGGTGATATCAATTGTGCTACCTGGGCAGGATTATTGAGAGAACTAAATAAATCAACAATTAGAACTTCTAACATTCATGAGCACAGACAGGGTGCTGGGCCCAGGATTCAGCATGTTCTGAGAACTCACTTTCTTCTTCCAGCCGCCTACAGAATCCGTGATGGTATTATGTTCATGGAACAGACAAAGGAACAAGACCCCAAGAAGTTGGAGTAGCTGCTGAGACCACACAAAGGTGACTGAGGAGCTGTGCTATGACAGGGGCAGGGGTGCCAGAGTATGAGTGTGCAGGGGTTGCTAGTCCATCCTGCTTCTAAAAGCTGCACCCACACTGGAAGCTCAGGGCCTGGCTTGTAGGGAGGGTTCCCCTGCCTTAAGGCCACAAGGTGGGAGGAGCCCCGAGCTGCAGGATTCCCTCCACTCAAAGGTGCCTTGCCTCTCCTCTCCTCTCCCCTCCTCTCCTCTCGCTCTCCTCTCCCCCTTCTCTCCTCTTGCTCTCCTCTCCTCTCCCCTCCTCTCCTCTCGCTCTCCTCTCCCCCTCCTCTCTATCCTCTCCTCTCGCTCTCCTCTCCCCCTCCTCTCTATCCTCTCCTCTCACTCTCCTCTCCCCTCCTCTCCTCTCGCTCTCCTCTCTATCCTCTCCTTTCTCACAGGGCTCTGGGCAGTGCTAGATTCACCCCGGGTCTCTGACACCAGCATCCAGCATGGGCTGTAGGACACAGCCAGTCCATGGGTGGGAAGCACAGCCTGGGGGCTGGAACAAGTGGAGAGGCTGCCTCTCCTCTCTTCTGTATTAAGGGAAAGACAAACAGACTCCAGCCCTCATTCCTGTAGCACCAGCCCATCCCCAGGGAGATGAGACCAGGCTCCCCGCTCGGCCTCCTCCTGATGAGCTGCAGGTGCCTGGGAGTTTATAGGCTTCTCCCCGCGAGGGCACGCTGGCCTGGAGCAGAGCCCCAGCTGCGGCTGCTCCGCATGGTGACTCACAGGAGGGCCCAGCTGGGAGGAAGAGGGAAAAGACGCACGCTTCCTGGGTGGTCTCAGAAGGGCACCTCCGCACTTTGACCTCGAGACCCCCCACCACCCGTGGCCAGATGGGAGGGAAGGAGGACGCCATCTGGGCTTTGGAGTTTTGGAGACCACTGGCAGGCAGGGGCTCATGTGGGGTTAAACACCAGCCTTCTGAAAGAAGGTCTGCGATGGCTGCGCCCCGCTAGAATGGAAACACGCTGGCCCAAATTACTATCCTCCACATGCCCATTGTGTGCATGAGAAAAGCAAGGCCCCAGGAGGTGTCCGGGCTCCAAATTCCAGCAGCTGCTGGGGGCTCCTCTCCACCCACGCACAGTGTAACTGCCTAGTGGTTGCAAGGTTCAGGTGACCCTGTCTCTACCCCTTCTGGATGATGACATGGGCGCTGCTGCCTGGGCACCTGTCTTCTCTGGGTGCTGGTGCAGGCAGGATATCCTCTGAGTTAATATCAGTAAGAGGTCCCCAGGGTAGGGACCAGGGTCTCTGCAGCCAGCTCGGGGCCAGGCACAAAGCAGGTGTGCACTGATTTGTCGGATGCACACCGCCTCCCACAGGCCCTGCTGCCCTTCCCCGTGCAGGATCTGGCAGGGGAGGGTTGAGACCCAGAACCCGAGGGGTACCTGTCAGCCCAGGCACCATCTTGTAAACAGGCTGCCCTAGGCACCGTGCACGACTTTGCCAGAGTGTTGTCACTGGGCCAGGCCTCAAGTTACCCAAGTCTTCTTTTAGAAGGTGGCTAAGGAATAAAAAGCTACATACTGGGTGCAGCGTGCACTACTTGGCTGACAGGAGCACTAGAATCTCAGACTTTATGATTTGCCCACGGAAACAAAACCACATGTACCCCTAAAGCTACTGGGGAAAAGGGGCATATTCCTGGGCGCATCCTCTGAGATCCCCCACGGTGGGTCTGAAATGGAGCTCAGGCACCTGCATGTGCAGTTTGCCCCCTAGGGTGACCCTGAAGGACGCCAGGCTTGAGATCCTCCACGGTAGGGAAAACAAAGCATTTTCACAGCCATGATGTCTCGAAAATCCCGGACTCACTTGCTCTTTAGCTCACCCCCAAGAGGTCCAAAACTCCACACAGCCAACTGGCCATTATACACTTTGCCCCTCCCTGACAATCCAAGTGGGTGATCCTCCCCCGACTTGGGCAACCACACAAAACTCACTGCCTGGGCGCGCACAGCACCTGGACAAGCCAAGTCACTGGGCGGTGGCACCACACCCGGCCCCCAGGGCCCTGCCCAGGAGGAGCAAAGATGGTGTCCCGGAGTCAGAGGGGGACAGGGACACAGCATCTAATCCTTGATCTGACTCTAGATAGCAACCTGCAGCCACTAGGCTGCAAGGAATGGAGAGGGTCTCAGGTGGGCTCTGAAATATGGAGCCCCGGCGGGTTCTCAGGAGCCTCCATTTCCTGCCTGCACCACGGGGATGTGAGCCACAGCATCTACCTTGCTGGGTAATTGTGAGGATCACAAGAGACAGTGGTGCTTCGTAGCAACCACACACTGAGCAATTAAACTCTTCACTTGCATGAGCTCATCTAATCCCTCACAACCGCCCTTGGAGATGGAAACTATTATTAACCCCATTTTCCAGATGAGACACATTAAGTGACTCACCCTAGGTCACAAGGCCGGAAATAGCAGGGCTAGGATTTGAACCTGGGGAGCCTGGCTCGGGAGCCCGAGCTCTAACCATCAGGCAGCACTGCCTCCACCAATGCTGAGCCTTTCTCCATAACCTGGACAATGGGGGAGTAGGTGCTGGAGGTGAAAGGGGCAAAAGGACTCTGACTGTGTCTGGGGGGAATGATGAGGGCAGGACTGGTAGTAAGAGGAGCTGGCCACAGGGCTGGCGTCAATTAAGACAAAATCACCTGAGCCAGCAGAACAGGCAAGACAGAGAAGCACAGAACCCACTGGGGCCCAGTTGGAAGGTTTCCCCAACATCTACAAGTCCACAGAAATGTGTTACTAAAAATAGAAAAATTAGCCGGTGTGGTGGCGGGCGCCTGTAGTCCCAGCTACTCAAGCGCTGAAGCAGGAGAATCGCTTGAACCTGGGAGGCGGAGGTTATAGTGAATCGAGATCGTGCCATTGCACTCCAGCCTGGGTGACAGAGACTCCATCTCAAAAAAAAATAAAACTACAAATAGACAATGCCACTTCAGGAATTGGTCCTAGAGCTACACTCAAACGAAAAACGACCTACACACCAAGGTTTCCCACTGAAGCCCTGTTTGTGAGACCAAAAGACTAGAAAACACCTAGGCATCCATCCCAGGAGAGCTGGGTATGTCAGTTTTGGTGATCATGATGACGAGGATGATGACTGCTCTCCTTTACATGTGTATTACAGTTAGGTCCTGTTCTAAGCCTCATTACTCAAAGCACGGTCCAGGGACCAGCAGCTTCTGTCACCTGGTGGCTGTCTGAGAACACAGACTCCTCTGCCCCAGGCCAGCTGAGTCAGAATCTGCATTTTACCAAGATGCCTGGGAAAATCCTACGTACATTAAGGCACTATTTTTAAAAACTCTTCCCATAATAACCCATTACATCTTGTAACAACCCAATGGCCCAAATCCTCTCATCACCTGCATGCTGGATGAGAAAGCCCAGGCTCTGACAGGTTAGGGAAATTGTCCAACGTCACACAGTGTGTGGGTGGCAGAGCTACATGGACACAAAACACATGGAACAAGGAAGCTCTTTAACGGCTGACAGGACCAGTCTCCGAGATAAGTCAGCTGGAGAACACTGTATATGCCAGGCCACCATTTATGGGAGAGGGGAAAAACAGAAAGCCGAATCTCCATGTAATTGCTGAAATACCCAGAGAGCATCTCTGAAAAGACAGAAACAGCAGTTGTCCCTGGGAAGTGGAACTCAGCAGCTGGAGAAGAAAGTGGGAGGGAAACTATTTAGTGTTACACATGTATTGTTCATAGCTCCAAAGGCAAACATTGTGAAGGTGTTTATTCAAAAATAAATGAAAAAATTGTTTTGTTCATAAAACTGGTGGAAGGAAGAAGCTACACAGCTGGAAACCATCACCACTGAATTTTAAGCAAAGTCAAGCTACAAGATATCATTTCTTATCTGTTTGGGGTGGGGAAAAATTAGCATAGAGAAGTCCATTCCCACTTCTCCACTCACCATCCTTCCTTCTTCCCTTCTCAAAGGAGGCAGAACTGTAGTGGGAATGAGAAGTGTTGGGGAGGGCAGACTCACAATGGATTCTCCAGGAACTGGAGAGTCAGACGCACATTCAGGTTCTAATGTGGAAGGGACCAATGCCTTGCACAAGGGCAATTTTGTCCCACAGGGCACAATCTGGCGATGTCTGGAGACATTTTTCGGTGTCACAACTGGGAGATGCTACTAGCATCTAGTGAGTAAGAGACCGGGGACGCTGCTAAACACCCTGCCGTGCACGGAACAGTCCAGAATGTCCTGTGTCCTGTGGTGTCACCTTGGGGCTCTAGTTAAAGTGCAGGTTCTGATGCAGCAGGTCTGGGGTGGGCCCAGGATTCTGCATTTCTCATAAGAGGGCTGCCCTCACCCCTGCTGATATGGGACCACCCTTTGTGTAATGAAGCCTTACCCAATTCTGCTATGACCAAACATGTAATCTTCTTGTGAAAAGAGGGGAAGGGGCTGCTTCTGGTTTGGATCAAAAGGCTGAACATGGAGTACTGGTTGGGAGGGGCGGGGAAGCCTGTTTGTAGTGAAGCAAGCATGAGCACTGCTGAGACCCTCCTGAAGTCCAGGAGCACAGGCTGCATTAGGACTGGCAGTGGCCGGGGGACTCACCATCCAGCGTCTCCACCGAGAGCTGCAGGCCCAGGTTGTGCCGCGGATTGACCACCCAGTGGTTGCTGGTGGCTGTGATGTCAAACACCAGCCAGCCCTCCTCCGAGGCCCAGAGGGTACGGCTGTCGAGCAGGAAGAGATCCGATTCCCTGCGAGAGAGGAGGAGAGACACGGGCTTCGCGTTAGCCAGGTCACAGCTCCACTACCCCAACAGATGGGAAGCAGAGCCTCATGGGGTGGGAGGGGAGGGAAAGAGTCCACTGGTCCCCGACAAGTGGGAACATCAGACCAAGATCCAGGCACAAAGACCCCTCAGTAGCTGTGGTGAGGAAAGAGAGTGCAGAAGAGCTACAAAGAGATACACGCAGGGAAAAGGCAGCTGTTACAAGGCAATCTCACCCCATAAATTGTTAAGGGCATCCCAGCGGGACAGAGTATAGGAAGACAGGGATTATGCAGCCTCCGTGTTGCTGGAAGAGTCTCAGAGAGCAGAAGTTGATAGTGACTGAACTATTCACCATGTGCCAGATACTGTCCCACGGGCTCAACACTACACTATCTCATTCAATTCCCACAACCCGAAGCTGTGGGAATATCATTTCCACTCAATTTATGGTAAAGCCATGATTTGCCCAAGGTCCAAGGTCATTTAACCAGGAAGTTGCCAAGCTGGGGTTTCAGCCCATTTACCTGTGTACCAGAGCAGATACTCTTCATTTCCAGGACGTGCACCATCTTTATGAGCCCACCAAGAGTTAGGAGGTGAATCTCTGGACTGATGGTATTAATAGTGAAAATCCTTTCATTCTCTCTTCCTTACTTTTTACAGTAGCAAAATGGGTAAAATCATAATTAACTTGACAGGGGATGGAGGGTGAATGGGTGGTTGGATGGATGGGTAGATGGGTAGGTGAGTGAATGGATGGGTACGTGGGTGAATGAGTGGATGGATGGATGGATGGTTGGATGGATAAGTGAATGGATGGGTAGATGAGTGGGTGGGTGGATGGATGGATGGATGGATGGATGAGTAGATGGGTGGGCGGGTAGGTGAATGAGTGGATGGGTAAATGGGTGGATGGATGGATGAATGGGTAGATGAGTAGATGAATAAGAGGGTAAATAAGTGGATTGTTACATTTCTGGATAGTAGAATTCTAGTATGAAAGATCTTCATAACATTTCTTGCACACTTTTAATAAGAATTCAAAGTTTCAATACTTTGAGTCCTTTAATAGTCAACTAGAATATTTATACCTCTGTGTTGTACCAGAAACCAAGGCATAATGATGAACAACATGACACTGGTCCCTGCCCCAGGGCAACAACAGTCTCTATCATACCTGGAGTTATCTAATCTTCCTGGTGATTATAGTGAATCTTGTCTGCTCACACGTAAAGATGTCAGGCATATCCTTTATGGAGCACTTACCATATGCCAGGCTCCAGGTTGAAATGCCTGACCAGTCTCATGTCACTTAGTTCTTACAACACTCTGTAGGGTAGATAATATTCCCCATGCCATTGTGCAGAACTCAAAACTCAGGATCCGAAAGGTCAAGTTGTGTGCCCAGGGTTATGCCACTAGGACAGTCCAGGCAGGACTGGAAACCAACCAGGCTACCTGCAAGCCCAAGCTTGCAACTGTACACAAAGACAGTTCTTCTGGACACTGCCTTTTCAGAGCCTTTCACCAGTCAACCTCGTTGGAATGTAACCCACTAAGCCACGGGCAGGAGCCGAGCCACTCATGTCCCCTTTGATGAGGCACACATCTCCGGTTGGCTCCAGCCCCCAGCTCTCCGTACTAACACTGCAGACAGCCACCGCTATTTATCTTCCTGTCTGACCTGGACAACTCTAGGTTTGTGAGGTCTGCTAGATCACCCTTCTGCTGCATGCCATAATATGTTAGACATTCGTCAGGCACATCAATGTGAACAAGGCTCAGAGAAGACACACGGGAAACAGACCTGTAATGTTAGCAAGTATTGGGAGATTAACAGACCCGGAGAAGCCTACACAGGGAAGAAGAACCAGGGTCAGAAACAGACAGGAACCGAGGCAGGTGCGAGGGCACAGCGCAATTTTCTCAGGCACAAGCACAGAAGGAACGAATCGGAGCTGCTTTTCCCTCTGGGCCTCTCTCCATCCAAAACTCTGGGGGACAGAATCCAGTTGGCCCAGTCAATCTATGTGCCCACTCCTAGCCATGGGAGGGTGGGCACCCCACAGCAATGGACGCATCACCAGGACCACAGATGGGCGCAGGAGTCACCTCCTCCCATGCCACCTCAAAGTCTCCTTTTTAAGTAATATTCAATGACCCCCAGAACCTGATTCAGAAAATGCTTAATTCTGTTATTGCTGTGGTTTCAATGTTTTGTCCTTCCCAAGACTCATGTTGAAAATCCCCAATGCATCATTATTAAGAGGTGGGCCCTTTAGGAGGTGATTAGGCCATTGGGGATGGATTGGTGTCTTTATGAATGGGTTTGAGGGAGAAAGTCTGGACCCTTTCTGTTTTTCCATCTTCGGCCATGTGAGGACACGGCAACGAGGTGTCATCTTGAAGCAGAGGGCAGCCTTCACCAGACACTGACCCTGCCAGCGCCTAGATCTTGGACTTCCCAGTCTCCAGGACTATAAGGAATGAGGTATTTGTTTTTTGTTTGTTTGTTTGTTTGTTTTTAAAGATTGTAAAGGACTCATTCCTCTCTCAAGCACAGAGAGATGACAGAAGCAAGGAAGTCTTTTTAGAGCCACACAGGACTTTGAAGACCCTAAGTTTACCTTTCACATCCAAACTGAATTAAAGTCATGAGATTATTTTTCATGACTCATTTACTTCTTCTTCCCCATGCTCTTTTAGAGGTAGTTTCAGGCTGGCTTCGGGGATGTCTACACAGATTTTAAACTTATAAACAAGAATTTCCTGCTGTCTTATCTCCAGTTTGCCTGGATGACTTTCCTGGCTTTGAAAAGCTACCAAGGTTGTCAATGAACCATTAGCGATTCTCAACAATTAACAGATGAGACAAGAAGCACCACTCCAAGTCGAAACAACTTCTCCTACTGAATCAGGCTCCCAAGGCCCCTGTAGGAAATATCCACACCTCAGCACAGAAGTCACAAACCCAGATGGTGATTTTGCTGGAAAATTGTTATTAGCAGGAAAATGTGACCAGATATCTGGACAGGCCCTCGAGGACAGTAAAACAATGAATGGTAACCAAAGGAACAGAGTGAGACCTTTAAACAGAGAACGCCTCGCCAAACGATACTGAGCATTCTCTTATTGCAGGCTATGACACTGAGGCCAGATGCTACAGGCCAGCACTGACTCATCCATGAATCAACGTGAATGCGTCAACTCCCCTCCTTCAAGTCATAGTTTGCAATTTGTCCCAGGCACACTTAGGAGAGCCAAATCTTCATCAGAAGGCACTGGGAGACGGGAGCCTTGCTGAGATGGGTCGAGTGTGAGATGCTAACACGGGCTTTGCTTTCAGACTGAGAGCCCAGGCATGAGGTTGGACCTCATGGAAAGGACAAGGAAGGAATTACTCAGCAGCCAGGTCCAGTCTGACAGCTCGGAGAGGGGGAATTTCTAGCTGCCACCTTGAGCATCGTAAAAGAACACTGGTTCTTACAACCAGGAGAGCACTGAAGGAGCCCTTTGTGACATTTTTATTTACCTTGAACACACTGGCCTCCCCGGCCCAGCCCAGGTGAGAGAAGAGGTAAGGAAGGCTCAGGGTGAAAGGCCCTGAGGAACCTAAATGCGTTCTTTCACCTTCGCCACTGCTGAGAATCTCGGTGCTTTCCACGCCTCGGTTCTCTGAATCTCCCCGCCAGCCCTATGAAATGATCAAAGTCCTGTTACTGTTTTACAGATGAGAAAAGTTGGGGTCAGTGAAATGAAGCCAGTTGTCTCCAGGGACACACCTGATAAGTGGCAGAACCAGGCGACAGCGCAGGAAACCTGACTCAAGAGCCTGAGCGCTTAAACCCTGCCACCTCCTTCACTCACCTGGGGATAAGAGACACATAGGAAGATGTCAAATCCTGTATGATACGTGTTGTCATCACAGCGTTGTGTGGGGCAGAGAAAATACTAGAGGGGGATGAAACCCAGGTGATGGAGAAGGGATAAGGCAAGGTTACGCCAGATAATTCCCGTGTCTTGGTTTCCTCTTATGTAAAATGAGAATAATGCCATCTTCTTCAATGATTAGGAAGAGCCAGGTTAAGACCAGCCTGGCAGCAAACTCCAAGACACTCCTGGAAGAGCATCTATACTTATTACAAGGTATGTCAGTGTTGGTGTCTATTCTCTGCTAAACTTCAGGAAATCCTAGGATGGGGACTTTACATGTCTTGGTCCCAGAGGTTATGTGACTTGCCCATGATTCTCCAGTCAACAGACCACTTGTCCATTCCAAGAATGTTTACCTTGGACTCCAAAATTTGTCAGAAAAGTGTCCTATGTTCACAGTAGTGTTAGATTTTCTGCAAATAACAGCCACCAACAATTCCTTGTCTCTGTATGCACATGCTGCTGTCCCATAAACTTGTGGAGTCTGTTCCCCACCTCTGAAGTCTGGACTGACCATGTGATCTGCTGTGACCAGTAGGACCCAGTGGAACTGAGGTCCTGCCAGGCTCAGGACTAGGACTCAAGAAGCCTATCATTTCTATTTTTGCCCTCTGGGAAGGAAGCCACTGAATCGAGAAATCTGACTACACTGCTGAAGGAAGAGACCACATGGAGGGGAAGGAGGCACAGGTCATGGAGGATAAGGGTCTATAAACCAGAGAGAGAGAGAAAAACCAAGCCAGTCCCCAGTGAGGTGCCATCTCAGGCCTTCCAGACCTAGTCAAGCTCCTAGCTCCATCAGTGACTACAGCAGATACCAGAAAGAGTAGAAGAACCACCCAGCTAAGCCCTGCCTAAATTCCTGAGCAATAAAACGATGTTGTTTTAAGCCACTACATATGAGTGGTTAGTTTCAGAGACAGATAACCCAAACAACAGTCACATTGTTTATAACAGAAAAACTGAGCACTAACCATCCAGTGAGAGGGACTGGTAAAAACATTATGGCACATCCAAGGCAACAGAGCCCTGCACAGCCGCTTCAAAGGACCGTATAAATCTACACTTGTTGACAAGGTGGAAATATGATAGGAAGGTGCTAAGAAACAGAATTTGTAGGACTGAAACTTCTGGGAAAATGCAAAATGCAAAAATTGGTGCAAAAAGAAATGAAAATTTTGATTTGCCCAAAAGAAACTGAAATAGGAAGGTCTTTCCCATCCCCATACCCCAGTTGGTTTTTTTTTTTTTTTTTTTTTTTTTTTTTGAGACGGAGTCTCGCTCTGTCGCCCAGGCTGGACTGCGGACTGCAGTGGCGCAATCTCGGCTCACTGCAAGCTCCGCTTCCCGGGTTCACGCCATTCTCCTGCCTCAGCCTCCCCAGTAGCTGGGACTACAGGCGCCCGCCACCGCGCCCGGCTAATTTTTTGTATTTTTAGTAGAGACGGGGTTTCACCTTGTTAGCCAGGATGGTCTCGATCTCCTGACCTCATGATCCACCCGCCTCGGCCTCCCAAAGTGCTGGGATTACAGGCGTGAGCCACCGCACCCGGCCCCCAGTTGGTTTTATAACCACAGATTTTGCAAATTATCAACAGATAATTCTTTCTTATATAATTTGATCAAGAACATGGAAGAAGGAGTGTTTGAAACCCATATTGTAAAGCTAGCACGCCACTGACTCCCAAAATAGAGAAGGCTAATTTGAACAGACATTTTCCTAAAGAAGATGCACAAATGGCCAGTGAGCCATGAAAAGATGCTAAACATCATCAGCAACCATTAGGGAAACGCAAATTGAAACCACAGTGAGACAGCACTTCACACCCACTAGGATGACTAGAGCCAAAACCACAGATGATAACTAGTGTTACTGGCAAGGATGTAGAGAAAGTGGAACTCTCATATACTAATGGTAGGATTGGAAAATGGGGCAGCCACTCTGGAAAACAGTATAGTGGTGTCTCAAAAGGTCAAATGTAGAATTACCATGTGACCCAGTAATTCAGCTACCCACAGAAGCAATTAAAATACATGTCCACCCAAAATCTTATACACCAATGTTCATAGCAGGATTATTCACAGCCAAAAAGGTAGAAACAGCCAAAGTGTCCATCAACTCATGAACAGATAAACAAAATACAGTCAATTGATACAATGGAATATTATTTGGCATTAAAAAATGAAGTTCTGATAAAGGCTACAACACAGATGAATCTTGAAATCATTATGCTAAGAAAAAGCAGTCAGACTTAAAAGATTGCATAGTATATGAGTCCATTTCTATGAAATGTCCCAAATAGGCAAATCCATAAAGACAGAAAGTAGGGCCAGGTGTGGTGGCTCACACCTGTAATCCCAGCACTTTGGGAGGTAGAGGTAGGCAGATTGCTTGAGCCCAGGAGTTCAAGACCAGACTGGGCAAGACGGCAAAACCCCGTCTCTACAAAAAATATAAAAATTGGCCAGGCACGGTGGCTCACGCCTATAATCCCAGCACTTTGGGAGGCTGAGGCGTGTGGATCACCCTGAGGTCGGGAGTTCGAGACCAGCCTGACCAACATGGAGAAACCCCATCTCTACTAAATCACACCATTGTACTCCAGCCTGGGTAGCAAGGGCGAAACTCTGTCTCAAAAATAAATGAATAAACAAATACCTAGATTTATATATTTTTATATATATATATATATATATATATATATATATATATGTATATAAATTAACCAGGCGTGGTGGTACATGCCTGTAGTCCCAGCTACTCGAGAGGCTGAGGCAGGAGAATCGCTTGAGCCCAGGAGGCGGAGGTTGCAGTGAGCTGTGATCACGCTATTGCACTCCAGCCTGAGTGACAGAGCGAGACCCTGTCTCAAACAAAAAGAAAATAAAAGAAAGTAGATTAGTGTTTGCCAACAGCTAGACAGGTAGGGAAAATGGGGGTAACTGTTAGTGGGTATGGAGTTTCCTTTCGGGGTGATGAAAACATTCTAACATTAGACAGTGGTGTTGGCTGCACAACTCTGAATGTACCAAAAACCACTGAATTATACACTTCAAATCTTAATAAAGCTATTTTTTGAAAATGGATAAGGCCAATCTAAGCCCCAAATATAGAGTATGGTGCCATTATGTTAACAATTGTTTTAAAGTGTACACACAGCTGCATGAAACATTTACACGCATACACACCAGAGTGGTAGCAACAATTCACTGTGAAGTATTTTGCTTCCCTTTACAAGCTAACACATGTACGTCAATATTGTCTCAATTTAGTAAGCATGCCCTATTTCTGGAAAAAGCTAGATCTGTATGGGGCAACATATTTCCATGTTATACTTGAACAGCAGAACAAACCTAGGTGAGGGGGCAAGCCTGGCTCTCATCTTCTTTCCTGGGTTTGGACAGTTTTTTCCACTCCTCTAATCTCAGAGAAAGGCAGCAGAGCCAGGGGACAGGCCACACGTCTGTTGTCTATAAACTTGATGATCCTTCCACTTTCTCAGGCTGTTTCTGATTAAAGAAACAGCAAGACCCCAAAAGTCGTCTTCTCTTCTCTTCTGAAACTGGGTTCTCCCATAGCCCTGCTCTGCAAGGCATGAACCGCTGGTGACCCCAATGCCGCCGCACTAAGAGGCGTTAATATTTAACCACCAGCCTGGGGACAGCGTGCTGCTGGGCTTTCAGGTGCCTCCTCCCAAGGACGCCCAGGTGAATCGGCTGAAATCTAATTCTAGGGGAGCAGGACGAGGAACCGCACATCCCCAGGCTCGTTTCCAGTGTCTCCCAGCCCACCTTCCCCTGGAAAGTTCTACCACAATGGAAAAGGGGATATTTTAAAATCTCAAACGTGGGAAGGCAGGAAGTCCTTTTTTTGGCCTCTGGCTACCTACCTAGAGGCTATTTAGAGACTGATCCTCATGGGCCTTCACCCACCACCCGCCTCCCAGGGGAGTAAGACTCCCATGTGGGATGCAGGACCCGGCCTCAGCGCAAACACAGATCCAGGGAAGATGGCCCTGAAACTGCCCCAGGGCAAAACAGAGCGGAGTTGGGAGTCTGAGGATCTCTCTGGCCCTGAGGCACCCAGGCACGCGTTGGAGCCACAGGAAACACGAATTCCAACATGGCCACACAGTGCACACTGTCTCGTTACCTGGGACAGTCCCCATCCTGTCTGCGCCCACCATCGGGGCTCCTTCAGCCTCCTGCCCCTGGGCCCAGCCATCCAGGGTCTTAGGAGCAGAACAGGCCCTTGGAAATCCATTCTGGTCATTTTAATTTTCAGCTTGGAAAGATGAGAGAGTTTTTGTCTTGCGCATGGGCAGCTGGTGGCTGAACGAGGATTAGACACCAGTTCTGGGCCATAATTTAGGGCAGTGTAATGAAAAATGTTCTCGCCATCACAGCCTGAGAGCCAGCCTGATATCCCCCTCTGCTACCTTCAGACACAGCCCCCCACCACCTTCAGGGAGCAGGCGCAAGCCAGGGTTGGAAGGGCCGCATGTGGAATCACCCGGCTGGTGGCCGGGGGCCCTCAGCACCCTGACACCTCGTACTGGGCACCTACTGCACACTAGGCTCTTAAGGGACACTCTCCCACCTCCTCCTCCCTCCTCCAATGAGGTCAGTACAATCCGCATCCCCACTTAATATCACCTTAATACCACCTATTACATGGGGATGGGGATTGTACAAAAACTGAGGGGCAGGGAGGCTCAGGACACGCCTCTGCTGGGAGCAACAGGCCCCAGGCCAGAGGTTACTCGAAGCACAGAAAGCCATCTCCAGGAGCCCCACCCAAGTTAGAGGAGGCAGGGCAGGAGAGGACGGGGCTGGCCCAGGCCCACCATCAAAAAAAAGGAAAACACACTTCAGATGATGTGGTAGGCAGAATAACACCCCCTCAGACACATCCAGGTCCTGACCCAGGAAGCTGTGGGTATGCCACCTCCCAGGCCCTGATCCCAGAAGCTGTGGGTATGCCACCTTCCACAGCAGCAGGGACTTTGCAGATGTGATGAAAGATTTTTGAGTTGGGAGATTATCCTGGATTATCCTCATGGGCCCAAAGGAATCATAAGGGTCCTGATAACAGGGGAGGCAGGAGGCCAGAGAATAAGCTGTGACAGCGAAAGCAGGGGTCAGGGTGGTGTGACTGCGGCTGGGAACCTTGAGCCAAGAAAGGGGGCTCTGTCTCCTAGAAGCCAGAAACAACAAGGAAACAGATCCTCCCCCAGGCTCTCCAGAAAAGATGCAGCCCTATGGACCCCCTGATTTGGGCCTAGTAAAACCCATTTCAGACTTCAGACCTCCCAAACTCTAAGAGAATAAATGTGTGTTGTCTTAAGCCACTAAGTTGGCGGTCACTGGGCTCAGCAGCTGGAGGAATGAATACAGTTTCTCTCCTGAGATCCACACTGAAACGCCTCCTCTCCACAGGTGCTCTGCTAGGAGCCAGAGACACAGCGGCAGCCAGAGATGGAGCTCCGGGTCCAGAGGCTGGGCGTGCGTAGCACACAAGAGGGTCATTCAAACCCTAATTAAGTGGCGTGAAGGAGGGAAGAGGCCTCTGGGTGAGCAAGACAAAAGAAAAGGACTAGATGTGAGGTGTGAGGGTGTGCGGGGAGGACGTTTTATAGAAACATCTCCCGAAGGGGGTCAGAGGATGAGCAGAACTAACACAGCTAAAAGGGCAGGGAAAAGCGTTCCCGGCAGAGAGAACCGAATGCGGAAGTCATGATGAGAAAGTAGTGAGGAGAGGGCACAGGTGCACGATGTCCCCTGCAGGGCCTCTGGCCGCGGGAGGTCAGGTCTTGCTGAGCGCTGGGAAGCCGGGAGGAGTTCTAAGCAGGAGTGGAGATGACGGGCTCTGCCACTCGCAGACCCAGCTGACTCGCTCCCCGACCCCTAGTCTGACCCTCGCCCTCGCCTCACTCTGCTGCTCTTTGGAAAACTGCAGGCCGGACATTCTGAAGGCCTGCATGTTGTGAACGGTTGCTGGGCCGCAAGGATATTCCTCAGAAGAAAAGGAGCAAGAGAGCGAGCCAGCGAGCATGGCCAGAGCATTCCCAGGCTAGCATGATGTCATGGAGGGAGCACAGGCTTGCGGCTGCGGTGAGTCAGGCCGGGAAACTGCAACCCGCCGTGCACCTGGAGTCAGCCCAGCAGCAACCCCAGCCTGCAGGGAAGCCCGGGAAGGAGATCAAAGGAGCCCAGAAGGAAGCCGGCCCCACCCTGGCAGCCAGCTCCCGGGTCCAAGGGGTGCCCCTTCTGAGCTGCAGGCTGGGGAGGACTCAGCCCGGGCCCCAGGCTCCCCCACCTCAGCTTCAGGGAATGCCCTGCTTTCCTGCCAAATCATAGAACAGTCCCTGGCATCCCCCAGACGGGAAGAGGAAGTCAGGGAGGTCCAAGGCTTTTTAAAAATACACTTTCTTGAAGACGGTGCATATCCAGGAAGGCTAAAATTAAAGCTTTGGGGAGTAAGGTGGAAAAATACACAAAGAGGCACAATATCCTCCTGCCCCAGACAGAGCTCGGGTGGCCACCCACGGCCCTCTCACCCACCCCACGGCTGTCTGTCTCCCTCTGGGCAGGGCCAGCTGACTGCAGACAGCACCAACCCAGCCACTCATGGGAAAGTCAGGAAGATGCCCGTCCAGCACCCGGAGGCCAGCGTTGTCACAGTCAGAAGGCGAGTCAGTGGCCCTTATGTTCTAGCCCTCAGTTTCTCCATCCACAAGACAAAGGGTTTGGAGTTTATCAAGGTCTCAAAAACTGCAACTTATTAATAGGATAGCTAAGAGAGGAAAATGAGAGGATCAAAAATCCAAAATGCTCTGTGGTGAAATGAGGTTGGGAAGCACCACATGACACATTGCTCCTTAGAGATGTCATAATGCACCTTAGCTCTTTAAAGGCTCTGAAAAGTCCTGCTGCAAAGAAATGTCTGCTCCGGCAATGGAGCGCAGTAACGAGCCGTTCAAACTTGTGTCAAGGTGTGGATCACAGAGGCTGGGGGTCAAGAGGGAAGAGAAATACAGCGACAAATGGAAGGCTCTCCCTCATTAGAGACACAGCCACCAGCAGAGACAATCAGGGGGTGAGAGGCCCGGAATCCTCTTTGTGATGAAATCCCCAGAGTGGTCCTCGGGTCCCACAGTGGGTGCTCAGGGATGTAGGCTGTAGGGCTCCAGGCTCTGAGTTGAGGAAAATTGGAGTTAAATTTCAGTGAAGTAACCCTGAGCAAGTCAGTCTCTGTCCATCAGGTTCTTTTGTTTGTAAAATGGAGGTAGCCATGAGGATTGTTCTGAGAATGAGTTAAATGGAAAGATATGCTCAAGATGCCAGCGCAAAGCCAGAGACTCAAGGTTCGCAGCTGGTTGGAGCAAACCTCAATGTCAGTGTGAATCTTCCACCATGGGATTCAAGCTGCCTTGGCTCTAAAGTAAGATCACAGCTGCAGTGAGCTGACCCCAACTCAAGATGGAACCATCTTAGAACAAGGTGCGGAGCGAGCCCTCTGAACCGTATGGTACCTGAGAGGCGAGCACTGTTGTCCCCTCTCACAGGTGGGAGACTGAGGCTCAGAGATATGCAGGTAGTGAATGGAACCACCCCAGAGCCTTGTTCCAGCAAAGTGTCACCCCTGCACGGTGATGGTTTGATGGTGGAGGGAGAGCTACCACCCAGAGAACCCGGGGGTTCCCCTTCCACTCTTCTCACCCCGCACTCCCCCTGCCCCAGCAGCTTGCAGGGGCTGAGCAATTAACTTCCCTGCCTCAAACCCTTTATCAGCTCTTAGGATAAAAAGCCAAAGCTCTCTAATGTGTTCTGTGATAAAGAAGACTATGGAACTGACAGTCCAAACCGAGAAACTGGGGAGAGAGAGGAGGCATTATTGTCAACTCCAGGTCATCCAACCTGTAAGGCCCTGGATGGTCCGGCCCCTGTCTCCACAGCCTCCTCCCACCCAGCCCTCCTCATCTGTGCCAGTCTCCAGCCCACCACAGCCCCTCACACATGCTGTTTCCGCTGCCTGCAACACTGTTCCCTGCCTTTTCACCTCCCTCACACCTGCCTGTTCTTGAGCATCCCAGGGAAGCGTCCACTGATGCCCTAATGGTGCATCCACGTCGGACACGCTCCAAGCCCAAGTCCTCTCCCCTGCGCCATCTGGGCTGGAGTTTCAGTTTGTTTGTATAGTTTTTTGGGTTCTCCTCTTTTCCTGCCAGGTTTTAAGCTTTTTGTCAGCAAGAACCAGCCCTATTTTATTCAGCCCTGGAGCGGCCTCTCCACCAGGCACACAGCTTAGCACAAAGCAGGCCTCAGATGCACGCTGGACAAATGTGCTGGTATCCTCTGCATCCTTATGGCCAGTAAGGTTTTCTGGTTTCACTTCCAATAGTTTACATTATTAAAAGAGAAATGGTAAATACTTTTTCAGATTATTCAGGTAGCTCCAGAAATGGCTCTGACTCACAGTTCACTGGGGCCTTAGCCCACCCAGCCCACTCTATGTCCCACTGGGCACCCACACTCCCAGGCCATGGGCACCCAGCTGCACATCCTAGTTGAAGGGAAACCCTCATCAGCCCCTGGGCACCTCCATACCCCCCACCTTCACAGGCCTGGCTATGGAACCAGGGGGCTGTCAAATTACCTCAAATTGACCCCTCACTGGAAACTGCCAGGCTGCATGGGCTTCCGGTTGAGTGCCCCCATTTACTGTCCCCATCACCTCTTCGGAGCCACCTCCTTTCCCCACATCAGGCAAAAATCAAGAGGACTCAGGTGGGCAGAAAGCAACAGCTGGGAAGAAAGCACATCTCACATTTCCTTTTGGACCTGACTCTTGTCCCTCTTTGCTTAAGATATCAGGGTTTGAGCCCCAGAATTTCTGGAAAACTGGAGGCTCTACTGTTCCATTCAACCCAGGCATGATCCATCCAGAAACCCAGTGGAACTGAGCCGCGAGCTGGATTCCAGCTCACAGAACACACCAAGAACTCTGGTGAAACATCAAGAACTCTGGGGGGTCCCCCCAGAAAAATCTGGGGGGCACTGCAGAGCTTCTGACACGGCTCTGGGGGAAATCCCACACGGATGGGCAGCTGCCTGCATCTGGCACTGTGGAGGTGGGCGGGCAGCCATGGAGGATGGGGAGACTCATCTTTCTAGACTTCTCCTGGGGACCGCATTTCCTCCAGCCTCCAGGTCCAGACCAAAATAGAATGAGGTAAATTCAGCCCCTTTCCTGAAGCACACTCAAGGAATAAACAAGCACCACAAATACAGTCTTCGGGCTGGGTCATCTTTCCAACCTCATTTTTTTTTTTTTTTAAGAGAACCACAGGCTGTTTTAAGATTCCAAACCCAGAGACAGAAAAAGTGCAGCAAAGCAGGGCGACAAGGGGAAAGAAACTTGACAGTGCTTTGCAGACAGAAACAAGTGACGCAATTTCCAAATTCAAGATTCTCAAAAACAGAGGCTGGGTTGGAACATCTAGAGAAGGCCAGAGCGGGCTGTTCTAAGACTTATTCTCACGGTAGCATCCTGAAGCCGGGGGGGTCCAGGAAGGGGGCAGGCTGAGGACATCAGCTTGCACTTGGTAGGCCCTCACCAGGTCCCAGAAGCTGTGCCGGTGCCAAAGCTGCCCCTTGCCAGGAAGCCCTCCCGGCTGCCCTGTGTGGTTGACACTTGGCCTCTGTCATGCTTCAGTGACCCCAGAGGCAGGTCCTGAGTCAAGGACTTGAATGCAAGTAGTTTGTCTGAGAGGTGACCCCAGGAACCACCTGGAGAGGGCGGGGAAGTAAGGCAAGCTTGGAGATTGTCAAAACAGAACACTGTGGGCCTGGGACTTCAGCCCGTCAGAACCTCCTGGAGCAGCTCCAGAGGGGTGCACCTGAGGACGAGGGCGCTGTCTCCTGAGGGCGAGGGGGCTGTCTCCTGAGGGCGAGGGGGCTGTCTCCTGAGGGCGAGGGGCTGTCTCCTGAGGGTGAGGGGCTGTCTCTTGAGGGCGAGGGGCTGTCTCCTGAGGGTGAGGGACTGTCTCCTGAGGGTGAGGGGGCTGGGGAATTCTCCATAGACCTTGACTCCGACTCCTCAGTGGGTCAGAGAAAGTTCCCCGCAGAGCTCCCACATAGGGGAAGGTGTGTGGGGAGGGGAAGCCTCGAGGTCTGCGGCTCAGCGGGTCCATCTCTCCGAGGAGGAGTGGAGGCCCTGTCCAAGGTGGCAGTTGGTGAGGCTGACATGGTGGGAGTCACCACCTGAGCAGCCAGACATGGGCTGGAGGAGAAATGCTGTCTACATTCATGGCAGGGACCCCCGCCAGGACAACCTGTGGTGGCATCTGCAGAGAAAAGACTCAAACACCAGTGATGCTGGGGAAGCTGGAGGATCCCTCTTATGTCCAGGAGCCAGACTAGGGCCTCAGAGATGCTTTTCCTACTGCACCGTGAGCCCCCGCATGTGGAACACCCAAGGGGAAAGGGATGGAGGCAGGACTCAGCTGGAGAAAGCTTTCCAAGGAGAATGACCATGACAGGTTTGTTGGGAGGCTCCTGGTTCCAGCTCTCAATCCCACTTGCAAACCTGACTCCCAAACCACCCCACCCACCCTCTCCCACTTCCGGGACCTGTGGGTTCAACCCCAGAGCAAGAGGCTGAGCCCGCTCCCTAAGCCCACAGCATGGAGGGGAAAGAGCCTGCTATTGAGGACACCTCAAGTGCCATCTTTAAAGCGCCCCTAACTAGGCCCTGGGGAAGAGTTAGGAGACAAAGAACCCTTACCCCAAAAAGGCTCTTATAATCTCATTTCCACTCAAGAAGCAAAGCCACATGGAGTGCTCTGTGCCAGGCACTGAGGTCGCCATAGCTGAAAGCCCAGGGGTTACAAGGACTCCAGTCTGGGGACCCCGTGTGGCTGTGACCCACGTCACTCAAGTTCAGAAGACATCGAGCCACAGCCAGAGTGTAGGGATTCAGGTTGAATTTTAAAATAGGTGGGGCTGAGATAGACGGAGCGATAGTGGGAGAGGACTCTGCATCAACTCCCTCCAAACGCTGGGTGACTGTCACTTTCAGAAACAAGCAAAGCAGGAGAAACACATAGGCAGGAGGAGCCCCAGGGAATGTGGCCACTGAAGGGTAGGTGGCGTCCTGGACAGGACAGAAGGACAAGAAGTAAAAGCAAAGGGGTCCGGAATAAATGATTGACTTTCATTAATAAAAATGCAGATGCTGGGTCCTTAATTATGAAAACTGTACCCTATTGATGTTAGGTGTTAAAACAGGGGAAACCAGGCGTGTCTGCGCATCTGTGTGCTGTGTCTGTGTCTGTGTTTCTGTGGATCTGTCTGTGTTTCCACGTGTTTACGTGTACAGGAGACAGCTGGAAATGAGGCTGGGGCTGAAAGGTATCTGTATAAAGATACCTATCAACACAGATATCAACAGACATCTGTATCCAGGGAGATGGCAAGGCCAGGGCCGGCTTCATGGGCATCTGACCCGTGCAGTCACACAGGGCCCGACACACAGAAGTACGCCGAGCTTGGTTTCATGCTCTGCTGTTGCTGTCTTGAAATCCTTTATACATTTTTGACACATTTTCATTTTGCACTGGGCCCAGAAGGTGACACAACCAGTCCTGGGAGCTTGTTTTTAAACATTCATGATGAAAACTCCTAGCCCCTACACCTGACTAGTTGGGGTTAAACATGGGAACCTGTATTTTTCTCTTCCAATATATTTCCAGGAGGTTCTGACAACAGCTGGGTTTGAGCACCACCTCGGACAGATGTGTGTGAGGAGCTGCACAGCTGGTGTTTGGTGGTAGCTGGTGTTTGTTTGGTGGTAGCTGGTGTTTGGTGGTAGCTGGTGTTTCTTTGGTGGTAGCTGGTGTGTGTTCGGTGGTAGCTGGTGTGTGTTTGCTGGTAGCTGGTGTTCGGAGGTAGCTGGTGTTTGGTGGTAGCTGGTGTTTTGTAGTAGTAGCTGGTGTTTGGTAGTAGCTGGTGTTTGGTGGTAGCTGGTGTTTGTTCAGTGGTAGCTGGTGTTTGTTCAGTGGTAGCTGGTGTTTGTTCGGTGGTAGCTGGTGTTTGTTCAGTGATAGCTGGTGTTTGGTGGTAGCTGGGTTTGTTTGGTGGTAGCTGGTGTTTGTTCGGTGGTAGCTGGCATTTGTTCGGTGGTAGCTGGTGTTTGTTTGGTGGTAGCTGGTGTTTGGTGGTGCTGGTGTTTGTTTGGTGGTAGCTGGTGTGTGTTCGGTGGTAGCTGGTATGTGTTTGCTGGTAGCTGGTGTTTGGTGGTAGCTGGTGTTTGGTGGTAGCTGGTGTTTGGTGGTAGCTAGTGTTTGTTCAGTGGTAGCTGGTGTTGGTTAGGTGGTAGCTGGTGTTTGTTCAGTGATAGCTGGTGTTTGGTGGTAGCTGGGTTTGTTTGGTGGTAGCTGGTGTTTGTTTGGTGGTAGCTGGCGTTCGGTGGTAGCTGGCATTTGTTTGGTGGTAGCTGGCGTTTGTTCAGTGGTAGCTGGTGTTTGGTGGTAGCTGGTGTTTGTTCGGTGGTAGCTGTTCGGTGGTAGCTGGTGTTCAGTGGTAGCTGTTCGGTGGTAGCTGGTGTTTGTTCAGTGGTAGCTGGTGTTTGTTCGGTGGTAGGTGGTGTTTGGTGGTAGCTGGTGTTTGCTGGTAGCTGGTGTTTGCTGGTAGGTGGTGTTTGGTGGTAGGTAGCAGTGAGCAAGGTAAGTGGGAAGGTGGGAAGAAGACAGGGTGGGCGAGGGACTTCCCACTTAAGTATGTTCAACTTCGGCTGTGTCACCCAGAGGTACTTGACATCCCTCCCTCCCTCCACCCTGTGCTTCTCAGTCAGGGCCTAGTTAGAGGCCCTTTTAAAGATGGGACCCTGACAATATCTGGTGACATTTTTGGTTTCACAACTGAGTGTGGGGATGTGTCATTGGCATCTGGTGGGCAGAAGCCAGGGCTGCTACCGAATGCCCTACTATGCCCAGGATGGCCCTTAACCCCAGAGAATGAGCCACCCCCAAAGGTCACTACTGCGGAGGCTCGGAAACCGAAACCCTGCCTCAAATGACAGGGTATAAACACTTCAGCTCTCTTGACGGGACTAGGATGAGGGTGCAACTTTGTCTCCAGAACCTCTAGCAGGAAGAGTGAGCCAAAGTCACCCTTCGGGGTGCTCTGCGCAGCACCGCTCCCTCACCTGGCCTCCCCATCTCCCCACTGCCCGATGCTCCTAAAGGCCTTTCCTGGAAACACTTTCTAATCCTTCACTCTCACAGCCACACAATCCTCAGCTGAGGGTGAGCTTTGGAGAAACCTGACCTGAAACCAGTGGCCAACAGGTTTCACTTGATGGCAGCTTCACTCAACTGGCAGTGGCTGCCTTATTTAGAGACCTGTACCAAGGATCCAGGGAAAGGGAGGGAAAGGGATCCATTAGCAATGCCTGCCTTGGTCCCAGGAGGAGAAGGGTGGCATGCGTGCTGGAATGCAAGACCAGGTGTCAGCTTTCCTTCCTCCTTTCTTGGGGTGGCAAAATGGAAAGCCATGGGCATTGTTGAGGAAAAAGAAGAACATGGCACCGACAGAGGTTGCAATAGGAAGACAAAGGAAGAAGCAGGGTTTGGAAGAACCTTGAGTATTTACCTACATGCCTACTTCCAATCTGAACTTGAACTAGCTTCATTAACTGTGGTTGTCTCCTTTAAAACATCATCATGTTCCTGGTAAGCCTGTATTCCCCACCCTTAGAGTTAGTATTTGAGCAGACACTTTTCTTCCCAGCTACAGATGACTGCTTGTGACCAAATTGAAAAATATTAATTCTCTTTGTCTCCTGCCAAAAAAGCTAAAGCAATTACAGATCCTGATTCGAAACATAGATGTTAATACATTTGGAAAAATGAGCTTCTATAGGCGAGCAGAGGCCCAGGGCCAAGCATGAAGTGCTTTTGGAATCAAAGTGCCAAATCAAGTTATCCAGAGAGCTGCCTCCACGAAAGCCCATTCTTCCCAAATGCATCCCAGTGTAAAGAACCCCAGGCTGCCGCACACACGCTGATGTCTCCCCTATTTGCAAACAAGAACCGACCTACCCTTGGGCACCCACTGGCACACAGCTGTAAATAACGTAATTATAATCATCACAGGGAAACATCCATAGGATCAGAAAGTATCATAATTACAGGCAATTTTCACTTTTTGGAAATTGGGCTCAGATGCTGAAGAAAGATTGCAAGCAAGGCATTCTCGAGTTTCAATTCTGGAAGAGAAAGCACATTGGAGCATTTGGTAGGACGAACTAGCTCCAGGGCAAAGATACTGTGGCCGGCACTCACTCATCCAGCAGGCATCTGTTGTACATGCGCTCAGGCACACAGGACCAGACCATGTGGTCTGTGAATTCAGAGAGCCCACATCTTCAAAGGGAAGGCTGGGTCGTGCTTTCATCCTTTCGTGCATTTGGTGTCTTACTGAGCACCTACTATGTGCCAGGCTCTAGGCAAAATGGATACCACAGTGAGCAAAACGAACAAAACTCCTCCCCTTGTGGACCCCCTGTCACTGTCTCTGCTGGGCCCCACTCAGATCTTCACTATGCAGCCCCACACGGTTCAGCAAGTGTCCACATGCTGTCCAAGTCCGTGCAACTTCCGAGGGGTGGAAAAAGAGGCGGCTCCAGGTGCGTCTGCAAAGCCTCACTACACACTACTGGGACAGGCTGGGCAGGTCACTGGTCTCTGCCTCAATTTCCTTGTGTGGAAAATATGAATTGCCCCACCATTTCCCAATTTACAGGACTGGACTGCCACGAGGAGAAAGAAAAAAGTGTATCCACCAGCCAAGGAAGAAAAACATATGCGACTGGGGAAAGATGGAAGCTTCTCATCCTTAATCCCCAACCCAGTATTGTGCCTTCATTTCCTTGTCTGTGAAAGAGGGTGTGGGAGCAGGCACGGTGGTTCATGCCTGTAATCACAACACTCTGGGAGGCCAAGGCAGGAGAACAACTTGAGGCCAAGAGTTTGAGATCAGCCTGGACAACACAGTGAGACCTCATCTCTACAAAAGTAAAAAACTAGCCAGACATAGTGGTGTGTTCCTATGGTCCTAGCTACTTGAGAGGCTCAGGTGGGACGATTGCTCCAACCCAGGAGGTCGAGGCTGCAGTGAGCTGTGATCACTCCACTGCACTCCAGCAGAGCAACAGAGCAAGACCCTATCTCTCAAAAAAAAAAAAAAAAAAAAAAAGAGGGGTGGGCAGGGATAAGGGTGTCTCCATGGGGGGTTGTTGTGGGAAGCAGTAAAGAGCCCCCATTGCATGCAATTAGCTTTTGTCATCATGACTGTTCCCAAAGGCAGCCATCCCTTCTCCCAGCATAGACAAGTGTCATGGGAGAGAGGAGGCTCCAAGATCGCATTGTGGACCCAGCTAAATCGATGGAAACGTAAAGAGAGCAGACCTTTCCCACAGGTGGTCTACAAGAGGGGCAGGACTGACCACCTCGTGGGGACACCCGCTCGGCTTCACTGAACGTGATATAACACCTACGGGGAATCAGGGAAAATGTGGGCAACCTGCTGAGCCCCCGCCCGCCGCAAACACTCAGCAAACGGAATCTGTTGCCATCGATTCCCAGCCACCACCCGTATGCTCCCTGTGAAGCCAGGCTCGGGATGAATTATGGGAAGAAATAACAGGGACAGAGATAAAAAAAAGCCACCAAGGCCCACCAGATGGCCTCAGGCCACAGGACAGGAAGCCAACGGGCATTTGGCCCCCAGATGCTGAGTAGGGGATACTGGCTGTGTCTCTGGCATTAACTGGATTGAACACAGTGGTTTGCCATCTCTGCCCAGCTGGGTGGCTTTTTCCAGAGGGATCCTTGCAGATCCATGAGAGGACCCCAAGCGGAACCAAAGGCATTAAGGGCCTGCCACTCCCTCTCAGGCAGCTTCAGTCTCGGTTCTGGAGTGAGGCCCAGAGAAAGGGACTGCGAGGAAAAATGCCAAGGCTCCTTGATGAGGGCTGCTCTCCTCTGACCTTCCAGGACATCCTGGAAGTTCCCAGCAGCCAAAAGGAATCCTCCTTGCCCTCTGAAAAGGCTACTCAGGAAGCTGACCTGGCACATCCTGAGAAGGCAGCTCAAAACCAGAACTCATGCCCTGGGGCTGAGGTGTAGTGGCAAGGGGTAGAAGCCAGGAGACGAGGAAACAGGCATGTAGCCTTCAGGAGCAGCAAGAAACTCCAGAGGCTTCTGGAAGCTTCCAGAAGCTTCCAGAAGCCTCTGGAGCCAGAGTCCAAAGGGATCTTCACCCTTAGCCAGTCCCTTTCCTGTGCCATTGAGACTGACAATTGTGGTCTGGACTACACTTTGGGCTCAGTCTCATGGGAAGAAGAACAGTCTTCTCTGAGACACCAAGCTGAAGGGAACATGGAATGTGTCACAGAAGGCCAATACATGGTGAAACCCCATCTCTACTAAAAATAAAAAAATCAGCCAGGCATGGTGGTACATACTTGTAATCCCAGCTACTTGGGAGGCTGAGGCAGGAGAATCACTTGAACTTGAGAGGTGGAGGTTGCAGTGAGCTGGGATCGTGCCACTGCACTCCAGCCTGGGCAACACAGTGAGACTCCATCTCAAAAAAAAAAAAAAAAGGAATCTCTTTCCTTCCTCTTGGGCATGTAAGACAGCTCATGGGTGAGAAATTAGAGAGATCTTAGCCACCTGTTCACACCCCAGCACACAGGGAATCACCTGGGAGCTTTTAAAGCACACCAATGACAGTTCAACCCCTACGGATCAGGAGTTTTAAAAGCCTCTGTGATTCTATTGCACAGCCAAGGCTGAAAACCAGCTCAGGACTCATCAATGGACCCATCTGAGCCCCAGGTGAGGGAATCAGCACTATGGGAATCACTGAGGCACGGCCATGGCTAAGATGGTGACTGCTGAAATCTAAGAGCCTGGGTTTGAGCCCCACCTCTGCCACTTTGTAGCTGTGTGCTTTTGGGCAAGTTACTTCCCACCTCTGAGCCAGGCTCCGCACCTGTAAAATGGGGATGATACATCTTCATAGGAACCTTTCCAAGGCATGAAACAAAGCTGAAGTGTCCAGCACAGTCATAAACAGTAAGCACCACGCAACAAGAAGCCTCAACCACAGGGTGGAGACATGCTCTGGAACGTGACCATGGCTCTCTGCCCAAACACGCTCATGGGGGCTAACGGCAGGGCAAAACCCGCCCAGAGTCTTGCTACCAAGTCATGAATCCGCACATCATAAGTTGCCACCACCCCAGCATCCCCAGGAGAGGACTGGGCAAGGAGCCCTTGGCCCACTGCCCGAGGGCCGCCCTGTGAGGGGGCTGCATCGTTCCTCCTACCACATCCAGCCCCACCTACCTTCTCAGGTTTATGGACCAAAATCATCACGGCGTCCCCAGGGAGCTTCTCAGAAAGGCAGAAACTCAGGGCCCCCATCCCAGGGCTAGTCGAGGGCAAGAGCCTCTGCCTGGGCTGAAGGGACCCAGGAAACTGAGCCCAGGCCTCCTCTGCCAATCCATCCTGTGTGGTGGGGACAGGCAGGGGGCAGCTCCCTCTTCCTCAGAGTGACTCAGGCTGCAGCTGATCCAAATCTTGGCCCTCGAGACCACGCTGAGGTCACCCTCCTGGCAGCCAAAATCACTGAGATGAACCCAGGGACATTTTCATCCAGCTGCCAACATCATCTCGACCTTGGTGGCGGCCGACTCCCTTGGAGCAGATTCTGCTGCCCTGGCTGGCCTTGGCCTCCCAGGGAGGTTCTCAGAGGCCAGCTCCCAAAGCAGAAGTGTGTCGCCTACATGTGGGGCAGCGCTGTGGAGTGGGGCAAGCCTGACACATGCTCAAGGAGAGACGGGGAAGACTGGGATGGAAGATGCCAGGTCCCAGCTCCACAGCAGAAACAGGGCAAACAGCACAACCCCTACCCCAAATATCCTCACCTTCACCTGGAACCAAAGTCTGCACCAATGGAGACAGGAGCAAGTCCAGCTCCTGGAAGCCAGGCCCCAGCTGGCCTGGCCTCAGGCCTGGGGTTCAGAAAATGAGGATAAGACTCCGATCCTTTCGCAGCCCCCTCTCACCCCAGCAAGGCCTCTGGAGCCAAGGCCACTGTCCCCAGACCTGCCTCTGAGCCCCCACTCGCTCCACAGCCCGCCAAGGGCGGCTCCAACATGTCTTTCCAGCTGTCTGGGGCCGCGCTTTAAGCAGAGCCGCAGGGCTATGGAAGGCCTCCAGCTCGGCTCATTATCGGAATTTAATCTGGATTCCGAGAGATCAAGAGGAGTCAGTGGAAAGTGACTCCCACAAGGGGAGAGACGCTGAGGCTGACCCAAAGCCGGCTAATCCTCGGCACCCCCGGGGCTTTCCTGGAGCTCAGGCACAGCTCGTCAGATGTCCCAGCCCTGCACAGCTGGGCAGCTGGCGGCACAGAGACAGAGGCAGCCACATGGCGGGGACAGCAGGGCAGGCTCTGGGCTCCCCCGGGCTGAGGTCTGCAGGAGGCCTTCAGCTGGAAGAAGCTGTGCGGGCCCAGGTTGGGGACATGCAACCAGGTTGGGGACATGCAAAGAAAAAGCCTATCTCTGAACAGGCGAGCTGGAGGAAGCGTGGGGGATTTGAAGAGCATTTGCAAGCTCAGGGCTTTGTTCCTACTGGAAGATTGCAGAATTAGGGGAATTGGCTCGGTGGACCTACATGGGAAGGCAGTGCCACAGCCACCACCCAGGGCTCTTGTCTTCCTAAAGAGGTCTTGCTCCACTTCCTGCTGTGATGATGATGATACTAACGCAGGTGACCATTTATTGAGCACTTCCTGTGTGTAAGACACTGTTGTAAGTATGTCACCCCCTTTCATCCACAGCACAACTCTGGGAGGGAGATTCAATTATTATCCCCATTTTACAGAGGGAAAAACTGAGGCTCTGAGAGATGACTCTTTCCCAAGGCCACATGGGTAGCTGGTGGCAGGATTTGAATCCATGCTCTTAATAGCTGGGGAATTACATCATAGGGGCATCTTGGTTCTAGGTTGAAAAACAAAACAACCTGTCCAGAAAAATGAATAAATAATATATTTTTTAAATTTAACCATTTAACTTCTGAAGAATGGAGGCTTTGCTGCAGGAGGCACAGGAAGAACATGTAGAAACCTAAAGAAAGCAGCTCCGTCTTGCCCTCCACTGCTTCTCACCCTATTCCCTTCCTTGCTCAATGCTCCCACCTGCCATGTCCTCTCCTCTGCTGGAACGTGAGCTTCCAGAGGGCAGGGACTCGTGTCTGGTTCGTTCTGGTCGATGCCCTCAGGCATGGCATGCAGCAGGTACCTGTGCTGAGGAGGGACTCAGTCACTCAGCAGCCCAGAAGCCCCCAGGAGCAGGACCCCAGCACTAGAATGGGCACCCCCAGCCCAAGTTGCCTGTTGCCGGCAGCCTGGCAGGGAGGACGCCTGGAACGCCCATCCCTCCTCCAAACACAGTGCTCAGGCCTGCTGCCCAACCCTGCAGCCCTCAGGATCCACCCCATGGATCTCAGGCAAGACAGCAGAGGCACCACAGACCATGATGGGACCAGGTGCCCACAAAGCCAGCAGGAAGGACCAAGAGCTGCCGGAGCTGAGTGGAGAATCCAGATAACAGCCTGGACACAGAGGCTGTGGTTTCATCCTAAGCAAGAAGCTCCCTGGCTGCTGGGAGTAGATGTCGATGTCACCTCCCAGGAGAGCTGCTCAGCAGTGTCTACCAAAGCCACCCATGTGTGGGCCCTCTGACCCCACAATTCTATCTCTAGAACTTTATCTGACTGATAGACATGAACACGTATGTCAGCGAGGGTACTTGCCCTGCGGCACCATCCATCATAGAACAGAGGAGCCAGCGTGCACACGTGAAACACAGCACAACCCAAGCCGTGGAACAGTGAGGTGACTCAGAGGATGAGGGCACCCCGTGTGAACCCCTGGAAAGGGCTGCCAAGGTTCATCATCCAACGATGAAAGCCAGAGGCAGGAGTGAGTGCACTGTGGGGTTCCACAGGTGAAAACAGCAACACAGATTCCTTCGCTGATTTCAGGAGACTCAAGAAACTGGCATCAGGGACCACCTCAGCAGGGGCTGGAAGCCTTCATTTTCACTGTGGTTCCTCTTCTTTCCTTTTGATTTTATACCATGAACATGTCTTGCCTACTCAAAAACTTTTTTTTTTTTTTTTTTTTGAGAAAGAGTCTCACTCTGTCACCCAGGCTGGAGTGCGGTGGCACCATCTCGGCTCACTGCAACCTTCTCCTCCTGGGTTCAAGCAATTCTCCTGCCTCAGCCTCCCAAGTAGCTGGGATTACAGGCGCCCGCCACCATGCCTGGCTAATTTTTCTATTTTTAGTAGAGACGGGGTTTCACCGTGTTGGCCAGGCTGGTCTCAAACTCCTGACCTCAAATGATCCACCTGCCTTGGCCTTCCAAAGTGCTGGGATTACAGGCGTGAGCTACCACACCCGGCCTAAAAACAAATTTTGGAAAGAAATATCTTTCATAAGCATGGGCTCCAGCTTTGCAAACCTGGGCTCACGTCCTAATGTGGCCACATTCTCTCTGGGTAGCCTCATTCTTTGGCTTCAGGTCACTTTAGTTCTCCTCATTTTACAGATAAGCCACCACTTCTGAAGGCTACTGTGAATATGAAACAAGATATCAAGTGCAAAACACTCTGGAAACGCTCAAGAACAGTTTTGTTTTCTTGGTACTTAGATGACCATCCCCACCCCCACCCCCCACCAGCACCAAATAGCAGTGCTTGGCAAACGTAGCTGTGATGGTTCTTCTGTCCCTGTCTATGGTAACAAGTCCCCTTTCTAGCTGAAGATGCTAAGCCTGCACATCACAAGGAGGTGCCCACACCACCTTTCTTCCATCAATTTCCCTGCCCAGTGGGGACGGTAGATGTCTGACAGCCTGCGGGGTCCAGCAACCCAGCCACTGAGTAATAGGACCTTGGTCATTTCTGCCTCGGGACTGTCTGAATAGAATGCACCTGCTAAATGTCCCAGCCCTTTTTCTTAGCCTCCTTACCTCTCACAAGACCTTGAAATTAATGGATCTCGATAAATTAAAGACTTTCAACACAAACGTTTGGTTTCTGACCTAGTGATTCTTGGAAGGCTAAGAGTTCTCTGTTTTTTTTGGTTTGGGTTTTTTTCTTCCCCTAACATTTTATTTTAGATGGCCACCTTAATTGGTTGCCTGACATCGTGCACTGGGTTTCAGAGTGAGAAACGGGAGAGAGGTAGCCCTTCAAAAATGTTTCTTCCCCTTCCCCTTTTCTTCTATGTCCCTTAGCACCCAGCCAGATCTAGACTGCCTATAAAAACCCACAAGGCACCACGCATCCCTGGGCTCCCTGGCCTTCTACTATTCCTGAATTTGTTGTCGGTCATGGTTTTAAGGAAGTGACATACACCATACACCTTCTTTAGAAGGGATAATCTGGTACAGGGCCTGGCACGTGGTTGTGCCAATCTGACCCATCCTCTGGCCCTCACCACCTTCTTCCTCTGCCCCCAGAGGAAACTCAGCACCTCTCCCAGATACCCGTATAGCACCCACCTGCCCAAGTGCTCCTGGAGCACCTGATAAACGCTGATCCGGAACGTCTCATTGTCGAAGCGTTCCCGGATGTAGTCCTTGTAGATCCGGAATTCGGCTGCCGTGACAGCTTCCCCTTCTGGGATCTTGGAAAGATCAAACCGGAACTCTCGATGGTGGTAGCGTGGGTGGAAGAATTCCTTGTCATGTTCCACTGGAAGAGGAAGAGAACACACACCAACACCGACAGCTCATTAGTGTCTGGGTTTCACTCTCTGGCTCTGAGTCCAAGCATCTTGCCTAAGCTAGATGGAGGCATGCCCATTGCCAGTGACCCCAGTGACAACTGCTCCTTCCTCACCAACACACTGTAGACTGGAGGGTCACAGGCTCAGACCCCATGGTCCCCATGGTCATCCTGAACGACAAGAGCATGATTCTGCATCCAACCTGCTGGGAAAAGTAGGGCACTAACCACAGCCATCCAAGAGGTCCTGGCCAGACTCAGGTCCCAGGGGCTCAGGCCTGGGTTGGAATCTGGCCTCAGCCACTAACCAACAGAGTGGCCCTAGATAAGGTAACAGAAAACCTCTATGGAACCCAATTTCATCATCTAAAAAATGGGGATTGTAATCCTCCTTCATGGGTTATGGTCAGGGTTGAATGATCTCATTCACACAAATAGTTTAACATCTGCTAGGGTTGGATAACTGTTAGCTATTGTTGGTAAGCATAAACCTTACTGTGCCTAGTATGAGACATCTCTAGGACCAGGGGTTCTCAGCCCTGAATGCACATGAAAATCACTGTGGAAACTTTTAGAAAATACTGATGTCCTGGCCCAAGTCTGGGATGGTAAACATTTAACAATTGGCTCTCAGGGACCTGATCTGAAGCGCCTGCTGACTACACCGTGTAAATACTGCCATCTTGGCAGATTTCAAGCTACCAACGTGAGGCTGCTGGACATGGGAAGAGAAGCACACAGTAGGCTCCAGCACACAGCTACTCCGACCCCCTCCTGAACCAAGGGAATCCATATCTCTTTAAAGCACCCCCAGATATTTCTAATGAGGTGCCAAGGTTTACAGTCACAGCAGTAGACTAACAGCACTAAAAGGAGTGAATGGCAGAGTTGGGGTGGAGGTTGAACGTGACTCAGGACAAAATAAGGCAAAAGGCCTCCACCTTTCTCCCTTCTCCTGGCAGCGGTATTAGACTAAGATGTCATGTCCATTTCATAGATGATAAGCACCAAGATGAAAGCCCAGGAATGGTGTTTCTGGGTGGGGACCTGTGGCTCCTGTGGATCATGCCCCCTCTGGACCAACATGGAGCAGGAATGACAATGGGAGCCACAGAGTGCTGGAAGGGGCAGAATGACCACACTCAGGCCAGTGAGAAGAACCTCCAGACACCTTTCATCTGCAGGAAAATACAAGCCCATCTCCACTTCCTGTCTGGGGGTGGGGAACTGGAGAGAGAGGGAGAAAGAGCAGAACCAGTTTGGCCAGCAGATTGGTCAGAAGAAAGGAGAAATACGATCAGCAATCTTCAGCTCTCAGGCTGGGTTATGGCTGCCCGGTTCCAAGTGGGACAGCAGGACGGGAACACCATTGAGGAAGAAGTTCACAGCACTGGCAGCCCCAAGACCCTGGCTGCGCAGCTCCATTAAAAACAATCTGGTTTAAACCTTAACAACAGTCCAAAAAGAGAGCAGGGTGAGGGCAGGAAGCATGGGGGAATTACCCGCTCAGGCTGTTCCCTCTCAGGAAGAAGGGGCAGATGAAGTCCCTGAGGCTGGGGTCTCTGGCTGGGCACAGGAGCATCCCTGTCTTTGGAGAGACCTCGGGAAGATGACCTTTGAACCACAGCTGCTAGAATCCTGGGCCATATATGGAGAGCTGGCGGGAGGGAAGGACTCTCCAGAAACCGTTCCGGGGTCCTTCCAGATGACAGCTCTGCTTGTCACAACACGCCCCTCACGCCCACAAGGAACCCTTCTCTCCTGACCCAATCTATGGGACAGGCCAGATGAATGGGAGAGAAGGCCATGGGGATGTCACCAATCTGCTTTGATTTACAGAGAAGGTAGGAGTCTCCGTAAAGGGCAGCCACTTGGGAACCAAGTGAGCCTCGGGAGGTGACCCCAGGTGGGAAGGCGGGGCAAAGGGCCTGACTGTGTCACCGTGGGACTGCCCCCGGCCAGTCCTCTGTCACCTTTCCAGCTCAGTCAACCCTCATGCCAGCCCCAAAAGGTGAGCAGCCCGAGGAAGTGAGTACAATCCCGCATAGGTAGGTGAGGCATGCACCTGAGACCCAGGAGGTGTCCAGTGACCTCCCCAGGGCCAAAGACCTGGGATTCAAGCCCAGGTCCTGCCCAAACCAGAGGCCTGAACCACCATGCATCTCTGTGGCTGCGTGAACAGCTGAAGAGCTCAACAAGGGCCGTTCCTCTGCTTGTTTGTAGAACTTTTTTTTTTTTTTGAGACAGAGTCTCGCTCTGTCACCCAGGCTGGAGTGCAGTGGCGCGATCTCGGCTTACTACAAGCTCCGCCTCCCAGGCCCACACCATTCTCCTGCCTCAGCCTCCCAAGTGGCTGGGACTACAGGCTCCCGTCACCATGCTCGGCTAATTTTTTGTATTTTTAGTAGAGATGGGATTTTCACCATGTTAGCCAGGATGGTCTCAATCTCCTGACCTCGTGATCCACCTGCCTCGGCCTCACAAAGTGCTGGGATTACAGGCGTGAGCCACCACGCCTGGCCGTTTGCCAGAACTTTTTAACTGCACTGTTGTATACGTGTAGCGTGTGTGTAAACCAAAGTAAACCCAGTCACGGAGATTCCTCCAGGTCAAGAGACAGAACATTACCAACCCCCTTTCCCACCCTGGACTTCTCAAACTATAGGTTAGCTTCGCCTGTTTTTGAACAGTCGCTGCAGGGCCTCATACACTATATCATCTTTCGTATCTGGCTTCTTCCATTTCACAGTGCTTGTGTAATTCATCCACGTCACCGTGCATGTTCATTCATCCTCATTGTCATATGATAGTCCATCGTTGTATTAGACCGCAATCCATGTATCCATTCTACAGTTCATAGGCGTTCAGGGAGTTTCCAGATTGGGGCTCTGAAAGCAGTGCTGCTATGAACATCACAGGACACGTGTTTCATGCCTAGAAGTGGCATTGTGCATTGCAGCTTTAATCACCCTGGAAGCTGTTCTCCCAAAGCATTGCATCTGAGAGGTTTTCATGAGTATGCTAGGAGAGAGGTGGAAGAGACCAGGTCTGCCCCCTGAAGGAGGTGGCACAGTCTTGGGACAACTCATGGCTTCTCGAGTGCTTTTCTCCAGGGGACCAGGAGCGGTGAAGCACAGATGAAGTCCTGTTCCAACCATCTCTGTTCTCCACTGCAGCACAGCCAGACCTCCAAAGACCAGGAAGAGCCCTTGAGTCGTGCCATGATTCAACTTTCAGCAGAGAGGGTTGCTCCCACAATCATGCACAGGTGCAAAGTCCAATGCCTTGAACACAGTGGCTCCCCGCAAACCTCAGTTCCCTGCTCCCAGTGCTGGATGAACCCAGCTTCAGAGCAGCCCCACTGGCAGATACGCAATCAGCCTGAGCAGAGAAAGGGGCTGGGGAACATCTGAGGATGTACAACTAAGGATGGCTGAAGAGCCCGGAAGTACAAAGCACATGTTTGCTGAGTGCTAACTCTGTGAGTCCTGCACTGAGCAAGCACTCTTTGCCATCATCTGATGGAACCCCATGAGACAGGACTGATCCCCATTTTACAGATGAGGACACTGAGGCTCAGGGAGGCCGGGTAACTTTCAAAGGTCACAAATCAGGTGAGCGGCTGAACTCCAAAGCTCACCCTCTTGACCTTCACACTCTCTAGAGCCAGGTGGCCTGAGTTTGATCTTGGCTGTGCCACTTACCAGCTGTGTGACCTTCCCCAATCTACTTAATCCCTGTGTGTTCCCCTCCCCCTGGAGATAGTAACAATGGCCCTTTCTCATGGAGTTGTTGGGAAGATTACAGAAGCCATTTGCTGACAGGAGAAAGCCACAGGTGAGCCATTTGAGTCTGCCATTGTTACAGGGCCTCTAAAACAATGAGCCAGAAGAATGACAATCAATGCAGAAGAAGCAACATGTGCTGTGGGCATTTACACAGTGCACTTATGATTACATTTGAAAAAAAAAGTGCAATAGACCGAACAATAAAGATACGTTTGAATAAGCATGACATAAACACAGGTACAATCATTAGAGTCATGCCCAATGAAGAAAGAAAACACTGACACATAATCACAAACACAAGGTTTGTTACAACAGCTGCAGGTACAACTGTTTTTAATATAGAAGATGAACTGTATCTTAACTGTTAAGGTATCAGAGTTACAAGGTTCTTTTCTAAAAAGAAACTCAGGGATAAAGTGAGGAACTAAATTTCTTGCAAACATTTGTGGGCTCTTTGGTATGGCTTTCTGAGAGGATTTCCTTCATTAATTAGTTGGAGACTATGAGAAGCAGGAACGACAATGTTACTCTATTCTCCCTGAAACCCACATTGTCACATGTTCTGAAAATAATTTTGTATCCATTATCAAAGAAAGAACAGTCATGAAGTACACACACACACACACACACACACACACACACACACACACACACACAAATAAGCAGTGGATAATTCAAAGTCCAAACCAACTTCCAAATCTCATCTTTCCAAGGTTTCCCTTTTCTATGGAAGCCACTCCACAGTGTGAAATCTACACCATTTCAACTCAAGTATCAAGATAATTGAATTGTTACCACTACAAGAGGTAGAAGCTTGCATGTATTTTTCAGGTGAAAATATGTCTTTATACTTTCTTCTAAAGTTACTGTATATAGTTGATTACCCAAGACTTGAGTTTTAAACTAAATGTCTAGAGTTGACATCTCCCCATGCCCACAGAGAAAAGCTTCCTAAGGAAGCCCAGAGCCTAGGATTCCAGCTTTTCCTCCCTCTACCTCCAGTTACATCCCAGCACCCCAAGGGCTGAGAGAGCTTACAGGCATTAACAAAGGACTTTCATCTTCAAAAAATTAAAAGGGCCTAAATCCCCAAGACCAAAAGATAAGTCCAAAGAAAATGGATTCCAGAAAACACCATCCTGACAGCAAGCAGACCCATCACTGTCCCAAAGACAAGTCCAGTGTCTTCCTTTTACAAAAACCCGAAATAGCCCCAAAACCAGCCCTAAGAGGGGAAATTCTGGGCTGGAAGGTGTCAATAATGGGTTAGAGGCCAGGTAGGAACAAGAAGCTGCCCACCTGGGCGCCCCCCCTTCATGATCCTCTGCCATGCCAGGGAAGACTTCTGTCCCAGATGGGAGTCACACCTGCCCCCGGCATCACTCAGGAGTACCTTGCCTCTCCCTAACATCTGGGGTTCTTCCTCCCACCTACAGTTATGAGACATACTCAGGCAAACCCCTCACTAAGTTATAGTTGTCTGATACAAAGGGAGGGCCACAACCAAAGAAATTGGCAACCCACTCTGTAGACTTGCAAAGGGCAGCTGGTGCTTAAACAGAACCTGCAGTATTCAGAGCCGTGGGACAGTATTTAACACCCTAAAAATTAGGGGTATGAACCCAAATATATGCATATGTACAGTCGTACATCATAATGCACAAAACTAAACGAACACAATACATTGTTACAAACACGAGAAAACAGATACAGAAGATATATTTCTCCTGCTTCCTGAGGGATGATTTTGTGCTGGGCATAGCTCATCAGGATGAGCAAAGTTGGGGCATGGCTCATTACAATGCACAACTGTTAAGGAGCCTTGCCCATGTCCCCCCACCCCCACTCCCATCCCTCGTGTATCTGTCTCTCTTGGAGAGTCCATCATCACTGTCCCAGTTGAGCCATGGGACTCCAAGGGAGCCACCATCTTGTTCCATGACCCTCTTCTCCCCAGTTGAGGGATGGGAGGAAGCCAGCCTTAACCTTGGCCACACATAGGCCTTCTTTTATTTTTATTGGAACCTGGTATGAAAGAGCCCCTGTTCGCTCTCCCCGCCTTGATCTCTAAGGATGTAATCCAGTGCTCTGGGAAGCCCCTTGCCAGCACCTTGCAGGGAAGGCTGGTCTGTGAGAAAGAAGCTTCCAAGCACGGAGGACTGAGGTTGGAATTGAGGAGAGAGACCTGCTGGGTTGATCCCCTGGTCTGGTAGTCCCTGCCCTTCCTGAAGTTTGGGGTTTCAGCTCTTCCAATCTATGAGTTACGTTGAGATGCTTCAAAGAAGTCCCCTTTAAGCTAACTCTAGTCAGACTGCTGCCTGACTGCAACCAAGGCAGTTCTGAGCAAAACACACACAAGCCCAATTGTATACACACCCAGAAGTGGAAATGGATGGGCAGGAAACACTCCCAGTAGCTGTGTTCTCTCCAGATGACCATTCACCATGAAAACCGCTTTCTTCAGACTTGGATCATTCCCAAATGTAAGGCATCCCCCTTGACTGAGCTCTGTAAGAACAGGGCCCATGACTGTCTCAGCTCTGGATCGCATGCCCTCCACAGCCTGATGCTTAGCAGGGCCTCATAAATCTTCTGCATTGAACACATTACTCTTCACGCAATTCCTTTCTAGTTTAAGTAAACTACTTTGTTGATAACGTACACACAGTAAGGCACACAGACAAGCATTCACGAAGTGTGATGAATTTCCACAACGTGAATGCACCTAGGGCAGGACACAAAACATTTATTACCAGCTCCGAAGTCGTCCCGACAGGGGTCCCTCCCAAACACCAGTCCCTCCTCCCCTAAGGCTGACTGCCTTCCTAACACCCAATACCACGGACTGGCTCTGCCTCCATGAGACCTGACTATGGAATCACAGATGTGTTCTCTTCTGTGTCTGCAGCCTTCCACAGCCTCACTCATGTGGTTCTGTGTACCAGTGGTCCATGCATTCCCACTGCTGTCTAGAACCCTATCGTATGAATAGGACACAACTCATTTTTTTATAGTCATTTGGGGAGTTTCCAGTTTGAGCCATTGGAGAGTTTACAGTTTGAGACAAGCTGTGCTGCAATGCATACTCTTGTGCATGGCTTTTGGTGAACACGTGTCCACTGGGTAAATGTCTTGAAGCAGGATTTCTGGGTCAGAGGGTAGGCACGTTCAACTTTAGTTCCACATCTGACTGTTTCCATGTCAACAATTTTGGGGAAACAGGGTATGAGGCCAAAGGAGACACAGTCCCTAAAGAGATCATTCATTTTTGTTGACTTTGGCAAATCCCAGTGCCTGCGTTCAGGTACGAGGCAGCTCTGCAGGTGAGGGTTCTTCCAGGAGAGGTGCTGAATGGACTCTTAAGGAAGAACGGAGGCCCACTAGTCCCAGAGGACAAGGAAGGGCACTGTAGGCAGAGGCAACAGCATGATCGAGGGCTCGACAGACAAGAAACAGGGCATGCTGGGGAGTTTAGGTAAGAAGTTTGCTGAGAACGACAAGAAAAAAGCAACAAATTCCTCATTGGGAAAATGCTTGAATGTCAAGCTAAGGGGTTGATCATTGATGTCATCAACCATGATGGCTTGGTCCCTTGTTAGACACAAAGCAGTGCCCTGACCAGATCTATTTTAGATAGAGGACTGGTGACCCTGTGGAAAGTGGATTATAGGGAGTGAGGACAGAGGCAGGGAGTGAGGACAGAGGCAGGGAGTGAGGACAGAGGCAGGGAGCTCAGAGGAGGCTCTGATCAGAGATGATGCATACCCAGTACATGCACCCTCCTCCTCCCTCCTGGCACCCGAGGTAGGCATCACTAAACAATGGCAACACTCCTTTCTTAATTCTGGCACCCAGGCAGCCACTATCAATCTTGACTGGCTCAAGAGAAAAGATGTCAGCATTTTCCATCTCTTGTCAGGACCCCAGAAGTGTAATGGACCAGAAGTGCTTCTCTAGGGGAAGGAACAAGACAATTGATTAAAAGCAAGCATATGAAGAGGGGGAACTAGAGGATGCTGCCCACTGCCGGCCTGGAATGCCAGGAGGGCGATAACACCATCAGTAGATATCAACACAGGAGAGAGCGCTCAGGAGGTGAAGTGGTAGGGAAGAAACACGTGTGGCTGCAGACAGGTGAAACTTGAGATGACCTGCAGAATGTTCAACTGGACAGTTGGAAAAAGAGGTTTAGATAACCCTGGCAAGAATGCTCAAGCTGGGAGCTGTTGAATTGGGTTTATGGATAAAGTTATGCACGAAAAATGCATTTATGATGAGAAAGACTAGCATGGCCTTGGATCAATATTTGGGGCTACCTGGGAGGGGGAGAACGATGCCACCAGAAGGACTTGGTCCAAAGGAAGGGAAGGACCAGAGGACTGGCAGGGCAAGATGGCGCAACAGTGGCCAGATTCAGAGAAAGGGGGCAGGGAGACCCCTCTTCCAGGGACCATTCACTGGATTTGGTCACTGGTTGCTCAGAGACCTCAGGAAGCAGCTCTCATGGGGACAGCCATGCATAAAAAAAAAAAAAACACCTGACGAGCAAGACTGTGGCCAGTTGCACATGAAAGATATTTGTATCCATGAAAAGGGGAACCGTCAGCCCAGGCAAAGCCGCCTTCATTTCCTCCTGAAGACGTTCTCCCAGCCAGGGCTGGAAAGAGTTGATAAATGGATAGTAAATAATCACCCAGCAGCTCCTTCCAAAACTTTATGGTCTTCAGAAAAAATTTGGTTAACCTTCCAGACTATGCGGCCCTCTCACTGCCCCCAAAGATGCCGCTAAACTATGAGGCAGGAACAAATATTTTATGAGCAAAGGGATGCTTTCCAGGCAAAAACCACAAGTCCAGCATTAGAATTCCATGTTCCTCACTCAGAGTCTGGTTTCTGTGAGCACAGACTAGTCCAAAGCATTCTTCAGCTCCAGTTAGGGGCCGGGGACAGACCCCCACACCCCACTTTAATGAGGATGAAGCTCAAGGGGCTAAAAGAACTAATCGAAGTCCACATTATAACCAGAAGTCAGAACTGGGTTTTCACAGACCCGAGGACTGCTCAGGGCCCCATATCCCGGAACGTCCCCGGTACCCATTTAACTCTGAAACTACCAACCCTGGCTCGCTCTTTCCCTGGAGGGCTACAGCTCATCTGGAAGGTTCTGGCACACACCAGAACTCACTGGAGCTGACTTATCCCGGCTGCTGTTAGGAGGCAGTTTACGACCCACAGTTTCAGGGATGTGAAATTTGATGATGGCTCTTCATTCATTCATTCAAAGATTTACATGGCAAGATTAAGGAGCTTGAAAAAGCCGCCAGAGGCATGCAATAAATTGGGAATTCTGGAAAGTGGAACAGACATACCTGACTACTCTAACAGGAAAATGTTCTCTTAATAACATGAGCAGCCTGGAGAGGCCACACTGACACACACAGCTCTTGGGAGAAGGGAGGAGAATGCTCTATGCCCAGAGAAACAGAACATCGCCTAGAAGTTGACAATGATACACATTGTTCAGATAACACCTCCACTGTACTCATTCAACAAGGACTTTCTGGCTGCCCCAGCATGGACGTGAGAGCCGTCAGTTGTACTGTAGAAGAGTAGTTCATAGAAGCTCACTTAGATTGCAGCCCTGACAACCTATGGAACACCTAAGCCAGGTAAACAGCCACCATTTTTTAAAACTTTTATTTTTAATTGTGGTAAAATACACAGAATATACAATTTAACATCCTAACCACTTTTACGTGTACAGTTCAGTCATTTTAAACACACGGGATACCATTCTTGCACATCCAGTCTCCAGGACTTTTTTCATCTTGCAACGCCAAAACTCTGTCCCCATTAAACACTAACTCCCCTTTCTTCCTCCCTCCTCCAGCTCCAGGCACCCACCCTTCTACTTTCTGTCTCTATGAATCTGACTGCTTTGGGCAACACCTATAAATGGAATCACACAGTATTTGTCCTTTTGTGACCGGCTTATTTCACTTAACAAAATGTCTTCAAGTTTCATCCGTGCTGTAGCCTGTCAGAATGTCCTTCCTTTTTAAGGCTGAATAATATTCCACTGTATGGATGGGCCACATTTTGTTTATTCATCCCTGAATGGTATGCAGCTTCCACATTTTTGTGATTGCGAGTAATGCTGCTGTGACTATGGGTGTGCAAATATCTCTTGGAGATCCTGCTTTCAAATCTTTCAGGGACATACCCAGAAATGAAATCGCTGTGTCACATTGTAGCTCTATTTTCAATATTTTTGAGGAAGCACCATTCTGTTTTCCATAGTGGCTACAGCATTTTACCTTCCCGCCGGCAGTCGGGAAGGGTTCCAATTTCTCCACATGTCCACCACCATTGTGATTTTCTGTTCTGTTTTGTTTTGTTTGATGGTGACTGTATTAGTCTGTTTTCATGCTGCTGACAAAGACATACCCGAGACCAGGAAAAAAAAAAAGAGGTTAAATTGGACTTGCAGCTCCACATGGCTGGGGAGGCCTCAGAATCATGGCGGGAGGCAAAAGGCACTTCTTACATGGCAGCAGCAAGAGAAAATGGGGAAGAAGCAAAGCTGAAACCCCTGATAAACCCATCAGATCTTGTGAGATTCACTATCATGAGAATAGCACAGGAAAGACCTACCCCCATGATTCAATTACCTCCCCCGAGTCCCTCCCACAACACATGGGCATTCTGGGAGATACAATTCAAGTTGAGATTTGGTGGGGACACAGCCAAACCCATTTCACCCCTGGCCCCTCCAAATCTCATATCCTCACATTTCAAAGCCACCTATGCCTTCCCAATAGTCCCCCAAATTCTTAACTCATTTCAGCATTAACTCAAAAGTCCACAGTCCAAAGTCTCATCTGAGACAAAGCAAGTCCCTTCTGCCTATGAGCCTCTAAAACCAAAAGCAAGCTAGTTACTTCCTAGATACAATGGAGGTACAGGTATCAGGTAAATACGGCCATTCCAAATGGGAGAAATTGGCCAAAATAAAGGGGTTACAGGGCCCATGCAAGTTCGAAATTCAGCAGGGCTCTCAAACTTTAAAGCTCCAAAATGATCTCCTTTGACTCCAGGTCTCACATCCAGGCCACACTGATGCAAGAGGTGGCTTCCCATGGTCTTAGGCAGCTCCACCCCTGTGGCTTTGCAGGGTACGGCCTCCCTCCCAGCTGCTTTCATGGGCTGGCATTGAACGTTGAGTGACCATGGCTTTTCCAGGCACACGGTTCAAGCTGTTGGATCTACCATTCTGGGGTCTGGAGGACAGTGGCCCTCTTCTCACAGCTCCACTATGCTGCACCCCACTAGGGACTCTGTGTGGGAGTCCCAATTCCACATTTCCCTTCCCCACTGCCCTAGCGGAGGTTCTCCATGAGGGACCCACTCCTGCAGCAAACTTTTGCCTGGGCATCCAGGCATTTCCATACATTTTCTGAAATCTAGGTGCAGATTCCCAAACCTCAATTCTTGACTTCTGTGCACCCACAGGCTCAACACCACATGGAAGCTGCCAAGGCTTGGGGCTTCTACCCTCTGAAATCACAGCCCAAGCTGTACATTGACCCCTTTCAGCCATGGCTTGAGTGGCTGGGACACAGGCCACCAAGTCCCTAGGGTGCACACAGCAGGGGGACCCAGAGACTGGCCCATGAAACCACTTTTTCCTCCTGGGCCTCCAGGCCTGTGATGGGAGGGGCTGCCATGAAGGTCTCTGACATGGCCTGGAGACATTCTCCCCATGGTCTTGAGGATTAACATTAGGCTTCTTGCTACTTATGCAAATTTCTGTAGCCAGCTTGAATTTCTCCCCAGAAAATGGATTCTTCTTTTCTATCGCATAGCCAGGCTGCAAATTTTCTGAACTTTTATGCTTTGTTTCCCTTTTAAAAGTGAATGCCTTTAACACACCCAAGGCACCTCTTGAATGCTTTGCTGCTTAGAAATTTCTTCCACCAGATACCCTAAATCAGCTCTCTCAAATTCAAAGTTCCACAAATCTCTAGGGTGGGGAAAAAATGCCGTCAGGCTCTTTGCTAAAACATAACAAGAGTCACCTTTGCTCCAGTTCCCAACAAGTTCCTTATCTCTATCTGAGACCACTTCAGCCTGGATTTTATTGTCCATATCACTATCAGCGTTTTGGGCAAAGCCATTCAACAAGTCTCTGGGCAATTCCAAACTTTTCCACATTTTCCTATCTTCTTCTGAGTCTTCCAAACTGTTCCAATCTCTACCTGTTAGCCAGTTCCAAAGTCACTTCCACATTTTTGGGTATTTTCTCAGCAATGCCCCACTTTACTGGTACCAATTAATGTATTAGTCCATTTTCATGCTGCTGAAAAAGACATACCCGAGACTGGGAAGAAAAAGGTTTAATTGGACTTACAGTTCCACATGGCTGGAGAGGCCTCAGAATCATGGCAAGAGGTGAAAGGCACTTCTTACATGACAGCAGCAAGAGAAAATGAGGAAGATGCAAAAGTGGAAACCCCTGATCAAACCATCAGATCTTGTGAGAATTAGTCATTATCACCAAAACAGCATGGGAAAGACTGGACTCCATGATTCAATTACCTCCCCCTGGGTGCCTCCCACAACACGTGGGAATTCTGGGAGATACAATTCAAGTTGAGATTTGGTAGGGACACAGCCAAACCATATCAGTGACCATCCTGATGGCTGTGAGGTGGGCAGCCAGCATTTTAGAAGCCCTCCCACTGGCCTGGCTGCCACTTCACATGTATATATCATCTCACTGAATCCTTATGAAAACCCCTCTCAGAGGCAGGGGGACACATCGTGCTCACTTTCCAGATGAGGACACTGAGGCTCAGACTGACTCTTGCCCAGGGTCACACAGCTGATCTGAATCTTTAAAGGCCCGTACTCTTCCCCACTCAGCCATACCAACTCTCTTCCTCACATGGGAGCTGCCAGTGACCTCTTAGCTGTGGCAACGATTCAATAAGGACAGCTCTGAGCTGAACCATGCTCTGCTCTTGGCACACTCGATGCACTCGCCACATAAATCTCCAAAGCTAAACTCAAAGTGAAGGTTCTGCATCCGACTCAGCTCCCTCTCAGACTTGTAAATTTTGCTCCTGCCTAATGCCAGTCCTTGAGGGAGGGAGGCTGACAGCCTGAAGGTTTTGTAGCATTCACCCATCTCCTCATTACCCCTCCCCAGGCCCCCAGATTGGGGGGCAGGGCCCTGCCTGGCAAAGGGCACACAGGCAGCATTGTCTCCCCTGTTCCTGAACTGCTTCAACTCTCGAACTTTCCACCAAATGCTTCAGCTGCCAGCAATACCACCTGGAGTCCTACCCGCCTGGCTCTCCAAGAGGGTCTTTGGAGACACTGCCTCCTTGTTAGGTGCTGGGGGGCTGCGTCCAGAGACATGAGACCTGGAGGCGAGACCACAGGCAGGCATCTCCTTGGCCATCCTCTTGTCATGAGCCCTGAGCCTGCAGCCTGCACAGATGTTGGGGTAGGGGCCAGAGGGAATGATTGTACCACAAGATTAAACACTTCAATGTCAACATGTGTGCAGTGTTGCTTGAACAATGTTATCATTGTGAATTGAATGAACCAAAGGGTTTAGGGGATGGGGCAGGGAGAGGGAAAAAAGATGGGTTTAATTATCTCTAGAGCTGAGGCCAGTTCTTTGCCTAAAAAGACCCAGATGCCCGTAGAGCTGAAAAGAAAAATGGGCCGCAAGCACATGTTGCTCTTTCTACTATAGACCCAGACAGCCCCCTGGCCTACGGCTTCCCACCTCCCAGAGGGAGGAACGCAGTCTCCAGGGATGTCTGGGTTCCAACCCCATCCTCAGCTCATTGAAATTGAGGGAAAAGAACCAGTGATTCTCAGCCAGAGCTGACTTTGTCCTCCCCTCACTCCCATGAAGGCACCCTGGGCATTGTCTGGAGTCATTTTTGGTTGTCATAACTTAGGAGGGGGTGCTCCTGGCATGTACTGGGTACAGACCAGGGACACCGCTAAACATTTCACAATGCTCAGGATGGTCCCCCATCCAACCCCAAATGTGACTAGTGCTGAGTTGAGAGTCCTTGATCTGGACCGACAGACAGGCAGAGCTCAAGAGGGTCAAGAAACCTGGGGTTTGGCCTCATCTGAGCTGTGAGCTGGCTGGTATAACCCCAGGCTCACTGGGCCTCAGTTTCCTCCCATAACAAAGGAAAGGACTGAATTTCTCTGAAGTCCCTTTTCTCGCCTATTAGACTGTACCATGTAAAAAGCTGCTGATACTCTACCAGTTTTGACCTGTATGGGGTTCACCCTAACACCTCGGGGCAGCTTGGAGGCTCTATCTGTGCTGTCTGGTAAAGCACACTGAGACACGTGGGGCTACTGAGCACTTGAAATGTGGCTTCCGTGACTGAGATCTGAATGTTTAATTGTATTTCATTGTAATTAATTTAAATGTAAACAGCTGCCAGGCACAGTGGCTCATGCCTGTAATCCCAGCACTTTGGGAGGGCAAGGTGGGTGGATCACTTGAGGTCAGGAGTTTGAGACCAGCCTGGCCAATATGCTGAAACATCGTCTCTACTAAAAATACAAAAATTAGCCAGGCATGGTGGCACGTGCCTGTAATCCCAGATACTCGGGAGGCTGAGGCACAAGAATCACTTGAACCCAGGAGGCGGAGGTTGCAGTGAGCCAAGATGGTGCCACTGCTCTCCAGCCTGGGCAACAGAGCAAAAATTCCATCTCAAAAAATAAAATAAAATCTAAACAGCTGTATGTGGCTCATGGCCTTCCTAGTGGACAGCCCAGATCACAGGTGTCCCCATCATTGAAGAGGTGCTGTCGCCCACACTGCTTTGTAGCACCAAGGGTTTGCAGGGGGCCACTGCAAATGAGGGTCCCCGACTATGTTCTCAGAGATGTAGGAGAAAGTTTTTCTTTAAAACTGTGGGATTGGTGGCTCACGCCCATAATCCCAGCACTTTGGGAGGTCGAGGCAGGTGTATCACTTGAGTCCGGGAGACCAGCCTGGCTAATATGCCAAAACCCTGTCTCTACTAAAAATACAAAAATTAGCTAGGCGTGGTGGTGCATTCCTGTTCTCCCAGCTACTCAGGAGGCTGAGGCACAAGAATCGCTTGAACCCAGGAGGCAGAGGTTGCAGTGAGCTGAGATCGTACCACTGCACTCCTGGGTGACACAGCAAGACTCTGCCCTAAAAAAAAAATAATTAAAAAAATTAATGAAATGGCGTTCCCAGTGTGAGAAATTCAGGAATTTAACTCCTGACTTACGGGTTTGAGGCCTGGGATGGGGGCTGTTGAACAGGTACAAGGATCCTCACTCTGCTCATGGGGTCACCTAGGGAGCAAACACTCCCCACCAAGCACCTGGCGAGTGGTATCCTGCTGGTAATTGTTAGACGTGCCAAGTTCACGACCGCAGAGGCTTTGCTCCAGGCCTGCCCGGGCACCGCAGCCCCTCCCCACGGCTGAGTTGGTCTCACCCCCACTGACACTCTCCCTGGGCCTCCTTCCCTCTCAGCCCCTTTCATTTCCCTCCCATAGCCTAACTACTGGGATTATTTTGGTGAGAGACCTGCTGACCTGTTTCTCCACTGTCCTCTCTTCTAGATTTTAACTCCAGGAAAGTAAGAACTGAGCAAAGGAGCAGGACTCAGGAGGTTTCCAGAGCAGAGCCGGGCGAGAGGGCGAGTCTCGGCTCTGCCACTTGCTGGGGCGCGTCACTCCTCTTCTGTGAAATGCAGGTGTAGTAATAGCACTGACTCCACTGGGCTGCCAGTTAAAGCCCAGGAGTAAAGTAGACCAGGCATGCTCCACCTTCAGGATGCCCAGAGTCACACGCGAGCTTATTACAGCACAGGCCACTGGGCCCCACTTCCAGCATGTCTAAGGTGGGTGATCTAGGGTGGGCCCAAGAGCATGAATGTCTAACACATGCCCAGGTGATGGTGATAATGCAGGTCTAGAAACCCCACTTTGAGAACCAGAGGAAAGGAGAGTGTCCATGGAGTGCCTGGCACATGTAATAGTCTTGGAAGCTATTCGCTCTGATTGCTCTGTTGCTTAGCACTGTTCACACACCACCTCCCACGCTCACTTGCTGGGCACTCAGCAGCTTCTCCGGAGACTTAGTGAAGTGGGTTTTGAAACTCTCCCCGTGAGCAAATCAGGAGGAAGACACCGGCTCCTTAGCCTTACTCAGCCCAGGATGCAGGAGAGAACTGGGGTTGAGCGTGGGCCATGGGGCCTGGAGGTCTGGTTCACACGCAGGCTCTGCCAATCACCAGCAGTGACCCAGGACAAGTTAACCCACCTCTGGAAGGCTCAACTTTTTCTCTCTATAAAATGGGGACAGGCAGAGGCCCCCAGTTCTGGGGCTGTTGGGAGAATTCAAGGACATGGAGGCTGGCCACCAGGGAGGGCAGCAGAGACCTGTGCCTTGCCTGCTCCCAGCCAGGCCAGAGCAGGCCCCAAGAGCAGCCAGGTGGGGGAAGTGAAGCTGCCGTCCTCCCTCCCTTCCCCAGGACAGGAGGAGCCTGCTCAGACCTTCCCCCCAGAGCAGCCAGAGAGGCTTGGGTCAGCTGGGCAGACACAGCTGGTTTAAGGTATTTTAGAGGCAAATCAAATCAAATGAGAATTTATAATCCTTCCTGAGGCCTGGGTTCCATCAGCCTAAACTCATTAGGCCCAGGAGATGCAGGTGCAGTGAAGGAAAAGATGGTTCTGCCTTTCCTCCATGCCCAGCCCCTGTCTCCCTTTCAAAATAAGAGTCTTCTTTAAAGCCACACTCTGTCCCTGGACCACAGTAATCAGCTTCATTTCTGAAAACAGGAAGGTGCAGAGACGTACAAAAGCCGCCCCAGGGGCTGATGGGGCAGATTTGGTGGGAACTGGAAATCTTGAAGAGCCTCACTCATTTCAAGTTCACATTGTAAGAACTCAAACTTAAATCCCTAAGCTAAACGATCAAAACACCCTTCAAATTGCATGGTTGTCCTTTAAACCTCTTTCCGGTGTGGGAAGCAGGAGAATATGAGATCAAAACAAAAAAGTGGTGTTTTTTTTTAATTTTTATTTTTTATAGAGATAGGGTCTCACTCTGTCACTCCCAACTGGAGTGCAGTGATGTAATTACAGCTCACTGAAGCCTTGGACTCCTGAGCTCAAGTGATCCTCCTGCCTCAGCCTCCCAAAGTGCTGGAATTACAGGCATGAGGCACCCTACGGGGCCCAGAGAATGGTTTTTAAATTACATTTTGTATCCTATATGAAATGTAACTGGAAGAGTTGCAAACAGACTCCAAAAAGTTCTACTTGGGGTCTTCTTTCCAAATCATTGCTCCTGTGATTAGTGATTTTTTTTTTTTTTTTTTTTTGAGACAGAGTCTTGCTCTGTCACCCAGGCTGGAGTGCAGTGGCGTGATCTCGGTTCACTGCAACCTCCGCCTCCTGGGTTCACGCCATTCTCCTGCCTCAGCCTCCCGAGTATCTGCGATTACAGGCGCCCGCCACCACGCCCAGCTGATTTTTTGTATTTTTAGTGGAGATGGGGTTTCACCGTGTTAGCCAGGATGGTCTCGATCTCCTGACCTCATGATCTGCCCGCCTCAGCCTCCCAAAGTGCTGGGATTACAGGCGTCAGCCAGCATGCCCGGCCATGGTTAGTGATTTAACAGTATTATTGTACAATTAAATTTATATAAAGTTTAGAAACAGGCAAGGTTAATTTATGCTATTAGAAAACAGGACAATAGTTACCGCTGGGTACAAGTACGAGGGGGTTCTGGTCGCTTCTGCTTCTTGATCTACACACTGGTTACCCTGTGTGATTGCCTTGTAAACACTCACAAGTGCTCTTGATTTCTGTGCTGTTCTGCACACGTTACACCTCAATAAGCAGTTTCATTAAAACTCAATTAGCAGTTTTATTCATAATAAGTGTTGTTAGCTTTACCCATTGCCAGGTCTACTCAACACACGCTTGTCACCATACTAAGAGGCACAATCAATTCAACAGAAGCTCTTTGGGAAAATATACCAATATCTTAATCAATTTAAATACATCCTGGTTTTCAGAAACTTTGATAAGCAAAGATACAGGGCATTAGGCCTGACACACATAACTGTAAAACCCCTATGTGTCTTCCTCCTGCCCTCATGTGAGACTCTCCAATTAGCAATGCTGTTGACTGGCCTGCTCCAAACCTATCCTTCAGGCTTGAGAAGCAGTTCAGGATCAAGTGTAAGAGGGAAGTCTCCAGGAACTGGATCTCCAAATCCAATGATGCTTAACTGGGTATGTGGTCTTGGGCCAACTACCGCTCTCTGCTCATTTATCTGCTCTGTAAAATAGGGGTGATAATAACTGCCCCACCTGAAATGGCTGTCATGAAAATTAAATATGTTAATATTAACTAAAGAGGACAGGCTGGGTGCGGTGGCTCATGCCTGTAATCCCAGCACTTTGGGAGGCCGAGGTGGGCGGATCACCTGAGGTTGGGAGTTCAAGACCAGCCTGGTCAACACGGTGAAACTCCATCCCTACTAAAAGTACAAAAATTAGCCGGGCATGGTGGCACGTGCCTGTACTCCCAGCTACTCAGGAGGCTGAGGCAGGAGAATCACTTGAACCCAGAAGGCAGAAGTTGCAGTGAGCCAAGATTGTACCACTGCATTCCAGCCTGGGTGACAGAGCGAGACTCCATCTCAAAAAAAAACCAAAAGAGGACAAAGGGTGCTTGGCACATAGTAAGCCTTTGACAAATGTTCACTACTGGGATGATTATTACAATGGCTAACATAGCTGTAATCAGATAGTAGACACACCTCCACACCCCAGCCCAGGCACAAAGGGCCAGAGGCTGACTCCAGCAACTGTGTTGATGCAGCCTGGTCTACCCTCTAGACCCAACTGATTCATGAGTGAACATGTGATTCAAACTGCTTAAGAGCCTCCCCCCAACAATTGTAGTTGAATGTAGTAGTTCAAACATATGACTAAGAACCCCAATTTCTTCTGTCTTCTTTGCTCCATCATTGTCTGCATGTTGACTTAATTCTTAGGCCTCTTGTCCCACAGTCACAAGATGGCTGCTGTGGTTCCAAGCAACATGTCTTCACAAAACCACATTCAAGGCAAGACAATGGGGACGAGAACAGAGAGTTCCGTTTGCTCAGCAGCCATTTAATAGAAAGCAAAATATTTTTCAGAACCACCTCTCAGCTTCTCCCCTAATCATCTCCTCCAACCAACGGGCTTAAGGAGGCACCCAGACCCTATCACGTTAGTCTCCCACGGGAATAAGCAGAAGGCATATAGGTGCCCAGAACCCTTTACTAGAAAACATTTGATCAGGCTCCCAGTGTAAGCATGAGGTTCCACCATTCCACCAGGGCAGGCAGGCGTTTCTTTCAAGCAGCTCTCCACCCTTGGCTAACAAACACTGACACAGATTCTTAAAATGCTTTGAGTCTCTTGCTCTGTTCATCCTCCACTCAGGGGAAACAGGAGCCGCCTGTCCCACAAGCAGAACTCAAACCAAGCTCCACCCCAGCCTCTGCTTCCTCCCAGGGGACAATAATTCCTGACCTCCTCGGGTCATTTTCAAGAAATTTTGCCCCTATCTCAGGAGATCAGGAGGGTTATGTTAATAAAACAAAGCTTGTTTTCAGCAAACAACTGGCTGTTGGCTAGAGTTCTATATAGTCCTCAAAGTTAGAGCTAATGTACCTACCTGTAGGTAGGTTTGAGTTTAAAGAATAACTAAAATCTTTCTATGAGCTACAGAGGGTCTGGTTAAATTAATGTCAATGTGCAACCAACCTTCTGTATATATTCACAGTGGAACACTATCATCTGGAGGCTTTGGAAGCTTGCTTAGGGCCTCTATTTATATGTGCATACAGTGGAACCACATCACATGTACAAATAACTTTTGTAAATCTAACTGTATACAACACAGGAAACAACGACAAAGAGGGAGAGAGAAACCATTTCAATCATTTGAATGTGGCCACCCAACAACCACTGCCAACCCACTTTTCCCTCCCCTGCCTCCCACTGTGCTGGCCAGATGCCAGCTGCATACATTCACACCCTCCCTCGAAGTAACAAGACAGGGGCTTACACACAGTTTAGCCCAAGAGACAAGGAGAAGTCTTCCAAGGAACTTCTAGGAAACCAAGAGGTAGGCAGGCAGGCAAGGAGAGCTCTTTGTGCCATTCCCCATCCTCCTGCCTTGAATGTGAGATTGCATGAGGATGAACTGGCTGGGGCGGCAGCAGCCATTTTGTAAGCATGAGGTAAGAGACATGAGGAATTTGAGGATGGTGGTAGGGGGAGGTGGGAAGCTCATGGATGCTTGGACAGTATCACTGAGCTGCCCCTGCAAACGTGAACTCATCTCCCTGAAGACTTGCTATTAGGGGAGATAATGACATGTTTTTGTGCTGAAGCCATGCTAGGCAGGTGTTCTGTGAACTGCAGCTGAATGAGTTTTTTGTTTTTGTTTTGTTTTGTTTTGTTTTGTTTTTTTTGAGACAGAGTCTCACTCTGTCCCCCAGGCTGGAGTGCAGTGGTGTGATCTCGGCTCACTGCAAGCTCCGCCTCCTGGGTTCACGCCATTCTCCTGCCTCAGCCTCCTGAGTAGCTGGGACTACAGGTGCCCACCACCACGCCCAGCTAATTTTTTTTTGTATTTTTAGTAGAGACGATGTTTCACCGTGTTAGCTAGCATGGTCTTGATCTCCTGATGTCATGATCTGCCCGCCTCGGCCTCCCAAAGTGCTAGGATTACAGGCATGAGCCACCACGCCCGGCTGACTGCTGAACGAGTTCTAAATGAAACACCATTCCTCTCCACAGAAGCAGGTAGTGGCCATTAGGATGTGTATCTCTTATAGTATCTGCTGTCCCAGAGGGTGTTATAGGTCCTTAAGTGTAAGTATAACACCCAGAGGGTCCTTAAGTGTAGGACCTGTATCATACCAAACTTCTTACCTTCTAGTGTTTGAAGGCAAGTGTTTTGGTATGATACAGGTCCTACACTCAAGCAGATTATTTCATCCCATGTGCAACGGAAGAAGCAGTGATCTGCTGCAACACTGGGAGAGAAACTGGGAGAAGGAACTCAGCCATATGGAGATACTGCATAACGAAACAGCTTCCCATGGAAATTCAAAGGTAATTCCCACTCTACCCAATGTCTGTCCTACCTGCTGTCTTTAGCCTACCCCTGATGCAGGGGTGACTGCATCGCACTTTTTCAAATGTCCCGGATTCTTTTCAAAATCTATGATGGGAGTTGAGTAAATAAGATACATATAATGTTTGAAATGTGAAGGTACTCAGGGAAGTGTATAGTCTTGGATATGAGGGCTGTATTTAGTCACAAACTTCCAGGCATCTCCAATGAATTACAGCTGCTGAACTAAAACATCATCAGGCCATTGTCATGTTCTCCATTGATATTGGTCTACTGTCATGTTCACGGATGAGCCTAGAAGAGGCTCTGCAGCGAGACTGGACCCCCAAGGCAGCCAGGAGCAGCCCTGTTTACTGAGAGTTCCCTGCAGGTGAGGACTGAGCCCCTTCCTGCCATGATCTCACTCAATCCTAGTGTCCTGAGCCTTGAGCCACCCACCAGAGAGGGAAACTGAGGCCCAGAGCACTCCAACCCCTTCAGTAACTTGCCTGAGGACACACACCAGTGACCTGGACCCAAAGACAGACAGACTTGCCATCCCCAAAGCTCGGCGAGTAATTTGTCATTCCTGACCCTATTTTCACATACATAAAAATAAATGTTGAAATCATGCTATTTAATGAACATCTGGCATGGGCTGGTCCTCACTTAAAATGAAGAAATGGGCCAGGTGCAGTAACTCACACCTATAATCCCAGCACTTTGGGAGGCTGAGGCAGGAGGACTGCTTGAGCCCAGGAGTTCAAGACCAGTCTAGGCAACATGGTGAAACCCAATTTCTACAAAAATATATATAGAGTATATTTTTATTAAATATATTATTTTAATATAAATATATTTATATAATATATAATATATATCTATATTAAATATAGATATATATACACACACAAAAAATTAGCCAGGCATGGTGATACATGCCTGTAGTTCCAGCTGCTCAGGAGGCTGAGGTGGGAGGGTCACTTGAGCCCAGGTGGTAGAGGCTGCAGTGAGCCAAGATGGTACCACTACACTCCAGCCTGGATGACAGAACCTGTCACCCTGACTCTGACTCAAAAAAAAAAAAAAAAAGGAGAAATTCATTTGCCCATATCAAAAAGTGAGGGAAACACAGAAATGCCACCCCACTAAGTCTGACATGAATGGTGTTCAAAGAAATAAAAGAAAAATATATAACTTTACTGTGAAAGTTTTATTGATGTGCTTTTTTTGGAGTAGGCCAGCCCACAGTCAACTGTCTAAACCCAGCAGGTTGCCTGTGCCCCCAGCCGGCAAGGGTGGGCAGATCTGGGTGTCTCCTTAAAACTCTGCACCAATAAACACAGATCTTAATCAGCAGGAGGCAATTTTCTAGTATAACAGGATTCGTCAAAATACACCCAGTTTCCTGTTTTGCCTGTGTCCAGTCGACACCGACAAGCCTCCCATTTCAGCTGAGGTATCATCGCAAAGAGAAGGCCAGCTGCCCTGATCCAAGTCCTGTGGAGACACGGCTTGGGGGCCACCGTGCCCACTGCCTGCTCTGGACCCCAGCACAAACCAGCAGCACATCCCACCACGGTGGGTAACAGAGCAGCTGAGCTCAGGGCACAGGCAGGTCCCGTGCACGGTGGGTTCCTGATTGGCTATGGTGTAGCAAATGACAGCATCACTGCCTACCACTGACATCCCCAGGCACCAGCTGCAGGCGGCCCGAGGTCAGCCCTCTTCCTGTCTCCCCACATGGGATCTTCACAGCAGCCCAGGAGACAGGCACCCACATTAACCCCAGAGTAGGAAACAGGAGACCCAGGGTTTAACAACCTGCCTGAGTCGGGGAGGTGGGGGCAGAGCGGTGGGGGCTCTGCAGTCTGACGGTCTGACTCAGACCCAAACTCTTAACTACCATCTGAGACATTTTAGAATTTTTTCAAAAACACAGGAGAACAGGGTGCTGGGACCAAGCAAACGCAGGAAAAGCCTCCCTGTGTTCGACATCACCCTTGTGGGGACTCAGAGCACATGCCTCATGTTAAAGATGCAGAGGAGTCTTCCGAGGGGACATCCTTTAACCTACAGCTTTCGCAGACTCAGAGGAGCTCCAGTGAACATGGAGGGGGGGCAGGAAGTGTGGCTGAGTCACTGTCTGCAGAAGGACAAAAGGGACAGATAAAAAACTCAGGCTTTTGGCCGGGCACAGTGGCTCACGCCTGTAATCCCAGTACTTTGGGAGGCCGAGGCAGGCAGATCCCTTGAGGTCAGGACTTTGAGTCCAGCCTGGCCAACATGTTGAAACCCTGTCTCCACTAAAAATACAAAAATTATCTGGGCGTGGTGATGCACGCCTGTAATCCCAGCTACTCGGGAGGCTGAGGCAGGAGAATTGCTTGAACCCGGGAGGCAGAGGTTGCAGTGAGCCGGGATCGCGCCACCGCACTCCAGCCTGGGTGACAGAGCAAGGCTCTGTCTCAAAAAAACAAAGCAAAACAAAACAAAACTCAGGCTTTTTTACTTTTTGCACTTTCCCAGGTAGGGGACATAGCGTGTGGAAAGCAGGGATCAATAAACCCCATGAAGAGCCAGACAGAAACTATTGTAGGCCTCGGTCACCATCGTGTCTGTGGCAACTGCTCAACCCTGTCGCAGCGGCAGTAAAGCAGTCAGAGTGAATGCGTAAGTGGATAGATGTGTTCCAATAAAACTTTATTTACAGACCTTGAAATTTGAATTTCATGTCATTTTAGTGTCATGAAATATGATTCTTCTCGAGTATTTATCACACTTTTAAAAAATGTACCAGCCATTCTTAGCCTGCAGGCTGTACTAAAACAGGTTGTGGGCTGGAGTTGGCCCGCGGGCTGGGGTCTGAAGCAAGCAGGTCTCCCTGCTCCAAGCAGCATTTAAGCTACAGGGAGACACGGGAAAATATAGCTTCTGTGCTCACCTTCCCTCTCCCACCCCAGAGTAAGTTACCTGCCAAGAGAGGGGAACAAGGTAAGAGAGAGATCTGCCCTATTCTTCCTGAGGAACGTCCGAAGATAAAAATAAAAGAGGGGCCAGTCCTCGATGTGTGTTTAATAAACTTTTAGCATCATCGAGCAAAAGGTGCAGTCAAGTATTTTGGTTCCCAGGAGACAATGCTTGCTCGTTAGAGACTTGAGCTCCATTTCAGTCTCCAGGGTGTTTCAAAGCCAGGTAGAGCTGTGTTCCCAGGAGAAGCCTCGAGTTTTGATTGCAATCTGTGCTTCTTTCAGCCAGAAAATAACCCGTCCATCTAGAAATGCTGTTTTTCCCACTCACCACTGTGGGTCAGTGCGTTTGAGGCTAAGGCTCCCAGATGAATTCCCAAGGTTGAGGCAAGTTACTCTAAACCAGTGGTTCTCAACTGGGGGCAACTTTGCCCCCCAGGGTACAGTTAGCAATGTCTGGAGATACACTTGGTTGTCAGATCCTGGGGGAAGGGCTAGGAATGCTGCCAAACATCCTATAATACACAGGACAGCTCCCAGCAGAGAACGATCTGGTTAAACATACCAATAGTGCCCAGGCTGAGAAACTGCACACTAAACGTACTAAAAAGGGCACTTCCAAGCTCCAGAGGCGCAGAGATTTCTGGGTCCCCCACCCCCTTCCATCCCCACTTCCCACCAGTATATTAAGATAATTAGGAGCTCAGGGCCTGAGTAGGCATAAGGCAAGTAGCTTCATTTATTGTTTCCTCCTAAAGGAAATGACCAACCAGTGCCTCCATCCCATAAACATTTACTAGCCTGGAAGGTTCTGAGGCCCTGCTGCCATTTTTAAGGGCTTCTCTCTCAAGAAATGTTAGGTCAAGTCAGTCAAAAACTGAAACTTGAGAAGTGGGAAGATTGGGGAATGGAGTAGGGGGCATTTTACAAAATTCAGGACCAAGAAGAAAATCGAAAGATCTTTTAGATCTCCTCCCACCCTACCCCCTCTTTCTTGACCATAAACTAACAGCTGCTTTATATCGGGCACCTTATGAATGAGGAAAAGAGAGTTTTAAAGTTCTCAGGGCACTGTCCTGTGGGTTTTTCTTTTACTTGCTGAGTCCCTGTCGTGTTAATGGGTCCGTAGATTGATTCGTTATTGGCCTTCAGGGCATCATACTGAACAGGCTCTAGGACTGGCTCTCCTGCCCCCAGCCTTGGAAATGGCAGGACCACCACAAAGAGCAGCTGGTGGATGAGCTCATGGACATCCATGCACCCATAACAGAGAAATGATGAGAGGTAGCATCATAGTTGCTTCCTTTAAAAAAAATAAATAAACTTTTTATTTTAGAATAACTTTATAAGAACATTGCAAAGCTAGTACAGAGAATACTTGAGTACCCTTCACCCAGTCCTCCCAGGGTGAACATCTTCCACAACCACAGGGCATTTGACAAAACCGAGACGTTCACATTGCTGTGTAACTGTCAACTCGACTCCAGATTTGTTTCAGACTGTACCAGTGTTTCCACAGATGTCCTTGTTCTGGCCTAAGATCCAGTCCAGGATACCACATTGTATTTTCTTTTGGTTTCTTTCCTTTTTTTTTTTTTTTTTTTTTTTTTGAGACAGAGTTGCTCTGTCACCCAGGCTGGAGTGCAGTGATGTGATCTCGGCTTACTGCAACCTCTGCCTCCCGGGTTCAAGCGATTCTCTTGCCTCAGCCTCCCAAGTAGCTGGGACTAAAGGTGTGTACCACCACACCCCACTAATTTTTGTATTTTTAGTAGAAACGGGGTTTCACCATGTTGGCCAGGCTGGTCTCGAACTCCTGACCTCAGATGACCCACCCACCTCAGCCTCCCAAAGTGCTGGGATTACAGGCGTGAGCCACCGCGCCCAGCCTCTTTTGGTTTCTTCTTATTAAAAGACAGAAAACTTGACAGAAATAGGTGAGATTTATTTGAAACTCTCATCAAAACTATCCTTTCCCTCCTCCCCACGGGCAGCTCTCACCCTGAAGGTAGGGAGTCCTTCCTGCCCATGTGTCCATGGTATTACTGCAATGTGTATGAACCCACAAACAATACATTTATGAGTTGGTCCCCTTGTGTGGGAGGTTGGGGGCGGGGGTGCCTATGTGTGTAATTAACAAATGGTTACATCCTAAACATCCTTCTGCTACTTGCTTTCTCCTTCTGACATTGTTTCCAGTCTACATTGATACAGTAAAAAAAAAAAAACAAAAAACAAAAACAAAAAGAAGTCCCTGCGCTGGGGCGACTATTCCATATCCCCTCCCAGAGCTACACCTGCTTCTCTCTCGAATCCCCTGTTCATGCACATTTTGATTTTGGGGAGTTTACAATACTACAGACCGTACACAAAGGCATGCTGGGACATACGGAAAAAAACTGTTTCTGTGGTCTTTTTTATACAGCATCTTGAGGAATTGCTATTAAAATACCAATCTCTGGCTGGCTATGGAATTTCCCCATGGAAGGGTTATGGGGTACATGTAGGTGCCCCCCACAGGCACTCAGGGCCCTATGCCCTGACAATTATTTTTAAACCATAAAGACCGAGGAGAGGGGAGGTATCACAAGCAGGGTGGATAACAGAAGGGAAAGGTGTGTGCCTGCTTATCTCTATGTCACTTATCAGAACACGGGACCACAGAGTCAAGGCCATGGGCTCGGCTTCTGTTTTAATGGTCTCAACATCATCTCCTCCACGCTCCCCGCTACCTATTCGATACCCCACAGGTTCAGGAGGAAAGAATGGGCAGCTCTGCACCCAGCAAGAGCTGGACAGACACATCTGCCCCACACTTCCTAGCTGTGCATGTTTGGGCCCCTTCAGCATCCTCCTCTCTAAAATGGAAATGACACTGCTTACCCTGCAGAATACTGAGAGAACTGCATGAGGGCCCCATAAAGATGGCTACTCTGAATCCATTGCTGCTACACAGAAAGGTCTTAGCCCTCTGAGGTCTACAATCCATTTCAGTGATGCATTTAGATGATGAAGGGGTCTCTGAATTTAATGTCTAGATTCAGCCTATGCAAGATCCTGCCTGGACTAAGAAATGTCTCTAAGGGGCCAGTTGCAGTGGCTCACGCCTGTAATCTTAACACCTTGGGAGGCTGAGGCAGGTGGATCACTTGAGGTCAGAAGTTTAAGACCAGCCTGGCCAACATGGTGAAACACCGTCTCTACTAAAAATACAAAAATTAGCCGGGCGTGGTTGTGGGAGCCTGTAATCCCTGCTACTCAGGAGGCTGAGGCAGGAGAATTGCTTGAAGCCCAGAGGTGGAGGTTGCAGTGAGTGGAGATCATGCCACTACACTCCAGCCTGGGGGATAGCGAGAGACTCCATCTCAAAAAAAAAAAAAAAAAAAAAAAAAGAAAGAAAGAAAAAGGAATGTCTCCAAGGCCCAGGAGAGAAAGCAAGCAGCTCTTCCATTGTGGACAAGATTTCATGGCGAAGTGATAACCTGTATCTTCCGGGGAAACACCAGCAGTCACCTCATTAGCCAGGAGCAGAGTAATGCTTCTTAATTCTCTAGATAGTGAACCGGACAAAAGCTGAAGCTTGCCTTTGCTGAAAGACAAGTCATAAACAGGGAAGTCACTTTACAAGTGGGAATGGAAAGAGATGTTATTGTTGTTGAACCAATTGAGTACTTCAGTGAGATGGAAGCCTCCAGAACATCAGTCTCCAAAATGAAGCGCAAGATGGGAGGAGGCAAGAGGAACCCACTGGGAGTCAGGAAAAGATATATTACAATTATAATTGTTATGCAAATTCCAACTGACAATCATGGGAGTTCACTAGCTTCAACAAAAATATCTGCATAATTGACAGGTGGGGTTGAAAAATGAAGCTCTGGTTTCAGTAACACACCCCACAACTTACTTCCCACATTTCTGTCTTTGAATCTTGTGAGAGACACTTCAATCATGATAGCGTGGTGTCATCTGTGCCATTTCCTGGACGCTCTCTGGTGCTTTGCCTTTCTGAGCAAGCAGTGGTATCGTCATCTCCTTGCCAACCTTGGGTCAGGTTTGGCCACATGGCTCACTTTGGCCCATGAAATGTGAGCAGAAGCTCTTTCAGGTGGAAGAGTAAATTTTGGGGTACATACCCTAAATAGAAATAAGTTGTGGCTGGGCAAGGTGGCTTACGCCTGTTATCCCAGCACTTTGGGAGGCCAAGGCGGGTGGATAAAACCTGAGGTCAGGAGTTTGAGGCCAGCCTGGCCAACATGGCGAAACCCCATTTCTACTAAAAATAAAAAATAAAAAAAAATAACAAAAATTAGCTGGGCGTGGTGGTGGGCACCTATAATCCTAGCAACTTCGGAGGCTGAGGCAGGAGAATCACTTGAACCCAGAAGGCGGAGGTTGCAGTGAGCCAAGATCGCGCCACTGCACTCCAGCCTGGGCAACAAAAGCGAAACTCCATCTCAAAAAAAAAAGAAAAAAAGAAATAAGTTGTATAACTACTAGTTAGGATCATTTGTACTTCATAAAACAGACAAAAATAGAAATTTTTGAAGTTAGAAAGTCACTCCCAGGTAGAAATATTAAAAGCCAACGCACAGTTCACATTATCTTTCCTTCTGGCACCTTATTCGTAACATTCTGAGGACCTCAGCCTCTCCCAGGGACTCTGCTGCCACCAATGTGCAGAACTCCACGCCTCCACCCTGAACCCACGATAGAGCTATAATGTGATACAAATGAAAAACAAACTTCTGGGATTTTTAACGCACCAAGATTGTGAGTTTCTTCACACACAATAACTTCATTTATACTGACCAGATGAAGGGTCATCGAAATTTGGGACCAGGCCTTTAGATCAGTGATTCTAAACTGTTAAATCATGATTTTGAAAACACCAAAGAACAGTCCATTGCACCGCAAATTTTCATGACTGCAAACTTAATTAAATTATATTAAAATTTAATTTTAATTAAATGTATATTGTTAATTAAAATTGTGTTAACAATTAAAATTAAAATGATTCATTAGTTAAAATTTGTATTAATTAACAAACACCAAAATTTTGTATTGCTTTTAGCTTTAGTGTCTCCTACTTAAATTTCTATTTTTGTCTATGTTTTATGAAGCACAAGCTATCCTAGCTATCCTGCAGTAGTTATACAACTTATTACTATTTAAGGTATGTACCTGAAAAGGTAGTAGTGGGAATTGGAGATCAAAAGCATTTAGAAGAGACTGCTTAGAATGTCTTCATGCCATATGTGCACCGAAACAACCAATATCTGAGCACCTTCTATGCCATGAGAATTCTGCAAGGCTGTGCATGGGCAGGAGAATAAGGCTGTCTGAAAAAAAACAGGAAAAGTGTCCTTTATTGAAGGCCAAAACACAAGCCACCAAAAAAAAAAAAAAAAAAAAACTTGCCTGCCTTTGTGTGTGTAAGTTGCCAGGGGGATGAGCACTTGGACCATTATATGCCAACTGTCATGCTAAGAGCTTAGCTTTTTCTTTTTCTTCATGTAGTCCAAGCTACATGAAAGCAGAAGACAGGCTGGAAGCACAAGACAGGGCAGGCCTAAACCCAATGCTTAGAAACACACAAGTCCTCGATTTTGGAAACGGTGCAAGTTTTTATTCGTGGCCAATTTTAATTAAGCCAGGCAACAAAAGATTGAAACTTGAAAGCTACTCCAGGGAGATAAAGATGTGATAGAACACGTGACCTCAGAGATGCAGGGAAACCTAATACTTGGTGAGTCGGATTTTTCAAACAGTATAAAGAGCTGAAGGGAATTTATGGAAAGTCTTGAATGAGAAACGCCACCCCTCGGTATCTGGCCCTGAAGCCATTCTCTTTCGTCCTCTGGTCTCTAGAGGCTTCTAAACATGCTGAATCCACACAGGGCTTTGTTGTTGCAGCCTAACCCCAGCTGCGGGAGCCTTGGGCAGCCTTGCACCTGCTCCAATAAAAAGTGGGGAAGTTGTGCAGTTCTGTTAATGAATGCTTTGGGCTTGTCACTCCCTTGAAGGAAAAGACAATTTGTACTTTGACCATCTTCCAGAAAGGATTGGGAAGAAATACTTCAATAATGCAATTTTTTAAATGAAACATTTTATTTTGAAATTAATTTTTAATTCAAAGTTGCAAAGGCACTACAGAGAGTTCCGGTATACCCTCTCACTGAGTTCCAGTTTCCCAAGTAGTAAAATCATTAAATAACCATAGATGCTAAAATTGGGGAAAAGATTCAGCCTTAGACTCTATTCATCCTCAAATAAGTTTGGTGCATTCATTCAAATTCCATTGATCTCTGAAAGAGGGAGGCGCACACATATTCACACTCTGGGGACCATTTTCTTGACATTTAAAATAACATGGGCAGTTTAATCTCAGTATTTTAAGATTAAGTACTTAAAAACTGAAATTTGGACTAATATACCAACGTAAATCTTCATCTGGCCAACACAATAAAAACAAGAGCTACCATTTGTTTTACACCTACTAGGTGACAGCCTCTGCGCATGGGTGATATGATTTCTATTTCTTTAGAATCTGTTGAGGAAGAGATTCTCTTGTAGCCTTTATAAAATGAGGACACAAATGCAGAGATGTTAAGTAACTTGCCCAAGGTCACACAGCTAATGTGCTGTCATAGTGGAAACAGACACATAGGTTTAGGCTGTGTCTAAAGAGAATCACTGTGGATGCCGTTCCAATCTCCCTTGCCAAGTCACACCCACTGCTGTCACCGAGAACTTCCGTTACACGGCAGTGAAGCCCCCAATCCCCCACCCCATATATCACCCAGAATTAGCTGCAAAGTGTCAGGAGACTTGGCCAGGCAGCCCCAAGCATCAGCGAGGGCTGGAAGCCTTCACTGTGAAGCCCTTTATAGAAAGCCGCGGTTGGCAGCCCCCGCTCCTGCATGGGAACAAATTAACATTGGCATTCCAAACACAGGAAAGGAAGGAAATTGGAAACACAGTTTATACTTGGCCAGCCCTTTGAAATACTGTACCATGCTACCGACATCAATTAATGAAAAGCAGGGTTGTGTGAGAGGCTCTGGTTTGGAAATGCATTAACACACGTTCAACATGTTTGCACAGGAACCGGATTATATGCACCCTGGCTCCAAAACAATAAAGCAATTACCCTAAAGCTGGTGCTCTCGGAGTTGTCATTAATTCAATCCACTCCACGCGGATCAGCACAGGCTTTGCGCGGCTCCCCACAATGCCTTCCGACACAAATGTTGAAAAGGCGGTATTGCACATGCTTGCCTGAGTTTCGCATAAGTAAGTGTCAAACTTCATGCACTCTAATATCCCCCCAAATCATAAACACTCTACTTTGGAGCGGAAAAAAATACACAGCAGCAGTCCTAGTATTCCCTGGCATTGCTATTTCAGTTTGAGTTTGAGCAATTTTTTTTTTGCCGGGGAAGCTTAAATGAACTATCTGTTCCATATTAAGAAATACCAAGTCACATTTTTTGTCAATTATTATTTGTCAGATGCCATTTGCTGCAAAACCCGGAATTCAATCCCAGCTTGAACACACAGCTAATACCAAACGGCTCACTAATAGCCGCGGTCGTACATGGGATCATTTGCAGTGAACAAACGCCCTTCCTCTATAAACTGTTTCAGGGATTGGAAAGAAAAGCATGTGAAGCTCTGGAATAAATAAAGCACCGTGCCTTGAGCTGCCCAGTACATGACCCTTGCATGCTGTGAGAACAGGCTCAAAATGACCCAAGAGCAAGTGCCCACTTCGCAATTTTGTAAGAATGCTTCCGAGAAAGGATTTTAGATGATGTAGGTAAATCTCATTGTTTTTGACCTGCAATAGAAAGAACCAGCTCGCTTCTTGAAGGACCAGCATCCCCAGTCACTGCCTCTACACACATGTCCACCTGCATCTGGAATCCAGGGTCCAAGCAACAGACATCACGGGTGTCTCCTCCCCGCTCCTGGTGACGTCATCTCCTCAGCTCAACTCCACGTTGATCTGGGATCCATCAAGTTGGAGCAATTTGAGTGTGTAAAGCTAAATGTGTTATCATTTTCACCACAAATTAACAGTTTCTATGTAAATATTGGTAGTTCCTCACCCCATGAAGGCGAGAGAAGGCAAAATGGCACCGGCGCATTTGATTTAAACTAATTAAAAGCAGAGGGTTGTGCAATTCAATATATTGATTTTACCAGTGGGACTTAAATCTTTTATAATAAGTGTACACAGCTGCAGTGCTCTCCCACCACTACGCTGTAAAGGCTAATCCGCACATTCCTTCTGACAATAACATGACAGGTCCCACACATCCCTGCCTGTGCCCTAACCCCGGTGACAGTGCCAGAGTGCATTAAGGCGAAGCCTTGCAGTGGCTTGCCAAGAAACCAGTGTGCCAACAGCCCCCCCGCTAAGACTGAAGAGTGAGCGTGAAAGAATTAATGTGGCCAGAAGCATGGTGCAAAGGGCTCCCCATTCAAAATATTCAGGCTGTTACACGGATGGGCAGATGGGGAAGGGTGGAGACGGGGGAGACTTAGGGCACGCTGATTCTTGCAATGGGCCAAATATGACCTTACCAAATGAGGGAGAGATATTAAAGTGATAGGAGTGATCAATCAACTTAGATGGGACTCTCCCTGGAATGAAGTCACCAGTTGTCTCTGAGTTCAGCGGACACGTGATATTCACTCACATCGCAGGCATTCCGGTGGTGAGGGGATCGCGCACCAGCTGTGTTTATCTCGGCAAAGGCTTGAGAGCCTACTACGCCATGGTAAAGCCCCAAACCGTAGCTTGAGAGGGCTGCATCTCAAAAGCGGTTTCGTCTGTCTGTGCATTCAGACAATCATCCCCCTTGCTGCCCTGAAACTGATTTGCAAGTGGGCCATCTCTGTTACCCCTTCCATGGGGACCGCTCCACAACCGAATGACAACCCTGGAACCAAAACCAAAAACAGCCACCCAAGTTGGCATCCAGGGCTCAGCCTTACCCTGCCTTGATTCCAGAAGGAAAATACATAGAAAATGAAAAAAGTTCAAAGCTGGGTCACATACATGCTTGGGAAAAGTGGAGGAAAATCTTTGATTTATATAAGCAGGAAAATGAGGTTTAAAAGAAGTGATTTTGAAAGGGTTACGAAAAACACAGCTGTTGGTGCACTCCTATAGCAAAGGCGCTCTGCAGAAAGAAAGAAGGGGGGAGCTGTGTGACATCTATATTAACCTTTGGCTGCTCACCAGTGAGGGCCGGCGCTCCGAGTGCTGGAATGTGGAGCAGCCCCTTCCAAATTTTAACACAAGCCAGGTTACAGCTGCAAATGCCTGCAGTCCACGCTCCCCTTTGCGAAGCACTCCCTGAAGGAAATTTTTAAACTGTAACAGAATCTTTTTCTAATACTCTACAGTGGTAGGGCCTGCTCTTGACGGGCAGTGGGAGAGGTCTTAATGCCAAACACTTGTCAACAAAAAGGACAGCCAGATGGCATAAAGCAAAAATCAAACTGCACGGCCTTCTCCCTACTCTTCAGCTACATTAACAAAAGCCACTTTTATAGGCTGACTCCAATAATGATAGGTTTCCAACTTTCTCTTCTTTTCCTTCAAAGATTACACAAATTTCATGCCTTCATTACCTGGACCAGAGATAAACATGATGACTTCCACTCCCCTAGTGCCAGCCGGCTACTTTACAAGATTCCTAACAGAGCTGCTGGATCTTCCCAGAGAAAGAATGGTAACGGGCTATGGCTAGATGCAGTGTGCGGAGTCGCCATTGCCTGGGGATTATTTAAGAGAGGGTAGCTGTTTTGAATTCCAAAATTAAGTCTACAAAGAGGAGTCGGGGTTGTTAATCCAAACCAGTTTACAAATCTTGCCATTGAACTTAAGGGGCCCAGGCTGGGAAGATGGGAGTCTCACTCAGGCAGCTCAGTTCACATTGCCTGGGGCTTTATGGTACAGGCTGGGCTTTGTCATAAGGTGCGGCCTTTAGTCCTCATTCCCACCACCTGGTTTTGTCGTAAATTCCCCTCTAGTTTCCCCTCTAGTTTAGATCCCGCTCAGCCTGGCAAAAAACTTGAATTCCAAGAACGACTTATAGGAACAAAAACCAGTTTGGCGGCAGACAGAAGGAAGAATAAATGCACCAGGTCTGCAAAAGCCTTCAGAATTCAGGCAAGGGTCCCCCCTCCCGCGCACGCAGGCCGCCTGCCTGCAAGACAGCAGAGCTCTGCAGTGCAGGGCGAAGGGGCAGCAGAGGCTGCCAAGATCCTCACCCATGCCCCCCCCGCCAAACTCCCACCATAATAAGAAGTAATAGTTTGATATGTGCAAGTGATATTTTCTCACTCTTATGTAAATTGTGAGAATAAACTTGCCTTTAGAAAACTTCGAATACTACAGATCAACATGATTTGCAATCCAAGGAAAAACACTATAGCAGTACTTTCTCAGCAAACTCAGTGGCCAGACAAGTCTCCTACACCTCCCCCCAACCCTCTCCAACCCTACTGCCACCCCCAAGTCCCTCCTATGGAGAAATTCCAAGCTACAACAGGATAGAAGGGACAGGCCATTTATTTGTGTGCTGCTGCTTAGCAGAAATTAAAGGCCAACATTAGAAGCATCTACAGGAAGTGTCTCGCCAAACTGCAGCCCAGGTCTTCACCTAACTAATGACCTCGAGTTTAGGGACAGAGAGAGAAAGAAAACAAGGTCAGTGCGCTCTGTTAAAAGCCACTCTGCCATCTAATTTGGAGTGATGTCCCAGAAAGCTAGACCTGAGAAAGTCAGGGTCCCACAAAGCCCAAAGCCAGCCTGACTGATTAAGAGGCTCAGACAAGCCGGTCTTTGTCCTTTCAAGATGAAAGAAATGGATTGAAAGGTGTATGTACAGCCAGAGGAGGAAAACCACCCAGCTGTGGCCTTCCCAAACAAGTCCCAGCTTGCTCCTGCCGCCATGGGGGGAGCAAATAGCCCGCACCAAAGTTCCCAGAGGCACCCTCCGAGCAACCTGGTCTTTCTCTTGGGGACAGGGAGCCCCGGGGCCTAGCCCACACTGCCGGCCCATAAGCACTGGGGGCTTTTTTGCTCTTGGTTTGCAGGGCCTTCTGCAGAAGCCAGAGATTACAAATACCTTTTTAATGATTCCAGCCAGGCTCTGAAGGCAGCCACTGGGACCTGCACATTCAGTGGGAGTCCGGGGTACCCAACAGAAGGGAAGATGCTATAAATCCCCCACCAGAGAAAGGGCCCTGGCTAACCCCAGGCTTCAGGAGGGCGACAGAGCTCTGCGTTCATTATTTATATGTATGTATTTGGAATTTTCCTTTAGTTTTTGGTATAGTTAATAAATACACATTGTTTTAAAAAAATCACAAATACAGAAGTGCAGACGACGAAAAATCAGACCCCACCTCCCACTCCGTAAGCCCCAGCTATGCCCCCGCCTCTCTACCCCTCCAGTAAAATCTCTCTCCAGTTCCTGGTGTCTTCCTCCAGGAGGACACGATGATATACAAGCACACATGCAGCCCACTCATCTGCACCTTGCTTCTTTCCACCTCATACATCTTGGAGATGGTTCTAAATCAGGTCATATGTTGCTGCTTCCTTCTTAACTGGCTGCTTAGTATAATTTAAACTTTTTTGAAGGTATTTTGGCATCTAAACCTCCCACCCCTTGCTCGCTGAAGCTTGGTTCACTAGTTGGATTTAGTTATTATTAAGTACAGACAATGGCCTCCCGGGAACTCCAGGGACCTTATCAGGAGGGGGAAGCATGAAGGCGGATCTGCGCTTCCCCCGCGCCCCCAGTCCACGCCCCAGGTGCCCAGCGTGGGGCTTCAGTATCATTATTTCCATGTTGACACAGCGCCCGTGGGCGTGAGTTTGCTGTCTTGACTTGGTTCGGGTTTTCGCAGCAAGTTACACAAGTAGAATGAAAGCGGCTCAGGAAACAGCGCTATCGGGGTGTGTTATCTCGGAAACCAAATATTTGATCATCAGTCCCGCAGCGCGCTGGCGCTGCCGGGGGGTTAGTTTGAGCAAGTCTGGAGAATGTGCGCGCACATATGGAGGGGGAGCTCCCCGGCCCTCGCTGCAGCCCCAGGCTCGCGTCGCCGGGGTCGTCGCGGCTCCAGTCGGAAACCGGGACCCCCAGCCGCCCCCGCGGCGTCAGCTCTGAGATCCCGCGCAACCCAATCGCCAAAACCTGTGGTTTGCGCGCCACACGTGGTAAATGCTGAAAATAGATTCTGCCGGCCCGGGACCTACCACTAAATACTTAAAATAGAAGACTAGCGGCAGGGCACAGTGGCTCACGCCTGTAATCCCAGCACCACTTTGGGAGGCTGAGGCGGGAGGATCACCTGAGATCGGGAGTTCGAGACCAGCCTGCCTAACATGGAGAAACCCTGTCTCTACTAAAAATACAAAATTAGCCAGGCATGGTGGCGCATGCCTGTAATCCCAGCTACTCGGGAGGCTGAGGCACGAGAATCGCTTGAACCCGGGAGGCAGAGGTTGCGGTGAGCAGAGATCGCGCCATTGCACTCCAGACTGGGCGACAAGAGTGAAACTCCGTCTCAAAAAAAAAAAAAAAGAAAAGAAAAGAAAAAAAAAGAAAAAAGAAAAAAATAAACAAAGAAAGAAAACAAAGAAAATTAGCAATGGCACCGTTTCTTCCCCAGCTCCAGCCAAGAGAGAATGGGGCATCCGGCGGCCCGGAGAGGGGCCCCAAGGCGCTCGGAGCGCGCGGTACGCTAAGGCGGGCGCACCACGAGGGGACAGGTAGGGCTTGACAGGGAGGGTAAGGGGGTGCGACGGCCGCGATGCCAGAGCCAGGCAGGGCTGAGAGGGGCCCAGGAAGGGCGGCAAGGCAGCCTCGCCGGGAAGGGCCCTTTACATCCAGGTAGCGCGAGCCGCGCCGGCCCGGGACAGCTCACATGACCGAGCCCCGCGCTTTGAACGGCCCTTGCCTCCAGCCCCAGAGATGCGGCCGGCGGCGTAACATGGAGGGGACTTCGGAGGATCCCTCCTTCCCAGTAACCCCTACAGGCTCACCGAACCCAGCGCGCCCGACCTGGGGGCGCACACAGCTTGGGAGTCATAGGGCTGTGGGTGGGAGACCCTCGGGCAGGCACTGCGATTTCAGCCAGGAGCGGAAAGCTGGGCGGGCTGCATAGAAGAAGCGGCTCCCTCCCTCCCAGTCTCAAAGTGCCCCCGAAAGGAGACGCGTACCCTCGCCTGCCCTTACTCACCGAGGTTGACGAAGCTCATGACCATGTCGGCGTCGGTGAGGAAATGGCTATCTTGCAGGCTGGCCAGAGGGGGGCCCTGGGTACTGAAGACGGCCTTGTAGGGGTAGGAGAAGCCCTGGCCGCCGGGCCCGCCGCCCTCCTCCACCGCCATGGCGTTGTACAGGTCCAGCATGAACATGGGTGCCGAGTTGTGCTTGCCCTGGAGGTGCGGGCGCGGGCGGTGGGGCAAGCCCAAAATGGAGAGGATCTCGCGCTGCATCTCCCGCCGCTCCTGGCTGCGGAGGCGCCGGTGGATGAAGCTCGAGTGCACCTCGTTGTCCAGGCTGAAGTCGGCCAGGGCGGAGCGCAGCAGGAACAGGGGTGCCCAGAGCGCCACGAAGCTGTGCGGCGCCGCAGCTCGCAGTGAGCGCACGTGCATCGCGCCGGCTCTACGCGCTACCCGGGCTCCGGGCTCCGGGCCCGCACCGCCCCAGGTGGCAGAGGGGGCAGGCGGCCGTCCGCGCCGCTCGGTCACTTGCTGCAGACGGGCCCCGCTGCGCCCGCGCCAGACATGGCCCCTCCCCGGCCGGCCGCGCTCTGCCCGGACCCCCGCCCCCTGCTCGGTGCTGGCCCCGGGCCCCTCGCCCCGCACTCGCCCGGGCGCACCGCAGGGCTTGGAAAGCAGCCCCGGCGAACGAAAAGGCGAGTGAGGAGGCGGGCGCGGGTGGGAGGAGCAGCCAGCAAGCCTAGGAGTCCAGAGAGCCAACGCCGGGGAGGCAGCGAGGAGGCAGGCGGGCGGGCGAGCGCTCCTTCTTCCCGCTCCTCTGGCGCTCTCGCCCTCGGGCGGCGGCAACCCACCCTCTTCCAACCTCCGGCGCGGATAGCAGGGGCCCCGGGGCGCTCTCCCAGCCTTGTGCGCCCTGGATCGCACAAGAGGCCGCCTCGGGAGCGCCAGAGTGGTACGCGCTGGGGCCTGGGCGGAGGAGGAGGAGGAGGAGGACGGGCTTCGAGGGGCCCCTCCCGCGCCGGCGGCCTCCCACCTGCCCTCGGCCCCGCCCTCCCCCCAGCTGTGCCCAGTGGGTTCATTCATTCCCTCTAGAGCGCTCGACAAATGTTTACTGAGTGCCCACGGGGTGCCTAGAGCCTGGCGGGACGTCGCGGGGATGCGGCTGGAGGAATCGGAGCCGGCCCTGCCCTCTCGGCACTCGCGGTCCGGACCAGGAAGGCGGCCCGAGCAGGACGGGTGGGCTGCGGACCGCGGTGGGAAAAGTTGGGGGAGCGCGGAGGTGGCGCGGAAATAGAAGGCTTCCTGGAAGCGGTGACCCTTGAGCCGGTCTTGCCCCTCAGTCCCTGTATCCTTTTAAGCCAGCCACGCTGACCCCTCCGCGCCTCCCTGAAGCCGTTGCCAGCCTGTCTCTGCGCTCGCCATTCCCTCCGCCTGGACCTCTCCCCACTCACCACCTCCCGCCCCCATCAGACGCTGCTTTCTCCTCCCAGAGACCTCCAAGACCTGCCAAGCTGAGGTTGTTTCCTCGCCTCGCCCCTCGCACGTTTGTTTTCTTTCCTGTAGTTTCTCTTGCTGTCTGGAATTGCTGTTTGAGTTACTCCGTGCCTTCTTTATTGCCTTCTTACCCCCGCTAGACACCCAGAGCACTGGGGCCCGGATCAGCGATCTTCTCCGCACCTCTGGTACCCGCAGTGCCTTGAACCCAGCGCCTGGTAGCCACTGTAGCTGCGCAGTCACGATTTGTTGAGTGAATAAGTGAACTGCGTGTGAGCTGGGGGGGTTCTTCCCACCTCCTCCTCTTCGGGGCCCTGTATCTTTCCAGCCACCCCTCAGCCTGAGACCAGACACCCCAGCCCCACCACTAGGGCTTCCCATCAGCCCTCCTCGTGGCAGTGCCTGGGGAGCCAGCCGCTGGTCTTCACATCCTCTTCCCCTCCAAGGGTCTGTGCCTGAGACCTCCCCATCGGCCTCCTCTCCTGTCTCTCCTCATCCATTCATCCCTCAATCAATACCGAGCCATGCACGCTGTCACAGGGAGTCCCCAGACCACTCAGAACCCACCGGTCCCTCTGCCGGTGTGGGATCTCAAGGGAATTACTGCACCCAGAGTGGCAGTGAGGGCAGCGGGGTAAAAGTTCATCCTGTCTCCTTCCCCTCCTGGGGCTGGGTGAGAGAGTGGGTCCCCAGAGGGCCTTTGGGATGAACTGGGAAGGGCTGAGGTTGGGGAAGCGGGGGCGCTTGTCTGGGAGGGGCTCTGGCTAAGCCTCACTTTGGGGCTGTCCTTCCTGGAGCAGGAGAGCTGGGGAAGAGAATTATGGTCTTCTACAGTTTTCTGGAGCAGAAGTAGTTTGGCCAAGTGGCCCTCTGGGTCTCCCTTGGGGACTTTTGGACTAGATGGCAGCCTGAGGGGCCACATGGGTGGAGAAAGGGGAGGCCAGAGGCCAGGCAAGGAGCAGAAAAATGCCAGCCTGCAGGTCCTGGCCATTTACACACAGGCCCCAGGCTGTGGGATGGAACAGGTCTTGAGCCCCATGCCAGGGAGGGGCCTCTACCCACCCACCAGGCAAGGCCCTCAAACCACCCCCACCACCTGCTCTTCATCCATTCACTCCTTCCTTCAACAGACAAGCATGGAGCACAGGATATCAGGAGGCGAGCTGTGGGGCCTGCAACCTGGACAGTCGTACAGGGCCCCCCAGCTCTTAAGGGCCCCACACTTGGTTTCCTACTCTGAGGTCACCATATGTGGTTCTGAATCACCTATGAACAAAGTACCCCCTGCCCCGTACTAATTTTGCACCTGGCCCAGATATTATGTGGCCAGTCCCAGGGCCAAGCACCATGCTGGGCAGGAAGACATGGCCATGAGCGAACCCACATGGCAGACTCCATCAAGGAGCCGGCCTCCAGGCCAGGGAAGCAAAGCAAGAGCCTTAAATAAGATTCAGGGACTGAAGGAGAGGCAGATCTTGTCTATCACTCTCTCTGGAAACAATTCAGAAGCCAGGCAGAGGAGGACATGCAGGAGGGAGAAGGAAAGGTGGGCATCCTGGCAAGCAGGAATCCTACCCCAGGGAGACTGGGGAAATTGCAGGAGTGCCACAGTCGTCCAGGGTCCATCTGAGAGTGTACAACTGGAGAGCCTGGGTCACTTCAGCCTGCAATAAGTGACAGGCAGTGGGGGCGGGGGCGCAGATAAACAGGGTGAGGTGATGGAGGGTGGGAAGGGGAGTTTTTGGAGGAGATGCCACTGACCTGAGTCCTGAAAGACAAGAAAGAGACAGGCTTTTCCAGGGAAAGGCATCCCAGGTGGAGGAACAGCAAGTGCTTGAGCCCTGCAGAGCAGGGAACAGAAACCAGGCTCGGTCCCCAGCCCTGCACACGCCCTCCAGCGCTGGCTTGCTAGGGACAGGCTATGCCACCTCCAGTGCCAGTAGAGAAAAAGGAGGTCATTTTCTTCCAAAGTCTGAAATAATAAGGAGCCAAAGCAGCCCTGTTCTTCAGTAGTAGTCTCTGCTTTTTATCTACTCTCAAATCTTTTGGAGGGATCTTCACAAGCAGGTGAGGCTGGGGGCAGGGGCAGCAGGTCTTGGTGCTACAATTTACATATGAAACAACTGATCCGTCAGTGTCTAAGCAAGGATTCTAGTTTACCCTTCTTTGTGCATCTCACCTGAGCCTATTCTGAGCCTGGCACACAGCAGGTGCTCAATTAGTACCTGTTGAATGAATAGTAATAAGCACAGCCAAAACCTAAAGAGACCGGTTGACTGAGGGCTGACTGTGCAGGCGCCAAGCTAAGGCATCTCCCAGATCCCTCACCCCAGCAACCCTTCCTCTGAGACGCCATCTTTTCTCATGCAAGAGGAAGAGACAACATGCTCTTCATATCCAAGACCTCAAGAGATAAGGTTTCCTCTGAAGTCCCACAAACCCCCATTTAGCCTTATCTTTTCTGTGATCCATGCTTGGTGGGGGGGTCTTTCTTTTCCCTGTTTCCTCCCCGAGAGGCATCCCCAAGACTGCACCAGGCCCTCAGTGAATGCCGAATGAATGAATGAATGAATGAATGAATGAATGAATGAAAACCGGCAAGCAAGAAATATCTGGCTGGGAGTGCATCCGATGCCAGTTTGGGAGCTGAGCCCACCACCAGAAAAGGCTTTGAGATTGCCGAGGGCAAGTCTTGTGTGGAGGAGGTAGCCTGGGCACTGGAGCCTGCCCAGCCGCATTCACACTCCAGCTCTGTCTCTTCCAGCTGTGCACCATGGGCAAGGGACTTAACCTCTCTACACCTCAGTTCCCCCATCTGTAAAATGGGGTGACTGATAGCGCCTGTCTTCTGGGATCGCTGTGAGGTTGCAGAACTTAATTCATGGAAAGGGCTTTGCACAGTGCCTGGAACACAGAGAAAACCCTTGATAAATGTTATTGTGTTACCATCTGGATGAAAAGGAAAATATGGTAACAGGAAAGCCTCCTGAGTTACAAAATAACAACAAAACTTTTCATGATGGTCTGCTTTTTGGCCAAGCAGAGAAAAGCAGATGTATCCTGACTCTGAGAGCAAGAGCAAAAGTACCAGAGCAAAAGAGAGAGTGAAGTGGAAGGGAACATGAGAGATGAAAAGGTCATCACTGCATTCCAATCCTCACATTGTGCCTAGGCCCCCTGCAGGCCAGCTGGGGCCCAGGGACTTCCCTGGGTCCTATCTCATTTCCCCAGCAGCTAGCCCCCAACCCACACACCCCCAGTTGTGGTTCCCCTGGCCAGGGCACCCAGCACTGGGCTCCAGGACCGTAATCTGATCTGCCCCAGTCTGCTCCACACCTGGGGCCGCCTTTGCCTGGATGAAAGACGGCCTGGAATTGTAAGGGGTGTTATTGTGTCGGGTGGCCCGGTCCCAGTGTCCGCGCCCCTCGCCTGCTGGCCTCCCAGTGCTGGGCCAGGAGTTTTCATTTCCTACATCATCAGTCACATCTTGCTGAAGTGATTTTGACCAAGTCAGCATGTCTCTCTAAGGCAGTAAAAAGAAGAAAAGAATTCTGCTGACACACACATTGTTCAGCGAGGTGGGGACCTCATCTTCATCCATCTGCCCTAGAGGAGGCTCAGCTGGCCTGGAAGCTCCCTGGGGAGCACAGCCAAGGAAGCCAGTGGGCTGCTCTCTCTCTGTCCACACCACCTGGCAAAGGCCAGATGACCTGGACCTCCAACCCCAACAAGGAATAGAGGGCCAAGAGCTGCCTCCTGCACAGGCTTGAAAATCGTTGTGTGCAGAGGTGGACCCTGCAGAGGAAATTATTAGAGCACACCTGTGGTGAAATTTTGTTTCCCACGCAGATCTCTCATTGCACGGGAGGCTTGGACTCCTCACGCTTGCCCACTCTGAGATTTTCTTTGCACAACTTTAAAAGCAGCAGAATAAGAGATTAAACGTCTTCCATCAGTCTTAAGTACACATGGCAGTGGCCACAGTTCCAAATGGAAAATACAGACGACACACACACTCTAGAGAAAGCTGATACCATGCAGGATTTCTAGGATCTGGAAGCCAGCTAGGGGGAAGCAGTGGTTTTGTTTATTATTATCAGGGCTGTTATTTCTTCCTTGATTGGAGGAAATCTGGTATGGTTTTGAGCACTAACTATCCTCGGTTCAGCACTAGAGGTAGCCCTTTCCTCCTTCCAAAACGTGACAGGGGAGCGGCCGACCTGTCACCTGTTGGGAGCACTTGCTTCTGCTGGGCACCTGCTAGGCCTGCACGGCCCAAGCCCACATCACCCGCAACTCCCCACTGCATGGAGAGGCTAGTTCTGCTCCTCAGATTGCAGAGGAGGACCAACATCCCGAGAGCACCTTGTCCAGAGTCAGACAGCCAATCTAATCTGTAATGGAGCCAGGATCCAAAGCCACATCTGTCTACACAGCCCAGGCCTTTAAGCATCAGTGCACGTTCAGTGACCTGGGAGCAGCCCCTTCCTTCCTTGCTTTAACCTAAAGCAACACTTCTCCAACCCAACTGTGCGTGTGAATCCCCTGGGGGTCTGTTAGAACATAGATTCCCACAGTCAGTCTGAGTGAGCTGAGATTCTGCACTTCTAACTAGCTCCTGGGGGCTCGGAGGCTGTCGTCTTCAGGCTGTATGTTGACGATCGAGGCTCTAGATTTCTGAAGTTATAGCTGACAAATTGGGGCTTCAAATTAAAACTTCAATATCTATGATTCCAGGTGTCTTTTAAAATTAACTCATTAATTCTCCCAACTACCTTGTATGATTTTTATTATTATTATCCCCATTTTACAGATGAGGAAATTGAGGCTCAAATACTTGAGGGAACCTGCCCAAAGCCACACCAATGGTGAGTGAATGGTAAAATCAGAATTCTGACGCCGGCTATCTTGTTCCAGGACTTAAGTCCTTAAACATTGAGGTACACCAAAACACAGGGTTTGTCTTAGTCCTGTAGGGACCTCCCAGTACCCATGGAGGCCTTGCACACAGTAGATGCCCTATCAGTGTTTGAGGAACATACCTCTGAGCCCTTCTTCAATTCCTCCTTTATTGCAGAAGTCATACACTCAAAAGCCAACGGGCACCAACCAGGTAACATAAATACAGAGATGCAACATGAAGCTCAAGGAATATTTCTCTTCCTCTTAATTTAATGGAAGGCAATCATGAGCACAGACATGGTGACAGGTGGCAGGAGACACTGGCCTGGATAAATAAGGAGGGTGCAGACTGGGGTGAACTGGAAACCACATGCCCATGGGTGATGCCATCCAGAAATTTGATTCCAACATCACCAGAAAGTTCTGATTTTCCAAAGAAGCTAGAAACTTGAGTTTGAATGTGACATCTCTCAATGTTTATCTGTTGGCAACTAATTCAACTCGTTTTGGTTATTAGACCAAAGAAGACACATCTACCAGTCAGATTCGATGAATCTGGTTTGCCCCTGGCCTCATAAAGGGCTCTGCTGTGTCTGGAGGATGTGCCCAGCCTCCCCCAACCCATCACCCAAACCAAAGGACCACCAAGGATGGTGCATTTCAAGACAGCTCCATTGAATTCATGATTCGAGGGCTACTGAGCCAGTGGTTGAAAAGGCTGGAACTGTCTGCCCCTTTAGGCAAAATCTGACCCTAACCTTCCCCAGAGTCCCTTCCCAGCAAAACTCTGCTGTTTGGCCCTGGTGACTGATCTGATAAACTCCCCCTCTCCCCAGAAACATCAAAAACCAGAATTCCATCTGCAAGAGCAGGAGTGAGTGTTCATTGCTCCTGCTTTTCAGCATCTCCCTCCTCCCAGCTAGATCTGAGCCCTCTCTTATGGTTGAGGATGCCCCATCTGGTGAATATCCAGAGAGGCACTGTCTAGCCTGCTTTGCAGCCAGAGCCCTGACAGGTGACCAAGTTTCAGCCAGTCAGAGGCACCCACCCCAGAAGCTATCAGTGCAGGCCCAGACTATTCTGCAGAGTGATCTGGGGCCGTGTCCCAACTAGAGAGCCCCCAAGCCTGGTTCTCTGGCCTTCCCAGGGGTTCTGTGAGCCCCCAAGATCCTCTAGTGGTCTCCTTTTCCGCACCAGCCTGCCCAAGCTGGTTTCTGTTGCCTGCAGCCAGAAGCCCTGCTGGATACAGCACTGGGGAGCTGGAGAGGGCATGGCAATCATGTCAGTTAAAAGGATACAGGCCTTCTCTTTTGTGCAGCGCTAAAACTTTTGGTCAAGGAGTTTTTCACACATGCTCGACACAGAAAACAGAAACAGAGCTTCTTTGGTTACATAGAGCAGGGGAGGGACTAGGGTTACCACATTTAGCAAAAAAAAAAATAGGTGTCCAGTTCAATTTGAATTTCAGATAAACAATGAATGAATTTTAGTATGACTATATCCCATTATATTGGAGTATATGTATTATATATACTCATACTGAAATTTACTCGTTGTTTATCTGAAGTTCAAATCGGACTGGACACCCTGCCTGTTATCAGGTGATCCCAGCAGGGGCCCAGAGTCCCCAGGCCTGTTTCTTTTCACTACCATTTTCTCTGCTCCCAGGGTTCCACAGAAAACACTTTGGAAGCTCACCTAATTTGAGACCCCTGCCTTTTCTCCTTCTTCTGCAAATATTTCCTCTGTTTTCTTTTCTTTTCTTTTTTTTTTTAGACAGAGTCTCCCTCTGTCACCCAGGCTGGAGTGCAATGGCACAATCTCAGCTCACTGTAACCTCTGCCTCCCGGTTTCAAGCAATTCTCCCTCCTCAGCCCCCCGAGTAGCTGGAATTACAGGTGTGCACCACCATGCCTGGCTAATTTTTGTATTTTTAGTAGAAGACAGGGTTACACCACGCTGGCCAGACTGGTCTTGAACTCCGGGCCTCAAACAATCCATCCATCTTGGCCTCTCAAAGTGCTGGGATTACAGGCATAAGCCACTGTGCCTGGCCAAGATTTCCTCTGTTTTCCTCAGTAGAAATGCCCCTTCTTCACCATCAGTCCCTGTATTTCAGGTTGAACTATCCTCTTCTCTAAAATTCAGACTGGGCACATGACCCAGCCTGGTCAACCAGAGATGCCCATGCGATGGGTTCAGTGACAGTCATGTGACCTAATCCAGGCCAGTGAGATTCAACTTTTAGAACTTTTGCTAGAACTACCGGTAAAGGGGTCTCTCCTCCCACTGGGGTTGCTAGGTCAGGGGCTGCTGCTGGCTGTCATCTTCCCTCCCTTCAGGGAGAGCCTGCCCTGTGAGAGAAGCCACAAGACAGTAAAACAAGAAAAGGCAGGAGACTGACAGCATCAGTGAGCCCCTGGAGCCCACTATCCCTGAAGCCAGCCCCACCCAGGACTGTTCAGTTTAAGCCATTGTGTACGGAGTTTCCAGTCAGTTACAACAAAAGTCCTGCAGAAGCGTGGTTCAATTCCTTCATCTTGAAGATAGAGAAATTGACACCCAAAGAGAAACTGCTGGGCCCAAAGTCTTACAGTGAATCAGGGATTAGACTGGGCTCCTCGCTCCCAGAGTCCTGGGAACTCCTCACCACCCCACGTCGTGCTTCTCTCCATCTCTGTTGTTTTCTTCCTTCTCTCCTCTCCTTCACTGTGTTTCTCCTCATTTAAAAAATTGTATTCTTTCTTTTACTTCGAGTTTTATCTTTATTCCCTCCCCATTGGTAAACCATTACTCTAAATATAACAGGTTAGTCCCAACTCATGTGAAAAGATCGTATGGGAAGATTAACAGATTTGAGCTCATCTTACATATGATGCAACAACTAATAAGAGTTAGCATGAATGACACAGCTATCTGATGTCCAAGCTTTGCTGATTAGCTCTCGTCTTCTAATCGCCCTGAAATTGGATGCAGTATCTCCCATTTCACAGATGAAGATCTGGAGGCCCAGGGGTCAAAGGACTTGGCCAAGAAGCATGACTAACAAACGACAAAGCCAGCATTCAAGCCTGGATGACCCAATTCTGATCCCCTATTTCACCCAGCCAGTTGCCCCTGTAAAGCCAGCCTGAGATTTTTATTTCCAGAGCTCACATGATAACAAACCACTGAGTTGAGTTGCCAGATGTGGCAAATAAAAAATATAGGCTATCCAGTTAAATCTGAATTTTAGATAAACAATGACTAATTTTTTTAGAATAAATATGTCCCAAATTGCAAGGGACATACTTACACTAACAATGAGCCTTTGTTTATCTAAAATGCAAACTTAACCTTTCACGGTGTATTCTGTTTGGCAATTCTACACTAAGGGGCTTTTACGCATAAAGCAAGAAGCATCAGCTGTGTCCTTGGTTCTGCAAAAAGCCTCAGGGCCTTTGCACTTGCTGTGCCATTTGCCTGGAAGGCTCATACTGATATTCACCTCCTTCACCTCCTCTGGGTCTCTGCTCAAATATTTCACCATTAAAGCTTTCCCTTGCCCGTCTATCAGAAGCAACCCATGTTTCTTTTCCTCTTAACACCACCACCTGAAATACAATAGTTACATGTTTATTTGTTCATTGTCTCTCTCCTGCCATGGAAATGTGGGCATGTGTTTTGGTCTGATTTGTTCACTACCGTGAATAGAGCCCAGAGCGGTGTGCCGTATGTAGTTGATACTCAATGAATCTTTGCTGAATGAGTGAATGAACTCTCTGTGAGCACATCTTGGTTTCTGTCTGGAATACTGCCTGACTTGAGATTGTCACTCACCTGCTGAGTGGCAGTGGGCATGCCCCTGAGCTCCCCACTCCTTGAGCTGGACTCATCACACATCTCAGAGTCACTGGGAGATCAGGTGACGAAACAGCCTTGAGAGTCAGATGCAAACTTGCCGGAGCACGTATGCAAGCATTCCAGTGTGCTTTTCTCTTCTCTTCTCCTTCAAGCACTCGTGCCCCAGACAACTGAGCCTCGGAATACAAACCCTAAAAAACAATTTTTTCCAGTGTTCAGAGCATATGCAAGCTCCTCCTACCCCTGGCATCACTGCAGACAGTGGCATCAAGCACTTCCAAGTCGGAGGGAAGGACAGCACACCAACAGACATCAGTACCAACGACGGCTAATAGTCTAGACGTCTGGTCCAGTTATCTGCATCACCTCCTTTCATCCTCACAACTCTTTTGAAATAGATATTTTTGTGCCCATTTTACAGATGAGGAAATTGAGGCTCAGATTAATCAGTTCTACTGCCAGAAAGCAATGGAACCATGTTTTAATTCAGCCAGCCTGATAGCAGTCTCTGAGCCCATTTCCTCACCTGTAAAGTAGGTATAATTATAGTGCTACCTGGCCAGTCACAGTGGCTCACGCCTATAATCTCAGCACTTTGGGAGGCCAAGGTGGGTGGATCACCTGAGGTCAGAAGTTCAAGACCACCCTGACCACTATGGTGAAACCCGGTCTCTACTAAAAAATACAAAATTAGCTGGGTGTGGTGGTGCATGCCTGTAATCCCAGCTACTCGGGAGGCTGAGGCAGGAGAATCACTTGAACCCTGGAGGAGGAGGTTGCAGTGAGCTGAGATTGTGCCATTGCAGTCTAGCCTGGGCAACAAGAGCAAAACTCCATCTCAGATATAAATAGATAAATAAATAACTAAATGTGCTGCCTTGTTGGGATGTCGTGGGGTTAAAATGAGACATTGTGTGTGAAGTATTTGCATGGGTCCAGGCAGGCTGCACACACAGGTGGCCACCACAGGCAACCTTGCCCTCCCCCCAGCCAGAAATAATCAGGATAGAGGATGTCATGTGAAGGCCATTTTCCAAGCTGCCCAGAGTGACTGATGACCTAGCTTGAGGCAAGACAACTATCCAGAGTTATCAGATTCACTTCCTTGGGTATTTGAAATAGGAAATCCAGAGAAAACGAGGTTACAGGAATGAGGCCAGGTCAAGAGGTAGAAAGTGTGGCCATGATGGGTGGTGAGCAAGCTGGCCTTATAAAGGAGCTCAGGCCACTGGGGTCCAGTAGTGTATGTTGTACACTGTGCACTCTGGGATCAACATTCCTATTCTTGCCTTTGAGAACGGTGACCTCTGGAGTTGTGCAGTACACACTCTCAGCAACTGTACCCAGCAGCTCTGAAATTTTATTCATTCATTGATTCATTCACATATATATTAATTTATTCCCACCATGTGACAGTCTCTTTCAGACCATGAGACGGCAGCAGTGAAAAGATATTCAAGACTTTTCACACAGGTATTTTAGTTAGGGGAGATGGACGAGAAGCAGGAGTGACTGACAAGTGCATGGAGAAAAAGAAAGCCCAGCGAGAGGCTGAGAGCAGAGGGTGGGAAGGCCTCTCTGAGGAGGGGAGGTCTCCAAAGCCAGGCCTAGGAGGAGCAGGGGGAGGGGACTGTGGGTAGAGGCAACGGTGGGTGCAAAGGCCCTGTGGTGACCCACAAGAGCATCTGGGATGCTTGGCTCCAGAAGCCCCTCCTAACTCCGGCTTTTCCTGGAGTCGATGTTTCCCTGTGCCCAGGTCCCCAGACACAAGTGTCTTTATGATCCCACCACATTCCTTGGGGTGGCTCGAGTCAGTGCCTCTCACAGCCCAAAGAACTCTGACCCAACTTCCAGCTGGGGCCCCTGTCCCCGAACAGAGTCTCCAGACATGGGCATTGCTGGCCCTGGTCTGTTCTCCTCTTCCAAGTCTCAGTGACCCTCCTCAGCCAGACTTCTGCCCCACCCATCTCTGCTTCCAACAAGCTCCCAGTGAGCTGCCTGCATCTGCAAAGCCGGGAAACATGATGTTCCCAGACATCAAAGAGTTTGCAAAAGATTGTGGTCACCTTAGACCCAGACCATTTCCTGAGGCTGCTGTTTAGATACCAAGTCCAGGGTTTTTTCTTTAGGACTCCAGTGAAGGGTAGAAGCTGTCCTACACCTCAAGCCACCACCACCTCCCTTCTCTGGACCCCACCGTAATCCATGGCTCCTTACAACCTCCACATCTCTGGCACTGGAGCCCTGATTTTGTTTTTATGGGGTAATATTCTTTCATCCCCAAATGCCATGTAGGAATTTGCTGGCGGGGTGGGGTGGGAACCAGAGAAACAAAAGGATGATTTACAGGGGTTCAAAAGCCTCATTATAACCAGAAAATTCAATTTACAGACATTTGGTTCTTTTATTTCCATTTTTTTAAGGAGAGAAAAGAAATCAATCTAGTGTGGGCATTTTGAGTCCCTTGCTTAGAGGTTCAAGGCATCTGTGACTTCAGAAAGCCTTCTTGGCATGAAGCAATAAACAGGCTGAGCAGATAAAACCACCCTGTGTTTAAAAAGCAGGCCTGTCTCCGAGGCAGAATTTTTATAGATAAAACAACAGAACGTGACTCAAAAAAGTCGTGTTGTGAAAATGGCCCCATGTAGACACAAAATTCTTTACTCAGGAGCTAAGTTCTACAGCAGCACAGGAAGGTTTCATCTAGATAATTCTCTACGTCTGGCTTCAAGGAGCCACTCCAAAGCCCCGTTTTCCAGACGAGTTTCGTGTTGCAAATATCACCTCCATGCCTTCAATGTTTCACTGCATGGAGGACCCTCTCTCTTTCTCCGGTTCACCAAAATGTTTGCACATGTTGTGAGGGAAAATGACTTTCTGTCAAGTAAGTTTAAGAAACGATGGGCTCCAGAAAGGGAAACATGTTTCTTCACTGCAGGACTTCTCAATTTTTTTTTTTTTTTTTTTTTTTTTTGAGACGGAGTCTTGCTCTGTCACCAGGCTGGAGTGTAGTGGCGCAATCTCAGCTCACTGCACCCTCCGCCTCCTGAGTTCAAGCAATTCTCCTGCCTCAGCCTCCCAAGTAGCTGGGACTACAGGCACGCACCACTACGCCTAGCTAATTTTTGTATTTTTAGTAGAGATGGGTTTTCACCATGTTGGCCAGGATGGTCTTGATCTCTTGACCTTGTGATCCACCCGCCTCAGCCTCCCAAAGTGCTGGAATTACATTCTCTGTCTTTAATTAGGGAGGAGAGGGTAGAGTGTTTCACAAGCTGTTATATTAAGTCAGAGATCTATCATGTGCAAGTGTCAGAAACCCAACTCAAAACGGCTCAATGCCCAACTCAGAGTGGTTTCCCTAAGGGGGAAGTCCTATCAACGCTGTGCCCAGGGGCTCATGGAGTGACCTCTGTCTCTGGGGCTCCATTTCTTTCTGTCTCCATCTTTCAACTCGGCATCTATCTGAATGCTGGCTTCATTATTTCCTACCACAGAGAGGTTTCCTCTGCATTGCCATATGTCAAGGCCAGCAAGCGACCCTGGGAAGAGAGAGAGAGAGCCTCTTGCTCCCAGGAGAGAATGTCCAGGTCTTGGCTTACCTTGCGCACCAGTAATGGCAAACGGGGAAGGGAGCACCTGGATTTCCCAGCCTTGTCTGCTCACCTCTGAGTCAGGGTGGAGGTCAGGGCACTGGGTCAGCCCCACCAGAGACCCATATGGTAGGGCAGGCACCATTTCCCCAAAGCAGGGGGACGCCATCACCTGAATCCAGGAAGGGGCACTGGGTCAGTAAAAAGGAAACCAAATTTTCCTGGGCATGGTGGCTCACACCTGTAACCCCAGCACTTTGGGAGGCAGAGGGGGGCAGATCACCTGAGGTCAGGAATTCAAGACCAGCCTGGCCAACATGGCGAAACCCCATCTCTACTAAAAATACACAAATTAGCTGGGTGTGGTGGTGGGCCCCTGTAATCCCAGCTACTCAGAAGGCTGAAGCAGGAGAATCACTTGAACCCTGGAGGCAGTGGTTGCAGTGAGCCGAGATGGCGCCATTGCACTCCAGCCTGGGCGACAAGAGCAAAATGCAATCTCAAAAAAAGGAAAGAATGAAAGAACGAAAGAAAGAAAGAAAGGGAAAGAGAAGAGGAGAGAGAAAAGAACAGAAAAGAAAAGAAAATTTGATCAAAAACCCCCCTTGATGGCCAAGCACCCAGCTGAACTGGGGTTCTGTAGACAGAGGCCCTGGGGAGCAGATGCTTACCCCGGACAACGACCTCTCCAGCTCTGAATTTCTGTGCTGGCATGGGTTTGCAGGTCATTAGCACTGGGTGCCACATGCCCGTTGGTTTGTGAGCTCCTAGAGGACATGCCGCATATGCTGTTTTGTACTTTCTGTGTCTAACACGGGACTCTGCATACAGTCAGTGTTCAATGAACACTTGATCAATAGAGGAGTTCACAGATCCCCTGCTCTTTTTCAGCTGCGGCCCTAACTCAGTCCAGTGTGGTTCCTGACTTCTCATCCACCTCCGTCATGAGACCATCTGCCACAGGCTCCTGCCTCCTGGTTCAACACCTGGCAGGTAGCGGGGACTCGACACAGCTGCTCAATCAGGGAGCAGCCCTCGCTTGCCGCTGGGTTTTGTTTGTGTGTTGGTTTTTGTGCCCGTCTTTGTTCCTACTTTGAATTTAAACTCCTTTTGTCTGCTTTTTGAATAGATTCTTCTAGGGGTTCATTCTATCCTCTTGCATTAATTATTTAGTGAGTATTACCATGTGCCAGACCTTATTCTGAGTGTGGTGCGTACAGGAGTGAACAACATGGACCAAACTTCTCCGCACATGGGACTTTTACCCTAACAGGGCTGTTAGACTGGGCCCAGTAACACAGGGCAGGGGTGCAGAGAGGGACAAGGATGCCACTTTAGCTATAATAATCAGGAAAAGCCCCGGATCTGAGCAGAGACCCCTGAGGACAGAGGGGAGGGAGCCGCTCACATCACTGGGGAAGAGCATTCCTTTTTTTTTTTTTTTTAAGAGACGGAGTCTCGCTCTGTCGCCCAGGCTGGAGTGCAGTGGTGCGATCTCGGCTCACTGCCACCTCCACCTCCCGGGTTCAAGCGATTCTCCTGCCTCAGCCTCCCGAGTAGCTGGAACTACAGGCACCTGCCACCGTGCCTGGCTAATTTTTGTCTTTTTAGTAGAAATGGGGTTTCAGCACCACCAGGAGCAGGACCTCAGCCCACCCAGGACTCCTGAATCAGAATCTGCCATTTGCTCACCATGCGATCCTGGACAATTTGCCAAACCTTTCTAGGTCTCTGTTTTCTCATTTGTAAAATGGGCTGAATTATTTCTCTCATCTATCTCCCTCAGATTGCTGGGAAGAACCAATGAGATAATCCATGGAAAGTGCCTAACACAAAATCAACTTAAGAAATGACAACTGGCCGGGCACAGTGTCTCACGCCTGTAATCCCAGCACTTGGGAGGCTGAGGCGGGCAGATCACTTAAAGTCAGGAGTTTAAGACCAGCCTGGTCAACATGGTGAAACCCTGTCTCTACTAAAAATACAAAAATTAGTCAGGTGTGGTGGCGGGCGCCTGTAATCCCAGCTACTCGGGAGGCTGAGGCAGGAGAATTGCTTGAACCCAGGAGGCAGAGGTTGCAATGAGCTGAGATCACCCCCACTGCAGTCCAGCCTGGGCAACAGAGCGAGACTCTGTCTCAAAAAAAAAAAAAAAAAAAGAAAGAAAAAGAAAGAAAGAAATGACTGGCAGCCAGTACCACTCTTCATGTTGGCCTCGCAGTTGATATTTCCTCAGGAGGGCACTTCTGAATTCCTCAAGGGAGAAAGAAAAACAGACTCCAGGAATATCCTGGTTGTTGGGCACAGGGAAAGCAACACTGCTGACGTCCATCTGATATAGAATTCTCAGAAATGCTGTGATACACCTGTTGGCCTGTAGCTTTCTGGCTGGTTCTTGTTTGCACTTGGGGGTCATCTTCAGGGCCTTGCAGGGACGTGTTTCCTAGAGTTGAGAATCCAGAACAGCAAAACGGGCTCCTGCGACTCCTCTGTTTCGACAAATTCATGACCCGAATGAAAGTGGCTCTGAGCTGCACTAGGCCCTGCACACAGACACTAACTGGCAGCTTTGAAAATGACCATTCTGGAAATCTGCATGAGGTTTCCAGAGGTCAAACTAAATAAGCTACTGAAACTAGTCATCTCTCGAAATTTCATCTTTGGTAATACAGCAAAAAAAAAAATTCAAAAACTTTTTGTTTTGTTTTGTTTTGAAACAGAGTCTCCCTAAGTCACTGAGGCTGGAGTACAGTGGCATGATCTCGGCTCACTGCAACCTCTGTCTCCTGAGTTCAAGCGATTCTCCTGCCTCAGCCTTCCAAGAAGCTGGGATTACAAGCGCCCACCACCACACCCGGCTAATTTTTTTGTATTTTTAGTGGAGACGGGGTTTTGCCATATTGGCCAAGCTGGTTTCGAATTCCTGACCTCAGGTGATCCACTGGCCTCGGTTTCCCCAAGTGCTGGGATTACAGGTGTGAGCCACCACAGCCAGCCTAAAAATAACTTTTTTAAAACAAACATAAATTTTAAAATAACTTCTTTTAGGCAGTCCATTCCATGGAATTGGTGGCACTGACCTCATCTGATGTCCCAGAAAGCTGGCCACAAAAGTTTCCATCCCCCATGACAGACAAACAGTTCTACTCTGGGGCAATTCTCCCTGTGTCCAGACCACAAACGCCCCTGCCTGTTTGGTGCATCTCAGCAGCAGAAAATCACCAACCACAAAGCTTTCAGGACCGGCATTTAAAATCAACCCAAAGACACTCCCCTTCCACATGCTCTGGGCTCCGTGCGATCTTTCATAGCGCAGCTCCACGCTCCTCCTCGCAGACGAGACTGGCATTCAAACCAGGAATTCTTCTGAGGGGCTCTGTGTGCAGGAATACAATCACCTCAAGCTCGTGTAAGAAGAAGAGAGCTCCAGTTACCAGGGCTTCCGAAGGCTTTTAATAGAAAACATTTGTGCCAAATAAAAAGCTTCTCCTTGTGTTTTGCTTTAGCTGTAAATTATCTGCTCCAAGGATCCACCCAGAAATCCCTACTGAGGGTGAACTCCACAGTGTGGTTGAGTCCAGATTTGTTGCTCGGTCCAGATAGATTTTCAGCTGCTGCATCCAAACTGCAGCCAGGGGGACAATAAGAACAGAACCTCTTTTGTTCTGATGAAACTGTTTTTAATGGTCCCTTCTAGGCCGGGCCCTAGTGGAAGTCTCAACAAGGCTGCTCATTGAAACGCCCTTGAAAGAGCCAAGTGGGGAGCGCGAGGGACCCTGGGGAGGGGCCGGCGGCCCTTTGCTCAGCCCTGGTGGTCCTGCCGCAAAGGAGAGCTGGGCTGTTTTATTTGTTGTCTGAGATGGAAAAGGGGGAGGGGGTCGTCGAGACGAGGACCGTCCCGCAAATTTCTATAATTACTGCCTGCAGAGTGTTAGGGACACACACACAGTAACATCAAACGTCATCCTGGAGGGTTAGGGGTTCCCAAAAGCTGAACACCCAGAAGCTGGTAGAGCAAATCCACTAAATGGAACAACATGTGTTCCCCGGCCCAAGAACTCCAACTGCATTAAGGGAGGCACATTTCTGACCACTTTACTTTTCATCTTGAGGCCTCAGGGGGCCCTTTGGTTCATGCAGAATCCAGGATATAGAGGGGAAGAAACAGATGGAAAGATACGAACCGCTACCAGGGCACAAGTAGCTGCCTGCCCCGCACCCTTCTTAAGCCCCAATGTCTGCAGGTGTCCGTCCTCTGAGGGTCCCCCAGTGGCACCTGAAGGATGCTCTCCATGTAGCAACAGTGACAAAAGAAATAAGGAAACAAGCCGGGCATGGTGGCTCATGCCTGTAATCCCAACACTTTGGGAGGCCGAGGTGGGAGGATAGCTTGATCCCAGGAGTTCGAGTTCAGCCTGGGCAATGTAGTGAAACCTCATCTCTCTACAAAACAAATAAGAAAGAAAAAATAGCTGGGCATGGAGGCACATGTTTGTAGTCCCAGCTACTCGGGCGGAGGTGGGAGGATCCCTTGAGCCCAGGAGTTTGAGGCTGCAGTGACCTATGATCACGCCACTGCATTCCAGCCTGGGCAACAGAGCGAGACCCTGTCTCTAAAAAATGAAAAGTTGTGATTTATCCCTCAGAGGGAGTTTCCCCACTTTTGAGTGAGATTTTAAGTTTGCCTCTGAAGAACATGCTCTGGTTCCCCACAAAAGCAATCGGTGGTTCTCAGCAGGGGGCAATTGTGCCCCCACAGAGAACATGGAGCAGTGTCTAGGGACATTTTTGCTGTCACAACTGGGGAAAGGGGGTGCTACTGGCATTTAGTGGGTGAAGGTCAAGGATGTGGCTTAACACCCTCTGATGCACAGGATGGGCCCCCCAACAGTGGAGGATCTGGCCCAGAAGAGAATAGTGCTGAGGTCGAGAAACCCTGGGCTAGGAGGAGGTGACTCAGACCCCATTAAAGCACCCACCGCCGCTGAGATGGGAAGGACCCTCATTTGTTTGAGGTTCAGGAAGGATCAAATTGCTGTCTGACTGGTGGAGGCACAATTTCTCCTTTCCAAGTGCATGAGAACAAGGGCGACTGGGGCTCTTTAAAGAAACAGGTTTTAGGGTTAGTCTTTATTTGGCACTAACTCATCTTAAATTGTGTGGGGGAAATGGAATACAATTCAAGTTGTATTACTAATCAATCTTTGAGTAGAATAAATCACACCAAATGATATTCTATTAAATCTGAAAGTAATTAAAAGCCATGCAAAATTCTGGACTTTCATCAAATTTTGCTCAGCTCAAACCTTCTACCCTGCCCCCAAACACACCTGCTTCCATCACCAGAGACTGTCTGGAGGTAGAACATGCTTAGTATTTGACATATTGGTTTGTTAATCACATCTCTTTGTCTCTAAGAAGTGATGAGAAGGGGCTGATATCACAGAACTTTGAGCAGAGAGGGAAGGGGTGAAGTTTAGGATCTGAGCCCCAAGGTTTGAGTCCCAGCTCTGCCAGCGGTGTGACCTTGGGCAACCTGCCCCCACCACCCCAAAACTTGGATTTTCTCATCTGTAAAGAGGGAGTAAAAATAGTTTCCTCCTCCTAGGCTTTTGTTGTTTTGGGGGTTGTTTTTCTTGATGTTGTGGTTTTGAGACAGGGTCTTGTTCTGTTACCCAGGCTGGAGTGCAGTGGTGCAATCATGGTTCACTGCAGCTTTGACCTCCTGGGCTCAAGCAATACTCGTGCCTCAGCCCCACAAGTAGCTGGGACTACAGGTGCGTGCCACCATGTGTAGCTAATTTTTTTTTTTTTTTTTTTTTTGTAGAGATGGGGTTTCACCATGTTGCCCAGGCTGGTCTCAAGCTCCTGGACTCAAGTGATCCACCTGCCTCAGCCTCCCAAAGTGCTGGCATTACAAGTGTGAGCCACCGCACCCAGCCTCCCAGGGTTCTTATAAAGATTGACATAAGATAATAGATTTAAACTTTTCAGCATACTCCCTGGCCTCTGGGACGCATCAGAAGGTGTTGGCTTTTTTTTTTTTTTTTGAGACAGAGTTTCACCCTGTGGCCCAGGCTGGAGTGCAATGGCGCAGTCTTGGCTCATTGCAACCTCCGCTTCCTGGGTTCCAGTGATTCTCCTGCCTCACCCTCCCTAGCAGCTGGGACTACAGGCGCATGCCACCACACCTGGCTAATTTTTATATTTTTAGTAGAGACAGTGTTTCACTATGTTGGCCAGGCTGGTCTCGAACTCCTGACCTTGTGATCCACCCACCTTGGCTTCCCAAGGTGCTGGGATTATAGGCGTAGCCACTGCACCCAGCCAGCTATCTTTATAGTCCAACTTTGCCCCTCTGCAGGCCCCAGGAAGCCTGGAGTGATGGGGTCCATCCCCTTGCTGCGTGTTGGGGCACCCCGCTTCTTTGCACCTACATAATTGTATGGGTCCCAATGACTTTTGTGGCTTGGAGTCTGCCTTCCCCTGGAGAATAGAAGCTCTGGAAGGGCAGAACAGGGCTGTCTCAGCACCTGGCACAAAACTCAATAAATGCTTGTGTAATGAATGGCGAAGGGAATATTTGCCCCATATGAAGAGCCTGGCTTCCAGTCCTTGCTCTGCAACTTACTAGCTGTGGACTTGGGATAACAAAAATAATAGCCTTTTCTTTCCCACGCATCTAAGTCATCAGCAGGTCCTGCTGCTTCTACCTTCAAGGTAGAGTCTGACCCTACCCACTTCTGCCCTGGGTCCAGGCTACATCTGCCTGGACTGTGGCCCCGGAAGTCCATGCCACAGCCCACAATTGCCCCCCGCAACTTGCTGCCTGCCAGTATCACTTTGCCCCATTCCAGATGTTCCAGCTACGCTGCCTCTTCCTTCTGTATCACCACCCAGACCACCCTAGCAAAATCTCTCCCCCTGGGGTCAACCATTGTCTGTAATACCTTTTATTTATCTGCCACATGTTGTCTTTCTCCATGGAAGAGTCTCTTTCTTCCTTATCACTGCATTTCTAATGCCTAGAACAGTACATGGTCCATTAAAAGAAAACTCCATAAGTATTTCCTGAACAAATGAATGTATTGATTTAATTAATTGATGGTTGACTAATTAATAGTGAAGGGCCCAGGCTCTGAAGCCAGACTACCTGGGTTCAAATCCTAGCTGCTTCACATTCTAGTAGAACGTCCTGAGGCATGAGATTTGGGCTGTTTGAGCCTCAGCTGCCTCATCTACAACATGGCGAAACAGCCACATCCATTTTTGGGGTTGCTACAAGGATTAAGCAGGTCCACACTACGTACCAACTTAGCCCCACACTGACATCTCAGAGATACTCAGTGACTGCATGGGGAACGCGTTACTGCCTCATAGTAGGACGACATTTGCCCATTTGAAAAGCACTCCTACGCTCTTTCCTTTTAAGCAATTCAGGTGGGACCTTATGGAATTGCTGATATCTGACCGTTTTAACCTACAAAAATGGCAGCTTCATTGGGGTTAAAAGATGTTTCCCCAGGCCACACGGCTGGGAAGCGCAGGAGCCACTCTTGAATTGGAACTCCTGCTCAGTGTGTTAACTGGGCCCCTTTGAGCCTTTAGAAGCTGGCATCTGACGCCAGGAGAACTCCAGGTTCACTTTGTTCCTCCCTGGTGGCAGGAAGGAGGCAGCTGCCTAAACAGTGGTGCCAGGAGGGATGATGGCCACAGGGGCGTGCAAAGGCAGGGACCGCAGTGCAGCTGAGCAGGAGATGGAGTCTTGCGTGATAGGAAGAGATGCCCCTACCTAGCCTCTGAGCCCATTCCCTGAGCACATCACACAGCTCCCTTTCCTCTCTTTCTTTCCCCATTCCTTCCTTCCCTCCTTCCCTTTTTCCTTCTTTTTCTTTCTTCCTCCCTTTTCTTTTGCCCTTCTTAGCCTTTCTTTCTTCATTTTTTAATTAAACAATGACTGGATTCCTTTCCAGCAGTTTCACAAGGGGTGAAGTCACTTAGCAACCTTAATTATTTCCAACTTAATAACGTCCTGGGGTGGGGGACAGGTCGAGCCCCCAGCGGCCGGAATGCCTTGCTGGGTAAGCCGCTCAGAGGCGGGCTCTGGAGCAAATGAAGCGTCCGACCAAATACTTCTCATATTTTCCCTCTCCCTGGTAAGGGCTTTTGTTTGGAGTGAACCTTTTTTTTTTTTTCTCCCCCTGATAAACATGAATGACTACAGTTGACTGCAATTTTTTTCAGCTGGCTGTAGCTTCAAAGATTTGAGGGGTTTGAATTCCAGGCTTTAAATCACATGTTTTTCCCTTTTTGCTCTCAGACACACCTATAGTAGATAATAGAAATATGAATTTCATCTTCAACTAAAAGGAAAATAGGGAGATCTGTTGTTGGGAGTAGAGGAGTTATCAGCGGTCAGACTGGTGTGAACAGTGTGCAGTGGTGGAAACCCCATAGATCATCGCCACCCACTGAGTAATGACAAGGAGGCCAGCATGGTCCTGCCAGATCATCTCAGCCAACAGTTACCAAGCCCTGACAGTGGGCAGGCACTGGGCATAGCCCCTCATAGACACCGTGCCTCGGACCACCCTAGAGGGTAGGTGCCAAGATTACCACTGAAAAAGCTGCGGCACAGAGAGGTTAAGCAGCGTCCCCTGGGTCACACAGCTCCATCATGAAGCTGAACCCAAATGCATTTTTTCCTCCAAAGCCTGCTTGCCTCCCCCAAGACCTCTCCTTCCTCACCAAGGAATAACACTCATGAGCAAGCAGCCATAAATCAAAACAAATAAAACATCTACTTTGAAGTGCTGCCGTGGCGCTTCGATGAGATAAAGGGCACGGAAGATTCTGGTTCTTGATTCCTGAAGAAACACTTGCCCATTTCCTGCCTCTCCCAGCTGGCAAGACATATTTGTAAATACCGAAGTCAAAGATTCAAACAGATTAGGGTTCAAATTGGGCACAAGTCACTTACTGGCCATGTGATCTGGGACGGGCCACTTAACTGTTTCTAAGCCTCAGTTTTCCTCATCTGGAAAATAGGGCTCATGGCAGCACCTACCTCATGGGGCTGTGGAGAGAATTAAGGGAGAAATAACAGTGAGTACTCGATAAATGTCATCTATATTTTTAAAACAAAACAAAACAGTAATAAGCTGGCAGAACTACAGAGGATGGCGGAGACTGCAGAGCGCTTGCCAGATGGTGTCTTTGCTGAAAGAGGAATTTTCTGATCCAGCCTGAAGACAGCCCCAAGTGACTTTCCTCAGCATTTGCTCTGTGCCGGGCAATGTGCTACGTTCCTTCCAGGAACTGGCCCAAGAACATTGCCACTGTGCTCTCACTTAACCCCTGCGACAGCCCTAGGAACAAAGTCTGGGTGTGAGCTCCGTTTTTCAGACTGGAAACTGAAGCTTGGAGAGAAGTCACTTCTTCAAGGTCACACACGAGGGCGGGGCAGTGAGGATGTAAACCGAGGCCAGTCCAAAGCACGCCTCCCCACCTCCCGACCCAGCTGTCCATCACTCCAGGGTAGCCACTTCCTGCCATGTTATATTCATTAAAAGTTTAGAATCCACCTACTATGCGTCAGCCCCTGAGTGATCTAACACTATCATCGGACGGCACAGGGGTGACGTGCCAAGCTGACACCTTTGCTGTTTAAAAGGGAAAGGAGAGCAAATGACCTAATAGGTAGCAGACTTTGGGAAACCCGCTGGGACTCCTTCATAGCTGCTCCCTTAGCAATATGGTTTGCAGCAGCGCTGTCATAGGAGAACACGGGTCTGGGTTCTTAAAAAAACCCACATCCCACAAAGCAGCGGGGCATCCTCTGCATGGGGTGGGGGGTGCTCCACCCCCCACCCCATGCAGAGTAGAAGCAAATCCTGAATTCTTGCAGTTCCCCAAAAACGCTTGTCTGGTCAGATGTTCCAACCTCCTCAAGGGTGCCTGGAGACTGGGCAATTCTTTGTCATGTTAATGAATCATTTTAATAGAGTGTTTTAACAAAAACATTCATCACCTTTTGTGCAACAAGGATTTTCTTTTTTGTTCTACTTAAATGGTTAAGTAGGTAATAAACGCCTATCAGCTGCACCACCACAGCCTGGTAATCCCTCCAAACCCTAAATCATAGGAGGATTATTATTGTCCTGATAAATTAACACTCAGAGAAAGCTGGTGGGCCAGGGTTTGGAGCTGTCTGTCCCACAGGAAAGAAAAGCTGGGTTTTCTTTGAGCCGAGTTCATCAGCTGACCAGCTGACTGCCCTCCAGCCTGGGCAACAGAGTGCAGTAGACCAGGGAGGCCCCACTCCCATCCACTGGGCCCCTGCTGGCTGCAATGCCACCCTGGGGATGGGCGCTTCTCTCTCCCTGCAACTCCCCACTCTCTCCATCAGTTACAAAAGGCCCTACAAGGAATCTGGCCCTTTGCTGAATCCTGGGGCAACCAAAAGAAGGAAACAGACGGTACCTTTGTCCTCAGGGAGTGACAGGCTCCTGAGGGAGCCTGGCAAGGCTGTCCAGGGCCCCAATGCAATCGCCACTGTGGTTGGCACCAGGAAGGAGCCGGGCAGAGGACTGGCTCCCTGGTTTAGGGAGGGGGCTTGGCAAAACTCCGTGAGGAGGAGACATTCATCTCAGAGGCTGGGGTGGCTCTGATCTCCTGCGGGGCCTGGCTGAGCCACACTTCCAGAACTGCCTTCCATGTGGGTTTCTGCTGCGAGGCTGTTTCCAGAGGCTGCTGTCACAAAGTTCTGAACGCTTGGATGGCTGAAAACCACGGAAATGTGTTCTCTCACAGTTCCAGAAGCCTGGAGGCCAAAATCAAGATGTCAGCAGGGTAGCACTCCCTCCAGACCTCTGGGGGAGGAGCCTTCCTGGCCCCTTCCAGCTTCTGGTAGCCCCAGGCGTCCTTGGCTGTGGCTGCATCACCCCAATCTCTGCCTCTATTTCCACCTGGCCATCTTCTCCCTGTGTGTCTTCCCGTCGTCTTCCCTCTCCAGGTCTGTGTCCACGTTTCCCTCTCCTTATTAGGACAGTTCTACTGGATCAGGAGCCCACCCTATTCTAAATGATCTCATTACCTCAATTAATTACACGTGCAATGACTCTAATTCCAAATAACGTCACATTCTGAGATCCTGGGGCTTAGCATCTCAACATATCTTTTGGGGGATACCATGCAACCCACGAGAAGGAGGCCAGGAGAGAGACCCTCGAGTGAGACCTGGAGGGTGAAACCACCTCAGCCCCTTGCAGCACGTACACACACATGGTTGCTCTCCACTGCACACTGCATGGCCCGGGGCAGCTACCAGCCTGCTGCTGCTCCACCTGGCCCTGGCTCCTCCTACAGCTTCTCCAGGTCCAGGTGTGTGCTCAGCTTCGTGATAAAGGGCCCAGTGCTGGTGACATCCTCATCATCATGGTGAGAGGCAACAAGAATGGATGCGGGGCTCAGTCTGTCCTCAGGGCACCAGCTCGTGCCGTCGGTCCCAGCTTCTCCCTCCTCTCCCCATTTTGCATCCACCTTCCTTTCCCAACTGTCTGTTCTTCTGACTCCACGCACCTGGACCTGCCCAGGTCTCTTCGGGTCCCCCTTTCTGCTTTTGTGCTCTGCTCCCAACTTCCACAGCCGGTGCCCGGTGCTCTGTGCCACAGATGCTCCCCCTGCAGGTGCAGGGAGCGGGACACACCTGGTCCCCACCTTCCCGAAGCCTGTAGCCAGAGACTGAAAGCCTAGCCCTGCCTTCAGGCAGGCCAAGCTCTGGGTGTTATTCACAGCCCAGAACTCCCTGGGATCAAGTGAGGCTGGGATTGTGCCTAAAATCACACAGATTTCCTTGATGTTTTCCCTTCTCGGTTCTGCTTTCCTGACTCCAATAGTGGTTTCTCCTGGACATGTATCCCCAATAAACCACCAGCGTGTGAATCAGTGATTCTGGGTCTGCAGGGAAACTTGCTCTAATGCAAAGATATTTAGCAAAGTGATTTCAAACAGCAGGTTAGGAGTCAAACAGCCTGTGCTGACGCTTGTGGAAGGTAAGACCAGGGGCTTAGTGAACAGGTGAGTGCACCTGTGTATATCCTGGGTGCCACCCCATCCGGCCACACTTTGTGTTAATGGGGGACACACAAAGGGGAGACCTTAACCCATAGGACCAGTAGGTCTGATCACACAGGCTGCCCTGCGCATGTGAAAAGTGGGAGCTGAGATCAAGCCCACTAAGACTGTCGGGAGGAATGGACATCTTTGCTTACTAATTTGTGTTTTGAAAATAATTTTAGGCTTGCAGCAAGGTTGCAAAACCAGCAGAGTTCCTATCTGCCCTTCACCCGGCTTCCCCTAATGTTAGCATCTTGCATAATCATGGTACAAGGGCGTCTTTTTAAAGCTCAGCTAAGGTACCCATGGCTAGCAGCTGGACTCCACCCAGAATGAGTAGGGGAGGCGGGGAAAATGTCACCTCAGATCTGAAGGATGGGTAAGGTTCCCCAGGATGATAACCCTACCCCACCCCAGAAGCGGGGAAATGTGTTCTGGGACAGACAGAGCATCCTGTGCAAAGGTTCAGAGCAGAAATCCTGTGTCCATTGTGCAGCTGTGGGAGGTGATGTGAGGGGGCCCTAGGGGAAGCAGGAGACAAAAGGGGCTACCAGGCCCTGGCAACCACACGATGCTGCAGCCAGGGGGACCAGGGCAGGTTCTCAGGGCCCTCTCCCCACCCCAGAGATGGCTGTCTTCACTCTAAGAGAATGGAGAGGGGGTAAGCAAAGGATCCACAAACATACAAAGACTCCACAGAGAAGCCAGGGTCCCAGGACCAGACTCATGAACAGGGGCTGGGGTCACATCCCAGCTGGGGCAGCCCTCTCCAAGCAGGAAAGGCAGCACCCCAGGGCTCAGTGGGCCCCTGGTATGTGTGTTTGCGGCAGCAGGGGGTGGGTGGGGGATCTGAGCAGTCTAGGCTACCCCTTGGGGGCTGACTCCACCCCATCGTCCTTCCTCAGTGGCCAGGAAGCCATCCCCCTCCCCTTCTTTCCTGTCTCACTCTTCCTCGGAGGTCCCTCCCAGACACAGCTTTGTCCACATTATCAGTTGGTCACCCCCAACTCTACCCAGGCCTGTGCTGTCTCTCCTTAGAAATAAGTCTGTCTCCTTCCTGATAAGCCCTGAGGGAAGGAGACTGTCCTTCTTTCTCCCCAGCCTCAGGCCCACATCTGGACATCCAGAGGCACCTGAGAAGGCTGAGGTGCTGATCTAATTAGCTGAGTAAAGCAATTGGCACTAAGCTGTGGGTGGCCCAGGCTGCACCTGGGGCTGGATGCCGGGAGGCCACAGAGTGAAGCTGAGGAGCCCAGACCAGTGTGCAGGGGAGGGGACAGCGGATGGGGAGGGGCACACAGATGGCTGCCCCAGGAGGTACTCACCTGGAGGCTATCTCAGAGCAAGGATCCCTCCCATCTCCCTTCCTCAACTTTGGGGGAATCTCTGCCCTCCCTCCCTTCCCACTAAGTGGTATCAAACCCTCGCCTGGAGGACAGTTTTGCCCTCTCACAGATAGAAGCCTGCTCAACTTTGACATCTGTGCCGAAATCATCCCAACCACCCCCATAGATCTCCAAGGGCACTGTCACTGCCATCCACAAATGACACCAAATCCACCAATGATGTACAAAGGGAATGCCTGGGGGAGAGGGGTCATCTAGTGGACCAGGAGTCTTGGGTGCCCATAAACTTCTTAAACCACTTTCATGTGAATTCTCTTTAATTCAACAGATCATAATTCCAAATCTGGTTATACCAGCAGGCTGATCACAAGTGAACATTTAAGCTCTGTGCCTTGGTTTCCCCAACAGTAAAGTGGGGTAAGGAGGGTTCCTACTTAATGGGGTGGCTGTAAGTATTGCAATGGCAGAATCTACATGAAGTGCTCGGTCGTTGTGAGCTGTGGGCCTCTGTGTTCTGCTTCTGCTATAGTGGAGGAAGGCCGAGTTCACAACAGCACACCTGGATACACTCTTTCTGGAAGTCGGTGTTGGAATATGGGTCAGAAGGTGAAACATACTTCTTACCAGCCATGTGATCTCAATTATTTAACCTCTCCGTGCCTCCATTTTTACACCTGGAAATGGGACTGACAATGCCTGATTCATAGATCATTGTGAGGATCAAATTAATTAGTAAACGGGAAGTGCATTAAACCATGCCTGGATCCAGTGGGCACTTGATTGATATTACGGCTATTATTTGGCCCAGATTCTATTTTTACAATTGTAACTCCAACTTTCAATTTTACAATTCCTCAAGTGTCATATCATATGCGTATAATGCTGTTTGTTGCTGCAGAGCTATTTGTAATGGCAAAGAATTGGCAGCCACTTAAATATCAAACCATGGGGTGGGAACAATATACTGTAGATCAGCTGTCCCCAACCTTTTTCGCACCAGGGACCAGTTTCATGGAAGACCATTTTTCCACGGACTGGGAGGAGGTGGGGGGAATGGTTTTGGGATGAGGCTGCTCCAGCTCAGATCATCAGGCATTAGTTAGTCTCATAAGGAGTGTACAGCCTGGATCCCTCGCATGTGCAACTCACAACGGGGTTCATGCTCCTGTGAGACTCTGATGCTACTGCTGATCTGACAGGAGGCGAAGCTCAGATGGTAATGCTCACTCTCTGCCAACACTCACCTCCTGCTGTGTGGCCCCATTCCTAACAGGCCACAGACCGGTGCTAGTCCTCGCCCAGGGGTTGGGGACCCCTGTTACAGATCATCCATATGATGGGATTCTTTGCAGCGGTTAAAAAAGGATGACTCTATTTGGAATAATGTCCAAGATGTGCCTAAAGTTAAAAAGGAAACAAGAAGAAGAAGGTGACTAAACAATATGCAGTTATTCCATTTTAGTTTAAAAAATATGGTCAGGGTAGGCAAATACATTCTAAAGGAATTTTCACAAACTGCTCATTTCTAGAGAAAAGGATTCACTTTCTCCACTTATGTTTCTATATTTTTATAGTGAGAATATATGACTTTTGTAATCGACAAATAATATCATAACAAGAAGTGCACATTAAAATGAAAATGGCCATGATTGCTGTCTTTGGAGGAGGGTGGGAACAAACCGTGAAATACTGTGACTCTGGAAAGGGGGAGAGCCCAGCTCCAGAGGTCAAATTCCACTGCAGTGACCTGGAAAGGGCTGTCACATACTTTGCAAAAGGAATCTCAGGGCATTGAGTGTGACTTTAGGTAGGTGACCCAAGGGCTGTGCTAGGAGATATGTTGCTAATCAGAGGTGCAGGCAGACAAGGAGTGGGGCCTGCCGTGCTCCATCAGCCCCCTCAGGACACCTAGAGAGACCTGCCAGCTGCTCAGACCAGGGAGACTTTGATCTAAGGGGCAACAGATGAGATTCTCCCTCCTTGGGATGTGGCCACTTCAAAGTGGAAGAGCAAAGAGCAGATTGGGGGACGGAAGGCTGAGGTGGCACAATCCTCCTTTCCCCCCGTCTTCCTTGCACACAGCTTCTTCTTCAGCCATTCTGGGTTCATGAAATGTCACAGAGCTGTCCAGGTCCTAGGCATAACCAGTGCTACCATTGTTGAGGGCTTTCTGCAGGCAGGCACTGCGCACTAAGCACTGTTTTATTTTATTTTTTTATTTTATTTTATTTGAGACAGACTGGCTCTGTCGCCCAGGCTGGAGAGCAGTGGTGCAATCGTAGCTCACTGCAACCTCCACCTCCCGAGTTCAAGCAATTTTCCTGCCTCAGCCTCCCGAGTACCTGGGATTACAGGCATGCCCCACCACACTTGGCTAATTTTTTTTTATTTTTGGTAGAGATGGGGTTCACCATGTTGGCCAGGCTGGTCTCAAACTCCTGTCCTCAGGTAATCAACCTGCCTCGGCCCCCCAAAGTGCTGGGATTACAGGCATGAGCCACTGCTCCTGACCACATTAAGCACTTTCTAAGGCTCACTTTCTTCCACCTCCTGAATAAGCCTGTGGGTTATGTTATTATCCCCCATAGTACAGTCCAGAGCCTGAAGCTCAGAAATTTAAATATTTTTTACAAGTCACACAAATAATAAATTGTACATTTTGCAAATCTTACAAATTTGTGCACTTTTTTGTACAGATTACAATTTTCACAAACTGTAAAACCTGGAATTTCAATTGATTTTGTGTTGAAACCGTCATAAACAATAAATCAACCAACCAGCAAACAAGAATGGTGTTGCGGGAAAGCTCTATAGAGACTCATTTCATTGCCTAACAAATATTAGATTGAGCATCTTTTATGCACAGCATACTGTCCAATTGTTCTAGGTCCTGAGATGCCTCCTAGTACTTTTATTTTTATTTATTTATTTATTTTTTAGATGGAGTTTCATTCTTTTTGCCCAGTTTGGAGTGCAATGGTCCGATCTCAGCTCATTGCAACCTCTGCCTCTTGGGCTCAAGTGATTATCCTGCCTCAGCCTCCCAAGTAGCTGGGATTATAGGCGCACACCACCACGCCTGACTAATTTTGTATTTTTGGTAGAGACGAGGTTTCACCATGCTGGCCAGGCTGGTCTCAAACTCCTGATCTGCCCGCCTAGGCCTTCCGGAGTGCTGGGATCACAGGCATGAGCCACTGTGACCACTTCCTCCTAGTACTTGAAACAGTGCCTGACACCTAACAAGGACCCCAAGTGATATTTCTGGTATTTCTGAATGAATGAAAGAATGAATAAGTAAATATGAATGATAATTTTTTTAAGACAGGGTCTCACTCTGTCACCCAGACTGGAGTGCAGTGGCTTGATCATGGCTCACTGCAGCCTTGACCTCCCAGGCTCAAGCAATTTTCCCACCTCATCTTCCCAAGTAGCTGGGACCACAAAGCCTGTGCCACCACACCCAGCTAAGTTTTTTAGTTTTTGTAGAGACAGGTCTCATTATGTTGCCCAGGCTGGTCTCGAACTGCTAGGCTCAAACGATCCACCAGATTTGGCCTCCCAAAGTGCTGGGATTACAGGCGTGAGCCACCGTGCCTGGCCAGTTCTGCTCTTGAGCAGGACCAAGATCATTTTTGTACAAGGTTATTTATTGCAATTCTCTCTGTAGAAGCAAATGATCAACCAGCACCTAAATATTTCCAGCAAGGCGGCCTCATCACGGCACATCCACTCATGAATTTCATGTCCTGAAGTGAAAGGAGCTTTGAAAGACGGCTCAATGGAAAAAGCAAGACGCAGAAAAGAGTGCATAATATTCTGCCGTTTGTGTTAAAACGGGGACTATATATATACATATACATATATTTGTATTGCCTTTTATCTATAAAAAATATCTGGGAGGATAAATAATGAACTATTAATAGGGCTTTCCTATTGGGATGGGAACTGGGGTCGATGGACGGGGGCAGGGTGGGAGGGGGGTTCTTAGTGTTAACTTTTACATACTTTTCGAACTAGAAGCTGTCTGAATGTTTTACCCACTCAAAGTGCTAAATAATTTTTATTGAAATTCTGTTAGTTGAATTTTACTAAAATTCTTTTAGGATAGCCAAAAAAAAAAAAAAAAGCTTAAAATACCAACTATTGATGAGAAGGTGGTGCAGCTGGAACCCTCCTGCGTTTCAGGGTGGATGCTCCATGGGCTCCACCCCTTGGGAGCTGCCGGGCAGCACCCACTCAAGCTAAGTGCACACTCTCCTTGAGGGCATGAGCAAGACAAGTGCACGCACATCGGCACAAAGAGAAGCACAGGACTACTCAAAGCAGCTTGGTTCCTTAGAGCCAAGAACTGGAAACAACTCAAATATATACATCAAAAATAGAATGGATAAATAAGTTATGGTAGTCTGGGTGCGGTGGCTCACACCTGTAATCCCAGCATTTTGGGAGGCCGAGGCAGGCAGATCACAAGGTCAGGAGTTCAAGACCAGCCTGACCAACATGGTGAAACCCCATCTGTACTAAAAATACAATAAAATTAGCCAGGCATGCTGGCGTGTGCCTGTAATCCCAGCTACTCAGGAGGCTGAGGCAGGAGAATCGCTTGAACCCAGGAGGCAGAGGTTGCAGTGAGCCAAGATTGCACCATTGCACAGCCTGGGCAACAGAGCGAGACTCTGTCTCAAAAAAAAAAAATTATGGTATATTCATCAGTAGAATACTACACAGCAATGAAAAATAGCAACAACCATCAATGAATCTCATGGACGTTGTGTTGAGACAAAGAAGCCAGACACAAAACAGAACTTACTATATGATTCTATTTACATAAAGTTCCAAAGCTAATCGACAGTGAGAGAATTCGGTACAGTGGTTACCTTTCCGCTAGGATGGGGAGAAGTGCTGCCTGGAAAGGGGCTCAAGAAAGTCCTCCGGGGTCATGGAAATGTCCTATCTCTTATTCCATATGTATGGAAAAATTCATCAAGCCATTTATCTAACAATGTGTGTGCTTGATGTAAAGTTTGTAACTCCATTAAAAAAATATCCAGCCTGGGCAACATGGTGAAACCTTGTCTCTATAAAAAAAAATACAAAAATTAGCTGGGCGTGGTGGTACATGCCTATAGTTCCAGCTACTAGGGAGGCTGAAGTGGGAGGATCACTTGTGCCTGGGAGGTTGAGGCTGCGGTGAGCCATAAGCATGCCACTGCACTCCAGCCTGGGTGACAGAGTAAGACGTTGTCTCAAAACAATAAAGTATAATACAATAAAAATAAAAAGAATTCATCAGAACAATTTGACAGTTCCTCAAAAAGTTAAACAGTTATGACATGACCCAGTAATTCCACTCCTAGGTATATAACAAACAGAATGGAAAACAGGGGCCCAGACATATATCTGTACACAAATGTTCATGGTAGCATTATTTGTAATAGCCAAAAGGTAGAAACAACCCAAATGTCCATCCAGAAATAAATAGATAAACAATTGTGGCATAGCCAGGCAACGGAATATTATTCAGCCGTGAAAGGAATGAAGTTCCAATACATGATGCAATATGGATAAACTTTGTAAACATGCTAATTGAGACAAGGTGGACACAAAAATCACACACTGTTATGATTTCCTTGATATGCAATGTCCAGAATAGGCAAATCCAAAGAGACAGAAAGATGAGTCATTGCCAGGGGCTGATGGGAGAGAGATGAGGACTGACTAGGTAACAGGTGCAGAGCTTCCGTTTGGGGTGATGAAGGTGTTCTGGGACTGCAGAGTGGTGATGCATGCACAGCGAGAATGTATTAAAAGCCACTGAATTGTACATTTTAAAGTGGTTAATTATATGAATTTCACCTTGCTTTTTTTATTATTATTTCCTTTTTTTGGCCTTCAACTTTTATTTTGTTTTGTTTTGTTTTGTTTGAGATGGATTCTCACTCTATCTCCCAGGCTGGAGTGCAGGGGCATGATCTCAACTCACTACAACCTCCACCTCCCTGGGTTCAAGTGATTCTCCTGCCTCAGCCTCCCAAGTAGCTGGGATTATAGGTGCCTGCCACCACGCCCAGCTAATTTTTGTATTTTTAGTAGAGATGGGGTTTCACCATGTTGGCCAGGCTGGTCTCGAACTCCTGACCTCAGGTGATCTGCTCGCCTTGGCCTCCCAAAGTGCTGGGATTACAGGCGTGAGCCACCATGCCCGGCCTGTCTTCAACTTTTATTTTAAGTTCAGGATGTGCAGGTTTGTTGCATAGGTAGATGTATGCCATGGTGGTATGCTGCCAAGATCATCCCATCACCTAGGTATGAAGCCCAGCATCCATTAGCTGTTCTTCCTGATGCTCTCCCTCCTCACCCCCCAACAGGCCCCAGTGTGTATTTTCTGCCCTGCCCCCCCGCCCCCGCCATGTGTCTATGCATTCTCATCATTCAACTCCCACTTATAAGTGAGAGCATGTGGTGTTTGGTTTTCTGTTTCTGTATGAGTTTGCTGAGGATAATGGCTTCCAACTCCATCCATGTCCCTTCAAAGGACATGATCTCATTCATTTTTATGGCTGCATGGTATTCCATGGTCTATATGTAGCACATTTTCTTTATCCAGTCTATCATTGATGGGCATTTGTGTTGATTCCATGTCTTTGCTATTGTGAATAGTGTTGCAATGAACATACGCATGCATGTATCTTTATAATAGAATGATTTATATCCCTTTGGGTATATGCCCAGTAATGGGATTGCTAGGTCATATGGTATTTCTGCCTCTAGATCTTTGAGGAATCGCTACGCTGTCTTCCATAAGACACTTTTTAATGGGGTTGTTTGTTTTTTTCTTGTAAATTTAAGTTCCTTGTAAACTCTGGATATTAGACCTTTGTCAGATGGATAGACTGCAAAAATTGCCTTCCATTCTGTAAGTTGTCTGTTTACTGTGATGATAGTTTCTTTTGCTGTGCAGAAGCTCTTCAGTTTAATTAGATCCCATTTGTCTTACTTTTGTTGCAATTGCTTTTGGCATTTCATCATGAAATCTTTGCCTGTGCCTATGTCCTGAATGGTATTGCCTAGATTTTCTTCTAGGGTTTTTATAGTTTTGGGTTTTACATTTAAGTCTTTCATCCATCTTGAGTTAATTTTTGTAAAAGGTGTAAGGGAGGGGTCCAGTTTCAATTTTCTGCATATGGCTAGCCAGTTCTACCAGCACCATTTATTAAATAGGGAATCCTTTCCCCATTGCTTGTTTTTGTCAGGTTTGCCAAAGATCAGATGGTTGTATCACCTAGGTTTTTAAAAAGAAAAAAAACAATTAAAAAAATCCCCCAGGAAGTTTCAATGTTGAAAACCCAATTTGCTGCATCTCAGGGGTCAGGTAGAGCCAGATTTTCCTCTAGCAAGAGAAAGGACACTGTGTTGTCCATCAAGCGCTGGCTCTGCCATGGCCCTGCATCCAGGGCCATGTTAAAGTGTAGGCATCGGGGGACACGCAGGAGGTGCGGCAGGGGCAGTGCTCTGTGGCCGCTGTGGATGTGGTCTTCTCCAGTGCTTACAGCCCGACTGTACCTCTGCAGCTTTCTGGCTGGGGGATCAGGGTCAACGTGCTTATTCTCTCTAAGCCTCTTTCCCCCTTCCATAAAACAGGAAAAATAACAATGCTTACCTCACTGAGTCACATAGAATAAGGTGGGCTAGGACAAGTGAGGCTCTGAGAACATGACTGGCCCATTCTAAGCCCTCAAAGGATTCAGTTTTTCCTGCTCTCTGTCCCACAGGACACTCACTGAGTAAAACGACAGGAGGAATCACCAAATATCTCGGTTTTTTTCAAAGTGCATACCACTGAATATGATGAATTAAATTCACGCCTATCATGACTTCAGTCCTCTACAATCAACCCCATTTTGGAGGCTAAGGCTCTGTTAGGAGGAGGGTTCACCCTAAAATCTGCAGAGTGGTTGAGCTGAACGACAGTCCCACTTTGAGTCCATCTCACGCTGGACCTCTCTGGAAAAATCGTCCAAAAATAGGTTCTGGGTCAGGCTACATTTTCCCTGGAAGGCTCCAAGAATGGTTTGCCCAGTGCTCTGATCCTGAGGTTGCAAATCTCCCCCAGCTGCAGAGAGTGCCCCCAGGCATGCTCCCCTGCCCAGCTGTGAGGCAGCTGCTCACGGGGCTCTCAGAAGTACCTTCCTCGCACCTGCCGCAGGCCCGTGTGACTCTCTTTCACGCACGCATCGTGTTACAGCCTCGCGTTCAGGCCCTGCGGCTGCTTTCATGTGCACTGCTGCCACGTCTGCAACTTGCCCTCCTTGGGGCCCGTGGCACCCACCATGCACCAAGCAGTCTGTCAGCAAGAGCCAGGTGCTCAAAGAGAAGTGAGCTCCGGTGACATCCAGGGGACTGCATGAGGCAGACCCCCAGGGAGTTGGTGTCGAAGCCTCCTTCTCCCGCTCCTGTCCCCACTTCCAGTCTGCAACCGCGCTCTGCCAATCTCATCCCCCAAGGAGCCCCCAAATGCATCGGCATTGCTGTGGCCCTGTCACCACCATCTCAACCCGGTCAGTGCTGCCTCTCCCTGGACAGCTGTCCCTCGATCTGCGATCACTTCGTAGCTATCCATTCTCCACGTTGAGTCCAGAACCATCTATGGAATCATGAATAGCAGCCAATCACAGTGAGCCTCACTAACTTCCAGGTGCTGGTCTAAGGGCATCGTGCACATTAACCCATTTCAGCTTCTTTTTTTTTTTTTTTTTTTTGAGATGGAGTCTCGCACTGTCACCCAGGCTGGAGTGCAACGGCGTGATCTCGGCTCACTGCAAGCTCCACCTCCCGGGCCCATGCCATTCTCCTCCCTCAGCCTCCTGAGTAGCTGGGACTACAGGCACCCACCAGCAAGCCCGGCTACTTTTTTGTATTTTTAGTAGAGATGGGGTTTCACCATGTTAGCCAGGATGGTCTCGATCTCCTGACCTCATGATCCGCCCTCCTCGGCCTCCCAAAGTGCTGGGATTACAGGTGTGAGCCACCGTGCCTGGCCTTTTTTTTTTTTAGATGGAATCTTGCTCTGCCTCCCAGGCTGGAGTGCAATGGCACAATCTCAGCTCAGTGCAACCTCCACCTCCCAGGTTCAAGCGATTCTCCTGCCTCAGCCTCCCCGAGTAGCTGGGATTACAGGCGCCTGCCACCATGCCAGGCTAAATTTTGTATATTTAGTAGAGATGAGGTTTCACCATGTTGGCAAAGCGGGTCTCAAAGTCCTGATCAGGTGATCCGCCTCCCTCAGCCACCCAAAGTGCTGGGATTACAGGCATGAGCCACCGCACCCGGCCCATTTCAGCTTCTTAACCAACCCATGGCGGATGGTACAGAAGAGGAAACTGAGACCCATACAATAAATAACGTGCTTTAAGTCCCATATCTCAAAAGTGGTAGTAGCAAGACGTGAACCCAAATCGTCAGATTCCAAACCACCTACTGTGAACCACACACCATGCGCGCAGAATGTCTGGGGCTCTCTTTGCATCCATGTCCAGCTAAAGTGGCTTTGCAGGGGCAAGATCTGTGTTTCCAAGGATCCTTCTTTCAGGGGCTTCAGGTTAGTTTTTGCAAGGAGAGGTTCTTGTGAGAAACCTGGACAGTGGAAGAAAAGAAGGAGCTGCTGATCTCCGAGGCAGCTGCAGCCAGGCCCACAGGAGACCTGAGGATTCCCAGGGGCTTCCCAGTGATCTCCTGACAACCACACACCCAGAGCTTCTTCTTGAGCCCTCTGTGAAGCAGGCCATGATCTTTCCTGGCAACATCTCCATCCTTCACTACCTTTGCTCCTGCAAAAGCCCCCAATTCCTCGATTAAACCCCACAAACTTGGAGTACCTAGAGTAGCTTCTATTTCCTAAGCTCTGATCCACTGCCATCCACTATTGATGCCTGAGGCATACTGATCATTTCAACCCCCACCTCACGATTGCTCTTAGACAAGGACCAACACCCGCACCAGTCCTGCAGGTGCTACTTGCACCGCTCCACGGTCCTCTCCAGTCTCCTCTCCCCATTTCCTGTCCTGTTCCCGATACCTCTCTGCTGTCCAGCCTCACCCACTTCTGAGGTCACCATCCTTCCTTGGAACATCTGCACCTGCAGTACCTTTTGCCTGGAACTCTCTTCTCTGCCACTCAGACCAGGTAACTTCTCATCTGTCAGACTTCAGCTCAGACATCACCTCCTCCATGGAGCCATCCCTGATTCCCCAAGGGGGAATTCCTCAAGGGATGCCCTCGAGGTTTAGGGCACTGGTCACATTGTTATTTGTGTGGTTGTGATATGGTTTGGCTGTGTCCCCACCCAAATCTCATGTTGAATTGTATTAAGATAATTAATAGTTCCCATAATCCCCATGTGTCACGGGAGGGACCTGGTGGGAGGTAATTGAATTGTGGGGTGGTTACCCTCATGCTCTTCTCATGATAGTGAGCGAGTTCTCACAAGAGCTGATGGCTTTGTAAGGGGCTTTCCCCACTTTTGCTCAGCACTTCTCCTTGCTGCTGCCATGTGAAGAAGTATGTGTTTGCTTCCCCTTCCGCCATGATTGTCAGTTTCCTGAGGCCTTCCCAGACATGCTGAACTGAGGGTCAATTAAACCTCTTTTCTTTATAAATTACCCAGTCTCGGCCAGGCGTGATGTCTCACGCCTGTAATCCCAGCACTTTAGGAGGCTGAGGTGGGTGGATCACCTGTGGTCAGGAGTTCAAGCCTGACCAACATGGTGAAACCCCATCTCTACTAAAAATACAAAATTACCCGGGTGTGGTGGCGCATGCCTATAATCCCAGCTACTCTGGAGGCTGAGTCAGGAGAATCACTCGAACCCAGGAGGTGGAGGTTGCAGTGAGCCGAGATCACGCATTGCACTCCAGCCTAGGCAACAAGAGTAAAACCCCATCTCAAAAAAAAAAATTACCCAGTCTTGTGTATGTTTTTATTAGCAGCATAAGAACAGACTAATACAGGCTGATTCTCGAGACTGTAACTTCAGGAGAGCAGGACCATGCCTGTTGGCTGTCCATGGCATCCCCAGCCCAGAGCAGTGCCCACCCCCAAAGATTCTTATTAAGTAACCACTGCGTAAGGAACAGCCCTGGGGGAAGACTGGGCCTAGATAACCCTGAGACAGGCAGTCCTCACCATACATGATGCCTATAGGGACAGAGGAGAAGGTGTGAGATTGCTCCCAGCCAGGAAACACAGGGCGTCACAATGACCCCAGCTTTGGAGAAATACAGGGATGGGGCAGCCGGGGACACAGTGGGAGAGGCTGAGAGAGCACTGTGTCTTCTGGCCAGGCAGGAAGCTGGATATGGAGGTAGGCCTGCGGGAAGAAGGTTAAGTACCAACATGTATTCTTTTGTCTGTAAAACAGACCCACTCTCTTCATCAGGGGAACTGCTTTTTCCCAGTATGCTTTCCCACCATGGTCCTGGTACAGCTGCTGATCCCTGTGACCAGATCTCCTGGCTATGGTGTGGGGCACAAGACTCACAGCCTCATGCCCTTGGCCACCATGGTTTTGGGTCTTTACAAAGGTATTTTAATGATGCAGGGAAAAGTTTACACTACTTAAGTGAAGCAGCAACACATACAATTCTATGAGTACAATGACCTCAATTGTATAAAAATATCTATAGTGCATTTAAAAGCGCTAGAAGGAAATATGGCTTCCTCTGAGTGTGAGATTGTGGGCAATTTTTTCCTCTATATTTTCCAATATGTCATGCGTTACCCTATAACCCCGGAAGAAAACATTGCTAAAAGGGGGGAACCACACCTGAATAGCCTCTTAAGAAGAGCGTTCTGCCCACAGGTTGCCACGGGGCTGCAAGCGAGGCAGCTGTTGAAGGGGTGACAGCCAGAGCTCCTCGGGCCACTGCCGTGACAACAGAAAGGGAGAAGGTGAACACTATGAGAGATTTCTAAGAAAGATCTTTGTACAGGACATTTGATGGTTTTGTCTTCTCTTCTCAGAATGTTAATCTTTTCTTTCTTCTAGGACTTTTCCTCAGAGACTATAAACTGAATGCTTGTACCCCCAGTGTGATGGGATTTGGAGATGAAGCTTTTGGGGGATGACCAGGGTTAGATGTCAGGAGGCCCTGGTCTGATGTGATGGGAGTGGTGCCCTTCTTAGCAGGGACACCGACCAGAGCGTTTGCTCGTTGATGCCCTACCTCCGTGCACACCGAGGAAAGGCTGTGTGAGCCACAGTGAGAAGGCGGCCATCTGTAAGCCAGGAAGAGGGCCTGCGCCAGAACCTGACCATCTTGACACCTGGACCTTGGACTTCCAGCCTCCAGAATGGTGAAAATATATATTTCTGTTGTTTAAGCCACCCAGTTTACGGTATTTTGCTACAGCAGCCGAAGTAGGCTAATACAGAGACCCCCACCCAACCCTGCAACTCTCTCCACATAGTCCGGTGGGGCTGAGCCTGGCTCTGTCCACGGGTGAACTGGGCAGAGAGTATTGCATCCTCCCACCCCCACGAGCAGGGATGGACAAGCCTGGGTCAAAGATGGCTCAAGGATGGACACCTGACCCAGGCCAAGTTCATCAGAGTCAATACCACTCAGTCCCAGAATTCCTTTTGGAAGTCTTTTGAGAGGCAACTCTCTCTGCTGGGGTTATTAGGAGCTTTGGACATACCTGGAGCTCCAGACCACCATCTTTCTGGGAAAGTGCCTGCCTGAAAAGGAGACAACACAGAGAAAGGCACTATTTGAACACCTGGACACAGCCTTGCCTGAATGAAGCCATCTACTCTGCACATTTCAGTTACATGAGCTAATGTTTATTTTTCTGTTGGGCTGGTTTGATTAGGTTTTCTGTCACTTGCAACCTAGAGTCTCACTCATACCCAAAGGCAAAACACACATAGTTGCTTTTGAAGTTGCTCCAGTAGCCACACCTCCCAGATTTGCCCTTGGTGTTCTGCAGATGGCTGTGAGCTGGCCCTCCTGCCCAACAAGTCAGGCTCCTTTGGGGGGCCTGGGGCAAATCATCACAGCTGCCCAAATTCACTCCCCAACACCTGCTACTCTTTCTTCTTCCTCTCCTCCTCCTCTCCCCTTACATTCTTCCCCCTCTTCTTCTCTGTAGAGCCTGTCTTCTCTCTTGAGGGAGACTTGCAGACAAGTTGAATCTGAGTGTACAATCTAGAGCCAGACATCCAGGATACCATAAACATCAGACATCAAGTATTCCAGCTGCGTGACCTAAGCAGATTTCTTAACCTCTCTGAGACTCAGACTTTTTTCCATAAATGGGGATAACAATTCCTACTCATGGTCGGGCATGTGGCTCATGCCTGTAATCCCAGCACTTTGGGAGGCAGAGGCGGGCAGATTACTTGAGGTCAGGAGTTCAAAACCAGCCTGGCCAATATGCTGAAACCCCATTTCTACTAAAAATACAAAAATCAGCCAGGTGTGGTGGCAGGTGCCTGTAATCCCAGCTACTCAGGAGGCTGAGGCACAAGAATCACTTGAACATGGGAGGCAGAGGTTGCAGTGAGCTGAGATGGCACCTCTGCACTCCAGCCTGAATGACAGAGTGAGACTTCATCTCAAAACTAATAATAATAATTCCTATTCATGAAGAGTTTAAGTCATGCACGTGTGCCTGGCCCATAGGGAGGACTCATTAACATTGACTACTATTGCAAATCTTTACCTTCTCTCCCCAGTACACAGCCTAAGTCTACCACTGATGCTCATAGCTACGGGTGACCTTGAGCACTAAAGAGGCTACCAGACCTTGGCCTGCTCCTTGGAAGTCGCCGTGAGGTTATTTGCAGACTCTGTTAGTCGATGACTTAATTCTTCAAACAGGGCCCACCCCAATGAAATGCCTGCCTGCTCAGCCTGTTTTAAAGAATATTTACCACCATTGGCAAGGTTCAAAGCAAGGACCAGTTAATGACTATCCCTAATGGGCCTTCAATCTAAGGCAAGTTTCATCTTGCTATGCAAGGAATGGAGCTTCCCTTAGGTGAGGTTGCAGCAAACAGCCTCGCCTTGCAAGGAGCAGTTTGGCTTAAGGAATAGGAAGCTCATGGGAGCCACACTGTCTGTGTCCTGGGTCCCCAGGCTCAGCACTCTTACAGCAGAAATATGCAGTCAATGTATGGACATTTGCTACAGGGCACTAATAAGTCCCATCATGAATTTAGCCTGTTAATTAATTGGAATCACATGCCCACCCTCAACCATCACTGGGAATGCTACCGGTTTGTGATATATATTATTGAAGATTTTTCTATTCACACAACACTCTTCAAAAATCCTGCTATTTGTGTAAAATGTTGAACACCACATGACACTGAGGTCTCATCCCAGCCCACGTCCTTGCATAACTGAAGATTCCCTTGAAATGGCAGGCGAGTTGGTTCAAGATGTTTGGAAGTCACTGGGGTATATAGGGCCTGGAGCTGGTCCTTCTGTAAGAAAAGGGATCTGAGTGGTGGAATTGAAGCACCTTGTCTGCATTTGACGTTTTTGTGAAGTGCACTGCATAGCATCATTATCTGTGCAATTGTCTCCTCTTCCAGGCTGAACTGTAAGCTTCTGGAGGGCAGGATGGGTCTCCTCTGAGGCCCCGTATGCTTACCAGCTGAGTACTTTGGCGAGCTTCTTTCATTTCCTCATCTGCTAATTGGCATCCTAATGGTTCCTGCTTCATCAGCTGCCGAAGCGTTTAGTGACTGCTGCCTTCATCCAGGCTGTGTCCTGCAGGGTGTCTGAGTGCTTGACATGCGTGACCTCATTTAATCTGGGCAATACCCCAATGAGATGGGTACTCCTATTATCCCCATTTAGAAATGTGGAAACTGACACAGAGGGAACCTAAACAACTTGCCCAAGGTCACAGATCTACCAAGTGCTGCGGCCAGAAATGAACCCAGGCAGTTGGTCACTGGAGCCCAGCTTTCTGACCCACATCCCACTGCTCCCTGGTTCAATGTAGAACAGATGTGGAGATGTCCCATGGCCTCTGCACCCAGCCGTCCATCAATGGTAGCCATCTGGCCATTATTTATGTCCTCTACAGTACTCAACACATATCATAGGTTGTCCAATAATTTAATATTTAGTGAATGGCTTAGTGCCACTATTCACCAAATCTTGATTGAGTTCCTACAAGGCACCAGACAACTCACTATTCTAGACACAGGGAAGGAAGCAGCAAAAGACTTGCAAAGCCTCTGTCCCCCTGAAGCTGCCACTGCCGGCAGCACCCGGAGAGTCAGATGTAACATCAGACATCATCACATCATGTCAGAAGGTGATAGGAAGAAACATAAAGCAGCCCAAAGGGAAAGACATGGACAGGAGTTGAAAGGGGAAGAATTTACGGTTTGTTTGAAATGTGTTATGTTTTAAAGTGGGAGGAGGAGTGAGAAAAGCCCCAAAGGGAATGTATTTGCGAGTTTGTCATACTTTGGTAAAATTAAATACCACCACACAGCAGTGAAAATTATACTAGGGTTTTGAAATGGCAACCGAAAGAGATGGCTGATGAGGTTGCACTGGGGGTTGGAGTGCTTATACCACATCTACTCGCCCCAGCTGTTGGAGCCTAGGGCTCAACGTGAGGACCAAGGCCAGGACCCTGCAGGGACTCCCCACATCCCCCTCACCAGCAGCTTAGCTGACTCAGCAAGGGGCCTCTTGGATGTGTCTTTTGCCTATTTTTGGGTGAGTGGTAAAAAGATCAGCACAGCCTAGTATGTGAAGTCGTTCATCTGTGACCAGCACATAAGAACCCATAACCCCAAGATGGAATCTCAGCAGGGTCACAGTGGGGATGCTGTACCCCTGGGAACGGCAGCCAGACAGCCGGACACAGTGAGAAGCTGACCCATACGGCAGTTCACAAGCATGTGATGATAGGGACAGCTTCCCTCGTTGCATGTATTATGCAAAAGAGGGTGGGAGTTTCAGTGTTGCAGATAAATGGATAAGAAGAAAAGGGAAACAGGTCTCTGTGCAATTATCTCCAACACTGAGTCACAAGCCACACAAGTCCCTTGCTTGCTGGAGGCTGTGACCTGTGGGCTGATGGCCCTGGTTGGTGACCTCAGATGCTGCCTCTCGGCTTCTCTGTCTTCTTCGAAGATTCCCAAGATTTCAGTGGCGACTTCATTAGCGTCCAGCTCCAGTGCTCCAGGGGGATTCAGCTGTGCAGTGTCCAGCTTGAAGTTGGCTAAGGAAATCTGCATGGAGAGCCAGAGCTGGGATTTAAAAGCAACAGAAACAGCAGTTTCTGACTCAGGGCTTCCCCTTGGGCTGTGGATAATGTTAAGATGGTCGAGGATCTCACCAGGGGTTCCCTCCCCCAGTTCAGGTACCTCACCCTCCCCTTCACAAACTGATGGGTTGAAAAGACTCTCCAAGAGGGTAGGGGCTATCCCCACCATTTGCTGTTCCAGTGATCAAGGTCCTTTTGAGCTGGCACCAAGACTGCCTGCAGAAGTCATAAGAGGAAACTGACAGAAACATAGCAAGAAAGTCCAGAGTGTTCAGAAATCATCAAAACACCCCCAAGGAAGTTGGATTTCATGTGCAACTAACAGGCCCCCTCTTCGTACGCCCTGCCCTGAAGACGGAAGTGTCAGCTGCCATAGCTGAGTCCCTAAGAACGCGTCATGTTTGTCCTTTTGCCTCTAAAAGCTGAGCATGTGGCTCACTTGGCTGTCCCCAAAAGAAATCCTTCTTGACAAGAACATTCTAATTCTATTAGTGAGGGGTTTGAGCCAGGGGTTCTTGGCTCTTCCTTGTCTCACTGGGGGAGTGCACCAGGACCAGCCATGACACAGTGAGGCAGAGGGCTGAGGCCAGCGCTGGGCTCTCTAGGAGCTGGTGGGGCTCCACGCAGCAGGATTTGTTGATGACATGAAAATGCTCCCCACCACCCCACAAAGGAAGCATCAGGGCTCGTGTCCTAGGAGAAACCCTCTGAATAAGACGAATAAGCTCTGCAGTGTCTAAGCCTGGCCTGGATTTAAGTCCTGGCTCCACCACATTCTTGCTGCAGACCCTTGGGCAAGTTCCTTAACCTCTCTGAGCCTCAGTTTCCTGGTGTTTAAAATGGAGATAATAATAGTACTGACCTCATATGACCTTTATGAGGACTCGTGGGATAATGCCCATTGAACTCCAGCCAGAGCCTTTCCTGTTGTAAGTGCCTCTAACCGACCATTAGCCTTACTCAGTCACCACAGTGAGGGGCTTCCATGTTCTAGCGACTGCGCAGCTGTCATTTATCAAGCTCTCAGTGGCACTAGGAACTGTGCAAAGTGCTTCATACACATTGTCACCTCATTTAATTCTTTTTATTTTTTGAGATAGGGTCTCCTTCTGTTGCCAAGGCTGGAGTGCAGTGGTGCCCCAGCTCACTGCAGCCTTGACCTTCCAGGCTCAAGCAGTCCTCCTGCCTCAGCCTCCAGAGTAGCTGGGACTACCAGCTCACACCACCATGCCTGGTTAATTTGGGGGGGAGTATTTTTGGTACAGATGGGCAACCATGTTGCCCAGGCTGGTCTCAAACTCCTGGGCTCAAGCAATCTACCCACCTCGACTTCCCAAAGTGCTAAGATTACAGGCATGAGCCACCCGGCCTGGCTGCCTCCCTTAATTCTTACAAGGAATCATGATGTAGGACTGTTATACATCAGTCAGAATGAATCTAACAGTAGATCACAGATCATGCATTAAGTGGATTGGACAATAAGGACAATGTATCTTCTCCCGGAATGTGATGTCCCATGTCCATGCAGTCCCAGCTGAGACCAGTGTCCCCATAAACTCTTCAGGGACCCAGGCTCTTTCCATCTCTGTGCTCCCCCATCTATGCCACCAGCTGGAGCCCTCATGGTAACAGGGTGCTGCTGCAGTTCCAGGTACCACATACGGTCTGGACGACATGCTGGTGGAAGGTGTCTGCTCCTGGATGTCTCTTTCTTAGGGAGTGAGCCTTTCTCCGAAGCCCGTGGTACACAGGCCCTCAGGTCTCGTCTGCTGGGATTGGGGCATATGCCTCGACTCGGCCCGGCCCACAGTTCACTAGAAAGAAATTAGCCAGAGTACTCATCTTCCATGGTGGGAGTTGGATTGACTTTGCTGGAGAAAAAAGAATGGGGAAAGGCAGCAGTAGATTTAGTTTTCCAAAATGCACACTCACATTCTACCAGTTGAGCACAGAGAGATGAAGAGCGTGTCCAGTGTGACATTGCCGGGAGGTGGCAGCTGGAGTGACTCACAGCCGCAACACACAGCCTGACCACTATCTTCCTCACCTTTCCTACCTGGAGTATTCAAGAAATCCTTCCCTCCCTGAAAGTCATATTCCAACATTTTCTTTTTGAAGTTTTGGTTTTCATAGACAGAAGAAGTCCTTCCTTCCCCAAGAGTCATATTTTCCAACATGTTCTTTTTGAAGTTTTGGTTTTCATACACAGGTGTTTAATCCATCCTGAATTGAGTGTTGAGTATGATATATGGCTGGAATCAATTTTTGTAAGGTATGGAAAAATAGTTGTCCCAGCATTATTTTTTGAAGGACCCATTCTTTTCCCTTGTCCTCAAGGCCACCTGAGTCACTGAGCAAGTTTCCGTTCTGTTTCATTCATCTCTTTCTCGATCACTATTTCAATATCAGCCTCTCTCAATAACTAGAGCTTTGTAAACAACTCGATGTCTGGTGCACCCTCCCTTCATGTTCTTCTCCAAATTGCCTAAATTATTCTTCGCCTTTGTTTTTCCATATGAGTTTTGGAATCAGTTTGTTAAGTTCCACTGGGAATGCAACATCCTGGCTGGCCCAGGATGTGCCGTGGTGTTTACAACTAATTGATCACAGCCGGTTACAGATTTATTTGTTCCTTCCCCACTCCCACCGCTTCACTTGACCGGACTTAAAAAGAGAAATGCAACATCTAAAAGTAATTGCTGCAATTTCAGTGAACTTCAGTAAATGTGGATACATTCTTATCTTTATAATATTGAGTCCTACATCCATGAATATGGCCATGTAGCTCCACTTATTCTGATCTTCTTTCATGTCCTTAAATAATGTTTCGTGATTCCCTCCATACAGGTATCATCAATATTTTCTTAGCTATGTTCCAAAGACCCACATTGGCTTGAATAGAACCTTAACAATTGTGTGATCCAGTGGCCCTACTTACAGGTGGGAGACCTAGACGGCAGTTGGCTCTCAGTAGAAGATTCCATCCAAGTGCCCACAGGAATGGTGGTGAGTCACTGGGAGCTGTGGGCATGAGAGGCAGGGGTAGTGAGGGTGCAGAGGACCTCATGGACAACGTCATCCCCAGGAACGAGCAACACTCATCAAGGCAGAGGATGGGAGGCGGCATTCGAGGTGAGGGTGCAAGGGTCTGGCGTGGGAGATCACAGGCAATGGATGATAAGTGTGTGGCATTCTCAAACTCTAGGGAGGCAAAACTGAGTTGACAGTTAAAATCCAGGATTGTGAAAGGGGGTGAATGTAACCTTTGGCCAATACAGACAGATCTTTTTATCAAACTGATGGAAATGGACAGACAAAAGATGTGAACAGAGTTTGAGCATGTGCTCACAGTGATGAGCATTGTCATCACAACTGAAAGACAAAAAGCAATAATAATAATAATAGCAATCATGATGGCTAATGTTTACGAGCACTTAATATGTGCTAGGACCTGTTCTAAGCTTCTTGCATGTATGAACTCACTTAGTCCTCATAATAATCTTGAGGTGGGTACCTTACCATCAGCATCTTACAGATAGAGAAACTGAGACCCAAGAAGATGGAGAACTTGCCCAAGGCTACCAGCTGGTAAGAGGCAGAACTCAGGTGTGAATCAGGCACACTGGCTGCAGATTCTATGCCATTAACCACCAGGAACCAAAGTGAGTTTTCTGTAACTGGGAATGGGAGTTAATCTCAGGGACTCTCGAGACTGCTGGTCTCGTCTGCTGGGATTGGGGCATATGGGATTGAGGCCTAAACCGATCTTTTGAAAGACATACTGAACTGACTCCCCATCAAACGTGGTAGAAATAAAAGCGGCTGATCACTGGAAGCCCAGTGATTGTAGGACAATCATCCCAGAGGTCTCCAATCAGAGGTTTGGTGACTACTCCCCTCTTCCCTCTATTTTCTTTCCTGAAGTTATCCTGTCTCAACAAGATGCTAACGAGTTAACTGAGAAGGTCTGAATTGCTGATCTTTGGCTCTCCTTCCAGACACCTGTGACTTGCTTTGGCCAAGCAAAAATGTGCATGGAAGTGACAGGTGTCACTGTGTGACATACCACTCTCCCTTTCCCCTGATGTTGTGACTGCAAAAGTACAAGTAGAAGTGGAGGCTGCCTCACCCTGGGTCTCAGAGCCGATAGTGCTTCTTAACCCACTTGCTCAATAGAAGAGCTGGCATTAGCAGACAAACTCGAGTGACAGGAAACGTGCAGGGATGCAGAGTGTCACTGGGATAATCGAGTTCAAGGGGTTGCCCAGCTGCCAGCACCACCTCCATATGTAGGGCTAATAAAATAATTACAAAACACATGGATATGGTTTTCAAGGTAGTCAGAAGAAAGCAGTATGGGTGATGGAAAGGACACTGCTACCCCCAAACAGAAGCTCCGGGCATGATTCCCACCTGTGCCACTAAATCAGGCAGCATGGAACTTTATTTAAAGACTGGTGGGCTGAGCACTTGCATAGGGCACATGGAGGGAAATTCGCAGAGCCCTTACAACAAGACCATAACCAAACCTACCAGACCCATTGAACTCTGTTTTTATTCAGCAGCAAATCAGGAGTTCCAAAGACGCCAGTAACAAGGGTTTCTACTTTAAGAACCCCCAAACTCTTTGAAGCTGAGTCAAGGGAAGTGGGAAACAAAGTCATAGACATACAAAATTTCTTGTGGACCCCATTACATGAAGCTCACACCTCTTTTGCTTCTCCTGATTACAAAACAACCTCTAACTTATAAAATAATTTAAGTATCTCAGAAATATGGAATGCAGAAGGTGAAGTCCCCACAATCTAACCTACTAATGTGGTATGTGACATAACCAGCTTTTTCAGCCGACGTACCTCCGGGCAATATGGTGGTTCTGTTACCAGCTGTAGAGTTTTCCACTGCAGTCACAGGGAGAATTGATTGAGTCAATTTTGTATTGTATCAGCGAATATTTGAGTGTTGGCAATTTTTTTGCTTTTCCAAATAGTGAAGCATGAATAATATTGTGCCAACTTCGATGGACCCCAAACACTTTAGAAGAGATGTTTGGTGCCTCCAGAGTCCTCAGAAATGATGGTTTCTACCACTGATGGAGCACTCACCACATGTCTTTACATAGTTGATGCATTTAGCCCTCAACCCTATGAGGTAGGAATGGTCATTATTCCCACTTCACAGATGAGAAAACTGAAGCTCAGAGAGGCTGAGAAACATGCTCAGGGGGCACAGAGCCAGTAAGTGGTGGGGCTGAGACCCGAACCCAGGCATCTGTAGAGGAAGCCCCTGCACTCTTCTATGTGATTGTTGCAGCCATTTGGAGAAAAGGCAAGGAGTGGGTGGAGAGTGACAGACAGAAACCAGGGAGAGGTTAGGGACAAGCCTGGACAGAAGTAAAAGCATTCACAGGAGGAAAACATTAAAGTTTGCCTTCTTTTCTGGGCTGGAAAAACAGAATGCAATAAACTATTAGGCAATAAGGCAATGGCTTGCATTATGTCCCCATTAAGGAGCTTCATAAAGTCACAGCAGAGGAAGGCAGAGCCTGCTGACTTGCTGAGGGGTCCTGGGCACAGTGACAATGGAAATTCATGCCTCTTTTGCAATGCTCTGGATGTACAGGTCAGCAAAGAGGTAGAACAGCCTTGTGGTTAGTGTTTCAGCCTGCAGATCTGGATAACCAGGGCCTCAGCTTTTCCTGAAGCCTAGCAGCACCTTGGAAAGTATGATCACCTCCAGATTCCTCCTCTGTTCAATAGGGATTCCAACAATGCTTGTGACCATAAGAAGGCGTATGTGCCTCCCTTGGCACCATGCCTGGTGCCCAAGAACTAGAGATACTTTTATTATTTTCTGCCACTGTTGCTCTTCCCTCTGAAATGCTCACCAGGCCCTGTCTCCACTTCTGTGCTTAGACATAGTGACCCTGCCCTCTTGGTACTAAGCGGCTGGGTTGGAGGGCCCCTCAGAGGTAGGTCAAGAGGTTGGCTCTGCCCACTCACTTGCTGTGTGACCTTGGGCAACTGTCTCGACCCCTCTGAGCCTCAGTTTCCTTATATGGAAAATGGGGGTCATATAGACCTACATCCCCCATAAGGTTGAGACAAGGATCAAATGAGTAAATGCACGAATAGCTCTTAGCATGGCAGCTGGCACGTGGTCAGTACCCTTTGATATTAACTGCTCATACTGCTCTTGATTCATTTGACTAACACTTATTTGAATGCATATTGAATGCCAGGCAGTGTTCTAAATATTGCAGGCAAACCAGTGAACAAAACCAGACAAAGTCCTGCCCTCAGGAAGACCTTATTCTAGGGGGAAGCGAGGGGACAACAGCTAAATATCCATACCGTCAGGTGGGGAGCAGCATAGGAAAGGCATTAAAACAGGGTGGGACTGCTTATTTAGGGTGACTAAGAAAGGAGGTGACACTGAGCTAGTCACTCATGTTTTTGGCTCTCCTCTCAGACACCTGTGACTTGCTTTGGCCAACAAAGCGTGCATGGAAGTGACAGGTGTCACTGTGTGACTTGCCACACTCCCTTTCCCCTGATGCTGTGACCATGAAAGTGCAGATGAGTCTGTGGCAACTTGGGTCTCAGAACCCCCTAGAATGAGGTTGGAGGTGTTGTGTGTGTGAGAGATAAACATTTGGTGTGTCGGGGCATGGAGGACTTGGGGTTGTTTGCTGCTGCAGCAAAACAGAGTCTGATACAAGTCCTGTGTTTTAAGGTAGCACTTGAGCAGAAACCTAATGGAAGTGAGGGCCAAAAAGCCACGGGGCTGGGGTGGGGAAGGTGTCACGGGGCTGGGGTGGGGAGGGTGTCACAGGGCTGGGGTGGGGAGGGCATCACAGGCTGCGGGAACAGCAGGTGCGCAGGCCCTGAGACACAAGCATACCTGGTGTCCTTGAGGACCACCGAGGAGGCCTGTATGGCTGGAGCTCAAGCAGAGGAGATGTCATGAGAGAATCACATGTGTACCGGGGAGAAAGGGACCCGATAAACTCCTCAGGCTGTTGCAAGGTTGATTGTAATGATTATTGGTATTGGGGAGGGGAATCTCCAAGCCAACCAGTCCCTCTCCTCCCAGACCTGTTTCCAGTACTGCATTTTATTTTATTATATATATGTATATAAATATATATATATAATATATATGTAAAATAGAGTCTCGCTCTGTCACCCAGGCTGGAGTGCAATGGCGCAATCTTGGCTCATTGCAACCTCTGCCTTCCGGGTTCATGCCATTCTCCTGCCTCAGCCTTCCGAGTAGCTGGGACTATAGGCGCCCACAACCACGCCCGGCTAATTTTTTGTATTTTTAGTAAAGACAGGGTTTCACCGTGTTAGCCAGGATGGTCTCGATCTCCTGACCTCACGATCCGCCCGCCTCGGCCTCCCAAAGCCAATACTGCATTTTAAAAACAGCAAGAGGAAAATGTAAGTGTCAGTGTGCACCCCCACCACCCCTACAGGCTGGGGCATCCTGGGCAATCCCCCAGCCCCAGTGGACCCATGGCTCCAGGGGGCCTTGTCCTTGCTGGCTAGGGAACCCAGGTGGCTTCATGCTTGGCTGCAGGCCTCGTTTGTTTGGGGCTCAGACAGACTTTCCGAGCCACGTCTGTTTACGAAGGTGACTCTTGCATGTGCCTCCCAGGGCTGCTCCGTTTGTCCAAGCATCTGTTCAGCTGATTTTCTCTATTTATTTCTCCAGTAAACAACCAGGTCAAAGGCAGGGCTCTGTCATAGTTCCACAAGTCCCGCTGCCTGTGCCAAGACCTAATAGGATGCAGAGATAGGGGGGTGACCTGAACACAGCAGAGCGCGACACTCTGGAATCTCCAAACTGTGTCTGAGTGCAGGCACCCACGGCACCCAGAGGTGTGGACCAAGCTGGCCATTCTCAGGGGCATCTGCTGCTTTGGCCGCCAGCATCTGCTTCCTCTCTTGCTGCAGGTGGCACCCCAGTGACCCCATAAAGGACCACTCTCCACTTTCACAGTCCAGGGGGTTTCAGGGTGGGCCTGGAGCCCTCTGCCCCACTTGCCTCCTGGAGGAAGTGCATGGCCTAGGCCCAGCCATTAAATGTATTCTCCCCACAGCTGCCCACCTTTTGTGATTGGCTTCACAGTGACCTTGTGACCCAGCTGGGCCAAGGCATGTCATCTCCAAGAGTTTTACGAGACCCATTGAGAGAAAGGTGGGGGTCTTTCTGCCTGGATCACTGGGATGGCAGGGTGAAGGCAAGAGCTGCTGGCGACCATCCTGGCCACCGTGTGGGGAGCCCTCCTGAAAACGCAGACATACAGAAGAGGGCGAAGGGCAGGGATGGAAGGACACAGGTTTCCGAAAGTAATAGTTGAGTTCCTGGATCCAGCTCACCCTGAAGTCCCTGGATTTGGAGGATAAGTACTTTGTTCTGGTTTCCCGTCCCCTGCAATCAACAGGGCCTGACTGACTCACATACACACATCAGTTGATAGACGGATAAATGTAAGGAAGTGGGCTGCGGTGGTGGAACAAAAACTCGGCAGGATGGAACCTGCGAGAAGGCGAGTGTGTGGCGGAGGGCCAGGCGGTCTGAGAGTCACACATTTCTGGCGGCTTCCCGCCTCCCTCAGCATAAAAGCCAAAGTCCTCACCACAGCAATCAGTCCCTCCCAAGCCTCATCTCCGCCTTCTGCCCCTTGTGCCCCCTGTCCTAGCCACACAACTTCTATATTTGTTTTCTATGCTGTGTAACAAACTGCCCCAGATTTAGCAGCTTAAAACAACACCTGTTTATAAGTTCACGGTTCTGTAGGTCACAAGTCTAGTGCAGTGCGTCTGGGTTCTCTGCTCAGGCTGAAATTACATATTGCCAGCTGTGCTCTTACCAGGAGCTTGAGTTCTCTTCTGCGCTCATTTCTCTAACTGCAGGATCCAGGTCCTTGTGGTTACAGGACGATAGTCCCCATTTCCTTGGTGGCTTTCAGCCAGGGGCAGCTCTCAGCACCTGGAGAGGCCACCTGCATTCCTTGTCTCATGGCTTCCTCTATCTTCAGCCAGCAAGGGCCCCTGGAATCCTTTTCGTGCTTCCAAACACTCTGACCTCTCCTGCACCAGCCAGAGAGGATCCTCTGCTCTTAAAGGGCCCCTCTGATTAGATTAGGGCCATGAGGATCATTTTCATATCCTAAGATCAACTGACTTGGGACTTTCATTTCAACTGCAAACCCTTCGCAGCAGCACCTGGATTCCTGTTTGGTTGAATAATCGGAGAATGAGAATCTGGAGCCAGCTCTAGAGTTTTGCCTACCATGGCTGCCTTGGTATTCCTCAAACGCCCCAATCATGCCACCATGCAGGCCTTGTGCGTGCTGTTCTCTCTGCCAAAAAGGTTCTGCCTGCAGCTGGCCACGTGGTTCGCACCCTCACTACGTCCCTTCCTGTACAAATGTCCAGGTCTCTGTCCAAATGTCCCTTCCTCGAGAAGCCTCCCTTGACCTCCTTACATAAACATCACCCTACAGCCCCTTTACCTGCTTGATTTTTCTCCCAGAGCTTATGTGATGTTACAAATCTATTTGCTGTCTCCCCACACTGGACCAGAAGCCCTGGGAACAGGGACTTTATTTTGTTCACAGAGTCTGGCACAAATAAGTATTTGCTGACTGAAAGAATGAATGTAGTTCTTCAATTTCTTGGCAGTCTCAGTAGTCACCCTGGGGTCTTTCCCATGTTTATTTGTCAGCCCCTGGCCCCAGGGAGAGAGAGTGAAGCTCAGATGGAGAACCTAGGCATTGGAAACAGACTGCCTGGCTTCATGTCTTATGGGCCAGCCCTTTACTTCTCAAAGTCTGTTTCTTCCTCTGCAAAATGGGGATCATATGGCCGGGCACGGCGGCTTACGCCTGTAATCCCAGCACTTTGGGAGGCCAAGGTGGATGGATCACGAGGTCAGGAGTTTGAGACCAGCCTGGTCAACATGGTGAAACCCCGTCTCTACTAAAATACAAAAATTAGCCGGGCGTGGTGGCGGGCGCCTGTAGTCCCAGCTACTCAGGAGGCTGAGGCAGGAGAATCGCTTGAAGCCAGGAGGCGGAGGTTGCAGTGAGCTAAGATCGTGCCATTGCACTCCAGCCTGGGCAATAGAGTGAGACTCTGTCTCAAAAAAAAAAAAAAAAAAAAAAGGATCGTATCAGTATGAACCTCACAAGGTGTCTGCAAGTGCTAAATAACATAATCCAGATAAAGTATCTGGCATCCAAATCAAAACCATAAGGTGACATTGTGTCATACCCACCAAATGGGCAAAAAGTAAGAAATTATCAGGGCTTGGCAAGAATGGTGTGGTGAAAACTCTTCCATTGGAGTGTGCGTTGGTTCAACTGCCTTAGAGATTCAGTTGGCAAACTCCAATGGAGGTGAAGATGTGTGTATCCTACGTCCTGCCCAGAAGACAAACACAGGAATCTTCATCACAGCATTGCTGGCAACTGCATCTACCGATCCACATACTGCTTACATCAAGGAGATCTCACAATGCTCACTCACAGATGCCACTAGCAACAATACGGCTTCAACCAGCTGACTACTAGGCACTAGAGCAAGCACTTTACATAAATAATCCCATTTCATCTTTATTCCCATTTTACAGGTGAGAAAATGGAGGCTCAGAGAAGGATAAATCACTTCCTCAAGATCAAACACTTGGGAAGAGGCAAAGTTCTCATTGGCATCTAGGACTACAGGGGGAACGGGGGAGAGAGAAAGGAGAAGGGGAAATGGCAGAGCAAACAAAATGCCAGCATCCACAAGCCTCAGAGTGCTCTCTTCTGTAAAAAGCTCAACACCGAGCTCACCATGTGACCCAGCAATTCCACGCCTAGGTGTCTACCCAGGAGAAATAAAAACATGTATCCACACTGCAACTTGTACCTGAATGTCCACAGCAGCATTATTTATAATAACCCAAAACTGGAAACAACCCGTGTCCAGCAACTGATGAACAGATGAACTACATGTGGTCTCTCCATGCAGTGGAATAGCATTTGACCATAACAAGGAATGAAACACAGATCTATGCTGCGTGGCAGTATCTTGAAAACACTACACTCAGTGAGAGAAGTCAATCACAAAAGGCCACATACTGTATGACTCCATTTATGTGAAATGTCCGGAACAGACATATTCATAGACAGAAAGTAGATGAGTGGCTTCCAAGGGCTGGGGGAAGGGAGAATGAGGTGAGACTACTAATAAGTACAGAGTTTCTTTTGGGGGAGACAAAATGTTCCAAAATTAGATTGTGAGGATGATTGCACAACTTTTTCAATACACCAAAACCCATTGAATTGTATACTTTAAAAGAATGAATTTTATGATGCGTGAATTAGATCTCAATAAAGATGATTTTAAAATGTTTTCTGAGGGGCTGGGTGCAGTGGCTCATGCCTGTAATCCCAGCACTTTGGGAGGGTGAGCTGGGTGGATCACCTGAGGCCAGAAGTTCAAGACCAGCCTGGCCAACATGGTGAAACCCTGTCTCTACTAAAAATACAAAAATTAGCCAGGTGTGGTGGTGCACGTCTGGATTCCCAGCTACTCGGGAGGCTCAGGTACGAGTATTGCTTGAACCCCGGAGATGGAGGTTACAGTGAGACGAGATCACGCCACTGCACTCCAGCCTGGGGGACAGAGCAACACTCCATCTCAATAAATAAATAAATAAATGTTTTCTGAGGATCCCTGGTTTTCAGAGTGTTCAGGGAGTTGGTGGGGGTGGGGGACGTGTCATGAAAATATAAGTTTAGTGAATGCAGGCTAAGCAAGTCCAGCAACAGTTTTGATACAGGTCTTCTCAGAGACTTTAATTTGTGGATATAACTAGTGATACTCCCAAAAGGAGTATGTACTAATACCAGATAATGCTTATTGAGTATTCGCAGTGTTCTAGTCATCTATTAGCTTATTTATATGTATATTAACTAATTTACTCCTCACATTAGCCCTCTGAGATGGACCCTATTATTCCACTTTAGAAATGGAAAAACTGGGGCACAGAGAGGTTGAGAATCCTGCCCAAGATCACACAGCTAACAAGAGGCAAAGCCAAGATCTGAACTTAAATAGCCTTGCTCTGGGATTCACGCTAGACTGCTTATCTTGGTACAGTGTACAACATTTCCAAAACAGGTTTGACCATAGCTTACTTGAATAGGAACAATCTCAAAGGATCTGCCTTCTCTCCATCCTTGAGGTCTGCCTCCTGGATCTAGAAGCATCTCTCACTGAGACAAGTGCAACATCTTCCCCATCTCCTTACCTCCACTCTCCCTCCCCACACTGCACTCTCCTTTTTTAACACACACGACATCCTTCCCTTGCTTCAGACCCTCTGATGGCCTCCCACCACTCTTAGACCAGCGTTTCTCAACCTCAGCACTATCAATATCTGGGACTGATGAGTTCTCTGTGGTAGGGGCTGTCCTGTGCTTTGCAGGACATAGGCAGCATCCCTGGCCCCTTCCCACTAGATGCCAGGAGCAACTGCCCCCAAATGGGTGGCAACCAAAAATGTCTCCCAACATTGCCAAATGTCCTTTGAGGGGCAAAATCGCCCCCACTGGAATCACTGCCTTAGAACAGAGTCCTGTTTCCTCACTGTGGCCGATAGACGTCCCCGCTCATCTCTCCATCAACGTTGGCCTGCTCTCTGCCCTTTAAGTTCTCCCAGTGAATCTCTCCGCAGGGCCTTTGCATAGCTCCTCGCTCCCTCTGCCTGGAGCTCGTCCCCTCAGATCTTCTTCATAGCTAAGGCTTTAGCTCCAAGGCCCTCACCTGAGACAGGTTTCTTCTGCCCTCCTCTCTCCCACCTTCATTGCACTTTCCTGCCCAGTCACCCACTTTCCTACCACACAGATTGTTTTTCCCTCTAACACACTGTGATTGAACTTAAATTGTGTATTTTTTTTCCTTCTTTGTTTTTCTTTAGACATGGGGTCTCCTTCTGTCACCCAAGCTGGAATGCAGTGACTTGATCATAGCTCACTGCAGCCTCAACCTCCCGGGCTCCAGTGATCCTCCTGCCTCAGCCTCCCAAGTAGCTAGGACTACTGGCATGAGCCACAATGTCCAGCTAATTTTTTAAAAAAATGTTTTGCAGAGATGGGGTCTCAATGTGTTGCCCAGCCTGGTCTCAAACTCCTGGGCTCAAGTGATCTTCCTGCCTCAGCCTCCCAAAACGATGGGATTACAGGCATGAGCCACTGTTCCTGGACTTTTTTTTTTTTTAATCTGCCTTCCCCAGCAATGTGTGTGCAGGAACTTGGTGATGCCAAGCTTGGTTGAATCTCCAGTACTAAGAAGGGCCCTGGGAACCATGAAGGTGCTTAAACCATTTGTTGGATGAATCATAAGCCTGCCAATGTGTAAATTGGGCAGCCCTTCTGGTGTGTGCCTAGGAGTGGAAGAGACAGAGATGTGGAAAGGAAAACACCTTTTGGGGTTTCATCGCCTTGGGTTTGAACACTGGACATGCCTTCTGGTCCTTTGCAAAAGTGCCTCTTTCTCCCAAAACCAGTTGCCAAGAAGTCTTAAAAAATGGAAAACAAACAATAAAAAAGAAAACGAAGAAGCGAAGGGAGAGAAGGAAAATTACTTCAGTTTTAAAAGTCTCCTTAAATCAGAGCAAGTCTCTGTTTAATGTTGACTGATTTTCAAATAAAGCAGAGATGAGGTTTTGGAGCTAGCTGGAAAACACTTGTGATGGGGTGTCTCTAGGTCAGGGCCTCAGGATTCCAACCAAGGGGGAGGGTGGAGGAGAGCAATTAGCAGCTCAGCGAGGGTGTGAGGAGGAAAGAAATAAAGAGCAGAGAGGATGAGTCAGGCTGGGCTGTGGCACAAAGCCACCCTGCGTGCTAACAAGCAGAAAGCGAACCAGGTCGGGGAACCTCCCCTGCAAATCCCCAGGGCGACTCAGTGCAGCAGAGGGAAGCTGCTTTTTCTAAAGCCCTCCTCAGCTTTCTCCATCTGGGTCTGTAGTCTGTGAAGGGATTTTGCAGGCTGCAGAGATTTTGCTCAGCATGACTTATCCTCCCGGGCTTGGCTGCTACTTCAGTGAATGAGAGGCTGAGATTGAGGCTAGCTCTGAAGTTCTCAACCTGGAAGCCCCAGCCAGAGGAGTTCTGGAAGGTTACAATGGAGGTTCTAAATATTTTAAACCTAGGCCGGGCACGGTGGCTCATGCCTGTAATCCTAGCACTTTGGGAGGCCAAGGTGGGCGGATCACCTGAGGTCAGGAGTTCAAGACCAGCCTGGCCAACATGGCGAAACCCCATCTCTACTAAAAATACAAAAATTAGCTGGGCATGGTGGTGGGTACCTGTAATCTCAGCTACTCAGGAAGCTGAGGCAGGAGAATCACTTGAGCCCGGGAGGCGGAGGTTGCAGTGAGCTGGAGATCACACCACTGCACTCCAGCCTGGGCGACAGAGCAGGACTCTGCCTAAAAATAAAAAATAAATATTTCAAACCACCTACGAAATATTTTTATGAAAAAAAAATCAAACCAGAAACAGTTAAGCCTCCAAATTCAACTCTCAATTTATAAGAAATACCTGAAACAGAAAAACATAGTAAATTATATCACAGGGATGCAATCCCCAAACTCCTAATTGCACAAAACTCTCTGGGACTAATGACTCAGTTTCTTCAACAAGTAAATTGCAAGGAAAGAAAACTGGAGAAGAACCTATAGAATTTAGGAGACTTAAGAGTCATATCAACCAACAGCCATGTGTGGATGGACCTTATTCGCATCTTGATGAAAACAAACTAAACAAACATAACAAATGCCGCATGGTCTCGCTTATATGTGAAATCTAAAAAAGCCAAACTCATAGAAGTGGGAGTAGCATGGTAAGCAACAGAGTGGGGGCTAGGGGACTGGGGAGATAGGGGTCAAAAGATATAAAATTCCAGTTAGACAGGCTGAATAAGGTCAAGAGATCTACTGTACAACATGGTGCCTAGGTAGTTCATGACAAGCTATTGTATTCTTGAAAATCGCTGAGAGTACATTTTAGGACTACCTGTGTGTGTTCTCACCACAAAAAAATGATAAGTATGTGAGCTAAGGTGTATGTTCATTAGCATGATTTAGCTAATCAAGCTAAATATGGATACAGATTTCAAAACAACATGTTGTATAGGATAGATATACACAATTTTTATTTGTCAATTAAAATAGATAACTTTTTTAAATGAGAAGAAAACAATTGCTGAAACAATTGGGGCAATTTCAACAGATAGAATACTTGGTGATATAAAGAATGATTGTTAACATACCTTTTAGTATGATAATGGAATTATAATGTGTTTAAGAGTCCTTTTTTTTTTTAGAAACATGCTGAAACACTTATTAATAAAATAATATGATTCTTGGGATTGGTTTCAAAATAATCTGGTGTGAGGGTAGGTAAGGGGGTGGATGTGGGTGACAAAATGTTGGCCATGAGTTGACAGTCATGGAAGCTGGTGTTGGGTCCACGGTAGTGCATGACAGCACTCTCTAAAAATAAGTGAACATCCTGCTTTTGTTAATAAGATGACCCATAGGCTTGCAAATATTTTGGTGATCTTCTTAACATTAGATTTCATTTTATTCACACCAGGATATGATCTGCTTTACATCACACATCCTGGTACATGATCACTAGCTACAACAACAAGCAAATTAATTCATCAATACTAAGTTGCCTTGACTTTGAGGCAATATCGTATAGCGGCTTAGATCAAAGAAACCCTTCCTGTCAGCACCTTATCACTTGCATCTCTATGAAACCCAGCAATTTTTATACTTCTTGGTACTCAACTTTCTCTGCTGTAAAATGGGAGGGGGTAAATGAGATTTTATGCATGAAGCACTGGGCCCAGTGTCTGACCGTCAGCGAACCTTAGTTCCTATTATTACCAGAAGCAGCAATACCAGTCTGCAGAGTGAAGTCTTACTCTGGACACGTTGCTAATTTGGGCATGAATAGAAAAATGCCTGGGATAAAATACAAGGAATAGGTAACAGAGGTAACCCCATGAGGAGTCACTCATTCAATCATTCCATGTGCCACGTGGAGCTGTGGGCACATGGTAACCAGGAGTCAAGACACAGGGGTGTAGCCCAGGAAGATGTTCAGAGGGCGATCTGAAGGCTGCAGGAGAGTTAGCCAGGTTGGATTTGGGAGGGGAAGGGAGGGGAGTAGGGAAAGAAAAAGGACAAGGGGTCCCAAGCTGTTAAGGGAAAGGCAAGTGCAAAGGCCTTAGAGCAGGAAGGAACAATTCCAAGATGCAAAGGTTGCAGCGAGAAGAGCAGACCAGACCAGAAGCAGTGGCTCACACCTGTAATTCGAACACATTGGGAGACTGAGGCAGGAGGATTGCTTGAGCCCAGGAGGTCAAGGCTGCAGTGAGCTTTGATGGCGCCACTGCACTCTAGCTTGGGTGACAGAGGGAGATCCTATCTCAAAAAAAAAAAAAAGAAAGAAAAAAAAAAAGGAGGACCCAAGAAGGTGGAGCCAGTGCAGCTGCAGTGATGGGGAGCGGGGAGGTCTCTTTCTCTTTCGCTCACATCTCACACACTTCTGAATTATGTCAATATCTTATGAGAAGCATGTAGCAGTCTCACAATTTTCGAAAGCTAAAAAATGCAAAGGAAAAATGGCTATAAACCCTCAAGAAGTAAAGAAAATATTATGGCCTTTTCTCTACTTCTTGTCTAACAAGAAGCTACCATATATTTTTCTTTTTTCTTTTTTTTTTTTTGAGACAGGTTCTGCTCTGTGGCCCAGGCTGGAGAGCAGTGGCGTGAATCTCAGCTCACTCTAACCTCCGCCTCCAGGACTCAAGTGATCCTTCCACCTCAGGCCACCACACCTGGCTAATTTTTGTATTTTTTGTAGAGACATGGTTTCACCATGTTGCCCAGGCTGGTCTCAAACTCCTAAGTTCAAGTGATCTGCTCACCTCGGCCTCCCAAAGTGCCGGGATTACAGGCCTGAGCCACCGCGCCCTGCCATGAATCTACAAAATGTTAAAATTCACTTACATTTGCTAGATAAGCCACCTTGTTTAAATGTAAGAAGTATGCTATCCTCTCCTGTCTGGTTTGTTGAAAGGGCCTCCCCATCCTTGCCTCCCTTCTTTCCCTTTTTTGGATGTGTTAGAGGTGGAACAGATCTTTGCACCTAATTTAAACAATACTCCTTTCCAGCCTGCACAAAGATTTTGGCCCTCTACTGTGTTTCTGGGACTGAGTATGAGTTTGGAGGAAACACCGGCTAGTAGGGTTTGCGGGGAAGCTTCCTGGCCCATAGGGAGAACTCAGTATTGAGACTGTCCTGCAAGTTGGCATTTGTCAGTTTCATTTGCAATGTGTTGCTAGGAGCAGAATATGTTTTTCTGGTTCTTGCTCACAGCCTGGGGCTGGGACTGTTGACTTTGATGTGAAGGTGGTGCACACAGCTGCTGGGGGAGGGCCTATGAGTCCTGCCGTGGAGCAGGATACCTGCAGGGCACAGGCAGAGCCTAGCTGCTGGAGGGTGAGCTGCCCCTCCTGCTTTTGTCAGCGCAGTGGGAACCCCAGCCAAGTCCTTTCAAGTCGCACCTTGCACTTTGCGGTTTCTCCTCTTAGGAATGCCAGGTTTATTACGGGTTTGCTCACTTCACTTCACTGTTCTGATCCTCTCCTTGTGCCCCCACCCAGCTCAGGACCTTTCATTCTGTGTCAGGTCTAGCAAGGCTGCTGGCTTCTGGTTGAGTCTAATGCTAAGTGATACCAAAGGCTCTGTCCTCAGGGGACAGGGAAAAGTGGACAGAAATGTTTCTAGTCCCAGGGGAGAGGCACCTTCCAGCAGACAAGCCTTGACAGTGTCATTGACCTCCTGGCCTGCAAGATCCTTTCATTTGTTTGTTCCTCTTTGGGGATGACGCATGAGAACCCACCTGCCGCACACCCTCATTTGAAAGATGAGAAAACTAAGACCACCACCAAAGCCCCCAGAGAACGATGACACACTCCAAGCCAGACCCCCACAGATGCCTCATATCCAAGTGGTTAAGAGCATGAATTTGGAGTCAAGGTTTAACTCTCAGCTCTGTCACTTACTGGAGGTCCAATCTTACACAAAAGGGTTAATTTCTCCAAACCTCAGTTTCTTCATATGTGAATTGGGTGTACTATTTTTCACCTCTTAAAGTCACTGATTTATTTTCAGTGCATTTCTTACCCTGCCAACTTAATTATGTAAGAGTTCATCTGGCCAGGTGCAGTGGCTCACGCCCATAATCCCAGCACTTTGGGAGGGTGAGGAGGATGGATCACCTGAGGTCAGGAGTTCGAGACCAGCCTGGCCAACATGGTGAAACCCCATCTCTACTAAAAAATACAAAAACCTAGCCGGGTGCGATGGCACTTGCCTGTAATCCCAGCTACTCAGGAGGCTGAGGCAGGAGAATTACTTGAACCCAGGAGGCGGAGATTGCAGTGAGCCGAGATTGTGCCACTGCACTCCAGCCTGGGAAACAAGAGCGAAACTCCATCTCAAAAAAAAAAAAAAAAGTTCACCTGATTGCCTTTAGTTCTCCCCTCCTTTTAGGCTCCGAGCTCCCTAAGAGGAAGGGGTTTACCTGCCTTGTTCACAGCTGTGTCCTCGGTAATAAACCTTGCCCGGTGCAAGGTAGGCAGTGAGGAAGTATTTGTGATAACAGCAATGTAAAGCCATCAACACAGTGCTTGGTACATGCAGAACAGCCATCAACACAGGCAACCATCCCTGTGAACAGAGGGAGTGCATTATTTATGATGGGAAACTAGTTTTAGTTGGAAAATTATCAAATTACCAGGAACGGAAAGAACAAAACAGTTCTCCCAAGTAGCTCTTCTGGGGCCAAGCCCCAGCACCCCACCCATGCAGGACCAGGCCCCCAAAGGCCTTGGAACCACCTTGTTCCAGGGTCTCGCTCCACTGTCCTCTCCTCCTTCCCAAAGTCAGGACTCCTTTCCTTGGGCTTCAGAATTCCTATCTTCTGCTCTAGAAGGCTTGGAGCAAGTGGGGGAAAGGCACCACTCACCAAGTCTGTCAGGGGATGACATGGTATAGAGGGAGAGGAGCTACATAAAATACAAGATGCCAGTTAAGTTTGAATTTCACATAAACAATGAAATAACATTCCTTTCTCTGCCATCGTGGTGTGTGCTTGACTCCACTTCTCGCCATGTCTTTCCCACAAGACTTTTGGGATTAAGCAATTCCTGGCCAAGAAACAAAAGCAAAATCGTCCCCAGTGGATTCGGATGAAAACTGATAATAAAATCAGGTACAACTCCAAAAGGAGACATTGAAGAAGAACCGAGCTGGGCCTATAAGGAATTGCACATGAGAGGGCACACATATTTATGCTGTCTGAAGGTCACAGTCATGTTACCACATCAAGCTGAAAATGTCACCGCTCTCTGGAGAGTTGTACATGTTTTATTGAGAATATATTTTTTCTCTCTGAATCTGTGATGAATGCGTTGGTTGGCTGGGTTCAGTAATAAATATGTGAGACCTTTCACTTAAAAAAAAAAAGAACTATTTTTTTTTTTTTGAGAAGGGATCGCCCTGTGTTGCCCAGCCTGGAGTACAGTGGCTATTCACAGGCACAATCCTAGCGCACAGCAGCCTTCAACTCCTGGAGCCTCTAAATCCATCCTCCTGCCTCAGCCTCCCTAGTAGCTGGGACTACGGGTGAGTACCACTGTGCAAGGCTACAAAATAACTTTTTAGTAAAAGTATATCCCAAACTTTATACGAGACGTAGTTACTCTAAAAAAAAAAAAGGATTTGCTGTTTATCTGAAATTCTAATTTAACTGGTTGTCCTGGATTTTCTTTGCCAAATTGGTCTGCCCTACGGAGTGCGAGGGCTGGGATTTTAACCCAGGCCTGCCTGCTCTGAGCTGACCTTTCCTGGCACCTGCAAAATTAGGATGACACGTTAGGAACTTCCTGGGGTTCTTAAGGGAATTAGAAGAGGGACCTGAGTGCAAAGGGCTTTGGAGGCATTCAACTGCTATGAAACGTTAGTAAGGACAGGGATTGCGTTCACCTCAATCACAGCTGAACCCATTGCCGAGAACTGTTATCCCACACAGCTGGATCTTCATCATTATGTGTTTTAATGAAAAATCGCTGATATTGCTGTCCCTAAATAGCCAACCCCCAAAATAATTAAATCACCTCAAGGGACTCTAGGTCCAATATCCGCAGCACGCCACACAAACATCTCTCAGCTCAGCCACGCAGGGCCGATGCCTGCGCGACCCACACTCAGGGAGGCGCCCGCCTCAGGGCCTCACAGGTGGGACCGCGCCTGAGAGCCCTGCGCTTGCGCACTCCACGCCGTGCTCTACGCATACGCCTGTCCAGCCCCGCCTCTGGGTGTGTGGCGTGGGCACGCCGGCCGCTCAGAAAGCGCGGGAAAGGCACGCAGCCACGCCCCAAGGGCGCAGCCTAGGACAGGGGCTTCTGGAGCTTCTGGCAGCCGTCTGCCCTCATGGCCTTTGCACCTATGGGGCCCGAGGCCTCGTTCTTCGACGTTTTGGACCGACACAGGGAGTCCCTGCTGGCTGCCCTGAGGAGAGGTGGCAGGGAGCCCCCAACTGGGGGAAGCCGCCTGGCCTCCAGGTACAGGAGCTGGTGCCGAGGCGCGACGCAGCCACTCTGTAGAAAAGTCGGGCGCTCTTCCTGGCCCCGGGCTGCCTCCTAGTGTTGAGGCTGAGGAGGCACCCCTTGGCGGGCCAGCCAGGAACCCCCAAAAAGATCCTTCCTGAGTACCCGTGACCTGCTTTGAACCCTTATTTTGAACTCAAAAAAGAAAGCCAGGTGGCAGCCCCCCTTCTGTGGCTTCTAGGATGTTCCCCTTCTAGAACGTTCCAGAGGCTCCCTGCAGCTGGGTTGGAAGGTTTCCTAAGATCCTTATAGGTTGGGGAGTTTGGGGTACAGTTAGCTTTGTATTTTTTAAACGTTTTTTGGGATAAAATTTTTGGTTAAACTTTAAGGGTTTTTTTTGGTTTTTATTTTTTGGTTTTTTTTTAGAAAGAAAATGAGTGTTGTATGTCTTCTCTCAGTAAGCGAATGGTTTTCTCAGAATTAACAAGGACATCAACACATTTTAAGTGGTTTATAATAAGACAACATGTTTAATTGTTTTGCAAGTGGAGAGAATGTACATATTTTAAATGATTTATTTAAAATCAATTACAGGAACCCTCCAGCTATCCATGTTAGAATTAACCACAGAAAACATGACTACGTTATTGACCATTTTCACTTAAAAATACTTTATTTTGTTTCCTCGACTTGCTTTCTTGGTTGAGCAAAGTTTTTCAGCCTTTTATTTTTAAGCCCAAACCAACCACCAAAAAATCTGAAAAACCTACAAACAAACCAATTTTTACAAAAGAATTTATTTTGAGGGAGAACTTGGGAGAGTGAGGGAAAAGGAGAGTGGCAAGTCCCTTGTTAATATCGCAGATGTAGACGAATCTGATTGTATCTTAAAGTTGGTTACAGTATTATCCTGCAACACTTTTTTTCTCCAAACTAGGAAAAATGAGTATTTGGGTCAGTTTTTACCTCCCAATATTAGAATAGATTAAATGTTTTAAAATTCATTTTCTGAAACACAAGTTTTCAGTAAAAATTCTGAAGTTCCTGTGGAAATTAAAACTCTCAACATTTTGCCCGTTTTCTAGAGTGCATTTGATTTCTCTTCCTAGACAATAAGCTCATGGTGTTTATAACAGAACAACATTTTTTGCAGCTGATGGCTTGTGAAATTAACAGTCAGCTGACAGAAAACTGGGCTTAGTCTTCGCATTTTGCTGTAGAGTGGCGTAATAGCTGCCAAGTCAACCGTTTGTTGCAGAACTCACAATTTATTCTTTCCAGGGTAGTGATTAAACGTTTTCCTTTTTGTATCGCTAAATTTCAAAAGAGCCGATTTTAAGGCATGAGATCAACTAGGGTAATGTGCGACCACAAAAGGTGTTTCTTTTGAAATTTTTGCATTGCATTTTTGGGAAAGAAATTCAAAGCCAATATTGTATCACTTTTTAATTAAAACATATATCAGTAGTATGTCAAGTCTAGTTTGTATTCAAGTTCAGCTAGATTACAGTAGGTTAATATGATAAAATTACAGTTGTAAATTTAGTCATTAATGTAAAAGGGAGACCTTCCATTGGTAATTGCTTGAGAAGTAAAATTACAAGCAAATGAAATTTATTTGTAAATACAGTTGTTTTAATGCAGTAGTAAAGGTTTAATGGGAGAGATAATTATTGACATGGATTACCTAGTCTTTTTTTTTGTCTTTTTTTAAAACCCCACCCCAATTACCTAGTCTTAAAAAAGAATAAAATAAAAAGTTACTTTAGTATTGATCTGGGAAAATCTTACATATTAAAAAGTCAAAATTTATGATTAAGATGGAATCATGCTCTGTTTATTGTTTCAGTTCTGAGGTTCTTGCATCTATAGAAAATATTATCCAAGACATAATCACAAGCTTGGCAAGAAATGAAGCACCTGCATTCACGATAGACAACAGATCAAGCTGGGAAAACATAAAGTGGGCATTTTGCATTTTTATTTTTTAAATGCAATATCTATGTCATTATTAAAATTATTTGAATTAGAGTTCTGGTCATATTTTTTTCATTTTATTGCCTTTACCTTGCCAAAAAAAAGGATTTAGGAAGTTTACGAAATACATACCATACAGAGAGGTTATGTAAACTAGAAGTAGGTGTGAAAGATGAGGCAAAGGAAAACAATGCTAGCACCAACAGAATGGAGCACCAGAAGAGGTTAGAATTCCAAATGCATGTGATAAAGTCTCATAATTTTGCTAAGAATAGGCACCATACTTGGAGCTAAGCTTTCTAGCAGTCAGAGGGGGAGATGTCATGGGTGCAATTCTCACATATGCCACAAAAGCAAACCACTTGCTCAGGGGAAATATAACCAATCCTGATACCAGACCAAAATAAAAGTATCCTGAACATAGAGCACATTTAAGGCTTTCTCCTGACAGATCTTCTGCCCCTGCTAAATCATGTGTCCAAAAAGGGTAAAATCAGCAAACAGCTTTATCAGAATTCTTGAACCTAGTTATACCGGTTTTTTCCAGCCTCTCATATTTTTTAAGAGATACAGAAACAAAATGAAAGGAATTTTGAGTCTCCTTCATCACTGTTGTTTTATGATCTATATAAGTAATATAAGCTGTATACTTTTCAGTCATGTTTTGAAAGATGGATTTTATCTAGCTTTGAAGCAGCTTACACCTGACATATCCACCTGGTGCCTTCTGCCACCTTTAGGGGAAGCTTGGCAGTTCAACTTAACCTAATAAAATTGTTATTTTATGTAATGTAATTTTGCAGGTAAATCAGAAATGAAACATTTCAAAGCTTATTAAATTGAGTAAAATTATTAAATGAGTAGGTTATTAAAATGAGTAAAGTACTAATTGTGAAATATTTGAAAACATTTTACATACACTAAAAATGTCTTCCCAGTAAAAAAGTATGCACACACACAAACACACTCCCACACCCCCTAATCAAAGGTGTTAGCTCATTTATGTTAAATGGTTTATCTTAGTGCCTCTGTATGTCACAAACCTAATTTCCTAGTTATCACCTGGAATGATCTATGCTCTCAAACCAGTTGATCCTAAAGCTTCAGTGCTTAAATTGAGAAGAAATGTGGGTTTTAAATGATGTGCAGAAGACCATAAGTATATATTGTTTGGTGTTTAGAAGTTGTCTTTTTCACTTTTTTCCTTTGCTTTAAACAAAATGACAGGTTTGAAGATTCTGTGGGTCTTCAGATGGTATCCCATTGCACCACCAGAAAGATCAAAAGTGATTCACCAAAATCAGCTCAAAAATTTTGTAAGTTAATTGTTCTTAGCTTTTGGTAATAAAGGATAAATAAATTTTGTTATCTTCTCAATTTTATTTGTTGCTAGTTAAATAATTTTACCTGTTTTTAATAGATCACTTTCATACATAAAATAAATTTCTATAATTTTTCATTGTCAATAACTATGGAAGTAGGTTATCAACATAAACATTTTTCAAGGTATATGGTTCAGTGCATAATTATCCTCTCAGTTTTGCTATCCATAGAGCAATTAATTTTAACTGATTCTGCAGGTAATTGTTCTGTACTTAACCCTCCCATTTTGGAAAGATAATTTTTTAAATGTTAACTAAAATTAAGTTAAAATCCTTGATAGCAGTATCTTTTGAATCAGTAAGAGAAATGATGAGTAACTTGTTTGTTGAATTTTATTTTCCAGCTCTAATCCTTAAAATATTGTCCATGATTTATAAATTAGTACAGAGCAACACTTATGCAACCAAAAGGTAAATATATTGTTCTAGTAAATTACTCTTCAAAATGTAATGTGAGAAATAGTTGGATTAACTTTTATTATATGCTTTGAAAAGTTACATAAGACTAAACTATAGCTCATAATTTACTTTCTTTATATGTTGTGTTTTCATCCAGTTAAAGCTTTCTTCAATTAACACTGTAATACTTGTCATATTCAAAAAGAATATAGTTAATTAAAAATATGTATTTTAAATTTTCATAGGGACATATATTACACTGACAGTCAACTCTTTGGTAACCAGACTGTCGTCGACAATATTATCAATGACATTTCTTGCATGTTAAAAGTGTCAAGGAGGAGTCTACATATAGTAAGTAGTACCTAATACAAAACATTTTATTTTAAAACAAAATGTTTGTATAAAACATAATTTTTTTTTTTTTTTTTGAGACGGAGTCTTGCTCTGTCGCCTAGGCTGGAGTGCAGTGGCGCGATCTCAACTCACTGCAAGCTCTGCCTCCTGGGTTCATGCCATTCTCCTGCCTCAGCCTCCCGAGTAGCTGGGACTACAGGCGCCTGCCACCACGCCCGGCTAATTTTTTGTATTGTTAGTAGGGACTAGGTTTCACTGTGTTAGCCAGGATGGTCTCGATCTCCTGACCTCGTGATCCACCTGCCTCGGCCTCCCAAAGTTCTAGGATTACAGGCGTAAGCCACCGCGCCCAGACAAAACATAATTTTAAAACATAATATAGTCTTCTTTTGCTATTATTTGATGCTTGCATTTTTCTCACTATAAATTTAAGTAATAGATTCTCAATATATTCCTTTGGGTGAATGGACCAAACTGATGAATTACCAAATATTTTTAATTCCTAAATCCCTTACATATTTTCTCTTTCATCTCTGAAATTTCAATCCAAGTGAAAATGCCAGTAATTCAGCAGATGAACACAAGGAGTGACTTAATAGCATAAAACATATTCGTGAAGCAGGTTTCAAATATGTCTATTATTTTTTGCAGTTATCTACATCAAAAGGTTTAATTGCTGGCAACTTAAGATACATCGAGGAAGATGGCACCAAAGTGAATTGTACCTGTGGTGCAACGGTAAGAAGCATCATTGAAGTTTTCACAGCTTTAACTCTTCTAGCTCCTTCAGTTTTGAAGCATAATTTTATTTCTTGCTTTATTATGTAACCTAGAGCTTAAGATTTCAAAATAAAACTGAAAGATGGATAGGAATATGCTTTACAGAACTGTACATTACATAGTTTCAAATTATGCTAATTGTCAAATGTCAGATTGAAATAAACATACAAATATAACTCTTAAAAATGCACTATTATTTTCAGATAAAGTGTGGCTTGGTCATTTTAGCATGTTATTTAGTAATGTTCATAAAATTTTCTGGTTCTGAAAGTAATATTTTTAATACTAAACTATTTGCTGGGCTTTGATACAAAGAGAGCCCACAGTACTAAACTTAGTACCCCTGTTGGGAGAATTGCTGTGAGTCATGTGCCGGTTTTCTTACTGAGGGGTAAAGCTGTTTTCTACTATTTTTTAACAGAGGAAGAAGTCTCTGATGACTGGTATGGTCAAAGAAAAATAAAAACAGAGGGCTTTGTGATAAACTAAAAATGTGGTTATTTTGCTTTTTATGTAAGATAAAAACTTTTTTTTTAAAAGGCTGTTGCTGTGCCATCGAATATTCAAGGAATTCGGAGTATCCTTTAAGTGGGAAAACTATTTAAACTTTTGGAATGTTCATTCATTCATTAATTCCTTTGGTAAGCCAAGCCTTCATAATGTGTAAGGAACAAGTTAGGCCCTGTAGCAGTCAAGATGAACACACCATGGTCCCTTCTTTAGTACTCTTTTAGGAGCTCACCATCTAGTGGAAGAGACAGATATCTGAATATATGAATAGATGTGTTTATATGTTTGAAGGTACAAACTAAAATGTTGTATCTATAGCTGCTTTTGAATTATCTATATGGCACCTTAATTTAGTTGGTGATTAAATTGAAATACTCTTGCTTTCAATTTATCAGCCTTAACTTCACAGATTTAGTTACAGATGCAAAGTTTGTATTAATTGTAGAAAAAGATGCAACATTTCAGCGGCTCCTAGATGACAACTTTTGCAACAAATTGTCTCCTTGCATCATGATTACGGTATATTATCTAACTTTACTACAATTCCAAGACTAATGTATACTGTTATGGTGATTGGTAAGAGGATTTACAATATTATCTACACAATGTCCTGTTTTCAATATAATGCATCCTTTGGGATCATAGAACGGGAATTTCCAATGTGTTTATTTAAACATCCTCAAAGCTGGCTATCACCTCAAGTTCTTTTTTTTTTAATAGAGACAGGGTCTCGCTCTGTTGCCCAGGCCGAAGTACCATGGCATGATCATAGAGCACTGTAACCTTGATAAGTTCATGTTTCTAAAACCACACTCAAAAGCTTTCTTCCTTGAAAAGCTGAGTGTTCCTGCCACTTGTCCTGTGGCTATCAGTGCAGACACTGCAATGAGGTCCACACGTCAGAGTCAGTTTGACTTACTCCTCACATCCCATGGTCACCAAGTCCTTTTGAATTGGCCTTGGGAATCTCTTTCATTTCAGCCCTTTCTCCTTAATCCTTCCCCTTTCATTCTTACACAAGACAACCACCTGGTAGCCTCCAGACAGGCCCCTGACTTCAATTATCTCTCATCCCTGCCACACCAGACTTGTCATTTCCCTCCTTGCCAGTTCAAAAACTTTTGGTTTTGTCTGATACTTCTACTCCAAATCTGGATGCCTCTGTGGAACTGGTCAGCCCTTCTAAGACTCCATTCCGCCTCCTCTCCAGGGCAGCGCTCCTCACTGCCTCCATAAACATCTCTCGCAAATGCCTCTCAAGAAGAGGCTGGGACTCGAGGGCCATATTAGGAAGAGCCATTTTTCACCAGGTCCTTTAACCCTGTTTGACTCCTCTACTGTGTTCATGTGCTATTATTTTTCCCAAAGAACATTATGAAAATACACTAAATACTCACGATGAGCTAGGACCCCTGCTAAGCACTTGACATAGTAAGAGTTCACATTTACTGGTGTTTATCACATGTCAACTTGTATAGGCTCTCAATGGCCTTAGGAGGTAGGTACTAACATCATCGTCACTTTAATAATGGGGTACTGGAATGCAGGAAGGTATTTTACCACGTCTCTATGGCTATTCAAAACCAGGACTGGATTTGAATAGTTGAAATCCATGTTGCTATAATGCCATCACTTGGTGTGATAGGCATATTTATGCTGATTTTATAGATAAAGCCATGGCCTAAAGAGACTAAGAAACTTGCCCAACATCACACCACTGATGATGGGCAGAGAGGGAATTCAAACTCGGAGCTGTGACCCGAAGCCCATTCTGAATCTCTAGGGCTACTCTGCGCTCTTCCTCTGCTCTCTGTTTCATTTGGTTTTCTGCTTTTCTCTAACATTGTTGTAACACTCTTCAATTTACTTTTCTACATAATTATTATTTTAATGACTTCATAATATTATCCCACCATTTAAGTTTTATTAAACCCTAAATTTAAGCCAGGTACTCTTCTAAGTGCTTTATGATTATTAAATAATTTAATTCCTATAATAATCTCATATGTTGTTACAGAGCATCAAACCACAGAGTGGTTTTGTTACTCATTCAAGTTCATGCTGCTAAGAAGTAGCAGAGCTGAGATGCGAGCTCAGGCTGCCTAGCCCCGCAACTGCTGCAGATCACCGCTGTACTATGCTGCCTCTCCACATCCCTGTTGTTAGATATTTTGGCTATTTATATTAGTTTGCGCCATTTTAAATAACACTTCAGTGAGCATCTTTAAATATGTAGGATGTTTATTATTTCTGTTTTTGCTGAAATATTTCCTTAGGACCATTTCCTAGGACTGGCATAATTCCCAGTCCTTCAGTCTGTTTGTATATAATGTACATTTTTTTTTCACAGTCAACACCAGTCTTTCAGCACCTGAAATCCAAGGTAGGAAGATGTAACCCTTTTTTTTGGTGCTGTGACTCAGATATGAACCAGGGTTGCTGTGGCCACATGCAGAGTACTAACCGTTGTATGAGCATAACCTATAATTTATTATTACTATTATTATTATGATTTTGAGGTGGAGTTTCACTCTTTTTGCCCAGGCTGGAGTGCAATGGCGTGATTTCGGCTCATTGCAACTTCTGCCTCCTAGGTTCAAGTGATTCTCCTGCCTCAGCCTCCCGAGTACCTGGGATTACAGGCGTGTACCACCACACCTGGCTAATTTTGTATTTTTAGTAGAGACGGGGTTTCACCACGTTGGCCAGACTGGTCTCAAATTCCTGACCTCAGGTGATCGATCCCCCTACCTTGGCCTCCCAACGTGCTGGGATTACAGGCGTGAACCACTGCGTCCAGCCTAACTTTTAAATTATTAATAAGAGTATAATTGTAACCATTTTATTCTACTGAAGTTAAAATTCTTAATTTTCATCTTCCTTTTAGGGAAAGGGAGTTCCTGATCTAAACACAAGACTTTTAGTCAAGAAACTGTGGGATACATTTCATGTTCCTGTTTTCACTCTTGTAGATGCTGATCCACATGGTAATTTATCACTGGACTATTTACAACAATAGTCATAACTAAATCATATTTGTTGTTGTGTTTTCTTCCTCTTTTTTTTTTTTTCTTTTTGAGATTGAGTCCTGCTCTGTCACCCAGGAGTGCAATGGCGCGATCTTGGCTCACTGCAACCTCCACCTCCTGGGTTCAAGTGATTCTCCTGCCTCAGCCTCCTGAGTAGCTGGAACTATAGGCACATGCCACCATGCCTGGCTAATTTTTTATATTTTTAGTAGAGACGGGGTTTTACCATGTTGGCCAGGCTGGTCTCGAACTCCTGACCTCAGGTAATCTGCCCACCTCGGCATCCCAAAGTGCTGGGATTACAGGCAGGAACCACCGTGCCCAGCCTGTAGTTGTGTTTTCTACTCTCGGGACACTTATGAAACATTTTAAAAGAAAATGATTACATTAAAATTTGGTCTATAATTATTTGACACAATTTATCGTTACTTTGTCATATTAAACTGAGAATGATAAATTTTTCACTGGTGATGTCCACAAAATTAAAATTATAGATAGATAAAATTTGAGAGTGCAAATTAACCTGTAATATGTAAGGAGACTAATTTTATAGTTAACTTTCTTTTAACAGGCATAGAAATAATGTGCATCTATAAGTATGGATCTATGGTAAGTATAGAAAAGCAGTTTTCCTTTTTTATTATTTAGACATTTTATATTCATTGAGGTGATTTCTGCATTTATTAATCACCCCCAAGCAGGCTGAGAGTGCCCAAAGTGTACCTGAGGGCCTAGTATCCTATTCTAGGAGCAATCTGTGTGTCGGTGGCTGTGACTCCAGCTCCCAGTATGACCAGTGCAAACACAGATGACAGAGTGGGATTAGCTGTGGGCAAGCAGCATTATTATCCTGCACTCTCTTGGCATACTGAAGGAACTGTGGGGCTCTGGGGTGACAACAACGCTGTCTGATCACCAAATATACTCGAAATATTATATAGAGCCTTGAATTCTGACTTTTCTAATCCCTTTTCTCCCACCATAAGGAGAAATGGAAACAATAAATGTCACCACCAGTGTCTACAATTACCATATACCAGTGGTCTCACAGTGTGGTCCTAAGCCAGGAGCATCAGCATCATCTGGAAGATTCTTAGAAATGCAAATCTCAGTCCCCATCCAGAACTACTGAGCCAAAATCTCTAGGGGTGGGATCCTCCAAGCATTCTGATGCATGGTGAAATTTATAGCAGATGAAAAGGATGGTGGAGCAGGGTGTAAGATGGGGAATCATGAACAATAAGAAATGTAGGTCAGAGGGCTTCATTTATAGTTTGCTTTAGAAAATTAATACAGAAACACTATATAGAAGTTGTGGTTGTTGTTTTGTTGCTGTTTTGAGACAGGGTCTCACTCTGTCATCCAGGCTGGAGTGCGGTGGTGCAGTGACAGCTCACTGCAACCTTGGACTTTTGAGCTCAAGCCATCCTCCCGCCTTGGTCTCCCAAAGTACTGGGATTACAAGCATGAGCCACCGCACTTAACCCAGAGAAGTTTTAACACCTTCACTAAAAGCCCAGCTTAGCATAGCCCCTGATGGTTTTCTTACTTCTGTGGGCTCTGGGCATGTGAAGCCAGCTTTAGTACTTGTCCTTCTTAATAAGTGAAAAATTTGACTGAAAAACAAGAATGCTAGTTTTCTACAATTTAGCCTCACCTAATATACTTTTGTTCTTTATTTTAGTCTATGTCTTTTGAAGCTCATCATCTCACAGTTCCAGCTATTAGATGGCTTGGTCTTCTCCCTTCTGATCTTAAAAGGTTAGATAGTATAGCAGAACTAGGATATTTAAAATGACAGTTCATTATCATATGTAACAATAAGCCTAAAAAGTCACTACAAGGGAAAGCTCTTAATGTTTTTTATTTATATTGTCCACGATGACTTATGATTATGTAATTATGAATTAAATTCATTAATGTTTCTGTTTCAACTACTAAAATATTTAACACATGAATTTGGTTAATGTGTTACACTTTCAGCTAGCTAAAACTTTCTGTTTTACTTTTATGGTTAAGACATTTTATACACTTTTTATACTTAAAAGTACAATACATTGTAGGCCGGGCACATGGTGGCTGACGCCTGTAATCCCAGCACTTTGGGAGGCCAAGGTGGGCGGATCACTTGAGGCCAGGAGTTTGAGACCAGCCAGGGCAACGTGACAAAACCCTGTCTCTACTAAAAATGCAAACATTAGCTGGGTGTGGTGGTGGTGTATGCCTGTAATCCCAGCTACCGGGAAGGCTGAGGCCCAAGAATTGCTTGAACCTGGGAGACGGCAGTTGCAGTGAGCCACGATCGCACCACTGCACTCCAGCCTGGGTGACAGAGCTTGACTCTGTCTCCAAAAAAAAAAAAGTACAATATAGTAAATCCAATTAAATTGTAACCATTGACAACATCATTTGCCATATGAATCAATTTTTGTCATAGATTTAAATTTTTAACTTCAAAAGAAAAATATCATTTTAAGAGTATTAAAATTTGGGAACTTCAAGTTTGGCAAGTTTATTATATATGTTCATTATAGAAAAAAATATTAAGCAACAAGTTAAATATCACCTACAGATCAGCAGCCTTACCTTTGTAGATTTTTTTTCTGTGCATAGCCATAACTTTTTCACAAAACTGAGATCATACTCTGTTATTTTATAATCTGCTTTTTTTAAAACACAACAAAATAATGTGATCACTTTTCCATGTCAATAAAGTACATTTCTTATTTTAGCATCTTTTGTTGCTGAGTTTTAACTCTAGATGTGCTAGTGTTTATTCAGCCATTCCCTCATAGCCATTTAAGTGGTTTCCAAATCTCTATTCTGATAGGTCGTGCTTTGATGCAGTCTCTTGTAACTAAATCTCTATGCACATCCTTAGTTAGTCCCTTAGGCTGAATTCCCAGAAGAACTGGTGGGTCAAAGAGGATCCCCATAATCAGGGTTTGACTGTTGTCTGGATAGATTAAGTTTCTTGCTTTCTCTGAAGAGTAAGAGTCCACCTGTCCCTCAGCTTATGGCATTAACATTTTTTTTCACCTCTGCTAATGTGATATTTTAAAATGTTTTATTGTTGTAATTGGTCAGTAAGAATGAATTTAAACATGTTTATTGGATTTCTTTAAGTGGTGAGCAATCCTTGATAACAGTTGCTTGTTTCCTAAATATGGAATGTGAACAGGTTTTGGGTGATCAGCCACTTCCTATAAAATGAGGGTCCAAGAGGAAACATTTCATTCTTTATTTTTGAATATTCACACTCCACTGGATTAACGTGTTCAATTTAGTGTATGTGTGTCATGGTCAGAATCCCTTGGGGGTGATCTGTTTGTATAAAAACAATTTTAACACAAATTCAAGACATATGATCTGATAATTAGTAAGGTGAATAGCTTCAAGAAACTCTAGCTGCATCTCATAAATTCTATCAGTGCACTAAAAAGCCACTCCAAATGAATATACGATCAAAGGAAAAACACTATGGTAGCTACAGAAGCCAGGCTGCAAGGGAAATCCTCCAGGCCTCCCTTTCAATCAAATTGTCACCCCTATCCAAGAACTGCCCCTGGCAAATGGTCATAATTATGGACACATTGAAAAAGACTCTCCTGGGAAATCTAGGATTTGTGACTTCAAAAGGTAGTCCACACCATAAATCCAGGACCTCTCATGTTCTATTTTTAAAACACATACCATGATAAAGTTATATTCCACGTTTTTCAAATTTAAAACTAGATAGGTAAGAATGTGTTTGTGTGTGTGTAAAGTGATAAAAGTGTGTGTGTGTGTGTGTAAAATGATAAAAGTGAGACACTAACTTCCATGGCCCAGAATCTTCAAATGAATTATGAAGAATTAAATACTCAATGGAACCTAAAGTCCCTCAGTGAATCTCAGCCGTTGGCCATGCATATTGGAGCTCACTGCCAGAAGAGTGTGAAGCTCTGAGAGGCTTAATGTACATTATTAAGCTGCCCTGGTATCTGTATACCTGATGGTAGTGCTATTGGCATTTGTTTAATAACCAATATCAGTCTTCCTGTCATCCTGTCATCATCCCACGAGTGTGACATGAAGGAAAACAAAAACTTTAGAATCTTACTGTGGAAACACAAACTTCCACTATGAACTTGAAAACTTGCTGGTCTAAGACATGACAGATCCCTTCAATCCTGGATGTAAGAGGTAGATCTGTACTAATTTTCTTATTTCTGAGTTTCTTGAAGTAGTACCATAAATACAGGCAAAATACAGGACATTCAAGTTACAGAAACACTTTTTTACTGATTTTTTTCACCTACTTTTTTCCAGATTAAATGTACCTAAAGATAGTTTGATTCCACTGACAAAAAGGGACCAAATGAAACTTGACAGTATCCTGAGGAGACCTTATGTTACCTGCCAACCATTTTGGAGAAAAGAAGTATGTTTCCTTTTACAACTCAAGTGTTGCATGTTTAATTGTCTTTTACTTTAGTAGTGGCTATTCACATCGTATTTTGAAAATATCCCTCTTGAAATTTTATATGACACGACTAACATAAGTGTTGTTTGGCAGTAAATAGTTGTTGAAATTGAGTCATATGAATGCTAATAGATGAGATCAGTGAATGGAGCTGGCCTGTTTGTATCCTTATCATGGTTATATACACATTCTTGATGGCTGTATCATAGTTTGTGGGATTAAAAAAAGGAAGAAGAAATCATAAAGATTTCAGACTATCCCTAATTATTGAAGACAGCATACAGAGTACTCTCACTCCAGATATTTTTAGCTGTAGCAGCTCTGGAATATTCTGGCTGACCCTTAAGACTATTGTCCCTGGTTTTGGAGAATAAAGCAATTCTAGATTACTAGTTTGTTGAATTGACAGAAATGCAACTAAGAACTCTGGTATGAGTACATTTTACTTTTATTGACAGATGGAAATAATGGCAGACTCTAAAATGAAGGCAGAAATTCAAGCTTTGACTTTCCTATCATCAGATTATCTTTCCAGAGTGTACTTACCTAACAAATTAAAATTTGGAGGATGGATATAAAAATAAATCAGAAGAACTTCTGATTGCCAGAGGCTTTTCATTAGTTTTGTTTTGATTGGCAAATACTATTGTGGAAAGAACATATATTATATTCTTAATTCTGTAAAAGTGAAATAAAATAACTTTCCGTTAATTATATATTTTTGTCAAAACAAATGCTGTACTCCAATTTTCTTTGCAAGGCCTTATTCTTGCCTCTATAGAGACAGATTTCTGTCCTATCTTCTAAAGCAAATTATAAAAGAATATGTTATTTTGACCTTTAAATTATTTTTGAAAAAATAATATTTTATACATGTCATCAAAGTCTACAAAATATTTACCTTCTACGATACAACTAATGTTAACGCATAAAGTATCTTACTGGTAACAAAAATCATAATGATCTGAATTTGAGATGTTGCAAATGAATTGTGGTGTCCGGTAGTTTCTTCTTACATTTTCCTTTGCCTTTATACTTTAGGGGTCTTACTCCATTAATTCATTTGTTACATTAGTAAAATTCAGTATGAATAAATATTTGGATTGATGTAGTCTTCAGTGTTTTGCTTTATTTTGTATTGAGCCTATTTTTTATTGATAATATTATTTATTTGAAAAGTTTCTCGAAGGTCTTGAATGCTTCTCTAGTCTGTCTATAGAACAAAAAACTTCTTCAGTTTTAAGATCTACAGAAGCCTCAGATTTTAATAAGGTACTTCTCCAACAGTAAATATGTGACCTTTTCCCTCCATAAACCTATCTTAATTTTGCCAGAGGTCAGTTTTATGATTTTATTCTGTACTTTCAGTAAACCTTTAACTGCACTGAAAGTTTCTTGTGCTTGCAAGCAAGAATAAGAATTTATAGAAGCACGGTAATATTAGGTTAGCTATTTTATAAAGAGAAATGGTAACAATAATAATAATATATACCATTTCTGAGAACTTACATGTGCCAATCACTGCTGATTCAGTATCTCATTTAATTCCCCCAAGGACCTTGTAATTACTGGGTAACTACACCATAGTTTTCAGGTGAGAACACTGAGGATGCTATTTGTCCAAAGCCACAATAATACCAGGGGACAATAATACTACCTACCTCAAGAAAATGTGGGTCTCAATGCAAAATGTAAATGTGGGATCCCTTTTTATTAAGAATTTCAAGATGATAGCAGCAGAGAATTAAACCAAGCACAGGCCCTTCTTAGCCTGGGGTCCTGGGTGACTGCACGGGTGGTACACCTGTGAGGCTGGGCCTGCCCAAGAGGTTGTATGTAGTAAGGATTGAAGAAGGTAATATAATAATAAAGGAAAATACATACATAGCACTTACTATGTGCTAGGTATTTTTGTAGGTGCTTTGTAAACAATAACTCATTGCATCTTCACAGAAACCTTATGAGCTAGGTACTTTTAAAAAATCACCCCCATTTTACAGGTGAGAAAACAAAGGTACAGAAAGGTTAAATAATTTTCCCAAGGTCACATAACTAATAAGCAGTGGAGCTGGGACTTCAAACCAGAAAGTGTGGGTACCATGGCGCTAGTACAGGTAAAGTACTTCACGTGTGGTCTGTGTCCTCACTGCATGGAAAGGTCTGCAAGTCTTATTGTTGGCTAGTGTCAAATCAAGATCCCCCGATACCATACCTACAATTAACAAATATGTTATATTCCCTGGTCACATAGGAACCACACATTTCATTTTGGGAACATTCTGGTATGCTGTTAATTTTACTTACTCGTGAGACTATCAAAAATTCTAAAAACATTTTTATAAATAAGAAAAAATTTCCTCTGAATTTATACCATACTTACTCCTTTAACATGTAACAGTGTCACTTAACTTTGGTATGCTTTGTAAAGGAAGAAATTACTAACTTAAAAATATGTTTAACCCACGACACATCTGGCTTAGGATATACTATCAAAATGGGAAGGAGTGACAAATCTACGATAGTCATTCAAATTTAAAAATAAATTTGAAAAAGACAGATACCTCCAGTTTGGATAATTAAGTCATCTCAAGTTTATTATTGCAAATTTACTTAAAATAATTTTCAATTATTTGGGAAATGAAAATGGAAAGAGAGCAAAATACACTATAGTTTGACGTTACTACCTATCTTTATTAGATGAAAATGAAAAATTAATGCTAGTAGCTATTTGGGAACCATCTAGAATTCTAATTCTAAAGATTTCTTTCTAAAAAGGATTACCATAATACTTAGCATTTAAAATGGTAACTGATAACAATAATCTCATCTACCATCATCTAACTGTATCTAATTTGGATATTTCCATAATTTTAATCAAGAAAACATTAGATTGGAATCTTTAAAATTAAAATGTATAAAAACTAATACAACAAGGCTGGGCACGGTGGCTCACACCTGTAATCCCAGAGCTTTGGGAGACTGAGGAGGAGGATTGCTTGAACCCAGGAGTTCAAGACCAGCCTGAGCAAAATAATGGGACTCCCATCTCAATTTTTAAAAATTAGTTGGTTATGGTGGCACATGTCCATAGGCTCATCTACTAGGGAGGTTGAGGTGGAAGGATCACTTGAAACCAGGAGTTCAATGCTGCAGTGAGCTATGATTGCACCACTGCACTCAGGCCTGGGTGACAGAGTGAGACCTTGTTTCAAACAACAATAACAACAAAAACTAGTACAACAAAAAGGTGCTCAGAGACTCTTAGTTTTCCCTTAAGGGTTCATAATTACCCTAACAAACTAAAAGTTGCTTGTAGTATCCCCCGTTTTCTGAGAAATTTGATTATAATAATTGGTGATACTAAGTGATTTCAGAAGTTATGAGTTCATAGGGAAGAAAAACCATAGTGCACTTTATAAAAATAAGGAAAACCCTCCAGGGTTTCCATCTATGACTTCCTTACTGAGTGTCTCAGTTGAGCTGCTAGTTTGATGTAGATAATCTGTTCAGTGGTGCTGAAAAGAACATATTCTCTAAGCTATATATACATGTACATTAAAAGATTTTCAATGAAATGTTTTTGTAGTGAAATATTGAGAAACGTGCACTTCTGTTTGCTAAATGAACTTCTCTGTTCACTGTTACACAGATAGGTATCCCAAGGAAACAATCCTGTAGAAACAAGCCAAGGTCGCCCTCTGCTGGCAAACGCTCATTATTCTCTCAACTCCTTCCACTATTTTGGGTGGAAATTTCTTTGAAATGTTTTCAAGTCATTGTCTAAAGGAATGGGGTAGAGTCTTGAGTCACAACAAAAGAGTTTGGGGAAAACCAAGAGGGTTTCTATGTGATACACTCAACAGGAATCCGCTTTGTTAATCAGCTTTGGATGCCCCAATTCCCTGTAAAGCTACACTTAATGTGTGCTTCTTTGCAACCTAGCTATTCACAAAACTTTAAGCCAACATATTACATCTCTTTTATTAAAAATTCAAAATGAAAAGTAACTCATGCTAAGAATATAGGCATGTTCAGTTTCTATTCATCTAGCAATTAATAGAAACTGTACTTATTCATAAATATTCCCTGTGTAAAAATGGCAGAAAAGTTTACCAGTTTGAATGACAGTCACTACCAAAATTTAATTATTTTTCTATTGTTTAATTATTTTTCACCTATATTGTATGGCTCAATAATCATACAATCATACCCAGGGATAAAATCTTACTGATCTCGCAGAGCACGGTAGCTCACGCCTGTAATCCCAGCACTTTGGGAGGCCAAGGTGGGCGGATCACAAGGTCAGGAGTTCAAGACCAGCCTGACCAACATAGTGAAACCCCGTCTCTACGAAAGATACAAAAATTAGCCAGGCATGGTGGTGTGCACCCGTAATCCCAGTTACTGGAGAGGCTGAGGCAGGATAATCGCTTGAGCCCTAGAGGCAGAGGTTACACCGAGCCGAGGTCGCGCCACTGCACTCACTCCAGCCTGGGCGACAGGGCGAGAGTCCATCTCAAAAAAAAATAAAATAAAATACCGTTCTCCCTTTTTGTTTCTAGGAGGCAAAACATAAATCAGCATAATCTGCCACCTGTGGAAGTGTAGAGTTAGGTTTTGGGGCAGGCTGCTTGCATTCCAATTCTACGTCTACTCCTTGCCTCTATGGCTGGGACAAGTTACAACCTGATCTCAGTTTCATCAACCATAAAATGGGCATAACAACAATAATAATGACTTGGTAGGGTCATGGTGAGGATTAAATGAGATTATCCATTTAACAAGAGTCTTGGAATATCAGCTATAATATTTGGGCGAGCATACTGCTCCTCAGTGGTTCCACTGATGGTATATGCAAAAGCAGTTTGTCAACTACATAATCCTAAACAGCGGGAAGAGTTTATAGAGCATGCTGAATAACCAGGATTATAGAGGAATCTGTATCATAATAGAGGCTTCTGGAAGATACATTGGGCGTTGAAACATAAAATGCAACAAGTATTAATAACGAACACATGTAAGATACTCTGCTTGGTGCTGCAAAGCATATACATGGAAGTAGATACAAGTTTTAAATCTAGGAATCTAGACAAGACAAATACACTATTTAATGAGGCAGAATATGCCTCGAAACCCTGAGAGAGCTTTGGGAGGGCTTTTGAGAGTTTAAAGGAAAGATAGTAAGAGGAGTTCCATTGAAAAAGGATAAGAAAATGTAGTTGAAGCACTTCTCAGAGATGAGTCCAAAGCTTTGCTGGTAGGAGGGTCAGGCACAGGACAGACATCATGGACCTACTCTGTATCAGTTGTGTGAGCTCTGGTAAGTCACATTGAGAGATGACAGCGTGCTGGCAGTCCTCACAGCCCTCGCTCGCTCTCGGGGCATCCTCTGCCTGGGCTCCCACTTTGGCGGCACTTGAGGAGCCCTTCAGCCCACCGCTGCACTGTGGGACCCCGTTTCTGGGCTGGCCAAGGCCGAAGCCCGCTCCCTCAGCTTGCAGGGAGGGGTGGAGGGAGAGGCGCGAGCGGGAACCGGGGCTGCGCGCGGCGCTTGCGGGCCAGCTGGAGTTCCGGGTGGGCGTGGGCTTGGCGGGCCCCGCACTCGGAGCAGCCGGCCGGCCCTGCTGGCCCCTGGCAATGAGGGGCTTGGCACCCGGGCCAGCGGCTGCGAAGGGTGTACTGGGTCCCCCAGCAGTGCCAGCCCACCAGCGCTGCGCTCTATTTCTCACCGGGCCTTAGCTGCCTTCCCGCAGGGCAGGGCTCGGGACCTGCAGCCTGCCATGCCTGAGCCTCCCACCCCCTCCATGGGCTCCTGTGCTGCCCGAGCCTCCCCGACGCGAGTGCCACCCCCGCTCCACGGCGCCCAGTCCCACGGACCACCCAAGGGCTGAGGAGCGCGAGCGCACGGCCTGGGACTGGTGGGCAGCTCCACCTGCAGCCCCGGTGCGGGATCCACTGGGTGAAGCCAGCTGGGCTCCTGAGTCTGGTGGGGAGGTGGAGAACCTTTATGTCTAGCTCAGGGATTGTAAATACACCAATCGACACTCTGTATCTAGCTACTCTGATGCGGCCTTGGAGAATCTTTATGTCTAGCTCAGGGATTGTAAATACACCAATCAGCACTCTGTATCTAGCTCAAGGTTTGTAAACACACCAATCAGCACCCTGTGTCTAGCTCAGGGTTTGTAAATGCACCAATGGACACTCTGTATCTGGCTACTCTGGTGGGGCCTTGGAGAACCTTTGTGTCTAGCTGAGGGATTGTAAAGGCACCAATCAGCGACCTGTCAAAACAGACCACTGGGCTCTACCAATCAGCAGGATGTGGGTGGGGCCAGATAAGAGAATAAAAGCAGGCTGCCGGAGCTAGTAGTGGCAATCTGCTCGGGGCACCTTCCACGGTGTGGGAGGTTTGTTCTTTCGCTTTTTGGGACCACGTCGTCTTTATGAGCTGTAACACTCACCGCAAAGGTCTGCAGCTTTACTCCTGAAGCCAGCGAGACCACGAGCCCGCCGGGAGGAAGGAACAACTCCAGATGCGTCGCCTTAAGAGCTGTAACACTCACTGCCCGAAGGTCTGCAGCTTCGCTTCTGAGCCAGCGAGGCCATAAACCACCAGAAGGAAGAAACTCCAAACACATCTTAACATCAGAAGGAACAGACTCCGGATGCGCTGCTTTTAAGAACTGTAACACTCACCGCGAGGCTCCGCAGCTTCATTCTTGAAGTCAGTGAGACCAAGAACCCACCAATTCCGGACACAACATCACCTCTGTCAGCTTCATTTTCCATATCTATAAAATGGAGATAATCACAATACCTATCTTTTAGGGCTGGTCTGGAAACTACAGGAGATGGAGCATCTAAAGCGCTTAGCATAGGGTGATGCTCAAAAGAGCTATTATTACCATCATCGTCTAGACTAGAGGTTCTCAGTCTTGGCTGCATCTTAGAATCACCTGGGGAGCTTTTAAAAAATATTAATTTCCTCTTTTCTAGCCCAGGCGTACTAAATCAGAATCTCTAAGGGTGCAGTGTAAACATCACAGTTTTTAAAAAGCTGCCCAGGATTCCAAATGATCTACAGCCTTGGTACTTAACTCTGGTTCACGGCCCAGCAACCTCTGCTGGGAATTTGGTAGAAATGTGGATTTTTAGGCCCATCGTAGACCTACTGAATCTGCATTTTATAAAAAGATACCCCAGATCCTAAACCTCCTTAAGAAGGTCAAGGCACGCAGACCACACTGAGTAGTGAAGGAGAGAATCCAGGGTAGCTACATAACCTCACGAAATCCCTTCCTTGTGATCTGTCTTTTCCTTCACTTCCTTCTTCAGATGCTCCTAAAAGTAGGGGTTGGGAGGAAACAACCAACTGAAATATTTGGAGTGGGCGTGTGTGAGTAATAAGAATCCCTTAACATTTCTACAGACAGTTCTATTAGTAAGAGTAGTTCACGTATGATTTCACTTGACCCTAATTAGGAACAGCCCTGGCATCATTTTCCCCACCATGCAGCAGGAAACTGAGGCCCAAAGAGCCCCGAGGTGGGCTCAGGGTACCCCAGTGGGCAAACAGGGAGAGGCCAGGGCGGGAAACCCGCGGCCGACCTCGCCTTGTTCGGAGGCAGCGTTAGAGCAGCTTCTCGGAGGTTGGCCTTGGACGTGAATTGGAAGCAATCAGAATCTTTTAGATGTTTATACATGATAAATGCAATAATTAATTCACAAGAGAAAACAGCTAGCTACCTTGCACTAGCCCTAGTTGCGGATTGATTGACTGATTTGAGATGGAGTTTCGCTCTTGTTGTCCAGACTGGAGTGCAATGGCATGGTCTCGGCTCACTGCAACCTCCACCTCCTGGGTTCAAGCGATTCTCCTGCCTTAGCCTCCCAAGCAGCTGGGATTACAGGCACCCGCCACCATGCCCGGCTAATTTTTGTATTTTTAGTACTGACGGGGGGACGGGGGGGCGGGGGGGCGGGGGGACGGGGGGCGGGGGGGGCGGGGGGGGCGGGGGGACGGGGGCGGGGGGCGGGGGGGGGCGGCGCGGGGGGGCGGGGGGGGCGGGGGGCGGGGCGGTTCACGATGTTGGCCAGACTTGTCTTGAACTCCTGACCCCAGGTGATCAGCCCGCCTCGGCCTCCCAAAGTGCTGGGATTACAGGCGTGAGCCACCGCGCCTGGCCAGTTGCGGATTTATAAAAGCAGTCGCTTAGTAACTTGCAGCGGCTACATCAACTTTGGACCAATTCGCAAACTGCTGGTGTAAAGCGTTTTTGCGCATGTGCTGTCGCCTTGCGGGAAAAGGAGCCTTTTTCTTCGACGATTTCCGGGCGACGCAGGAAGTGGCTCCAGGGCGCACGCGCGTTGTTTCCGCGGTAGTCAGGGCAGTTTCTACCGCAGGCTTAAGGAGGCTTCGGGCTCCTGGGATTTCTGTCCGCGCTCCTGGCCCTCGTCCTTCGCGCCAGAGCAGGTTCGCAAACTCCTCAGACCCTTCTGCTCCCGGCCGCCGCTTTCCGCCGGGGCGAGACCCCCAGGTAGGCCCCGTGCCGCGCGCGTCCCGTCGTTAACCGCCGCCATGGCTCCCGCAGAGGCCGAGTTGCCTCCCGGGAGCGCGCTTCTGCGGGATGCTGGGGCGCGAGCGGGACTGTTGACTAAGCTTCGTTACTGGGCCCTGGAAGCGAGGTCAGAGCTGGAAATGGCCTTAGGGGTCACCTAGGGCCTAATCCATCGTTTCTCTTGTGGGGGAACTGAGCCTCTGGGAAGGGTCACATTGCGTTAATGCAGTGTGTGTCGCCTCTGTCCCTCCCCCTTACACGTCTGGCGTCTCGTCAGATACATGTCAGCTCCTGGGAGAAGCTTTCCCTGGCCGCTTTGCAGAAGGGCGTCCCCTTTTAGCCTCTTCCACGTCAACCTGCTCCATTTCTTTCGTAGCAGTTACCAGTCTCTGAAACTAAGTCTGTTTCTGTCTTAGCCCGCCAAGTATTTATTGTATACGTATATAGGTGCCACCGTACAGGCAGTACTTCTCCAGGCAAGTAGTATTAAACACCAGCCGCCCTGGGCCAGGCATTGTACTGTGGGACCCAGTATGCATTAAGGGAAGAATCCAGGCAAGTGGCTGCCCTCTTGGAGCCAGCATTCTGGGGGGGAAGAGATTTTGAGTGTAAACAAGAAATTCCAGGGGATGTGATGGAAGATTAGATATGTTAAAGTTGGCAAAGAAGCGTCTGAGGAGGTGACTTTAAAAAAGAATACGTGTGACAGCTTTATTGAAGTATAAAATAACATTAATTTCAACCATTGAAAGTGTATATTGTGAGTTTGGAAATTTTATGCAGTTGCGTAAACATGGCAAGTTCAAATTTGGGACATTTTCATCACCCCAAGAAGTTCGGAGGAGGCAACTTTTGAACTGGGATATGAAGATTCAAACGGAGGTAGCTGTGGGGAGGGAGAAGCAAATCATCCCAAGCTGAAGGAACAGCACTAGGTTTGCTCCAAGGCAGGGATGAGCTTGTTGTGTTCAGCGGAGAAAGGAAGCCAGCAGAGCTAGGAGGGCTGGGGTGCAGCAAGGCGGGAGAGAGCGGGAAGAGATTAGGTGGGTCCCACAGATGACTGTGCCTTCTGAACTTTGGAAGCTTCCCAGTGCTCAGCATAAGGTGTGGTCCACACTGACTAACACGAACGATTCTCACCTACCATGTTCTTTTTCCTAAGTTCATCCCTAATGGCAGAAATGTTCTCTCCCAACTTGAAGGTTGAGGTAGAGGAATAGAGTGAAAGTAATATTTATTAAGAACCTGTAGTGCTTTAGGCAGTGTGTGTGTGTGGCTTCATTTAGTTCTCATAACTCTGTGAAGTAGATATTAGTGTCTCTGTTTTACAGATGAGAAAATCAAGGTTAAGTGACCCGTCCAAAGCCGTGTAACCAGCACCTGGACTGATTGCAGAAGCCTTGTCATGCCTTTGTTCGTTCATACAGCCAACTGGTGTTTCAAGTACCTCTGCATTTGAGGGCAGAAGTGTGGCCGGCAAGGACCACATCCCCTCACGTTCACTAAAATGTACATGTGCTTGTAGCTGTTGCTCTGACCTTTTGTTCTGCACTTATTTTTCATGAAGCTGAGGAAACTCAAATGCCTTCCCCAAATTCCTTGCAGTTTCTCCGTTCTGTGTTGTCTTGTTAGCAAGGATGTCACTCAGCCATTTGGCTCCCTTTGGAGAGGTGACTGGTATGGAGGACTTTTCAGCGTAACAGGTAGTAGGATTGAAATGTGGTTTCAGTGTACGTAACTCCTCGGGGAGTTGGAAGGAAAAAAGAAGGGAAAAGTCGTTTATTGTACCCACTATGAACTAGATACTGCATTTTCTACATAATCTGATTTGATCCCCAGAGCAGCCCTGGAGAATGTGTTAATGTTCTCTATGTTTGCAGAGCAGGAAAATGAAGACTGGTGAGATTAGAGTCCCAACTCCTGAGTGGCAAGAGGCCCTGACCAAACCCTGGTGGGCCTGTTAGATTATGATATTCAAGAAAAAACCCAGGGTGGGAGAGGTTCTTGCTGGGTAAATGTCCAAAACACGATGCCCGACCTTTTTAAAACTTTTACGAAGAAATTGCTGATTCGCTTCCCGGACTGGTTGTTCTAGGTAGTTTCATGCGGATGCTGACCTAAACTAGAATGTAGAAATTAGTAGGAAAGTGAATGCCCACTAGGTGGAAACCTGAAAGCACGGGGACCTGCGATCTTGTTTACTGTTATATTCCTGCTGCGCAGCTCAGGGTCTCTATGTAAAAAATGAGTGAATTTATTTTCTAGCTGGTGCCTACAAAATAATCTGCAATGTATCCATACTGGTTTATTAATGGTAACAAATGAACCGTACTAATATGAGATAATAGGGGAAACTAGATATGGAGTGTATGGGAATTCTATCTTTACTATTTCTGGAAACCTAAAACTACTCTAAAATAGAAGGTTTATGTTTTGAAAGCACTCTGCTCATTGCGCTCTTGTCTGAAAAGTGAAGCCTGGCCTCAAGCCACTTTGAGTATTTCTCTTCTGCCAGTTAATTATCTTACCATTGCCTCTCAGTGATATTAAGAGAAAACCCATCCTTAACATTTTTCATTACTTTTTAGGTTCAAAATGAGCCTGTTTGGAACAACCTCAGGTTTTGGAACCAGTGGGACCAGCATGTTTGGCAGTGCAACTACAGACAATCACAATCCCATGAAGGTACCACGAAAAGCTTCCTGGGGCTTGTAGGAAGAGTTTGGGCAGAGTTTCTCCCATCAAGGACAGAACCCGAGATGACTTGGGAGCCTCCTTTAGGCTGAAAGCTTTGAAACTTTGTCTAACTCATGTTTCTGAAACACTGGAGCACAGAAAATGTGTCCCCGTACTTGTGTCCTGTTCTTCCTGGCCTGCCAGGTCTCCAGAATCACCCAAGGTGCAGATTCCGGTGCAGATTCCCAGGGCCTGGCCCAGCCAGGACTGTTGACTCAGAATTCCCATGGTTGGAGAGAGGGGATGGCAGGTGAAAACTGTGATCTAGCACTGTGGGGCCAGAGTGAACTGGTCATTTAGAAAACAAGACCATGGGCATTTCATTAGCAGCTGCTACTGCTAGTCCTGGTGGTGCTGGTACTTTCTCTAGCTTATTTTTTACTCCTGTCTTTGATCAAAGTAAGGAAAGGTCTAATTCAGTTAGTTCTTGTACACAAGGAAAGGCCACCGTGAGGTAATTAGTGAGAAAGAAAACAATTTGGAATGAAGTTGTGAGCGTGCATACATTTTAACATTGACTTTTTTCCCGCAGGATATTGAAGTAACATCATCTCCTGATGATAGCATTGGTTGTCTGTCTTTTAGCCCACCAACCTTGCCGGGGAACTTTCTTATTGCAGGATCATGGGCTAATGATGTAAGTGCTCCTTAAATACGTGTTCTAGAAATCATCTCTCTTTGTATGGCCAAGGTTAGCTTTAGCTCCGTTGTTTCCCAAGTAAATGAATCAGTTGGACTTATTTATGGCCTTTTTTGAGAAATCAATTTAGGGGGTGTGAACCCTTCTGAATGGCAGACATTATTCTTACACCCGTTTTTGTTAGGAAAGCACAATCATATGTGTTGCTCGAAATTTTCTACTTTAGTTCAGTCTCTTGAAGTTTATTCCCAAATCAAATATCATATTCATCCAGAGTGAACATTATACCCAGTGGCACACACCAACAAATTCCCTTTCTTGGCATCCTGACAGTGTTCCTCAGGCATGTATGAAACTTTTTCAACGTTAAATAATAGCACAGATTTGCCTAGATACTTACTCATCATGTACAAAAAGAAAGACAAAAAAATTACAGTTTACTAAAAGAAAGAAAACTCTGGTAGAAAAATAAGCAAAGGGTGTAAAGAGGGACTTCACAAAAGAAAGAATAAACCTGAACCATTCATCCATGCTTGTAATCAGATAAATGCAAATTTAAGACTTTTTTTTATTAAATTAACAAAATTAAAAGTTTAAAAGAATAATAGTGCCAGCAAGGATAAGCTGAAACCCTGCATGTATGGCTGGTAGGTATGTAAGTTGGCTTTTCCACAGGATAATTGGCAATAGTTATCAAAAATCCTTCAGCTTATACCCTTTATCTCACTGATACCCTTCTGGGACTTGAGTAGGAAATCTGATAATGTACTTCATCTGCATTATCTAAATTAACCTTTATAACAGCCAAAGCACTGTGAACTTGTGAAAATTTTGAAAATTTTAATATCCAGTAGTAATGGCAATGTATAGTATGTTTGTATGATGGAATACCATTGTAAGTTTTTGGAAAAGCTTTTGAACTGTAGCCTACAGCACAGGGGCAGCAGGGGTTAGGAGAACAGGAGGGAGGATGGTAGTCAAGGTTGAGCAAGCTTGCTTTCTACATGTAATTTTTAGAAAGATTTCAGATTATTTGCTGCTTAAAAAAAGGATGTTTCAAGTTGAACAGGCTAGTGATGCAGGTGAGGAAAGCTGTAGCTGCAAAAGTGAAGACACTGTATAATCTAGTGTCTTCCAGAAAATATGCGTACATGGAAAGAAGACTAAGAGCACACAGAACCATTAGCTGTGGTTGTCTGTGGTGTGATTAGGGTGATTTTTATTTTTTTGCCATATTTACAAAATCTCTAAAATGTATTACTTTTTTAACGGAGGGGAGATTATATAAAGTATTCAGAAAAGAGGTAAGTTTCTACTTTGGTCTTGATTCTCTGAATGGTAATGGGTAAGTGATATTCTACTTTAAAAGACATATCTCATAGATGCATTGAGAAAATTATCTGCAATTTTATGTGTAAGCAATAGAATTTGTTTATTTTAATAGCTTAGGCGAAGAAAACAGTTGCTTTCATAGATATTTTAATTCCTTTGTTCTTGAAGTTAGATAATTAGGTTGCTATGAGAAGTCTATGTATGGTTAAGGTGTACCCCATTAGTTTTTAGGTGTTAAATGCAAGCAATACATCGTAATTGCTTTGTTTGCATTGAATTTTTTTGTTACTACAGGTTCGCTGCTGGGAAGTTCAAGACAGTGGACAGACCATTCCAAAAGCCCAGCAGATGCACACTGGGCCTGTGCTTGATGTCTGCTGGAGTGACGTACGTTCCCTTCCATTTCTCGTGTTCCATTTTACTTAAAGTACAGAATGATTTAGAATATTTAATAATCCAAACACAAATAGCATATATGTGTTCATATTGTAGGAATTCTAAGTTTCTGAACATAAATATAGTCATTTATTGATGTTCTTAATGTTGGCTTTAGTTAGCCACTTTCTTTGAAAGCTTTTCTTGTATTAAATTTTGTGTGTGTGATTGAGGAGAGTTTAATGATTAAGGGATAATTTATGAAGAAGCCAGCAGGGAAGGTGAAACACCGGTGCCAAGCTGCAGTGGGCGGGCCTCCTGGAGCACAGCATGAGCTGCAGCTGTAGAGGGGCTTCCACCTGGCGCGGGAGAGCCAGGGGATGAACAGCTGTAGACGGGCCTCGGCCTGGCGAGGGGAGCCAGGGGTTGAACACCCCAGCCTCTCTCCTCCCTTCTCCTGCCATTGCTGCTGGTGGCTGAACCCAACAGTAGTGAGAATGTTAAGGGGCCTGGTGACAGGCAGACACACTGCAGTGCTGAAGAAGCTAAGCCTTGAGGCCCCTTCCGAGGCCTTGTACCTGTTCCTTTAGTCAGGTTTATTGAGTCTGATTTGCCTGCTGTAAAACTGAACCTTTTTGGTATACAGCTCTGTGAGTGTTAAGAAATGCATAGAGTTGTGTTCTAGATATAGAACAGATCCATCGGCCTCCAAATTCTCTTCCTTCCTTTTGTCGTCAAATCCTTCCCAGCTCGCAGCCCCTGGAAACTACTCATCTGTTTTTTTTGTCCCTATAGTTTTGCTTTTACAAGAGTATCATCTAAATAAATCCTATAGGGTGCAACCTTTGCGCTCAGCATGTTGCATTAACGTATGGTGATTGTTTTGTCAGATATATTTCCTATGTTTGGGGTGGGATGCTGGAAATTAGGACAAGCATTGAGATATAGCATCTGCAAAATGCTAATGTAAGTGGTAGGAGTTTTCTCATAAAAGATGTACGAGTTGGTCTTAGCGGTATTGGGGTTATGCCATTCGAATTTGTAAGAAGAGAGTGGTTTAGAAGGGTCTTGGTAATTAAATTTGTGGTATAGAGTTCTGGTAAATATACAGTGTGTAGTGCTCCTAGGAAAATAGTAGTAGTTAGGGCATTTATTATGATAATATTCATGTATTCTGCTATAAAGAAGGGGGCAAATGAGCCTGCGGCATATTCGATGTTGAAGCCTGAGACTAACTCTGACTCTCCTTTTGTTAGATCAAAAGAGGCTCAGTTAGTTTCTGCTAGTGTGGGGATAAATCATATTATGGCTAGGGGCCATGATGATAGGAGCAGTCAGAGGAATTCTTGTGATGAGTATGTGTAAGTTAAATGAGCTGCTTATCAGTAGAACTGATAGCTGGATAATAGCTAGGGTGACTTCATATGAAATCGTGTGGGCCACAGCTCATAGTGCGCTGATTAGTGCATATTTTGAATTAGATGCTCATCCTGATCATAGAATAGATAGACGGCTAGGCTTGATGTGGCTAGTTTAAATAGGAGGCCTACATTAAAATTAGAGGATCTGGTATAGGGAGGGGGGTTCATAAGAGGAGAGCGATAGAGAGGGCTAGGATTGGAGCAATAATATAAAGGGTGATAGTAGATGTTAAGGGCCGCGAGGGTTCTTTGGTGAAAAGTTTTATTGCATCAAAAAATGGTTCAAGCAGTCTGTAAGGACCTACAATGTTGAGTCCTTTGCATAGTTGTATATAGCCTAAGATTTTTCATTCGATGAGTGTAAGGAACGCTATCGCGATAAGAGTGGGGATAATGAGCAGGAGGAGGTTAATTACAGGCATGTTGTTAAGAAGAGGAGTTGAACCTCTGATTATAAAGTGTTAAGTTTTATGCAATCGCTGGGCTCTGCCATCTTAACAAACCCTGTTCTTGGGTAGGATGTGTGATGATTTAAGAGACTGGGATGGCATCATCTATGGAGTGAGGGCACTTTATGAAGTGGGCCCTATTTCTCTTGTCCTTTCGTAGTAGGAGGAATGTTAAGTAGGTAGAAACCGACCTGGATTACTCTGGTCTGAACTGAGATCACATAGGACTTTAATCATTGAACAAACAAACTCTTAATAGCGGCTACACCATTAGGATGTCCTGATCCAACATCGAGGTCGTAAACTCTATTGTCGATATGGACTCTAGTATAGGATTGCGCTGTTATCCCTAGGGTAACTTACTCCGTTTATCAAATTATTGGGTCGATGTGTAATAACTCACTTAGACTTGTGTGGTCTTAGGTTGTTAGGAGGTTGAATTATGCTCCGAGGTCACCCCAACCAAAATTTTTAATGCAGGGATAGGAGGCTAGGGCCTGTAGGCTTGTTGGAGTTTTTATTTGCATTGATGAATTAAAGCTCCATAAGGTTTTCTCGTCTTATTTGTTTATATCCGCCTCTTCACGGATAGATCAATTTCACTGGTTGAAAGTAAGAGACAGCTGAACCTTCGTGTGGCCATTCATTCAAGTCCCTATTTAGAGAACAAGTGATTATGCTACCTTCGCACGGTCAGGATACCACAGCTGTTGAATATATGTCACTGGGCAGATAGTGCCTCTAATACTGGTAATGCTAGAGGTGATGTTTTTGGTAAACAGGCGGGGTAAGATTTGCTGAGTTCCTTTTATTTTTTTGTAATGTTTCCTTAGAGCATGCCTGTGTTGGGTTAACAGTGCAAATAATACGGTGTTTATTATATCATTTATTAATATTGGGATGTTAACTGTCAGTGGGTTACTCCCGTCTGATGTAAGCTTATGCAATGGAGAATGTCTTCATCTTACTTACATTAACATTACTGCTTCTATTAAGTAATAGATTAGTCCAATGTGATGTTAGGAGTTCAGTAGACTGGTTAGAATTTAAGATAGTTAGATATTGAGCTTAAATGCTTTCTTAATTAGTGGCTGCTTTTGGGCCAACTGTGGTGGTAATGTTTTTTACTCTCTGTAGGAAGGGTCTAAAGAGCTGTCTGTCTCTCTAGACTAACAGTTAAACTTACAGGGAGTTTAAGTAATTCTGTGGGTAAGTTGAAAGTTGAACTAAGCCAGCCAGCTATCACCAGGCTCGGTAGGCGTGTCACCGCTACTCATGAATCTTCCCACTGTTTTGCCACATAGGTGAGTGTGCTCTTTCAGCTATTCTTGGGTAGCTCGTCTGGTTTCGGGGGACTTGGCCATAGTTCTATGTAAAGTTATTTCTAGTTAATGCATTATGCAGAAGGTATAAGGGCTTGTCTTTGCTTTTTAGTCCTCAATACAGTTCTTTCATCCTTCCCTTACAGTACTGTGTCTATTGCCAGAAATATCTACCAGGGTAGAAATTTCTATCGCCTATACTTTTGTTTAAGGTAAATGGTTTGATTAAGATAGTTTGATAATATTTTTAGCGAGGTTTGGGGCTAGAGTTGTCTGAGTGGTCAGGTCATGATGAAATCTTCTGGATGTAAGCCGGATGCTTTGGGTTAAGCTACACTTTGGTTTATCCAAGCGCACTTTCCAGTATGCTTACCATGTTACAATTTATCTCCTCTATACCTGTGTAGAAAATTATCAGTAATAGTGATTTCTAGAGTAGTATTCGAGGAAGGTGATGGGCTGTGTGTGCGTGCTTCATGGCCTTATTCAACCAAGCACTCTGCTCTTGGTTTACTGCTAAATCCTCCTTAAGCCCTTAGATTTCATAAGGCTGTCATGAGATTTTCTGGACATAGAAAATGTTGCCCATTTCTTGCCACCTCATGGGCTACACCTTGACCTAACGTTTTTATGTGTATACTTGTGCTTACTCTATAACCTTTTTAGGGTTTGCTGCAGATGGGCATATAGGCCAGGGGCAAGAGGTGGTGAGACGTATCGGGGTTTATTGATTATAGAACAGGCTCCTCTAGAGGGATATAAAGCACCACCAAGTCCTTTGAGTTTTAAATTGTTGCTTGTAGTACTCTGGCGAATGGTTTTGTTAATGTAACTGTTAGGGTTTAGGGCTAAGCATAGAGGGGTATCTAATCCCAGTTCTTGTCTTAGCTACTGTGTCTTCAGGGTATTAAAGCTACTTTCGTAGTATGTTTTATTTCAACTGGAGTTTTTTACAACTTAGATGGAGCTTAGCACTCTTTACGCCAAGTTCTATTAGCTTGGGTTAACTGTATGGCCATGGTGGCGGGCACGAAATTAACCAACCCTAAATATTAGTATAGCTTAGTTAAACTTCTGTTTATTACTAGATTTAACACTGCTGTTTCCTGTGGGGGTGTGGTTGAGCAAAGTGTTTTGAGCTGCATTTGTGCATGCTTGATACCTGCTCCTTTTGATCCGGGTGATCTAGAGGACATTTTCACTGGGGTAGGGGTGTTTGCATGTGTAATCTTACAAAGAACTAATAAAAAGGTCAGGACCAAACCTATCTATAAGGTTTTGTGGACCCATCTAGACATTTTCAGTGTCTTGCTTTGAGTGGTTAAGCTACATTAACTGTGTAGAATACTTAAGTGGAAAATTAAAGTATGAGAAAGAAAGAAAGAAAGAAAGAAAGAAATAGAAATAGTTGCTTACAGTTCTGGAAATTCAGGGTCTTTAAAGTTGGATTGGCAGAGGTTTGGCTGAGAGGGTTATTCATAATTAGAGTATGGTTGATTTAGGGTTATGGTGTACTGGGGCAGCACTTTCAGAGGGTTATGCTCAAGGTATCATATCAGTATTAGGGCAGAAGTTTAGTTAATCTATTATACATAGTGGAGGATTTATTGGGTAGGAGGAGCCTTAAGATTTTTTAGAAAATTACATCAATCGAGGGGTAGCTGTTGGGGTGTTCGTGGTTAAAATATGTCTGGGCTCTGACTGGGTTGCATTTTAGTTTCTTGTGTTTGGGGTTTGGCAAAGGTATGTTTACCTAGGTTGATGGTAAAGTCAGATTAGGAGGGGGGAGTTTGCGGATTTATTCGGAAATAGTTCTTGAAATTGAGCATACGTGCATGCGTGAGCATCTATTGATTAATTGTTAAGTCCTTCAACCATGAATTAACACCTTATGGTTGTTATGTCAGTCCGGAATATTCAGTATAAGTTCAGCTACAATGGATTTGGCAGGAGTCAGGCTGTTGCCATGCTGAGTCACAGCATCCCAAAGTTAAAAAATACCAAATGCATGACAGTGCTCCCGTGACTGGCTAATAGGGTGGTAGTGATTAATCCATCAAGATGTCTTATTTAAAGGGAACCTATGGGCAATCTTAATTTTATGGCCATACGTTAATGCAGGGGTCCCCAACCCCCAGGCTGTGGACCAGAACAGGTCCATGGCCTGTTAGGAACTAAGCTGCACAGCAGGAGGTGAATGGTGGGCCAGTGAGCCTTACTGCCTGAGCTCCGCCTCCTGTCAGATCAGCGGCGGCATTAGATTGTCACAGGAGCTCGAACCCTGTTGTGAAGTGCACACGTGAGGGATCTAGGTTGTGTCTTCCTTATGAGAATCTAATGCCTGATGATCTGAGATGGAACAGCTTTATCCTGAAACCATACCCTCACTTCACCCCAGTCTGGAAAAATTGTCTTCCATGAAACTGGTCCCTGGTGCCACAAAGGTTGGGGACCGCTGCTTTAATGTGATCTTATTTAGCTTATATATAAGAAATAATTCTGTGTATAAACATTTTGACATAGTTTAGGGGCCACAGTTGCTCCCATTTTATTCAGTAGCAAGGATCAGCTTCTCTGAGGCATTTTTATCACCTGTAAAATGTCTTCCTGACATACCTGATTAAGTTATTGTGACACTACATTAATAGATATATGAAAAGTTTGAAAAGTGAAGCATTCATTTCATATGCAACTTATTTTTAGTTTACACACAGAAAAGTAGCAGCATGAGTAGATTTGAAACATTTCTAATGTATTTTGTCTGTCTTTACTGATCGGGCAACGGGTCAGAATTAGAAAGTTTCTTATAAAGTACGGCAAGAAATAGAATTAACTAATGCAGGAATCCTTTTGCTCAAATGTTATCTAATGGCTATTGGAATTTATAAAACGGAATCTAAGTTTCATAGCATCTAGTGGGAGGATCAGACACAGGAATGAGAGTTGTACGTTCTGACGGGGAGGCAGGATGAACTGGTGCTGGGTGGGAAAAACAATACAGAAAGCAGCTGTAAAGTTTGGAAAGGCTTCTGTGAATGCTTTACAGAAGACAAGAATAGAGGTAAATTTTTGTTTGTTTGTTTGTTTTTGAGTGTTGCTCTGTAGCCCAGGAGTGCAGTGGTGCGATCTCAGCTCACTGCAACCTCCACCTCCTGGGTTCTAAGTGATTCTCCTGCCTCAGCCTCCCAAGTAGCTGGGGTTACAGGCGCCCACCACCACACCCAGCTAATTTTTGTATTTTTAGTAGAGATGGGGTTTCGCCATGTTGCCGAGACTGATCACAAACTGCTGAGCTCAAAGTGATCCACCCGCCTTGGCCTCCCCAAGTTCTGGGATTATAGGCATGAGCCACCACGCCTGGCCAGCAGAGCTGATTCTTGAAAAGTAAACCATTTGCCTATAGCTTTTTAAGCATTGTCTCATCCAATTGAGGCCTGGGTTCAAATTTCAGCTCTGTCTCTTCCAGGCTTTTGACTTTGCCAAGTTGTTTAATCTTTCTAAATTTGTTTTCTTGTTTAGAAAATGAAGGTAGGCTGGGTGCAGTGGCACTTTGGGAGGCTTGGGATGAAGGATAGCTTGAGGTCAGGAGTTTGAGACCAGCCTGGGCAACGTAAGGAGACCCGGTCTCTACAAAAAATAGAAAAATTAGCCGGGTTTGGTGGCGCACACCTGTAGTCCCAGCTACTTGGGAGACTGAGGCAGGAGGATCACTTGATCCCAGGAGACTGAGGCTGCAGTGATCCATGATGACACCACTGCATTCCAGCCTGGCAACAACCCTGTCTCAAAAAATAAAAAAAATTATCTGAGTGTGATGGCACATCCCTATAGTCCTAGCTACTCAGGAGACTGAGGTGGGAAGAATCCTTGAGTCCAGGAACTGGAGAGTACAGTGAGCTATGATTGCACCATTGCACTCCAAGCTGAGCAATAGAGCAAGACCGTGTCTCTAAAAAAATAATAAATAACAATAATAAAGTAAATAATAAAATGAAGGTAATAACACATAATAACATTATTAATTCAGCAAATAATTGTCAGGCACCTATTGTATGCTAAATCCTGGAGATAAAGTGGAAATCAAAGTAGGCAAAACCTACACTTCTGAAACTCATGATCTCTTAGGACAAACAAGAAGAACAAATACAACTTCTCGATAGTGGAAAATTGTGATGACTAGATTAAACCTACACGGAAGGATTAGCACAGTGCTGTCACAAAGTGGTTAAGGAGCTTGCCTGTGAGAACAAAAGTGACTGGCTGAGCCTAGGCCCAGACCTTCCTGGTGATGGAGCCCATGTGCTTAGCAGCCTCCCTCATGGAGCTTTACAGGAAGAGTCGGAGCTACCCGGGAGAGAAAGACATGTAGGTAAAGGCACAGGGGCGCTAAAGACCCAAAGTTACCTTGGAGGCATAAAAGCCAAACTTGGTAAAGTTGAATCTTCAGTACTTTAAGGACATGGTTCAAACTCTGCAGTTGAAGCAGGTAGACTTAGAGCAGCTGGTGGAGCATTCACACATACTCTTTCTCTCCCCAGTGTTTTGCTGGATTCTCCTTTATGTCTGCACGTGTCCACTGAGGTTGGCATGCTCTGCTCCACAATGCTGATGACGTGGTGGGGCTGGCATTATGAGATTGAGAGGCCAGTGTTCACTTGGACTCAGGGCAGCCCTCTCCATACACTCATACCTTTCCTTTGCTGTGTTTTCAAGGATTTGTAGAATTACAACCTCATTAAAAGCATGAGGAGCAAGTTTTATCTCTTCTTTCAAATGAAGTCACTTCAATGGAACAAGTTTTTGCTAGAGGAGAATGGTGGTCAATTTTTGAGCTCTGGAACCAAAAATGAAATATAGACTAGGCCAAGGTTCAGCAAACTATGGCCCATGAGTCAAACCTGACCCATTGTCTATTTTTGTAAATAAAGTTTTATTGAAATGCAGCCACACTCATTGACATAATATGTCTGGGTGCTTTCAAGCTGCAGTGACAGAGAAGACCTACTTTGAGTTCTCTGTGTGAATATTGTGAAACCATCACACAGTGACCACTAATTTTTAAATCTATTTGACAAGTTAGATAGGACCAATGACTGTTGTAAATTGGCATAGCTTTATTGCATGTACTTGGAAGTGTTATTAGATAGGGACCGAATAAAAGTAATTAAGATTATAGTTATGTGTTTTGTATATAGAGAGAAAGATAAATGTGACAGAATGTTTACAATTGATGAATCTATGTGAAGTGCTTATGGGTATTTTTTGTATTTTTGCAACTTTTCTGAAGGCTTAAATTTTATCAAAATAAGAAAAAAATTTTAAAGTGGTCCATGGTTGCTGCTGAGAGGAGACCTGGGATCAGGGACAAGAGAAAGAGTTTGTTTTCACTAGTTTGTGATTTCTGATTTTTAAAATCCTGTTTATATGTTCTCGCTTAGAAAAGTAAGTCAATCATGAAATAGATGAAAATGAATTTTTTGTATGATGCTGTAGTTTGCAGTACACTGGTCCCCAAACAATTGGAAAAATAAAGATTGCCAAAGTTTGCCTCAATATGTTCAACGTAGTATCTAAATATATATATAGTTAAAGATTTAATTTTTCTTAAAATGCAAAATTTTCTCCATTTTATTTTAGGATGGGAGCAAAGTGTTTACGGCATCGTGTGATAAAACTGCCAAAATGTGGGACCTCAGCAGTAACCAAGCGATACAGATCGCACAGGTAACAGAAGCCTCTGCAGAAAGGCTAGGCACAACTGGTACCCAGGACTGTGATGGCTCTTTAAGTGAAATAATTATTATAATTATAATAAGAAAACGTGCAGTTAGACTCTGTCAAATCAATTAGACAATATAACAGAAACCTCTTTAGCACAAAAATAACAATTTTATAACCATTCTCATTCTTAACTAGTGTTCACAGATTGTCTTGTCATGGATCTTCATATATGTATGGATGGAGTCATAAGGAGTTAGTGACATTAAAATCTATGAAAGACAGGTCATAGGTGGTCCTTGCCATTCACAGGTTGGACGTTGTGACCTCGTGCATGGCTGGTCTTCTACCAACTGCATTTGGTCACTTACTCATTCAGCAAGTGTTCTGTCTATGGGCCAGTAATAGAGCAGCGAGTAAGAGGGGCATTTCCCCACACGTGTGGAACTTTTACCGTTACTCAGGGACCACTGGCAGGTACTGTGTGAAGAATGCCAAGGGCAGAAGTAATGAAGATAAGAGAACTTAGAACCAGAGGGTCCAGCCTGCTAAGGGGGCTTCAGGAAGAGCACAGTGCTGAAACATTTTCAGGAAGGCACTGCATACTCAGGTCACAGTGCTGTGTGCTAGAAACATCTCATTGATCTCTTAATTCCCATCACCTCAGTGAGTAAAACTGTGGTGGAATCCCCTGCTTGTTATTTCTGAATATCTCCCTAAGGAGGAGCTTACTTTCACTCGCACATATGTCTTAATTATGAGTAAAAAAATTAAAGTTTGCTAGAATGGAAGGTAGATATATGTTTTTGTGTTAAATTGACTGTTTTGATTATGGGTGTATTAGTCCCTTCCTGCATTGCTATAAAGAAATACCTGAGACTGGGTAATTTATAGAGAAAAGAAATTTAGTTTGCTCATGTTCTGCAGGTTGTATGAGTATGGTGCCGGCATCTGCTCGGCTTCTGGGGAATCCCAAGGGAGCAGGAGATGGAGCAGGCACATCACATGGCAAAAGCAGGAAAGAGAGCTATGGGAGAGAGGAGGTGCCATACTTTACAACAGCCAGATCTCAGAGAACTCACTATTGTGAGGACTGTGCTAACACAGGAGGGATCCGCCCCCATGACCCAGACATCTCCCACCAGGCCCCACCTTCAACACTGGGGATTACATCTCAACATGGGATTTGGTGGGGACATGCAAACTCTGTCAGTGAGGAAGGATTGGTAAAATGCTAAGTATGTTTTGGTTTTTGTTTGGTATGGCCCCAGTATTTAAATTAGTTTCTTCCCTTTGAATTGCCACAACTAAAGCTGTTCAGCACATTCTTACATTTACCTTGATCTGTTTTGTTTTTGTCTTGTTGAAAGCATGATGCTCCTGTTAAAACCATCCATTGGATCAAAGCTCCAAACTACAGCTGTGTGATGACTGGGAGCTGGGATAAGACTTTAAAGGTATAATGTGCAGTTGAGGCATTGTTTGGCCCCATCAGGATTGTCATTTATTTTTGCACCATTTCGACTTCTGCTCTGAATGGTCACATACTGGCTTCTCTTTTTTGCTTTTAGTTTTGGGATACTCGATCGTCAAATCCTATGATGGTTTTGCAACTCCCTGAAAGGTGTTACTGTGCTGACGTGGTAAGGGATTTCAACTTAATATGTATTTACTTTAAAAAAAAAACAAAATAAGTATTCTCACCTTGTGGCGTCCTGCAGTTAGTGAGTGGATAATATAAAAATCCTGCTAGCTTTAGTAATAGATATAAAGGATCGAGTTGAGATTGCCTCAGTCGTCTCCAATTGGGAGATTTTTGTGCTGCGTTTCTTTTAGAAGTACTAAATGCTGGATGTCAAGTTTTCCTGCCACTCGTTTGAACATATGCAGCTAGCTACATGCCATCTCTAGTGTGACATCTATCATGTCCTTTCCATGGCAGTAGGAAAACTTGCAGTAAGTTTGTGAGGTGGTACCAGGTCTTTGGGGACTGTTTCTGAGTGGGATAGAAATTGAACTTTCTCGGCCAGGCATGGTAGCTCACGCCTATAATCCTAGCACTTTGGGAGGCAAAGGTGGGTGGATTGCTTGAGGTCAGGAGTTCGAGACCACCCTGGCCAACATGGTGAAACCCCATCTCTAAAAATACAAAAATTAGCTGGGCATGGTGGCGCACGTCTGTAATCCTAGCTATTCGGGAGGCTGACGCATGAGAATTGCTTGAACCCAGCAAGTAGAGGTTGAAGTGAGCTGAGATCACGCTGTTGCACTTCAGCCTTGGTGATAGAGTGAGATACTATCTCAAAAAAAAAAAAAAAAAAGGAAAGAAAAAGAAATGGAACTTTCTCCATTTGTTTAGTCACATCTTAAAGTTTTGTACCAACAATCCCGTAATTCCACTTTTAGGAATTTATCACAAGAAAATAATCATAGATACAGATGGTCTTTGTTTTTTTTGTTTGTTTGGTTTTTGAGATGGAGTCTTGCTCTGTCGCCAGGCTGGAGTGCAGTGGCATGATCTCAGCTCACTGCAACCTCTGCCTTCCGGGTTCAAGCGATTCTCCTGCTTCAGCCTCCCGTTAACTGGGACTACAGGTGTGTGCCACCAGGCCCAGCTAATTTTTATACTTTTAGTAGAGACGGGGTTTCACATGTAGGCCAGGATGGTCTCGATCTTTTGACCTCATGATCCACCTGCCTCGGCCTCCCAAAGTGCTGGGATTACAGGCGTGAGCCACCATGCCCGGCTGGTCTTTGTTTTATGTAATATAGTGAAACATTGGAAGTGGCCTAAGGGGCCACCAAGACACAGATAAATAAACCCTGTGGTAGGTTCATTTGAGGGGACGTTAGAAGCCACTGCTAGTACTTGAAAAAGTGTGTGACGTGGACCTTATGAAACATGTTTTGAGTAAAGGATATGAACTGTACAGAAATATGCTACATACCAAGTATAACGCTGAGAACAAAGGCTGGAATAGTGACAGCAACTGAAGGAGTGGTGTAGGGGATTTTTATTTATTCTTAGTTCCTGAGTATATTTTCTAAATATCCACATATTTTATAGTTAGTTTTAAAACACGAGACTTTTTAAAATATATGAATGTTCTACTTTCAAATACTATTTCTCTAGGTTTTAGTGAAATATAATCCCAGGATTATTAAAATCCAGACTTAATGTTGTAACCAAAAATTGATCAAATACATTAGTATAAAAACAGCACACTCCTTCACCTGAAGCGCATCTCTGTTTTCTTCCATTCCCTAGATATACCCCATGGCTGTGGTGGCAACTGCAGAGAGGGGCCTGATTGTCTATCAGCTAGAGAATCAACCTTCTGAATTCAGGAGGATAGAATCTCCACTGAAACATCAGGTGCGTCATTAGTCAAATCAAGAAGTATGTATTTAGCACCTGTTGTATGCAAGATTGTGCTCACATCTGGAATACAGTTGTACTTTGTAAAACCTGTAAGTATGTTCAAAGAGGGGTGAATTGAAGGATATAAACACAAATACTTAGTGAGTGAATATTAAGTAATACTAAGGTATCCCTGGATGAACTGAATTTATGTCTTCTCCAAACATGCCCCTGGATGGCTGAGTGCTACTGAATTGTAGGGGCCAAGGGAAAACTTCTCCTTTGCCCTCTGAAGGGGTTCACTGAAAAGTAGCTGGTAAAAGACAGATTAATAGGAGAAATGGCATACAAATGTATTGATGTGCACAGCGTCTTACAACGATCTTAAAGGCAATATGGTTGATGCTTTCATACCATCTTGAGGTCACAGAAAGAAGGGGGCTCAGGGCATGGCCCAAAACAGGCTTTCATGGTAAATTGGGTTCTCGTGGCAAGACAGGTTATGGGAAGAAGAGAAGAAGAGGTCTGTGTAGCAAAGGTGGTCTTGTTAATGTGGAGGAAACCCCACAGGTAGCACCCTCGGAGAGAACTGAGACCTTTAACGGCATCAGACTGCAGTTAATCTTCCCTAATCAGGACAAGGGAAGGGCCTTGGAGAAAGCCTGGCTGCATCAATGCCGATTTTCTCTGCAGATGCAGATCTCCCCACCAAAGATAGCTTTTCAGCTATTATTTCCAGCCCTTCTGTATAGCCATCTTGAAATATGTCAGAGAAGTCTATTTTGGGGCAAAATATTTTGGTTTCCTTGAGAATAAAATTACACATCTGGATGGGTTGGTTCCATTGTAAATTCCTAGCTTCCAACTTCAACTCTGTCTGCATCATGCCTAGATGCTTGCTAGCTTTTTCACCTTAGCTCAATCCTCCACTTGCCACAGGGCTGCTGGGCCTGCACTCTTGTCAGCTTCTCCTTCCTTTAGTCTTTGTCTCAGCCAATCAGATCAGCTCTTGCTCAGAGAAAAAAGAAGCTAATGGGAACTTCCTCCTCTTTCTCCTGCCAGATCTAGAAATCTGCCCGTGCTTGCCTCCTCCCCTGCCTTTTCCCCCATGAGGTGGAAGCCGTCCTGCTAAGGCCAGTTTTGTGGTGGGACCCATGCCCTCCAGCCTTCTCAGGAACCGTATGCAGAGTATCACCTCTTTCCCATACACCCGTCTCTCCTGCCGCGTAGTACTTCTCCCTTAGCACTGACACTAGCTCAAGTCTAGTTGATCCTAGAAAACACACCTCCCTTGATCCCCACATCCTCCTCCAGTACTGCCCGCGTCCCTATTCCTTCCGCAGTGGGGCATCTTGGATGAAATGTCCTTTATTCCCTCACCTCCCACTCATTTCTAACTCAGTGAGACCTTTGCCCCCCATTGTTCCACCAGAACTGTTTTTGGCGTGACTACCAGTGGCATCCTCATTGGTAATTCCAGGGGACCCTGGACACCCATCCTCTTACTGGAACAGAGCTTCATTCACTGTTCTTACAAGAAACATTTCCCCTGGCTGCTGTCTTGCCAGCCTCTTACCCGCTACCTCTGTGGCTCTTCTATCCTTGCTGGCTCTTGGCTGAATGTGGAGGTTCCACAGACATCTCCCTAAGCCGCTGCCTCCTCCACCCAAGCACAACTGATCTCCCATCCACTGTCGCTCAGCCACGCCCTGTGGACTGGAGACTCGTACCTCATTCCTGTGCTCCTGACATGGACACCCAGTCGGACAGCTCCTTGGTGTGTCTCCCAGGCGTCTGAAGCTACGGTATCCCACACCAAACCCAAGACTACATTCTGTAGCTCTTTATTCACATGTTACCCTTGCCTCAGGATTCTCCCTTGCTACTGCCACCAGTACCATCTACTTTATACGTATGTATGGATGTCATATACATACTAAATATTTCCCTTCTTTTGCCTACTAGAATGTAAACTCCATGAGAGCAGAGATTTTTGTTTGTATTTGTTGCTGCCTCCCAGCACTTGGAGGAGGGCCTTAAGTGTAAAAGGTGCTCTGTGAATATTTGCAGAGTGAACATTTGATCTGAACCTGCCCCTCTCGGCCACCACCAGCCTGTTGCTCCTGATGTGCTTCACAGCCCATTCAATGGGACCTCCATCTCCTTTGTTATAGCCAGAAATCTTGAGGTCACCCCTGATTGGAACTTTCCCTCTCCTGTCTCACTAATCCTCAGTCTCCTCCCCTCTACCCTGAAATTATTTGGGAATCTGTTCATTTTTCTCCCTCCCTCCTGCCACCACATCTAATTCAAATCTTGGAAAGCACTTAGATCAGAACTCTATGACATTGGTCTTGGCAGTAATTTCTTGGATATGACACCAAAAAGCACAGGCAACAAAAGCAAAAATGGCCAAGTGGAACTGTGTTAAACTAACAGCTCTTGCACAGCAGAGGGAACCATGGAAAAGAGTGAAAAGGCAGCCTGTGGAATGGGAGAAAACATCTGGAGGCTATTTCTGACAAGGGATTGATTTCCAAAATACGTAAGGAACCCCTGCAACTCAATAGTGAGAAAACTGGTGACGTGAAAAATGGACCAAAGACTTGAATAGACATGTCTCCAAAGAAGACATACAAATACCCAGCAGGTGTATGGAAATGTGCTTAACATCCTAACTATCAAGGAAAGGCAAACAAAAACCACAGTGAGATACCATCTCCTAGCTGATGGGACCACTGTTACCAGAAAGCCCAAAGATAACAAGCGCTGGGGAGGGTGTGGGGAACATGGAACCCTTGTGCACTGTTGGGGGGATGCAAAATGCCACAACCGTTACAGAAAACTGGAGGCCTCAAAACATGAAAAACAGAATCACCATACGATCTAGCAGTTCCACTTACAGGTCTTGATTCAAAAGAATCAAAATGGGTATTTTGAAGAGAGACCTGTACTGCTAGTGTTCCTTGCAGCACTGTTCACAATAGCCAAGTGAACAGATAAAGAAAATGAAGTGTATACCTGCAGTAGGATGCTGTGCGTGCAGCCTGAAAGAAGGAAATCCTGCCATTCGTGACAACGTGGGTGACCATGAAGGAGATTATGCAAAATGAAATAAGCCAGACACAGAAAGAAACTGCATGGTTCCACTTAAATGTGATATCCAGCATAGACTCACAGAAGTAAAGGGTGGAATGGCGGTCATCAGGGGATTGGGGGAGAGGGAAATGGGGAGCTACTTAATCAATGGGATGAAATTTCATTAAACAAGATGAGAATGTTCTAGAGATATGCCGTACTACATGGTACCTGTAGTCAACAATAATGTAGACTTAGAAATGTGTTAAGCGGTGGCTCTCATGTTCACTCTTCTTACCACAGTAAAATCAGCACTTAGACCTTGGCCCTGGTTCAAGGCGTCCTCCGGAGCTGAGGCAGGGGCTCTTGTAAGCGGCACCACTGGCCTTGCCGGACCCCAGCCTAAGCCCTTCCCTGCCTCCCCATTTCCTTTTGGTTGAATCCAAAAAAAACCTGGTCCCATCTGGCTTCACTTCCTGCCACCCGGTGCTAGCGCCCTGGCCTCTCCGTTGTTGAGAACTGATTGCCATCGGCCTTTGCACAGGGCCAGTGCATGTGGCTCTTGGTGCAAGTGACACCCCTGGCATTGTGCAGTTCCTGGTGTGCCGCACAGTAGACCCTGTGCTGATGACCAGCCATGGCCTTTTCTGTCATCTAAGAACTTACAGATGTTTGTCAGTTTGCTTTACTTTTTTTCTTCGTACTCACAAAAGTAATGGTCTGGCAGTTTTTAAAAAGGCAGGGGAGCAAACAGTACAGGAATGAAAGAGGAGGCCGTTTTCCTTCGTACTTAGGAAACGTGCATCACCAGCAGCTGTCACGATGCCAGAGGCTGCTTCTCCCTTCGTCTTGCCTGGCCCCTGCCTGGGTCCTGCCAGGCTTCCCCTGAACTCACACGGAAGCTCAGATGACCAGCTTAGGCAGGGTGGATGGCCCTCCAAGCTTTGGCCAGGTTGCCACGACTGGAAGGAGGAAGTGGTAACTCCAAAGTTGGCTTCTCCTCGGGGTGGTCGGCTTTTCTGCCCAGGAGGCTGGGTAGTGGAATTTCTGGGTTCTTCTGTAGAATAGAGACCTGCCCTTGGGCCCTCACACTCAACACTGGGCGAAGTGCAGCGTGTTGCTTGTCTGTAGCATGGCCACTGCACCCACCGTCCCCTTCACCCTGTTACCCTGTGAGACGGGTGCGGCAGAGCCTGCATCCCTCCTCCAGCTGGGGAGGCAGAAGCGCAGAAGCTTCGGGTGACCTCCTGAGGGGTGTCTGCCTAGCCAGGGACGTCTCCATTCCCCACAGGCAGGGCCGCTGTCTGCCTCGCAGCCCATGGGGCTCTGCTGGCGTGAACGCGGCCTTGCAGGGTGGCAGAGGGAGAGCGAGCAGCGGGGGCGGGGGAGGAGCACAGGGTGTGCAGTTGGGTCATAAACTCACTGCTTAGATGGAGTTACTAAGGAGTTAGAAAGCAATGCTTACTGCTGTATCATATTTGAGTGATTTTTTCTGGTTCTTCTAAAACCTAAACATGGGGTAAAAATGACTTACCTTCACGTTAGTCATGAAATCTTATATTATGCTGTGATTATGTCTCTTTTTTATTTTAACTGTAGCATCGGTGTGTGGCTATTTTTAAAGACAAACAGAACAAGCCTACTGGTTTTGCCCTGGGAAGTATCGAGGGGAGAGTTGCTATTCACTATATCAACCCCCCGAACCCGTAAGTGTGACTCTGTCAGCTTGCAGATTTCACTGGACTTTTTTTAACAAAGGAAGACTTACATGAACCTTTGTCTTTCAGCGCCAAAGATAACTTCACCTTTAAATGTCATCGATCTAATGGAACCAACACTTCAGCTCCTCAGGACATTTATGCGGTACGTTTTTAGACACTTTAACCGTGGTAATACATCTGGAAACCAGACTTGGAGGTGGCTGAGGAATTGTGGGATCAGAAAAGACTCATCACTGAAGAGCTTGTGTGTTCATGTCCGGAGATAAGTGGCTTATGCTGTAGGCTTCAGGTTTCTGTGGATTTTTGTTGTTGTTTTTGAGACGGAGTCGCTCTGTCGCCCAGGCTGGAGTGCAGTGGCGTGATATCACCTCACTGCAACCTCCGCCTCCTGGGTTCAAGCGATTCTCCTGCCTCAGCCTCCCAAGTAGTTGGGACTACAGGCGCCCAGCTAATTTTTGTATTTTTAGTAGAGACGGCGTTTCACCATATTGGCCAGGCTGGTCTCGAACTCCTGACCTTGTGATTTGCCCGCCTCGGCCTCCCAAAGTGCTGGGATTACAGGCGTGAGCCACCGCACTTGGCCTTGTTTTCTGTGTTAACGTGCCGCCTAACTAGCAGTGTTGTGTATTTGTTTCTGAACATAAGCTTAGGATGTTTTGCCGAGAGTCTTCTCCCTCCCTCAGGAGCGCTGGTAGACAGTTCACACCCACAGCTCAGACTGAGAAATCTGTTTGCTCAAAAGAAACATTTTCCTGAGGTCTGCTCCTTGTTTCTTGCTGTCCACATGCTCACTTTCTCTGGTGTGCAGCCCTCACAGGAGGCAAGATTGGGTTCTGGGCTGGCATTTGATGGAGGAAGCCTGGATAGTTTCTCTTGCTATCAGCGGGCAGCAGCTGGAAGGAAATGTACCTGTGCGCTTTGTTTCCTAACTCAAGCAGGAAGTGTGCGTGGGTGGAACCTTCTCTGCGCCCCTCTGCCTGGCTTCTCATTGTGCATGTCAATCCTTGCAGGTAAATGGAATCGCGTTCCATCCTGTTCATGGCACCCTTGCAACTGTGGGATCTGATGGTAGATTCAGCTTCTGGGACAAAGATGCCAGAACAAAACTAAAAACTTCGGAACAGTTAGATCAGCCCATCTCAGCTTGCTGTTTCAATCACAATGGAAACATATTTGCATACGCTTCCAGCTACGACTGGTCAAAGGTGAGAACTCCCGGGCCTGCTCTGGGTGCTCCAAGGCAGCAGAGCCAGGCTCTGGGTTCAGAAGGCCTAGGCCTGAGTTGTGACTCTTCTCAGGACTCACGTGTGTCCTTGGGCAGGTCACCGTCCCCTCCCTGTAAGGGGAAATTGCAGGACTTCCTCAAATGGTTGTGGGGATTCAGTACAGCCTTTGGCCAGAACCCAGCACACAGGAAGTGCTCGGCCAGTGTGAGCCATTACGGGCTGCTCTGTTCCTGGGCACAGAAGCACAGGCAAGCCGGGGGCTGCACTTTATGAAGGGGGTGGCAGGGCGGGTCATGGAGCTTTCGCCTGGGTGCTGTTGGTTGCTTGGTTGGCTGGTGGTTTGGGCAGGGGGAGTTAGGAGCTGGCAGGAGTGGGGCTGCATTTTTGAGGCCTTTGGGCATGATGGTGAAATGTGTAGACTCGGGTACTCTGCCCAACCCCATGGGAAGTGTGTTGGCTTTCAACCAGCCTGCGTGTTTCTCCACTGCTCAGCTCTTCTGGAGAGGTTGTCATCATTGTATTTGTGGTTTTCATCATTCTCCTCCCACCCCACTCTGCCCTTTGCCCACAACAGCCTTCTAGACTTTTCCCTACCCTGCCCTGGCTTCCGATGGGGAGGTCACCTGCTTCACATAGGAGGGGCTTCCAGTGGCCTGCAGTGTCTTTCCCGCTCACCTCATGTCTGCCTGCGCTGACCCCGTCTCCTTCCACCCTCATGGCTCTTTTCTGGGCCTTCTCCCACTGTCTTCTGTCCCCGTCCACCAGCTCCTCCCCTCTGTCTAAGCATGGAAGGCTCGAGGAACCATTTCCATGTATATTAAGGCTATCGAGAGAGTGGTGTCAGCACCTACCCTCTTGGTTCCCTGTGCTCTGGCCCCTCCTCAGTCCACTGCCAGGTACTTTCTGGCCTCTTGCAGCTGTACTCAGAGTCCCTGTGGCCACGTCCTCCTCATCCAGTCCAGAAGCTTCCTTTCTGTCTGTGCCGGTCACTCACCCGTCCCTTCCTGTTCCATACAGCTCTCCTCCCTGCTTCTTGGCCATGTCCTGGTTTATTCTGCTTTGGGCTGTGGTTCCTGTCCTCCTGCCAGCTCCTGTCTCCTGCCCCTCTTGCCTTGCTGGCCCCCCGCTATCTCAGCCTGGGGGGCCACCACAGGGCTCTAAACAGCGCTTTGCATTCCCAAGACACCTGCTGCCACACAAGCCAGTGACTGGAGACGTCCCTTGGTTCGGGCCCTGCCCGCTCCACCTTTAGTATTTCCCAGTCTCAGGAGCGTGGCTGCACCTGAGTCTCCCTGAGGCCCCGAACTTAGACACAGAAGTCCAGCTGATTGCCTTCCATCCCTCTGACCCCTCCAGGCCTGCTGCTGCTTCTGTGTTTCCCTGTTTGAGGGTTTGCTGTGTGAGCCATGAAGCTGTGTTCTTTTTTTAAAGCAACTTTATTGAGGTACAATTGAAATACAGTCATTGTTTAAAGTGTACAATTTGATCAGTTTCAACATCTGTAAATACCCATGAAACTATCACCATAGTCATCTCCCCGAAAGGTTTTTGTGTATATTACTGTAATCTTCCCTTACGCACACACAAAACCATGGATCTGTTTTCTGGCATTATGGACTAGTCTGAATTTTCTAGAATTTTATATAAGTGGAGCCCTACGCTACATTTTCCCCTCGCCCCAGCTTCTTTCCCTCAGCATAAGGATTTTGAAATTCACCCATGCTGTTGAGTGAATCACTTGTCCGTTACTTTTCAGTGCTGGGTAGTATTCCCGGGTGGGGTGTGCCATTTGTTTATCCATTCACCTGTGTAAGCCATGCACTCAGTTTTGTGACAAGAGTGTACTTTTTTGGTTCTGCCTGGCTGGGGGTGGACAGGCTGTGGCGTGCGTGGAGCCCGAGGCCTCAGCTCCCACATCGGGCTCTTCATTGAATCTCCTCTTTGCATACTCATCCCAGCAGCTGCATCAAAATTCTGCATTTTAACTTAAATGACGCGGGACTCTATACGTTATACGCGTTAAAAAATGTAGTAAATTGAAAGCAGTGAGAAAGGTAATTGCTTTGAGTGCTGTTTAAAAATTGAAGTAAAATCTCATTCATTTAAGCAGTTAATGTCAGCTTATTGTGGGGGTTACATAAATTAGCATCTTTTTAGTTTAAAAGAGAAATTTGCTTCAGGGGTTTTTCATTGTTCTTAGTTCAAGGACAGTTATCTCCAGTGCAAAGTCATGATCACATATGATTGATGTTATTAGCTTGCTGCTTGAGTTACTGTTCAGAAAAACTACACTTTGTATATTATGAGAATTAGTGGTCACTGTTGAGCAAAACTTCTAGAGCTTTCTTGGCATGCCTGTTGGGAAGAGAATAAAAATGTGTCATCAGAGTACAGGTGACAGAGTGCACCCAGCGCCATGCCCCACCTCCCTCTTCCAGTCCTTTGGCCCACCTGCGGCTCCTGCCTGCTGTCTTTCTTCCGGATCATCTGCCTGGCCCACCCCACTCACCTCTCTTCTTAAAACTTAAATGTGATCACATCACTGACCTGCCTACAGCCTCCTTTTCCCTGGGGAATAACGTTCAAAGGCCTCCCTCTGCCATTCACAGCCCTGTAGTCTGGCCTCATCCTGATTTCGGGGGTCTTTCGATGCTGTATAGCCCTGCATCCCCTCCGGTGTGGGCCCGGGCAGACGTGCACACCTCCGCACACGCCTCTGGCTCACTCACCACCGTTCATGCCTCTGCTGTGCTCCGTGTCTGTTGCTCCTTCCATGTGGGGCGGGGTGTCCTCCTTCATCCCCATGATACCCCGCAGGTCAGATGTCCTCCTTTCTGTGAAGCATTCTCAGGTCAGAACTAATTCTGACCAAGGGACCCAAGGCAGTTATCCTGGCGTTAAAGTCCTGGGGTGTTAAAAGGGGGCTCAGTGTTGAAAAGGAACTCACAGGTTCCTACTCACAGACTCTCTCAGTAGGACATTGATGACACACTGGTACCAACCACATCCTTAGGCCTTTCTCTGAGGACTGAAGTTCTGCTTCGCATTTGACTTTATCTTTGTTGTTTTATTTCTCTGAGAGATTATATGTTTCCAGTATTGTAGCACAGGACTTCACCTAGAAAAAGCACCTACAAATGCTAACTTTCTTTTGAATAATAAGATCATTGGTGTTTTTTGCTCTCTTTAGGGACATGAATTTTATAATCCCCAGAAAAAAAATTACATTTTCCTGCGTAATGCAGCCGAAGAGCTAAAGCCCAGGAATAAGAAGTAGTGGCTGGAGACTCTGGCTCAGCCAGAGTTGTTTCTCTCCACTCTGCCTCATCTCTGTACGAATTTGGGTCCCAGCCTTGTTGGGTTGTCAGCCATGGACATGGATTTCAACCCCTGGAGAAAACGATGTCATTGTTCAGCAGCTGAGAGCCCAGGCGTCCGCGGCGACTTGCCGTCTCTCCATTCCACTGCCTGTTGCAGAGTTTTTCTGTAACTAAGGGGGTTGAGGTTATTGTAGACGTTAGATTGCGGGCACCGCCAGGGATTTTGCAGCGCTTCAGTGTACGTGTTAGAGAATATTGGAAAAGCGTCTGTGAGCCCCGTGCTGTATTTTGTAATAAAGTCTTTTGCAGATTGCTTCCCGAGCTTCCTTTGTCCTTTTCTCCCCTTGCCCACCCCGTAACCTCAGGAACATGCGTCCTGCCCAGCATCAGCGTGGGGTTTTGAGTTGAGATTTCAGACACCCTCTGGGAAATGCGGCAACCTTAGGGGAAAGGGAGTCCCCAGCTGCGCTCACTTCTGCTGCGCGGAACGGCAGCCTCTGTGAGCCCTGGTGGGCAGAGTTTGAATGTGTTTTTCCTTGCTTCCCTCATTCCCATCTTCAAAATCCCCAGTGCTTTCTGGCCTTGCTGCTCAGATTTCCGAGTGACTCAAATGGGGACTGTTACTTGTGCTGGGTGACAGGCCATTTGTGGGTAACCTCCTAAGGCCCAAGTGGGTGACACTTGCGTGACTTTCAAGTTAGAACCCAAGCCCCCTGCATGGGAATTGCCCTGAACTCTTACCCACCCCGGTCCCCTGCATGGGAATTGCCCTGAACCCTCAGTAGTGGTTGTTTGGCTGTTCTTTTGTATTTTGTGTAATTTAAAATTCCTGGTTGGTAAGTATTCAAAATGAAATTCAGCTGGGCTGAGAAAAAGTGTGACTTTTGGGTCTGTCACTGTATTTCTCACCTGTGATCTCAAATGCTTCTTAGGCCTTTCTGTTTGGACTAATGTGTGAAGTCTGACTTGCTGAGTGTAAAATTCTAGTATCGATAGTGTTGTAAGATGTGTTTGCCTACTCATAAAAAACAATGAAAATAAAATTTTCTACTGGAAGAGACCACCTGCACTCAGTGGTTTAAATTCTTTGGTAGGTCACAATGAATTCAGACCCACCCACTCTCCAGCCCTGTTTTTTTAGCCCGAAAACTTATTTTTTAGAGATAAAAAAGCAGGTGCACTAGAAAAATATCTGAATTTTCAGGTTAACGGTTTCCAGCTCATTTTCCTCTTCACTTTATGAATCAAGCCTGTGGTCTTATCAACGTGGGGAAGATCTAGCTAGCATAAGACTGCTGTGAGGGGAGATTGAAGCTTGATTATCTCAGCAGCCAACTTTCATATTCAGCTTTAGCTTAGCCAGAGTTTCATTGTTTTTACCACCCCTAGTGACGGGCTAGGGTGGAAAATGAGTCTAAATTGCAGGCCTTTTAGAGTGCGCTTTCCCAGGATGGGACCTTGCCACCTCCCCAAGGGGATAGTTTTTGTAATTGGCAAATTTAAAACATTTGCATAAATCCAAGATTGGACTGGGCTGTCAGAACCTGGGAGGGAGCTCTGCTGCCACCAGGATGTGAACCCTAGATGAGGCCCAGGCTCATTTCTCTGCTGCCCAGGACCTAAAGCATAAAAGCACACTACATGTTTGCTAATGAGGATCTAGGAAGTATTCACTGAGATCGTTAAGCTTCTTCAAATATTTATGTTCATGTTTCCTAAAATGCATATGAAGTCTTAGAGGAACTCTTCATCTTAAACTTCAGCATCTTTGCAGGCACCTGTAAGTTGCATGCAGTAGGTGCTCATTAAGTATTCATAAGTTTGATGGCATCTTCTACTTCAAAGAGATACTAGTGTAATCTTGGCTCTTTGTTTCACTAAATGTCAAGCCGTCCTGCCATTAAATATTGACTGCACACCCTGTTAAGAGCTGCTTTCGTTGAAAGTAAAGTATATAAACCTCATGGAGAAGACAAATTGTGTTCTTTCACTTAATTTTTTCCAACATATGAAAATTTTAAAACATCCACAAAAGTGGAAAGGGTTTTGGCAGTGAACATACACCTGCCATCTGCCTGCCACCAGGATGCCACCATGAACACTCACCTTTCCCTTGATTTTCTGCTTGGTTTTGCCTGGCTTTCCTCCCAGTCTTTGTTGTAACATCGCTTCCTTGGTTCCTCACTGTGGGAACAGGGCCTCATGGGAAGAACTTTGTGTAAAGATGCTGCTGCAACAAGGTGGCAGGGATTTAGGGTGGGCACAGGAAGGTGCACTCGGTTCCTGTCATGTTTGGTTGGAAGCAGGATGGAGCTGTGGTGGGTTTGTGTGAGACACCTGTCTGTGAGCCTGTGCTCACGTGTGTGCACGTGTGCATGTGAGCCTGCCTGTGAAAACCCTCTCAGTCAAAGGGGCCAGCTGAACCCGCCTGCCTCACCCCGTTTTCGGGTTAGCTTCACACCAGAGATCCTCTGGCAGAGGAAGAACAAAGGATGCGGCAAGTGCCTGGCCTGCTGGCAGTGAGCTTGCTGACTTTCACCAGAAAATCACCACCAAGAGAAGGTAAACAGCAAGGGCCAGGCGTGGTGGCTCACGCCTGGAGTCTCAGCACTTTGGGAGGCCAAGGCGGGAGGATCACTTGAGGCCAGGAGTTCCAGACCAGCCTGGGCAACAAAGCAAGACCCTGTCTCAAAGAAATTTTATTGAGTCATGTAGGAAATGTTTGTTTTTCTCATTCAACCAAAATTTTCGTCTCTTTTGGAGGAGAGACTCTAAAACATGAACTAAACACATGTTCTTGAACACTCGGGAGTGCCTAAGCCAGCCTTTTCCGAATTCACTCATGACCCATTCGTAGGTTGTGAAATGAACGTAGTTGTTGCAGTGAGCGTTTCTTTTAGTGGAGCCACACAAAATCACAGAATCTATGTATGTATGAGATATTTTCATATCCTGGGGTGGGATTCTTCTCTGTGCCTGTCACTTTTTGTATGGTTTAGGATGAGTTCTTAGCTTCGGTGACCTCAAGTACTAAGCCATAACTGCACTTGAGGTCTCCCCAAAATGGGAGGGATGATTATATTAATTATATTTGAAATAACCTTATAACATTGCAATTAAGAACAGGGGGCTGGGTGCGGTGGCTCATGCCTGTAATCCCAGCACTTTGGGAGGCCGAGGCAGGCGGGCCACTTGAGGCCGAGAGTTCCACACCAGCCTGGCCAACAAGGCAAAACCCGTCTCTACTAAAAATACAAAAATTTGCTGGGCACGGTGGCACCTGCCTGTAATCCCGGCTACTGGGGAGGCTGAGGCGTGAGAATTGCTCAAGTGCTTGAGCCCAGGAGGTGGAGATTGCAGTGAGCCTAGATCACGACAGAGTGAGACCCCGTCTCAAAAAACAAAAAAACATGTACTTGAAATTGGACTGCCCACCTTCAATTCCAACTCTGTCACCAACTTTGCTAACATGTGATTTACCCTTTGTTTAAGCCTGTGATTTAACCCTCTGAGCCTCAGTGACCTCATCTGTAAAATGGGAGACATTAAAAGTAGCTATCATAATGGTTGTGTGAGTAGTCAAAGAGTTAAAGCGTAAAAGTGCCCCTGTGGCTGGCCCGTGATGTGGAGTTTGAATGTAGCTGCTACTACGAGTGCCAGTGAGGATGACATCCATGAGAAGTCTCCTGCTCAATGGGGCTGTGCTGTCGGTATACAGGCGGGACAAAAAGGTCCAGAGACCAAGTGACTGGAGATCTTGCTTGTCTCTAAGATTCTTTCCCCAGGAGCCGGGTGTTGTGCTTAGGTCTGGCCAGCAGATGGCGCGAATGGCCCCAATGCCAACATTGGAGCATGTGTTTCTGTGTTCAGTTTCACAGACTTGAGTTCATTAAAAGAAATGAAGTGTTGGCCACCCCCTTCCATTTTTTGTTGTGTTGCTAAGCTTTTAGGATATTTGGGAAGTAGAATCAAAACATTGCTTATGCTGTCAGAAGAATCGTCTTAAAAATAACACACTTAGATTGAAGGCCTCCTTGGAAAATGCTAAAGGAGATAATTTGTCAGAGGTGGGACCCTGATTTTTCTGTTTCAAACTTAATGTCCGCGATGGTTTCCTCGTGGAACACTGAAGCCTTGGCGCCCGCGGTGTGGGGGCCTCTGAGCACTCCCGTGCCCCATAGCATCATCCCTGCCGTGATATGGGAAACACAAATCCCTGGTGGTGGCAAACAGGTCACTTTAAGACTCGTGTTAGTAACTTTGAGGCTCTGTGGCCCGTTGGAATTGAGATGTAAACCTAAAACAGCAGATTTCAAAGGCTTAGCGCCAAAAAAAATGAACTAAACACATGCTCTTGAAATTAATGTAAATGCCATTAATTTTCATACCAATTACACATTCAAATGATACTATTTTGGATAATTTAACTTTCCCCTGCTTATATTTGTTAAAATGTGGCTACTGGAAATTGTAGATTCCATTCGTGGCTCATGTTGTATTCATCTTTCTCTGGGACATCACTGCACTAGGTCATCTGACTTTTGGAGGTGTCACCCACCACTCCACACCAAATATTAAAATGCACCCACATCCTGCTTTAAATACACATTGTTTTGAAGGCAAATTCTTTGAAAAACTTTCCTATTTTACTTCTGAAATGATTTGGCCGTAAGCGTACACTCCATGTTGATTTCTTAATCATGACCTCGAATAATAGGGAATTTCTCACAAAGTGCAGCGTTTCCTACAAAGCTACAAATTGTTTTCAAATTGATTGGATATTAGAACACTAAATAGTTTGTGAGGTCTCCAGTATTACATTTGTAGGCCTTTACTTAAACGGATTAATTTGGGGATTTTTCTTGTTTGTTTTTGGTTTTTTTGGGGGGAGGATAGCATCTTGCTGTATCTCCCAGGTTGGAGTGCAGTGGTGCAATCTCGGCTCACTGCAGCCTCTGCCTTTCGGGCTCAAGTATCCTCCCACCTCAGCCTCCTGAGTAGCTGAGACTACAAGTGTGCACCACCACACCAGGCTCTGTTTTTTATTTATTTTTTATTTTTTTGTATTTTTGGTGGATACAGGGTTTTACCGTGTGTGCCCAGGCTGATCTCAAACTCCTGCGCTCAAGCAGTCCTCCCGCCTTGGCCTCCCAAAGTGCTGGTATTACAGGTGTAAGCCACCACACCCAGGCTGGGGTTGTTGTTTTTAAATATCTTCAAGCCAGTTCTCTTTTTCTTTCTTTCTACCTCTCTGCCCTTCAACATTTTTGTAGGCTCTTAAAAAGCTGTATAAGCCCCAGACCCCAGGGCCTGGCTATAGTGTTTAGGAAAGGCAGTCTCAACACAAGCATTGTATTTCCTTGCAAGGTACTGGCTTGTTAATCAGAGCCTGGCAATGTTTCACAGCTCTGCGAGGTCTTCCTGCTCACTGCGGTTCCCCTATCTCACGGCCTACATTTATCCCACGGAGATGGGAGAAGCCAGGAGAGGTTGTGGCTGCACCTTTGAGGGTTTTATTATGACAGGTGTTAGGTCACTGTAAGGCAAATATGGGCAGTGTAAACAGTTTCGTAGCCGACTGTGTGAGTTTTTACACTTTATTGAAGTGTGACATATAAAAGGCTGTACATATTTAACTTATACAACTTGATGAGTTTGGAGATAAACATACACCCATGAAACCATCACCACAGTCTAAGAGCCTATTGTGAATTTTGCATCAATCTATTGAAAAATATTTTTTCAGGTGAGGGCTGTTTCGAAAGCCAATGAGAAACACCTGTTGCATACTTGCTTAAAATGTAAATCGGCTCCCGAAAAAGAACTGACCTGCATTCTTAATCTTTTATTCTTTTTCCCTCCTGACTGTGGTGCAGAGGAGGCAGTATGGGAGGAGACAAAGCTCAAAGAAGGCACTGACAATCCCCAGCATCCTACGGGCCCGAATCCACACTGCGGATTCCGTCAGCTCACTGGCGGCAGCACTCTCTGGTGTCTTTTTTTTTTTTTTTTTTTTTGAGACTGAGTCTCGCCCTGTCGTCCAGGCTGCACTGCAGTGGCGTGATCTCAGCTCAGTGCGCCCTCTGCCTCCCGGGTTCAGGCGATTCTCCTGTCTCAGCCTCCCAGGTAGCTGGGATTACAGGAGTGAACCACTGCACCTGGCCTTCTCTTGTGTCTTTTGTCTTTCATTTCTCTTCTTCACTACCCGTCAGCATGATAGGTTTCTTCCTCCTCTTATGAATCCCAGTGTCAAGATACAGCCTGATCGCCCCTTAATACGGTGCCGCCATTACTCCAGACCCCTCTGCAAGCATTGGTCATTCATCAGCTTTCACGAGGTGAACTGGGGACGAGGCAGGGGCTTGGACCGGCTTCCTGGCCAGGACTCACTGCCTTCCTCAGCTGAGAAGACTGCATTTCCAGGTTGAACCCTGACCCCCACTGACTTTGGGCATCTCCATGTGTCCTGTGTTTGCCAGCCTTTCCACTCCCTTGTAAATCTTTCTGCCTCCAGGACTGGCTGCTAAAACAGGTGCACTGGAGGCCGCTCCCTGTGTTACTTGAAGCATGGCACTTGCCACTGTCTTCGGTGAGGGGGCGTTTCCCTCTGGTGCTGGGGAGCCAGGGCATCCATTTGGGGCTTCATGTCATCTCTTGGGACTTCACGTACCTCGAATCCAACCTGTGGGCCCCTTCGGTGGGGCTTTGCTGTGAGAGTACCTTGACTGGTGTGGAAGGCCCAAGCATGGTTCTGCTTAGCACCTGACGGTTGCCTACAAAAGGAAAATCAGTATTAATATTTGTTATGGGCTGAGCTGTCGTCCTCCAGATTCATATGTTGAAGTCCTCACTCCTAGTACCTCAGATTAGGACTGTATTTTGGAGACATGGTCTTTAAACAGTCAATTCAGATAAAATGAGGTCACTAGGCTGGGCCCTGGTCCAATAGGTCTGGTATCCTAGACCAGGAAATCTGGACACAGACAAGGACAGAGGAAGGGCCGCATGAAGACACAGGAAGAGGGCGAGGTCCGCACACCACAGAGAAGGCCTTGCAAGGAGCCAGCCCTGCAGACATCCAGATCTCAGACTTGTGCCCTCAGAACTCTAAGAGAATAAACTTCTGTCGCTCGGTCTCCCGGCCTGTGGTAGTTTGTGACAGCAGCTCAAGGTGACCACTACAGTCTTCCGCAGTGGCCACTTGCATTTGGGCTGCATGACCTGGTGTCTGCAGGATCCACAGCACCAGCCACCGCGCACCGGGCTCCCAGGGCAGGCAGTGTTGAGCGTCTTGTAGCGGCGCTGGTGGGGGCAGGATCTCCGGCCTGTGCCACCCTCACAGCCACTGCAGAAACAAACTCAGCCTTCCCCAGCGCCACGTGCAGCTCACAGCTCGGGGATTCGCTGCCCCAGCGCCACGTGCAGCTCACAGCTCGGGGATTCGCTGCAGGCTTCCCTTCACCTGCTAACCTGCAAGGTGCCAGAAAACCAGAAGCAGTAGCGTCCCTGAGAGAGTTGGGGCGTTTGTGCCCCACGTTTCCTGCCAGCAGTGGCTGCTTTCCTTGGCTTGATCAAGGCGCTGCCTGCAGCTGTCCAGCTTCTTACCTGACGTCTCGGCCGCCCAGCTCAGCTCGCAAGAATTCTTGTTCTTCGTGGCACTTCCTTTTCCTAGAGCTTTCATCACCACCATTTTGTTTGTTTGTTTGTTTTTGAGATGGAGTCTCCCTCTGTCACCCAGGCTGGAGTGCGGTGGTGTGATCTCGTGATCTCAGTGGCGTGATCTCAGCTCACTGCAACCTCCACCTCTTGGGTTCAAGTGATGCTTCTGCCTCAGCCTCCTGAGTAGCTGGGATTACAGGCACCACGCCCAACAATTTTTGTAGAGATGGAGGCCAGGCTGGTCTTGAACTCCTGACCTCAAGGGATCCACCCGCCTTGGCTTCCCAAAGTGTTGGGATTACCCACCAGCACCCAGCCTCTCATCACCATCTTGAAGCCAAAGGATGAGGGGACACCGAGCCCAGGGGCAAGTGCCATCATGCAGGCTGGCGCCAGCACCTGCCTAGGCCCCCTATGCAGCCCCTGCCCTCGCAGACACACCTGTCCACACTGTATAGCAAGGCCACCTCCCTCTTCATGAGAAAGATCCTGGGGCAACGAACAACTTTTGGCACAGGAGACCAATCAGGTCATTTGGTTATTGACAGGGAGTAGCAGGCTCTTCCCCACTTTCTCATTCTTCTGCACCCCCAGTTTGCCACTTGGACTACACTCCTTTCCCTAGGGGATGAGGGCTCAGCTTTCAATGTGAGCTGTGTTGTTTCCCGAGGTTGCAGTAACAAATGGCCACATGCTTAGTGGCTCAGAACCACAAAAGTGAATCCTCTTATAGTTCTGGAAGCCTGACATCCAAAATGACTATTAGGGGACTAAAATCAAGGTGGCAGCAAGGCTGGTTCCTTCTGGAGGCCTGAAGGGAGGATCCATTTCTTGCTTCTCCTGGCCTCTGGTGGCTGCCAGCAACCCTTGGCTTGTGACCGCATCACTCCAGCCTCCTGTTCTGGGCTCACATCTATTCCCGTTCCTTAGTCAAATCTGGAGCCGTCCTCAGATGGAGACTCTTGTGATTTCAATGGGTCCCTCTGGATGACCCTCGATACTCTCCTCACCTCCAGATCCTTAGTCACATCTGCAGAGTCCCTGTCACCAAGTAGGGTGCCATGTTACAGGTTCCAGGGATTAGGATGCAGAGGCCAGGATTCGGCCATGCACACAGGCCAGTGTCTTTCTGTCTTTGCAGCTGAAACTGAGGCATGTGCACTCTGCTGCTCCAGGAGCTGTCCACCAATGCTGCTGGGGCGGCCTGTGACAGCATCGACTGAGCCTGTCATTGCCACCTGGAGAGGGGCTGAACCTTTCCTCTCCCCAGTACCAGTGCCTGCTGGTGCATTTTGGCCTCTGTGCCCAGTAGTATGGGGAAACTTTTTTTTTTTTTGAGATGGAGTCTCACTCTGTCACCCAGGCTGGAGTGCAGTGGTGCAATCTCGGCTCACTGCAACAACCTCTGCCTCCCAGGTTCAAGTGATTCTCCTGCCTCAGCCTCCCGAGTAACTGGGATTACAGGCACGCACCACCACACCCAGCTAATTTTGTATTTTTAGTGGAGACGGGGTTTCACCATGTCGGCCAGGCTGGTCTCGAACTCCTGACCTTAGGTGATCCACCTGCTTCGGCCTCCCAAAGTGCTGGGATTCCCAGGCTCACTGCTCTGCACCTGGCAGATGAAAATGGCAACCTGGGGCTCCCATGGATTCAAAGGAGCTGGGCTGCAGGCTGGGGGTGTACAGGCCACCTGCACCAAGCTCAGCCCAAAGCTGAGTCCCCGAAGAGCCTTGATATAAACACCAACACGACAAACAAAAAGAGGAGGCCCAAGAGCGCGGGGCCTGAAGACTCAAACCAGAGCCCTGCCTGGATGGGGCTGTGCTGTTTCAGATCGCAGTGGCCGGCCTCACCTGCTCCTCTCTGCACATCCTCATCAGGGTAAACTCACTCTCCCTCCTCTGCAGGGCAGCTGGAGCCACAGCTGGGAGCAGAGAGCAGGCCTAGGCCAGGCAGTTCTGCATTTGTGCCCTGCACACATCACACATTTGCGAGGGAGGCAGGAGAGGACCTCTCTGAGCATCAGTTTCCTCAGCTATATAATGGGCATCATCGTAGTCATCTCTTCCTAGGGCTTTTGTGAGATGAACTAAGATAACACACAGAAAGTGCTGGGCTCATCCTCACACTGAGCAGGAATTCTGCGTTCCAAGCTCCTGCAATTTCCATTTTCTCACCCAGCACACACAGTTGCCAGTCCTCCCTCCCGCTCCCCAGTGAGGCCTGAGGGACCCAAGTCACCTCTGCCCAGCCTGGCTCCCAGCCTAGTCTCACAAAACTGTGTTCCCTTTCCAGGGGCCCTTTGTGGGCCATGGAACCCTTGGCAGTCAGCTGATACCTAAGGTAATAGTATTAAACACTTAAAATGCTTACCAGCCAGGCACGGTGGCTCACACTTGTAATCCCGGTGCTTTGGGAGGCGGAGGTGGGAGGGTTGCTTGAGGCTAGGAGTTTGAGACCAGCCTAGACAATAAAGGGAGACCTTGACTCTACAAAAAAAAATTTAAAAAATCAGCTGGGCGCATGCCTGTGGTTCCAGCTACTCGGGAGGCTGAGACTGCAGGGAGCTATGATCACACCACTGCACTCCAGCCCGGACAACACAGCAAGACCCTGTCTTTATAAAAAATAATAATAACAAATAAAATGCTTAGATTAGCAAAGGAAAACAATCACATTAAAATATAGGCTGGGTGTGTTGGCATGCACCTGAAGTCCCAGCTACTCAGGAGGCTGAGGCAAGAGGATCAACTGAGCCCAGGAGTTCTGTATCAGCCTGGGCGACATAGAGAGACCCCATCTCTAATTAAAACAAATAAAAACGGCTATGAAAATATTTAAAAAACAAATATGTGATGTAGCAATGTAGACAAGCAATGTCTTCTTCATCAATGCGTTCAACAACAAGGTCAAGTAGTGGCGCTGATGAGACTGTAGTTTTTTTTTTTTTTTGAGACGGAGTCTTGCTCTGTCGCCCAGGCTGGAGTGCAGTGGTGCACATAAATGTGTGTTTGAGGCTGGGTGCAGTGGCTCAGCCTGTAATCCCAGCAATTTGGGAGGCCAAGTCAGGAAGATTGCCTAATCCCAAGAGTTCGAGACCAGCCTCTACACAAAATATAAAATTATCCCGGCATCGTAGTACGCACCGGTAATCCCAGTTACTTGGGAGGCTGAGGTAGGAGGATGGCTTGGAGCCCGAGAGGTCGAGGCTGCAATGAGCTATGATCGCTACACTCCAGCGACAGGGAGAGACCTTGTCTCAAAAAAAAAAAAAAAAAAAGTGTGTGTTTGGGTGAATGACTGATTGTCAGGCAGAAGCTGGTGACCCGTGGAGACATGGGGCCGCCGGAGGGGGGGAGGGATTGGTGATCCAGATACCCAAGGGGGCCCGGGGGCGGGGGGCGAAGGAGTGCGACTGGACCCGCACCTGGGCAACCGCGTCTCCAGCCTCCACGGCCCTGTCCCGCCCCCTTCCGGGCAGGCAGAGGCCCCGGGGCTGCCCTGCCGCCTGGGCCCGGCCCCCGCGGCAGCAGCCGAGCGGCCGCACCCCTTTGTGGGGCTGTCGTGCCGGGAGGGGCGCGGGCGAGGCGGGCCCGGGCGGCGCTGGGACTTGTAGGCCGGGAGCCCGGGCGCCTCCGGGCTGAAGCCCGTGGCCACGCCACCGACGCGGCTCCAGCCTGCCCAGGCAACGCGACGGCTGGGGACAGCCTTGGAAAAACTGAAGGGGAAACCGAGGCCTGGTGAAGGGATCCAGCTGGCGCAAAAGCACGCGGCCGCGCAGTGGCCGCCTCCCCCGGCCTCTAGGGGGCAAGTGAAGGTCACACTTAAATGAAAGTTTTCAAAGTCGCTTCGAAGGGCCTCCGGCTGGGCCAGAGCTTTCCCCCACCCCACCTTGTTCCATCGTGGATACACTCAACAAACATATCCCAGAGCCCTCTCCTTGCCAGGCCCTCCAGCTTGGGCAAAACATCCCAGGTCCCTGTTCTCGCAGCGCCCAAATAGCAGGGGAGGGGCTCCAGGCAGGCGAACACACAGGGCCGGGGAGGTGGGAAACTCCGCGAAGGAAGGAGAGGAAACCACGCGGGATGAAGGGCAACGGGGGCCGCAAGCGGGGGCAGGAGCGCCAGGAACGAGGAACGAAGGGGGAAGGGAGGAAAGGACGCCCAGGCTTCCGGAAGACTCGGGGGTCCCATCCCCACTGTGCAGAGGGCTAGAGCGGGAGCTGGGGGAGGGAGAGGTCAGAGGTCAAGGCTGCCGCGTGGAGCGTGGGCCGTGGAGTGGGGGAGGGGGCGGGCAGACTCCTCCCCGCCGGCAGCCAGGGCAGAGGGCTGGAGGAAACGCGGAGAACTCCTCGGTGCTGGAGGAAACGAGGGGAACTCCTCGCCGGCCTTGCGGTCCCCCACAGCCCACGGAGTGCCACTCCCAGTCCCCACAGACCCCACCTGCGTCGCCCTGTGCTGAGAGGAGGCCGCAGGGCTGGGGCCGGGAGTGACCCCAATTAGAGCTGCTGTTTCCCAGCTGCATAGGTCCCAACCGCGGGGGCTGGAGATGAGGCGGGCTTGAGGCCCCTAGTCCCGGCTTCAGAGGTGGAGGGTGTGACCCGCAGGTCCGGGATCCCGGGGTCTGTGCAGTCACACGGCCCTTCCCTTCGCTCAGGAAAGCCCGGGGCTGAGTTTCATGCTCAACCGCTGCCAACTTGAAATTCCTAGCTTTTGAATAAGGGGCCCCGCGTTTGCATTTTGCACTGGGCCCCGAAAATTCTGTGGCTGGCCCTGCCTGGTGTGAAGCTCACAGAGCCCCACTATGCGCCGCCTTTCTATGGCTGGGGGCCGGATGAGGGACCCGGGTCTGCTCTTACTCGCCCCAAGGGTCCCTGACACCAGCCCAGAACGGGGTGGAGCTGGAAAGAGCCCACACCTGCTTCCTCTGCCCACCTCATCTCCCGCGGGGCCTCTGAGACCGCCCGGGACCCGCTTCTATCGCGGCACCGTGGTGTAGCTCCCTCCGGGGTCGTATGCTGTATGTTTACTAGCCGAATTCTCAGTCCTGGACGCTCCGTGGGGCCAGGGAATATGATCTGTGCTCCGCTGCAGCCTCGCGCCCAGAGTAAATATCGGTCGGATGAACTAATCTTACATATAAAACAGAAATCATTTCCCTTTTTTAATATGGCACGTGGCTCTTCCCTAAGTCGCCCTGGGTTAAATACCGACTCAATTAACAAGATGCTAAAAACCGTTTACGTTTTTTTACGTTTTTTACGTTTAATTCACCAGACGGTGCGCTCCACGAGGGAAGGGGCCTGGCCTCCCTAGTTCAGGGTTGTGCTTAGTGCCTGCAACCGGCCGGGCCCGCGGGGGCAGCCAGGAGAGAAAGGCGCGCCCAGCGCCCCCAGGCCCGGATCCGCCCTCAGCCCGCGTGCGCTCCCCTCCCCCCTCCCCCCAATCGCCGCGCGCCCGGGTGCGGCTGGGCGGGGTTAGAACTACGCTTCCCGGCGGTCCCCGCGCGCCCGGGGCGGGGCGGGGCCGGCTGGGGGCGGGGCTGAGCTGGCGGGGGCGGCAGGCTACAAAGCCCGGGGGCGGTGCCGGGGCGCAGAGTCCCCGCAGCGCCGGTCGGGAGCGCAGCGCGGCGCACGTCGGCGCGCACGGCGGGACGGGCGCCGGAGTGGTCGGGCCTGGCGGCTGGACGGGCGCCCCTCGCTGCCCCGCGCGCTCCCCGCCGCCCCCCATGAGCGCAGCCCCGCGCGGCCCGGGTCCGTAGGCGGCGGGGCGCCCCCCATGCTGCTGCAGCCCGCGCCGTGCGCCCCGAGCGCGGGCTTCCCGCGGCCCCTGGCCGCCCCCGGCGCCATGCACGGCTCGCAGAAGGACACCACGTTCACCAAGATCTTCGTGGGCGGCCTGCCGTACCACACTACCGACGCCTCGCTCAGGAAGTACTTCGAGGGCTTCGGCGACATCGAGGAGGCCGTGGTCATCACCGACCGCCAGACGGGCAAGTCCCGCGGCTACGGCTTCGTAAGTGGCCCCCGCGCCCGGGCCCGCACCCCGCCGCACACCTTATCGCGGCCCGGGCGCCGAGTCCACTCCGGGGCACACGCCCAGACGGCCCGCTGCCGCCCCCGCCCCAGGCGCCTCCAGCCGGCGCCCGCACCTGCCGCCTCTCCCGGGCGCGCTCCTGCCGGTCCCGCCCCCACCACCCCAGGCCCCGGCCCCCACCCCCACCCCCACCCCCACCCCCACCCCCGGTTTAAAAGGAAGAGCCGCTGTGTTCAATTAGGACTCCTAAGTTGGTGGGGAGGTTTTGGAGCCAGAGGGCACTCGGGATTTCCTGGAGCAGCGGGGGGTGAGGAGCAATGGCTCCACCCCGGGGTGTTAGGAGCTCTTCGGCCTCCCCCATATTTTTAACAGCCCTCTCAGCCGCCCCAAATAAACATCAGCTTAAGTAAAAACGTCTTGAAGACACTTTCCTGCTTACCTTCCAAGCATAGCGTCGCAAACTCCTTCTCAGAGGAAAGTCTCGGCCCTCACTGGTGGGCAAGTCCAGGCGGCCCCCCAAGCTCCCTTCGGGGTTCATTTTTGCCCTATCCCCGCAGGGGATTATTTTTGTCCTTGAAGGCCACATTTCCCAGGCCTTGAACTTTGACGGGAGGAGCTGGAATCCAGGAGGCATCTTTGTGGGAGAGCCCCAGGTAGGGTTCAGAGGAGCTTTGGCTCAAGGACCCTGGGTCACAGGCACCCTCAGAGGAAGGGAAGAGAGGGGTGGCAGCATCCGGTGCCAGGGCGGAGCCGTCTGCCCCTTTCGCCCCTGGTTCCCCCCACGGCAGCCCCTGATGTGTCTCTGCTCCACCAGGTGACCATGGCCGACCGGGCGGCAGCTGAGAGGGCTTGCAAAGACCCGAACCCCATCATCGACGGCCGCAAGGCCAACGTGAACCTGGCATATCTGGGCGCCAAGCCGCGGAGCCTCCAGACGGGTGAGAGCTTGTGTTTTCCTGCCTGGCTCTTCTCGGTTTCTATATTGGGTGTCGGTATCTGTCGGGTGGAAAGAGGCCCCCCCTCCTCGCCCCAGCAGTGGCAGTCGGCTATCATGTGCCTGCAGAGCCGGCACAGGGCAGCCATCCCCCCCTCGAGGATCTAGACCCCTTCTCACAGCGTGTGGCCCAAAGAAGGGGGCGGGGGGCAGGGAGGGTACTGCACCCCAGTTGCCAGCTGTCCTCGCAGGAGGGAGGAAGTGGCCATGGGGCCTGGAGGTTGGGAGTGCCGACACCAGTGGCTGCTGACACCTGCGTCACTCACTGCCACACTTCAGCGGTGTGCCTTGGGGTTCACAAGGGGGAGGCCTGGGAGGGGAGAGGAAGCGGATGATCCCTTTTGACTAGAGGTGTGTGGCTTGTGGGATTCTGCCACCCTGTGTGCAGCCCTTGAGACGTGGCTCGTGCAGCAAGGCCAAGTCCCTGATTGTTCTCTCGTTTTAGGCTTTGCCATTGGGGTGCAGCAGCTGCACCCCACCTTGATCCAGCGGACTTACGGGTGAGTGGACATGGCTGGCTTGGGGTGGGTAGTCCGTGGAGATGAAGTGGAGAGGGCCTTGGGCTTCCTGGGTCTGGAAGGCTGGGGAAATGACAGTTTTCAGACATTTGATTGCGTTTAAGCCAAGGGAGTGAAGAGAAGGCAGATTGCACTTCTCCATCCCTGGCAGAGGCCATACCACCTAGGGGATGGTGAGCCTTGGAGCCTGCCTGCCTTGGTACACACCCCAGCTCCCTTCGCTAGGTGTGTGGCCTCAGTTTCCTCACCCGTAAAATGGGAGTGGTCACAGCACATCTGAGTTCTCTGAATGGAGGGCCTAGGGTGGGCCTGGTGCAGGTAACGCCCTCTTGAAGTGTTTGCTGATGACTCTTAGGGACTGGCAGGCTGAGTTCTTCCCCAGGCACTCCTCTCACCTGTTCTAGTGCTGGGGCAGGTGGTGGCAGTAGGTCATTGCTACCAAGGTCTGATGTTTGTGAACGTTGCTGTAGATACGATGTGTTTGGGGTGGAGGCCACCTGCCTGAGTGGCCTGGCCTATGGGCTTCTAGTCTGACTCATTTACAAGCAGCGCAGCCCACTCTTCTCCATCCTAAAACGCCTCCCACCTCCCTGCCCTTTTTTAAAACATCTAGTAAGTCCTGGCAGCTGCTTGGGGAGGGACACACACACTTAAGGGATACAAAGAGTCCTGCCTTGCGGCCTGCCTCCCCACCCCCATGATGGATGGAAGCTGTCTGCCCTAGCGCCGTGGCATATTGATGGGGTTGGAGTTGGAGGGGAAGGCAGCTCAGAGACCACCACCCCTTTCAGGGCATTGGCACTTCATGAACTTTCTGAATCCAAATCCCTAATGCCAGTTGATCACGTGTGTGTGCTCACGCATGTGCGCACCACGTAGATTCCATTGAGAGAGACACAGCTTGAGGAGTAACCTGCCTGACTGGGGCAGTGTGGACAAGGATCCTGTGGAACCCGGCTGAGCCTGGCTCCCAGGTGAATGGGTCCCCTGGGGCCTGGCTCCCAGGTGAATGGGTCAGAGGCCCCAGCAGAAGTTGCTGTGCCCACTTTTTGGGAACGCTTGGGGTGACTCGGGGGCTCCCTGCCGGCTTCCGTGTGTATTGGTGGATGTGTGCAAGTGTAGCAGTGGGAGGAGCCGCTGGCTGAGGGGTGCTGGAGGGTGGCCGGGGCCCTTCTAGCCTGTGCGAGTGGCCGGGCAGCTCAGGTTCCTGCCGGGGTGCCTCTGTCCTCCTGGGAAGGGAGCGTGTAGGGTGGTGGGAGCAGGCGGCCCTGTCCGTCTCGTCCTGGAATCTGTTTTGTAGATGTCTAGAGTCGTCTTAGAGGGTGTTTGGGGACACTGTAGCCTTCATGCCTTCACCGAGATTCTTCCTATGGGGTTCAGGCCACATGAAGAGGGTGTTCCTTGTTTTCCAGAACCTTGGCTCCATTCCCCAGGCCCACAGCAGGCGCCTGGGGGCATGGACTGGGCGGGAGCAGCTGCCCAGAGGTGAGGGTGTGTGCCTCCAGTGCCTGCAGCTCTTTTCTGCTTACAGTGGGATAAGGCCTTCCCACGTGCGTCTGGGCTCGCTCTGATCCACACAGCTACCTCTGGGACTCCATACCCATCAGTGCTTGGCCTCTGGGGCCTGCAGAGGTGGGTTCGAATCCTGACTTTGCCCCTTACCAGCTGGGTCTGTCTTGGCAGTGGCATCCTCATCCGGAAAACAGGAACATTAACTGCTTAAAACAGTGCACAGGCATGTGGGCTGGGTGCTCTGGCCTCCTCAGAAGTCCTCTCCTGTCCTCATAGCAGGCCTCTGAGGATGGGACTGAAACCATTCTTACTTTATAGATGGGGAAACTGAGGCAGAGAAAGGCTAACCACCTGTCTGGGCCTGGGGGCGGGTGGCAGGGCCAGGGTGGGGAGGCGTGAGGTAATAGACGTCCGGGAGGAGATTGGAACACAGGTGGTGGGTGCCTGAACGCATGCTTTCTTGGTGGGGGACGGTGGGAAGGGCCCTGGCCCGACCTTTCCCTTGCTGTCCTGGAGTCCTGTGAACACCACCCATCCAGAAGCAGTTGGGATCGGTCACAGAGTTTGCCACTGTGTGCCCCCGACTTCAGGCGACGGTGTTTTGTAACTAAATCTGCTGGCTGGCCATTTAATACTTGTGACGATGAAGAGGCCGCAGACTCTATTTGTTGGTTGCCAAAGGGTGGAGACCCAAACAGGGACGGTGTCAGAGGGGCCATCCGCTCTTGGCTTCCTGGGAGATCTGAACTCAAGCCTCTGAGAATCGCGCCGCCTCCTGCCCCTGCCTGGGCCTTACTGAGGTGGGTAGGGGGAGGCTCCCGGGTGCAGCTCCAGGGAGGCAGCGGGGCAGGCTGCCTGGGTCAGCTGTCTGCCCCCAGCCCCCGCCCGCTGACGGAGCTGGAGAGCTGGGCCGGAGCTGGAGAGCTGGGCCGTCAGCGTCCCTTTTGTCTTTGTGAACAATCAGGCCCCGGGAGCACAGCCGGGCCTGACTCAGCGGCCAGTTTTGTCGGCCTTGGGCTGGCAGCGACTTGCTGTTGGCTGAGGGCATGGAGGGAGGTGGGAGCCAGGAGCCCAGGCAGCTGAGGGTTGTCCACCAGTTAACCCCTTCCGTGCCTGGCTGAACTCTTCCTTGACTTTCTGACCCCGACCTTTTATACCTTGCCCTGGACAACTCTGAAGATCCCACAGCTCTGCTTTTAGGCAAGACCCTGTGGAATCTTCTTCGCCTGGCTGGGTCTTAAATGTTAGTTTAGAATGATTTACCAAAGAACTTTACACTTTATGCTATTTGCCGGAGTTTCCTTGCCTCTTTTCCTTTTTTTAAGTTGAACAAGCTCTGTGAGACCTAACTCACCTGTGCATTTCTGACCTAACTGTATGTGGCCACTGTCCGCGGTTTGGAGGAGCCTTCCTCGGCAGTGGCAAGCACGTGGTAGTCACAGCAGGAGCCGGTGGCCGTGGCCCACCAAGGGTGTCTGCCAGCTGAGTGTGTCTGTCACCTGCCGGTGGGAGGGGAGGTGCAGCAGTCTGGAGAGGGTCTGTGTCCAGGCAGAGCTTAGTCTGGCCTGGAACGGTGCCCTGTGTCAAGGGGTGTCTGTCCATTCTTGGGCTGAGGGCACCGGGAGCAGAGGTTTGTCCTGGGACTAGCTGCACCCAGAGCCTCTCCTTGGGTTATTTTTGAAGGGCCAGCTGCTTCCCTGGGTGCGGGTCTCCCTGCCTGTTAAGGGGGCCTGGCTGTGGCCTTGACTCCCGTTCACAGAGTGCCTCATATGTACATTATAGAACGTTTGAAGGGGGTGGAATATCCCTGGCCTCCACCCCTAGAAGCCAGTAGCATTGCCTCGCCCAAGTCATGACTACCAAAAATGTCTCCAGACATTGCCAAATGTCCCCTGGATTTAGTGGCATGAGGACCAGTATCTGTGAGTCTCTTGGACCTTGCCTCATGGTCACAAGATGACTGCCACGGCTCCAGACATCCCACCCACGTTCAGGGCAGAAAGGACAATAAGGGCCAGTACGAACTGCCTCTGTCTTTTTTAGCAGAAAAATGGAAGTTTTCACAGAGGCCACAACAGGCTTCCACTTAAGTCTCACTGGCCACAACTGGGTGACAGGACACGGCCACCACAGGGGCTCTGAGATGAGAAGACAGGCTCCTCGGACTCCGGAGTGTCAGGTACAGGCTGTATCCAGGAGCAAGAGCCCTGGGGGTCTGCCTGGGCTTAAGGCCAGGCCCAGCCTGTCTCTGCAGGCTCCTCCCCATCTGTGAGTGAGAACGGTCACACTGCCTTCCCTACAGGGCCAACTTGACTGTGTGTGGAGGGCCTGGCCCTGGGAAGTCACGGTTTGTCAGTGACGCATCTCTTGCCGGCCCTGCTTCAGGGTCTGTTGATTGATTACCTGTGCAAAACCGAGGCTTAGAGCAACTGAGAGACTTGCTGAGTTCACACATCCCAGGATGGTGGGGCCTGAGCTGTGGGCTGCGAGACTCTTGTCCCTCCCACAAGGACTCAACGCCTCCCTCTGGCTAGATGGCAGCTCTTGGATGATTCAGAGCACAAGGCCTCGAGACTGATGATGACCGTGAGACCCTCTCCCAGGCATGTGCCTGCCCCACTGCATGTATAGTTTCAGGGACCCCTACGTCCTTTGTGTGAAGGTCTCTGGTGCCCACTGGGTAGTAGATGGCTGCCCTTACCATCACGGGGCCTTGGTGTGTGCACACCACGGGGCCTGGACAGAGCACCTGGGTCCCCAGAGCAAGAGGACGTACTGGGGAGGCAGTGATGGGAAGATGTCTGTCTCCTTGAGAGCATGGGATGCACAAGCTGGGGAGAATGTCGACAGCTACTCCCAGCATCATTCATTCATCAGGTGTTTATTGAGTGCTTGCTGTATGCCAGACCTGGTGCCAGGGATCCTTTGAATAAGAAAGACACGGTCCCCGATCTCGTGCTCACATTCTGTTTGTGCACTCGTGGGCCCACATGGTGATGCGTGCAGTTAAACAGGAAGCTGGCGGAATGAGTGCCTGCGTGGGGACGGAACAGTTCCGCGTCTCGAGTACAGTGGTGGGGAGATGTGTCTGTGTGTGTGATAAAGCTTCACAGTTTGTGTGTAACTACACATGACATGTAAGAATGTTGGTGTGTGTAGAAGATGATGCAGCGTGCTGAAGGCCTGCAGTCCAGGTCATAGCAGTGTGCCTGGGTTAGTGTCCTGGTTTTGCTCATGTCCTTAGTTACTCTGATGTGCCCTTGGGGGATGGAGGAGGTAGGGTACACAGGATCTCTCTGTACTGTTTTTGCAACTTCTTGGGAGTCTTTTATTATTTTATAATACAAAGTGAAACAAAGCCAGAGGAGCTGTTTGCAGGTGATGGCGTGTGTGTGTGTGTGTGTGTGTGTGTACGCACGCACACGTGTGCGGGCGTGCTGGGGAAGGCTCCACTGAGGATGGCGGAAATGGGCCCTGTTGGCTTCTGGGGAAGAGCGAGCAGCCCAGGCCCAGGGTGACAGGCCAGCTGCAGGTCGCCGTGGCGGGCACAGGGTGAGCACCGCAGGGCAGGGGCAGAAGCTGAGGTCAGAGCCAGGCGGCATGGGGGCTGGGAGGAAGTGACTCCCCCCAACACTGTGGCGTCACGTTTTCACCCTCAGGGTGTCTCGTGGTGGCCCCGCCGCCCCCCTGCCCCCCCACAAGGCTTCCTGTTTGGCAGCTCATCTGGAGCCAGGCGTGGGCTGCACCGTGGCCCTCCTGGGCGGGCGCCCGTGCCGCACCTGTTGTTTGTCCTGTCTGCTGAAACAGAAAGCAGCCTTTGGGTGGCGGGGGCTCTTCTCCGAGCATGAGTTCTCACCCTGGCTCGCTGCTGGGCTTGGGGAGCCTCTTCTGGAAGCCTTGGGCCAAGGGGCACAGCTTTGTCTCAGGGTAGAAGCCTGATCACAGACTGAGTGGAGGCCCAAGCTCGAGCTTTCCTCGTTTAGCCTCAGTTTCACCTTGTGTCCAGGGTGGACAGGCTGATAACTCTGCAGTGTGCTTGCGGGCATCAGGACCTTCCTGCTGATCTCATTTGGATAGAGTAGGGAGCTGGACACTGGGTCAGCTTGTCTGACAGATCTTTGCTTGCTTTGTGCCAGGCTGGGGATGCCTGCCATGGGGGTGAGGGGAGACCCGGTCCCAGCTCCTAATCACAGTGCTTTCTGCAGCGAGGTGCTGAGAGGAGGACAGAGACAAAGGAGGTCAGCATGCCTCAGAAGGCGACAGGAGCTGGGGAGGGGAAGGGAGCAGCCGGGGAGGCTCAGGGCCCGACAGGGTAGCCTCAGCTCCTAGAGGACTTTGATGACCCAGGGAGGCACTGCTACATTCCTCCAAGTGACACCGGACCACGCAGGCTCCGAGCGGAGGAGGGATGGGTCAGTCTGCATTTTTGTTTTCAGAGTGTTTTTGCTTCTGGCTGCTGGGTTGAGCCTGGACTGCCGAGGGTATTGTGGTGGTTGGAGGCCCTTAGAGGATGCCCAGTAATCCAGGCATGAGACGAGGGTGCTGCCTGCACCAGCGGCCCTGGTGAGATACAGTGAGATTCTGGGTGTCTATTTTAAAGAACCTGGGAAAGAAAGAGGAGTCCAAGAAGATTCTGGAGCTTTGGGCCTTTGAAATGGGAGATGGGCTTGGCCCTGACTGGGGTGGAGGCAGCTGTGCAGTACAGTTTTGGGGAGAAGGTCAGGAGTTGGAGTTTGGGCCGGTTCAGGTGGAGATGCTGTTCCGGGCCTGGCATTGCCCCACAGAGAGGGCGTTCGACCTGTGTCCTGTGGCTGGCTGCCCCACAGAACTTGAATGTCCCTAGACCTCCCGGCCCTCCCCCTCACAAGTCACTGGGGATTCCCGGGAGGCAGGGCCATGGCCTGGCTTCCTGCCTGCCAGGCGCCTCGGGGACCTTCCCACACCCAGCCAGGCGGGAGTCAGAACCCTAAGAGCTGCGGTCCGTCTCTGCCGAGGTGGGGCAAGGCCCCTGGAGAGCAGGGAAAGTGAAATGGGCTCATTTGCCTTTTTCGTTTTTATTTTCAGAGGCGACTTTATGTTCAGAAAATGAGTCCTCCTGGGCCGTGGTCAGTTCTTTTCGCTGCGAGTTCTGCTTTGAGTGTGGGCAGCATGTGTCCCCAGCACCATCTGTACTTCTCTCTCCCGCCCACCACGGGGTTCTCAGACTCTGCCGGAGGCCCAAGCCCTCTGTCTTGGGGGCAATCTGTTGGACTCTGCAGCATCCTTAGTTTACAGATGGGGAAACAGAGGCCGGAGGGGCTGAGTGATGGTCCATGCGACTTGGACAGGCATGGCCAGGATCCGGGCTTGGGGCTCTTCCTGCCCTTGGACCCCTGAGTCTCTGTGGACAGAGTCAGCTGGGGTGCTCTTGACTGTGTGCTGACCCTGGGTGTGTTGGGGTGCAAATGCTGCCTGGGCCACGTGTGAACGGGAAGGGAGGCAGGCACCTCAGATTTCCAGTCTGGACCAGGCTCGGGGTCCCCCTGTCCTCTCCTGGGCTGTGGCAGAGCCAGCTCCTCCTGCATGCCCAACCCTCCCGGCATGGCCTGGCCTTTCCAGCCCTAATGGTGGCCCGTTTCAGTGGCTCCGTGATTTGGGGGTTTGGTGTTGCCCAGGCTCCGGCACTAGAGGGAAGCAGAGAACCCCTGAGTCATCCTTCCGCAGACACCCCGGACCCCAGCTAGGTGCCTGTGCCCAGTGTCCAGCGTTGCAGTGGGGCTTGGGTGGCATGTGGGGGGTCTGTCCCACCCATTCCTGTGGTTTCTTCCTTGGCTCTGCCTGGACTTTGCACACGTGGTGGGATTAATTCTCTGGTAAACAGATCCGCCTCTGATTGGTGCAAGACCCTTCTCTGGGGTCTTGGTGGGAGGATAGAAGTTTTCTGCAGAGGATGAGGAGGCACAGACGCCCGGTTGTTCTGAGGCCGGAACTTGGAAGGAAACTGGAAGGGAAGGAGGCTCCTGCCCTCTCCTTTGAGGTTACAGCTGGGCTGTGGCTCTGCAACCCTGGGGAGCGCGTGGGACTCCAGCAGCGGCCGTACAGAGGGCCGATTCCAAAGTGGCTTCTAGAGGAGGGAGCAAGTGCCGTGTGCCCAAAGAGGCCGGTGGGCCCTGGCCAAACAGGAGCAGCCCTGATGAGCATTGGGTCCCCCGACCTTTGGGCTCCTACCTGACTGCGCCTGGCCGCTGGTCTGTTTTGCTCACCAAGGGTTCTTGGCTGCTGCCCCCTGACCTGGGGCTGAAAGTCCTAGGAGAGGGAGGGCCTCTGTCCCTCCCAGCATTCCTCAGGCCCAAGGAGGCGTCGATGCTGCTGAAGTCTCTGGGGTGCACAGAAGCAATAGATCCTCACAGCAGCCCCCTGGGGCGTGTGGTTCCCCAGAGGCAGTGATGAGGTCACCCGGGGCCGCCAGGCACCTGGTCGGGGAGCAGAGGCTGGCGGGCTGTGCCTGTCTAGCTGTGACTTGCTGGGTGGAGCCGTGCCTGCCTGTCCCTCCAGCCTGCCCAGCCCTGGCTGCTCAAGGCTGAACTGCTTTCTCTGCCTTCTTGGGGCAGGGACTCTTGGCCTGGGAAGCAGAGGCCATTCCACGGGGGGGCTCTTTTGCCTCCCAGCTACCTGCAAAGCCGGGGCCTGCCTCAGATGCTCAGCACTGGGCACCTGCTGTGCTGGGGCACTTGGGACGCAGCAGCTGAGACCCTGCTCTTGTGGGGAAGACATTGTGCAAGGTAGATGATGAAGGGGCTTCCGATCATAAGGAAACAGAGCCGCCTGGGTGGACCCCTGAGGGGTGAGCTTTGAGCTGTGGGAAGAAGCAAGTGCATAGGTGCGAAGGTCCTGTGGTGGGAAGGAGTCGAATCTGGGAACAGAAGGAGCCCAGGGCAGTGGGAGTGTGGCCAGGGAGGGCGCAGTGCAAGTGGAGATGAGTTAGAAGAGGTAGGTTGAGGCCTAATAACGCAGGAAGCCACAAGGGAGCAGTTTGGGTTTTCTTCTGGGTACAGTGGGAGGCAGCTGGAGGGTTCTGCTTCTGGAGGTGATGGGGTGTTGATGTTTTCGTTTGTTTGTTTTTTGAAACGGAGTCTCGCTCTGTCTCCAGGCTGGAGTGCAGTATCTTGATCTCAGCTCACTGCAGCCTCCGCCTCCCGGGTTCAAGCCATTCTCCTGCCTCGGCCTCCTGAGTAGCTGGGATTACAGGCACGCACCACCACGCCCAGCTATTTTTGTATTTTTAGTAGAGATGGGGTTTCACCGTGTTGGCCAGGATGGTCTCAATCTCCTGACCTCATGATCCGCCCGCCTCGGCCTCCCTAAGTGCTGGGATTCCAGGCGTGGGTCTTGATGTTTTTAAGACAGCTCCAACTGCTGCTGGGTGAAGGATTCAGGGATGGAGGCAGGTCTCCACCACCACCAAGGCAGGGCCACGCCACTGCGCCCGCCTGGAGAGTCGGTGATGAAGGAGAGGGAGGATCGGAGAATTGAGGGATGGAAGCAGGGAGCTCCCTGTTGGATGGTGTGGGCATAGGCTGCAGTGGGGGTGAGTGGGCAGGGCAGTGCCTGGGTGGCCTGGTGGGCTCTTCACTGAGGTGGAGAGTGCAGGAGAGTCCCACCAGGGCCAGGCAGACACGTGCCCTGGCAGGCGAGCCTGTGCAGGGGACACACTTGGTGGGTGGGGCGGCGTGCAGCTACCAGGCTGTGCCCTTGTGTGCAGAGGCTGTGGCACCTGAGCTTTCTGAGCATGGCGTGTGAGTGGGGATGCTGAGGAACCTGCCTGGTGCGTGCACCCGCTCCCCATTGCCAGGCAGTGAAGCCTTGGGCCTGCGGCCGGGGCGGGGCCGCCCTTGGACAGTGCAGGGCCGGTGGTTTGGCTGCATTTTTCTTTCTCACCTGACCACTCAGTGGGTTCGCCCATGCGTGCGTGGCTGCATGAGCCCCTCTGTCTCTCTTTGCTCCCACCTGCCTTCTTTGTGGCCGCCCGGCGTGGGCACCTGTGGTCAGAGCAGCAGTGAGGATCCCTTGTCTTTGCCCTTCCCCTTCCCCATGTGGTTTCTGATGGTCCACAGTCGGGCGTCTCAGCCTTGGCACTGCGGACCTTTAGGACGGCATCGTTCTTTGTTGTGGGGGCACCCTGAGCATTGTAGGAAGCGGTCAGCACCCCTGGCCTCGACCCCTAATGTCAGCAGCACCCCCACCCGCACCTCATATTCCTAGTTGTCAGTTGTGACAACTAGGACCGTCCCTAGGCATTTTCCAGTGTCCCCTGGGGGCACAGTTGTCCTGGTTGGGAATCGCTGTTCTAGTGGCACCTCTAGGCCTCACAGCAAGCTTTTGAGGTCAGCCTCTGTAGGACCCAACTTACAGATGAGGAAACTGCGCCTTGGAAGTTTTGAAACCTGTTTGGTAACTCAGACAAGTGCAGGGGCGAGGCGCAACCCTAGGAGGGAGAGAAGCTGCTGGAACCCAGCTCCTGCCTGGCGGGGCTTCGTGGCTGCTTCTACCTTAACTTCAGCCGGTGTTCTCACTCCCCCTTGGGGCTTGAGGTGTGGCCCGTGCTGTGCCTTCCTTTTATTTTGAGCTGAACCTGGGGCCCCAGCCAGTCCTTGCAGGCACAGCTACCAGCAGCAGGCCCCACTGTACCAGTCCCTTGCTCTGCGATGGGGCAAGTCGCTTGGGGCCTCTCTGAACCTCGGATTTCCTCTCTGGGAGATGGGCTAACACTAGCATCTTTTCTATGGCTTTTTTTTTTGAGACAGAGTTTTGCTCTTTCGCCCAGGCTGGAGTGCAGTGGCATGATCTCAGCTCACCACAACCTCCACCTTCTGGTTTCAAGCGATTCTCCTGCCTCAGCCTCCCGAGTAACTGGGATTACAGGCTCCCGCCACCACACCTGGCTAATTTTTGTATTTTTAGTAGAAATAGGGCTTCGCCATGTTGGCTAGGCTGGTCCTGAACTCTTGACCTCATGATCTGCCCGCCCCAGCCTTCCAAAGTGCTGGGATTACAGGCGTGAGCCACTGCGCCCAGCCTTCCGTGGCTTTGAAAATGCTTCGTAAGTTATCCCAGGCCCTTTACGTACAGAAAGATGAGTAGATACCGACATGCAGTGTCTGCAAGGGTCAGGAAACAGGAGAGCCCCGCCTTCCTCCCCAGCCTAAACATTGCTCACCCACGCTTGTGTTTGAGTGTCCCTGAGTAGGGCAGCTCCTTGGTGGCCAAGGCAGCGCTCTGGCCCCGATGATGTGGGGCATCAGAACCCGATAGAAATGACGCAGCCCTCGAGGTGAGTGTGGCCGGAACCCAGCTGCCCCACAGCCCCAGGCACTTGTGTTCTGTGTCCCTGGTCTGGGCAGCGGTTCTTGAATGCAGCTGTGGATCAGGACCCCGGGGCCTGTTCTTGCACATTCCTGGGCCCCATCTGCCTTTGCAGTCTGCATGGGATCCACATTTTTAGCAAAACCTTGCGGGGAGATGTCTGAGGCAGGGGCATCACTGCCCATGTTTGGAGAAGGTGTGTGGGTTCAAAGCTTCCATAGCCTCCTACTAAGGAATGTTTTCGAGGTTCTGAGAGCTGGGTCGGGGGGGCACTGATGATGCCAGGGACAGCCTGCTGGGCACAGCCCCAAGACAGTCCTTGCTGTGTCTCCACTCGCCCCCTTCCCAAGGGAGGCCTCCGAGACCCTTCTGGGGCCCCCTGCCTCCGCTGGCCAGAGCTCCTCATCCTTCTCAGTGGGGTCTGTGCCACCCACCGGGCCTTTGTTCCGTCAGCACCATGTGCCCAGTGCCTCCTACAGGCCTGGTCCTGGCAGAGAGCTGGGAGTCCAGACAGAGCCATCTCCCTGACAGAACGCCATCCAGTGGGGCATCGGGCAGCGTAGCGAGGTGAGGGGCTGGCCTCCATGTGGGGTTGGGCCTCGCCAGGTTAAGGGCTCCAGGCAGAGGCATTGGCAGGTGCCAGGCCCAGGTGGGGAGGATGCGAGGGATTGAGGCGCTGTGGGGCATGGGCCGGCACCAGGGTGGACCTGGGTGTGCAGTGGAAGCCAGGGGTCAGCAGACCCGGCCGCCCCCATGGTGGAGGTGCCACGAGAGGGTTGTGCACAGAGGCTGCCGGCTGCCCTCATCCACTCTTCAGACACTCAGACTGGCGCCTGCCTCCGCCCTTGTGCCGCCATGCTGCTCCCCTGTGGCCAGCTCTGCCTCATCATTAGGTCTCTGCAGGCATCCCCTCCTTCAAGAAGCCACCCTGGCCTTTCCCCCATCGCTGTCCACACATCACAGCCCTCTGCTGTCTTGACTTCCCCTGAGCCCCCCACTCTGGTTTATGGGTTGGTGCATTTTGGTGCCTCTCCCATCCTAGAAGCTAAGCCCCTCGAGGGCAGGGGCTCTGTGGTCTGCTCCTCTCTGCATCCTGGCAGATATGTGAGAAAGGCGTCACAGCTCGAGAGTCAGAATTCAAACCCAGGCCTGGCTCCGCGCGAGGCCCTTGTTCCCATGGAGGATGCAGGGTGGACAGCAGAGGCTTCTAACCTGGGGAGAGGGACAGGAGGCGCCACTGCGGGGTTCCTGGCAGGAGCTGCCTGGGCCTCTGGACAGATGCTGTGGAGGGTTGGCCGTGTGGGCTGCAGGTGTGGCCACAGCAGCCACTAGGATGGCTCAACCTTGGAAGGTAAACAGTAGTAGAGAGGGTGACGCAGTGTAGAAACTTCCCACACACTTCCCAGATGGGGTGGGGGGAGCAAGAGGCCCTGTCGTCCAGGTTTTCCTGGTTTCCACCGTTGCTGTAGGGCTGCAGGATCCACTGAGTGCACCTGCCTTTGTGCTGGAAGCCAGGGCTCCTCTCTGACCCTGAGGGTCCCTGGCTCTGGGGAGGGAGCTCGCAGGGCTCCTCTCTGACCCTGAGGGTCCCTGGCTCTGGGGAGGGAGCTCGCAGGGCTCCTCTCTGACACTGAGGGTCCCTGGCTCTGGGGAGGGAGCACTGTGTTTTCAGTGCCCACATGTTGCCAAACCGCGCTCCAGAAAGCTGCCCAGTTTCTGTCCCTGCCGAACGCAGGAGAATGCAGGGAAGGATGTTGTACTTTTTCTCCAGAGCTGCTTCCCTTGAGGGGGGCCCCTGCCTACAGGTCAGAAGGAAGCTGAGGTTCCAAGTCACCCCCCAGGCGGGCCTGGCCTGTGTAACACGCAGGCGTGCAAGGCAGAGGAGATACTGATGCCCAGGGCACAGTGCCGTGCCCTGGAAGACCACTCCGTGCCTCGGACTCTGCAGCAGCTTCTGATGCCGCGGAGGTGGCTGTTCTGTTGCAGACGGGAAACTGAGGCTTAGCGGCTTGCCCCAGGCCACCGAGCAGCTGGTTGGCAGAGCAGGCACACGCCAGGAGAGCTGCCTCCCTGAGCCTCATTTCCCCCTGTGCTGAGGGCTGGGCATGCTGTTGTATGGCCAGCCCACAGCAGGCAGGAAGTGTTGGCCTCAATGCGTTTCCACAGTGGCCTGCCCAGGTAGGGTTAAGAGCACAGCTCTGAGGCCGGCTGACTCCTGGCCCCTCCACCTCATCAGCTGTAGGACCTTGGGCAACTCACCTGGCCCCGTGTGTGAAATGGGCCTCATGATGGGAAGACCAAGCCGACGGGGTGACGCACCCAGTCACAGTACGGGTCTCCCCCCAGCGTGGGCGCTGGCGAGTATGGCAGCTGTTGGCGCCATCATCTCTGTGGTCACCGCCATTGCACTCCTTTGCTCCAGCATTCACGCAGTCACTCTCACATCCTCACGGAGCTGCTGCAGGCCAGAGTCCATGCTGGCAGGGACAGAAAGAAACCCTGTGAGGGCTGGGCACGGTGGCTCACGCCTGTAATCCCAGCACTTTGGGAGGCCGAGGTGGGCGGATCATGAGGTCAGGAGATCGGGACCATCCTGGCTAACACGGTGAAACCTCATCTCTACTAAAAATACAAAAAAATTAGCCGAGCGTGGTGGCGGGCACCTGTAGTCCCAGCTACTCAGGAGGCTGAGGCAGGAGAATGGCGTGAACCCGGGTGGCGGAGCTTGCAGTGAGCGGAGATCCCGCCACTGCACTCCAGCCTGGGGAACAGAGCGAGACTCTGTCTCAAAAAAAAAAAAAAAAACAAACCCTGTGAGGAGCAGGTGTTGGCTGGGAGAGCAGGCGTGTACATGAGCCAAGTGTGCAGTGTCACTTGGTGGGTGTTGAGTGTCAGGGAGATGAGCAGGGAAGGGGGACAGGGCTGGCCTCCCAGACATGCAACCAGGACATTCGTACCGGGCCCTGCTCTTGATCGCATGCTCCGCCGTCGTGGCTTCAAACTCTCAATCATTTGAAAACAACCATTCAAGATTTTTATTTTTGCACCAGCTCCGGGGATGTGGGGTGTAGGGCTGGGATGCGGGGGTGCAGTCTGGGAAGGCCTTGCTGAGAAGGAGACATGGAGTGGAGGAGGGAGCCTGGTGGTTAGTGCAGACAGTCAGTGCGAAGGCCTTGAGGCGGCAGCATCTGGCCAGGTGCTGTTTCTGTGCCCATCTGACCGATGAGGAAAGTCGGGGCTCGGGGTGGGGGGCGGCACGCATCGTGTACCCCACTGTTCTCCCAGCTGTATTCCCCAACTCCGTTCTGGCCCTAACCTGCTCTGCTTGGCCCCACAGGCTGACCCCGCACTACATCTACCCACCAGCCATCGTGCAGCCCAGCGTGGTGATCCCAGCCGCCCCTGTCCCGTCGCTGTCCTCGCCCTACATTGAGTACACGCCGGCCAGCCCGGCCTACGCCCAGTACCCACCGGCCACCTATGACCAGTACCCATACGCCGCCTCGCCTGCCACGGCTGCCAGCTTCGTGGGCTACAGCTACCCTGCCGCCGTGCCCCAGGCCCTCTCAGCCGCAGCACCCGCGGGCACCACTTTCGTGCAGTACCAGGCGCCGCAGCTGCAGCCTGACAGGATGCAGTGAGGGGCGTTCCTGCCCCGAGGACTGTGGCATTGTCACCTTCACAGCAGACAGAGCTGCCAGGCCATGATGGGCTGGCGACAGCCCGGCTGAGCTTCAGTGAGGTGCCACCAGCACCCGTGCCTCCGAAGACCGCTCGGGCATTCCGCCTGCGCCCTGGGACAGCGGAGAGACGGCTTCTCTTTAATCTAGGTCCCATTGTGTCTTGAGGGAGGACTTTAAGAATGACTGAGAACTATTTAAAGACGCAATCCCAGGTTCCTTGCACACCATGGCAGCCTCTCCTTGCACCTTCTCCTGCCTCTCCACACTCCAGGTTCCCTCAGGCTTGTGTCCCCACTGCTGCATCGTGGCGGGGTGTCACAGACCCTCTGCAGCCCCTGGCTGCCCTGGACTGTGCAGAGATGCCTGACTCCAGGGAAACCTGAAAGCAAGAAGTTAATGGACTGTTTATTGTAACTTGATCCTCCCGAGCTGTGAGCGCAGTCTGAGGTGTGAGGACACGGCCTCCTGTTGGAGTCCCATTTTCTCCATCAGGGCACGTGGGCGGCTTCCTCAAGCCCGGAGGAGCTCCCAGGCGCACAGGGGCCGCCGGTAACAGGGGCCGCCGGCCAAAGGCCCCTTTCCAGTCATAGCACTGAAGTTGCAACTTTTTTCTTGTAATTGTTTTGCTACTAAGATAATTTCAGAAGTTCAGTCTATTTTTTCAGCGGATACTGCCGCCACCAAGAATCCAAAACCTATTTTTGACTTGGAGAGACTTGCTTTTGTTGGTTCCGCCCGTGGAGACGACGATAGTGTTTCTGTATAATAAAGTGTCTGCCGGCTCGCGGGCCAGGATCCTCTCGGTGGGATGGGCACCACAGACAGGAGGCCCCTCAGGCCCGTGCGGGCCACTGTCTGCTGCCGCCTGCCGGGGTGGCAGAGTGAGTTGTCTCAGGACCCCGTCACTGCGACGTTGACACTCCTCTCCCTTCCCTTCCTCCCCAACTCCCCAAACACTGTGGAAGGGGAGAAGGAAGTGATCCACAGCATTCAGGCCACTTGGGGTCTAGACCATGGTGGTGCCAGCCTGGGGGGGGCAGTGGCCCTCAGCTCTGCCCGCTGGAGCGGTTGAGTGCAGAAGGGTGCGCCTCTTCCCTCTACCCCCGCACCACCTGCTGTGTGCCAGCCTGAGACGGTTCCTGCCTGTCTTGGGGGTTGGTGGAGGGTGGAGGCAGTTCTGCCAGCCGTGGCAGGGCTGCTATGGGGCATCCAGGGCTGTGGGGGTCTGGAGGAGGGGACATGAGGTGAGAGGTATCCTGGCCGAGGGCGGGGGGCAGCGGGGGGTCTCCCTCCGGACCTACCTCAGGGAGCTGAGCGTGCAGGCGCTCCAGGGCAGGCCTGGGACAGAGTCAAGGCTCAGAGAATAAAGGTAGCTAATCTCATCATAATATTTTTATTAGAATGTTCTGATGATAAAAATAAAACTTGTTTTCTTTAAAGAAAAAGTTGATCTAATTTTTCTCAAAACGCAGAGCTCCCCTCGTGCCTGTGGGCATCACCCATGCCCCGCCCTCCTGGCTCAGGAACCCAGGATTTCACTGGCAGCCGTGCATAGAGCGCCTGGCCTGCACCGGCCGCTGAGCCTCAGTAGCAGAACAGACGCAGCCCCTCTTCACACCCGCTAATGCAGGGGAGGCCTGGCGTCCCAGCCGCCGTGCATCATCCAGCATCAGCTTCAGACCCGGAGAGGACTGCGCTTGGGTTACTTCTTGGCGCTGTGGCTGGGGAGGGGCCTGGACGTGGATTGTGATTGGCAGCCCCACCAGATCCCTGTGGAATAGGAGGACAGTTCCCCCAGAGAAGGGGGGTTGCCACCAGAAGACCCTGAATGTGGGTTCCTGAGAGGACGTTGGCAGGTGTCCAGGACAGCTGCCCTTAGGGTAGAGTTGGGAGGGAAGCCTTGGTCTGGGGCTGGATAGTCCCAGCATCTGGAACTCAGAGCTGGGGAAATCACAAGGCCTTCATAGAGGAGGTGTCAGGGCTGGAGAATCCATCAACTCCTTCCTTGAATTGCTCACTCACTGTGTCATCCCGAGACGTGTGCTGGGTCACACGCAAAGCGCTGGGGATAGAGCAGACAGGGCTGCCCTTTGGGTTTATCATCTGCTGGGGGAGACACAACAATGCCCCAGGGTGATGGAGACTGACAGGTTTACGGCAGGGAGGGGATAGGGATTCTGTGGGGGTCTGCACTTCTTCCCAGGCCCTGCCGGCTGGCCCCTCCCTCCCACTGTCTCAGTTTGCAAACGCTTGTGAGGGGTCAGGGAGGGCAGCATGGGGCTTTCAGCCCGGAGGAGGAGACTTGCTGCAGCTGATAAGAACTTGGGGATCCACGGAGGGGGGCTACGGGTACTGCCAGGGTTATCGTGAAGGCCACTCGCAGCCTGCAAGTTTCCTGTCACTATCAGCTGGTGACAGCCTCTGGGACAGGCCTTCGGGAAGGCCCTGAGGCCTTGAAAACATCTCCTGGGTCCCAGGATTGAAGGCTCTGGATAGTGACAAACCCAGGAGAGGGAATTTCTAAGTCACCGAGTTGGGTGGGGAGAGGGGCCGGCTGAGGGCAGCAGGGATGCAGAGCGCGGCCACCAGCCCCAGCAACAAGGGTCATAAACCCCAGCACTGCAGCACCAACATCTGCCGCCACTGACTCAGGTCCCCACGCTGTGCCACGCACTTTCATGGATGGTCTCAGTTACCCTCCAGGTATCTCCATTATCAGACCGGTGAACTAAGATGCTTAGGAGTGGAGCCCACATTGCCTGGGCCCCCAAGAGATGCGGTGAGAGGGGCTTGCCTGGAGCTGAAGGGCGTGGGCCTGATTGAGGTGGCCGGGGTGTGCCCAGACATGCAGGCTGAGCCCAGCCAGGTCCTCCCCGGCCTTGAGCCTCACTGTGCAAGACGGTCGCAAGTGTCCTCCCAAGGCAGGGACTTTCTGTCCTACCCACTGTGTTCCTAGCAGCCGGCACAGGCCTGTGCCCAGAGGGCCAGATGTCATACACACATGCATGCAGATGTATGTTTGTGTATGTATACACGTTAACACACATTATCCCAGACCCCCATATGCACAGACACATAGACACACACACACACACTGATACAGGCATACCTGTGCATAGATACACATATCCACATGGACATGCATCCACAGACACATTAGCACAAACATGTATGTGCTACACACACACTCCCACTCGATATTCAGAGATACATGCACACAGAGAAACAGACACACACTCAGACACACCATCACACATACACACGTACACACCCTGGCTCCCACACAGTACATGCACATGCACACGGAGATACGCTTGCACACAAAATTACCTTCAAGGCACACACAGATGTGCACACACATATATACATGTGGAGATAGACGTGCACACACCCCATGTACCTACACAAAGATACACACATATGTGCACCCAGACACACATGTGCACACACGTGTTGAGTGACAGTACAAGACCCACCCCCATCGTTTGGCTCCACAACAAGTGAGGGTGTTGCGGGGGGCAGCAGCCATGGTTTTGAGGGTTCATTGGCTTGGGAGAGAGGGAAGTGGAGCAGGTCCAGGCCGGAGGACTCGGGGGGAGAAGAGACGGGCACAGTGAGGGAGTTGCCGTACCTGGCCGCTCACTTGGCTGGGCGGCAGATGTTGGCTGCCAGTGTCCTTTGGCGCGGGGGAAGACCGCTCATTGCCAGCCCCCTAGTCCTCGAAAAGGTTTCTGTCTGGACATTGGCCCAGGCTCGGCCAGTGCACAGGCAGGCAGGAAGGGCCGGGGAGCTAACACCCCAGGGCAGCCCTCAGCAGGCCAGAGGGCAGTTAGGGGATAGACGCCCCTCCCTTGCCACCCTCGGCAGTCACTCTGGGGTGTGTGCCCTGCGCTGGTGCCCTGAGTCCATGACTCCCCCTTCTCTTCACTGCCTCACGTCCTCGATCCCCTGCTGTGCTTCCAGGGATCCCCTCCTGAAGCAGCTGCCTGTGGGGTTTGCACACCCAGCTGAGACGGCCGTGAGAGACCTCAACGACGGCAGCGTGGGCCAGGCACTCAACGTCCCCGGGAGTGGGGTGCCCAAGTCCTGTGGGGCCTGGAGAAGCGCCTGCTTCCCCTTCTTCAAGGAGCTGACAAAGCCCAGAGAGCCTCAGCAGTGCAGCCAGGGCCATCCCACTAGGCGGGCTTTGCCCACAGGTTGATCCACCTCTGAGCTGTCACCCTCCAAGCAGGCAAGAGGACCAGGCCTGGGAGCAGAGGCTGAGCGCAACTTCCGGGGCACGTGGCTGCTGTGTGAGCCAGCTGGGGGCTGGGAGAGGCACGCAGGATCCAGAGGGGCCTGAGACCCCACCCCGCCCCATGGCATTGATTTGGAGACTTCTTGCTGGGGAGGGGCAGTGGTGAGTGAGAGGTGCTTCCCTTAGAGCCCCATTTTCATGCCACTTTCCAGTTGAGCAAACTGAGGCCCAGAGAGGAAAAAGGGGCTCTCCAAGGCCATTGGGCTGTCACTCCCCTTCTGGGGGTGTAATCACAGAGGGACTGGGCTGGGACAAGGTGTGGGAACCACAGCCACCGCAGCCCACGAGAAGAAGCCACACAATGGTGAGGTCACCTCCGTGTCACAGCCCTGGCTTGCTCTGCTCTGCCCTGGTGGGGAGCTTGCCTGGTTGCCATCCTCCTTGAACCTCACCTTCTTCCCTGCATGCATTGAGCTGACCCCTGGGTAGCCCCGCAGGTCCTGCCGGCCCAGCATCCACTCCCTTCCTGGTGACAGCACCTGCTTTTCCTTAGGGAGCTGCCCCCGCACCACCCTCAGGCCAGGTGGTTCAATGGAGCCACCTCTACCCCTGGCTCTGCAGCTCAAATAGTCAGCATATTCTACTCCCCTGGACCCTCAGAATGGTTCAGGGATAGACGTGTGACCCAGTGTGGGTCCATGCGAGTCAGTCCTCCTGGGGGAGGAAAGCTGTCCCTCTGCTGAGGAAGCCAAGCTGGGAGCAGATAAGCCTGAAGCAGCTGGGGGCAGAGAGGAGTTTGTGCTTATGGAGAGGCTGCCTGAGAAGGAAGCCAGCCCAGGAGAAAGGAGAGCTGAGGAGGAGAGAGGAGCAGAGATAGGGTCTTGGGGACATCTCTGGGGGCTTTTGATCCAGCTATGCCTGAAGTTAGATCCTGGACCTTTTTAATTTGAGAGCTAATACTTTCCCCCTTTTACTTAAGCCTATTTGATTTGATTTTTTTGTCCCTGGCAACCAAGACTCTGGACATATACAACCTCAAAGGGCTGGCATTACTTAGAATTAGGTTCAGCAACTGCAATAGAAAGTCCAAAATTAGGGTGGTTCTTAGCTACCTGTAATGCATTTATTTTTCTCATGTAAAATAAGTCTGAAGCAGGCAGTCCAGGACTTGGATGACAGCTCCACAGTCATCAGGAGCTTAGGCCCCTTCCATCATCCCAGTGAACCATTTCAATGCATGGCTTCCTTCCTTAAGACCATCTTGGGGACCAAGATGGCTGCTGGAGCTCCAGCCATCATGTTCAAGTGCCAGGCAGCAGAAGAAAGAAAGGGGAAGGCTAGAGTATCTCAAGCCGAGACTTCTCGAGGAGACTTCCCAGAAGTTGCACACAACATTCCTCTTCCATTTCGTTGGCCAGAACTTAGTCACATGGCCATACTTAACTGCAAGGGATGGTGGGGAATGTCGGTGTTTAGCTGGGGATATAGCTACCTGGAACACAGAAAGCCTTCTGCTACCAAGGAAGACACGGGAATGTCCTTATGCAGACAACTTGCAGTTTCTGCCTCAGGTCCTTCCAGCAGTAAGCTTTGAGTCCATGAGAGTCATGTCCCATTCATACGTGCTTTATGGAGACTGTTACTGACCAAGCCTGTTACCTCTTTACCTTCACACCAGTGGGGTGCGCTGGGTCTATCCTTATGCCCATTTCACCCAGGGGGAGATCGCGGCTCAGAGCGCTCACTGCACATGGCCTGAGGTCACCTGGTTCCTTAGGGGCAGTTCCAGGAGGACAGCTCGAGCTTCTGCCTCAGTGAGGTGTTGGAAGTTTGGCAAACAGTTCTCATCGGACATGGCTGCCCACGTTCCTACAGGACCGGCGGCCCAAGGTGCCTTCGCATTCATGGTCCTTGAGTGGGAGCTGGGCCTGGGGCCACCAGGAGGTGCCCTCTGATGTGCTCCAGTGTGCTGGCTTGGTTCCTTCTCCTTAGCATCCTCCCACGAGGAGTGGAGTCATGGTCCCATTTTACAGAGGGGAAGACAGGCTCAGAGCGGGGAGGTGGCCTGGTGAGGAATAGCTGACCCATCCAGGCTTCGGGCCCGGGTCGGTCTGCCTCCAAAGCCTGTGTTGTTGGTCTTTGGCTATGTGGCCTCTGGGGAGCTTGCGTGGAACACCTTGACCAGGGCTCAGTCCTGTCTCCTAAGCCCCACCCATGCCTCCTTCAGGGGTGCAGACCCCCAGCCTGGGCCAGCTGCAGGCAGGGCCAACAAGGGGCAGCAGGAGGGGCTGGATGCTTGGGCCACCTCAGGCGATTGACTGAGCCCGGATGTTCCGGCCACCTCAGGTGACTGACTGAGCCACGGTTACATCACCTAGAAATGGGTTAATAACCAAGGTCCTGCCTCCCAGGGCTGTGGCCGGGATTACAGGGGATGAGTTAGGTAAGGTGCCCCGTGCAGCCCTGGTGTGGAGTAGGCGCCCCTCAGGGAGCCCTCAGCCCCCACTGCTAGCAGGGTAAGCGAAGCGATGGAGGGTGGGTTTGAGAAGACCCCTGATTCCTGGAAGGCCACCCGCTGTTTTTCAGGGTGCTGCCTGAGGATGACGGACCCATGCTGCCAATCCAACAAGACAAACCCTCCTGCTTCAGTCTCCCCACCTCTGGAACCGAGGTTGTCCTCAAAGCCCCAGAATGCATGAAAACTGGCATTTATTGGAGACCTGCCATGGCTTTACACCTGTCATTTCCCTAAACTCTCCCAGCAGCCTGTGAGAAGTTGACTGTGCCCATTTCACAGATGGGAAAACCAAAGCTGAGCAGATTTGGCCGCCTGCTCCAGGCCAGAGAGCTGGACAGTGGCAGGGCCAGGGCAGAGCTGGGGGTTGGACCCATGCATCCTGAACCTGGAGCCACACGCCGCTGCACCCTGAGGACTGGGTTCTGGCCACCGCACCCATCCTCCACCTTCCTCAGCCAAAGTCAGCCGGGCGTCCTCCCCACCCCTGCCCTGGCTGCTGAGTCACACTTGTGTTTGTTCCCCAGAGACGTAAACATCCAACCAGGAGCCCCCTGGGCAGGAGGTTGGGAGCCCTCCAGATGCTGAGCGAATAACAGGGGCAGCTCTCCAGCGTGCCCCGAGGCTGGGTGTTGCATAGGGCACAGCCTGGGGTGGGCACCTGGGCTTCCAGATACCTCCTGGGCCTCCCGCAGGGGCCGATAAGTGTCTGGCTCTGCTTATCAGCCCCGTTGCCCTGCCTGCTCCCGCCTCAAGTCCTGGTGTACACATTGGGGTGCACGGTGGCCTGGAGATCATGATGGGGTGAACCACCCTCCGCCCACAGCCCGGCCCACCAGACAGCTGAGCCTGGTGCAGCAGAAACAACTCAGAGGGTTCCCGGGTGCCTCCTGCTGGCTCCCTGCTCCAGTGATGGGGGCGTTTTTAGAGAAATTAAAATAAAGATCTTTTTTTCTAAATTATAAAATTAAGACTGTTGGGGGGAAAATGTGACTATTTCCTTTAATTTATTAAAATAATCTGCATATGTGTATAAAAAGGAGTGGAAGGAAAGAGACCAGGTGTTAATGGTCGTAGGAGGACAGGAGGCTTTTATTTTTTCTTAACACGGCTCTCTATTTTTCACAGCTGAGAAATGAAAGCCAGCGAATGAGGCTTGGCGTTTGGTCATTTGCTCTTGCATCTGTGTGTGCGCACTCCAGACGCTCCAGAGGTTCCAGTGGGTGGTGTCTGTGCCCCTCTCTTCTGCTGACTTTCTGGGTTTCTCTGATAGGCCTGAGCCTGCAGCGGGGTGGGGTTGGGGTCCAGGCGCTTGTCTATGGGAACCCGCTCTGTCTTCAACCGTGTGACTCAGAACCCAGTTTCCCGGCACACACACAATCACACAATACAAGCCCTCTGTGACTCTCCACTAAATCCCACTTCCTTGCACAGCCTCCACGGCCAGGGCGAACTGGCCCTGCCACCTGTCTGATCCTGAGAGAGAGAGAGAGAGATGGAGGGAGTCACTCTCTCCTTGTTGTCCCTGAACCCTAACTCAAATGTCAGCCTTGGAGATGCCTTCTGGGACCTCCCTATCTAAGCTATCACCTCCAACCCCATCCTTGTTCTCTCATTTGTTTTTCTTTCCAAGCAGCTGTCTCTGGGATAAGGGCCTGGCCTCAGAGCGTCCTAGGCATGAGTCTGGGCTGCCTCTTCTTCCTCCTCCCTGGGCCTGACAACCTCGCTCCTGGGAAATGGGCTGAGCCTGGGGTTCCTACCCTCCCACGCAGTGGCAGGACCGTGCTCCCCAGCAGCCAGCGTGCCCTGGGATGGCTCGCCCTGCGCAGGTGTGGACAGCCTCTGCCCAGCTTGCAAGCACAAGCCCTCCTGAACCACGGGAGAGCGGAACGTCACCAAAGGCTGCTTGGCTCCCACAGGCCTAGGTGGAGGTGTGGCCCATGAAGGCCACAGTCCTGAATCTCAAGCTGAGGTTTAGCAAAAGCCTGCAAGGTAACCGGGGGCGTGGGGAGCTGTAGTCCTCATCCTCAGGGTGGGCAGGGCAGAGAAGCCTGAACTTATCCAGCACTGGGCTTGTGCCAGGCCCTGTGCCCACCACTCAGCAGCATGGGCTCATCAAATCCACACAACAACCCACTTTATAGATGCAGACACTGAGGCTCAGGCTAGTCAGGGAGTTTTCCCAGGGTCACACAGTGAGTAGCTGGCAGAGCTGGGCTCCAAACCCCGGGGGATCTGATGCCAAAGCTGCCCTCCTAACCTGCAGCTGGGGTCTCCATGGGAGGAGACAATGACCTGTATTCTGGTGTGGCCACAGGGAGAAAGGCCACAGAGCCACTAAGAATGATACTGTGGAAGTCTATTTCCCGACACGGAGAGATGGCCACAGAGTACGGTGGAAGGAAAAAAGCCACCATGAACAGAAGCTTCTCACAATGCTGGGCCCAGAGTTCCTCACAGCAGCAGTGACACCCGTGCTCTCCAGTTTGCTCCAGTCCCCACCAATCTTTACTGTGCCTCTCATTGAACCCTGGCAGGCATTTTAACTTGTCGGTTAGGAGTCACAGGAGAGCCAAGTAGAGGAGGAAGCAGGAACCGTGTACACACGTGCTTTATCCCCCTTGACGTCTTTCTAGAGGACAGTTATGCAATTATGTGACAGATGGAGGGAGGGAGGGACTGAAGAAAGGGAAAAAGAATGGGTGGAGGAATGGATAGAGATGTATGGATGGAGGGTGAATGGGAGGATAGATGGATATATGCATGGAGAAATGGTTGGGGAATGGATGGAGGGAGGGAGGGTGAATGGGAGGATTGATGGACAGATGAATGGAGAAACGGATAGAGGGAAGGAGTGTGAATGGGAGGATTGATGGATACATGAATGGAGAAATGGATGGGGAATGGATGGAGGGAGGGAGGGTGATTGGGAGGATTGATGGAAGATGAAATGGAGGGAGGGAGGGAGTGATGGATAAAGGAAGGGATGGATGGGGGGATGAATGGAAAGATAGAGATATCTTCAACCTTGGTCCCTACTCCAGCAGAGTTAGCTTTGCCTCAGGGGATGGTCTGGTACAAGGGTTAATCATTCAAGTGTTTGGAATCAGACCTGAATGTGAATCTGAGTTTCTTTCCTGACAAGCTGTGTGACCTTAGGTAAGTCACTCACCTTCTCTGATCTTCAGTTTCCTCATTATTAGAAAGGAAATAATAATACTAGATAATAATAATAATAGAATAATAATCCACATTCTATGGATTTGCCTATTCTGGACATTTCTTAAGAATGTCCATGCAATATGTGATCTTGGGGGTTTGGCTTCTTTTATTTTGCATCAGGTTTTCAAAGTTCATCCATGTTGTGGCATGTGCCAGCCCTTCTACTCCAGCAGAGTTAGCTTTGCCTCAGGGGATGATCTAGCACAAGGGTTAATAATTCAAGTGTTTGGAATCAGACCTGAATGTGAATCTGAGTTTCTTTCCTGACAAGCTGTGTGACCTTAGGTAAGTCACTCACCTTCTCTGATCCTCAGTTTCCTCATTAATAGAAAGGAAATAATAATACTTTGTAGTGCCTCCTAGAACACGAAGTAGAACAAGCACTTAGGGCCAGGTTTGAGGGAGAAGTTGAAGGTGGGCCCACCTTTATTAGGATCCGTGCTGCTGCTACGGTCCTATCAACCCTGCCCTGAGAAAGTGCCCTCTCTGCTTCCGGGCCCTTTGTGTTGAGCTGGTTAATCGCTCGGGAGACTCGATGGGTTCCCCACCTCCCCACCCCCAGCTCTGAGGATCTTGGGATCTCGCTGGACTGGTGTTAATACCAATAGCATCCCCTTGCTCACTGCCTCCAACCTCGACCGGACTCTCAGACCCCGCCCAAAGCCACAGCCGCATCTTCGTGACCATGACCTGAGAAGGCTCCTTGCAGCCCTGCCGCAGAGCAATCCTGTTATCAGGGCTTCCAGCCCTGGCTGCACCTGAGAACTGAGCTGCAGGAGCTGCTAAAAGCAATGCTGCCTGTGCCCCACCCGGAACCCAGTCTTTGGGAGAAGCGCCTGGCATGAGTATTTTTTTAAGCGCTTCTGACTGATACTAAGGCAAAGCCTGGCCTGAGAATAAAAGAAGCTCTGTGTTTAGTTTCTTTTCTTTTTAAAATGTTTCTATTTTTTCTTTACTTTTCTGTTTAGTTTCTTCGGCAGTGAAAACAGACTCTGCTGTCTGTAGTTGGATGAAGAATTCACGTTTGTTTTCCTTTCAGGGTTTTGATGGGTCAGTGTAAAATATGTTTTTTGTTAATCCCCTTGGGTTACAGCTGGTTAGAGTAGGGGGTTGGGAGCCCCTTCCTCTTACTTTACAGGGCTCCAAAATCCTCCGCAGAGTACAATGTGGGGCTGAATTTTATTATAAGGTAAACTGGTTTAAAAGAATAACACTAAACACAAATCAAAGGAAAGAGATGAGCTACCACTTCGCATTCACTAGGATGGGATGAAAAAGTCAGAGAAACTCAGGTGCTGGCGAGGATGTGGGGGAACTGGACCCCCACACACACTGCTGCTGGGAATGGAAAATAGAAAAAACAAGCTGGCAGGTTCTTCAAATGATTAAACAGAGAGAGCTACCATGTGACCCAGAGAGTCCACTCCTCAAAAAACCCAAGAGAAATAAAAGCTTCCACACCAAAACTTGGACACAAAGGTTCTTTTGTTTGTTTGTTTGTTTGTTTGTTTTATACTTTAAGTTCTAGGGTACGTGTGCACAATGTGCAGGTTTGTTACATATGTATACATGTGCCGTGTTGGTTTGCTGCACCCATTAACTTGTCATTTACATTAGGTATCTCTCCTAATGCTATCCCTCCCTCAGCACCCCAGCCCCCAACAGGTCCCGGTGTGTGTGATGTTCCCTGCCCTGTGTCCAAGCGTTCTTACTGTTTGGTTCCCACCTATGAGTGAGAACATGCGATGTTTGGTTTTCTGTCCTTGTGATAGTTTGCTCAGAATGATGGTCTCCAGCTTCATCCATGCCCCTGCAAAGGACATGAACTCATCCTTTTTTATGCCTGCATAGTATTCCATGGTGTATATGTGCCACATTTTCTTAATCCAGTCTATCATTGATGGACATTTGGGTTGGTTCCAAGTCTTTGCTATTGTGAATAGTGCCACAATAAACATACGTGTGCATGTGTCTTTATAGTAGCATGATTTATAATCCTTTGGGTGTATACCCAGTAATGGGATGGCTGGGTCAAATGGTACTTCTAGCTCTAGATCCTTGAGGAATCGCCACACTGTCTTCCACAATGGCTGAACTAATTTACACTTCCACCAACAGTGTAAAAGCATTCCTGTTTCTCCACATCCTCTCCAGCATCTGTTGTTTCCTGACTTTTTAATGATCGCCATTCTAACTGGTGTGAGATGGTGTCTCATTGTGGTTTTGATGACAGAAAGGTTCTTAACAGCACTGTTTGTAATATCCAAAAAGTGAAAACAACCTAAATGTTCCCCAGTTGAAGAATGGATCCACAAACTGGCATATCCACGCAATGGAAAATTATTAGCCGTAAAAAGAAATGAAGGACCGGCACACACCACAACATGGATGAACTTTGAAAACCTGTTGCAAAATAAACGAAGCCAAACACCCAACAGCACATCTTGCATGGACATTCTTATGAAATGTCCAGAATAGACAAATCCATAGAATATTTCAAAAAAAAAGCAACTGAAGTCACCATGGGAAAATCAGAATTCTGTGGGCCTTCCCTATGCGTATGTATAGCTTAATATCTCTTTTATTTTGGATGGTGTGCATGGCGGGGTGCTTCATTCTTCTCCCTGTTTGTCCCCAAAGTCTCCACTTGGCAGGAATACTGGGTTGGAGGTGACCAGGGGCAGGCGCATCCCGAAGCAGGGAGTGAGCCACCCGGCGGTGCCCCCAGGCTACACTAGAAGCCTTGACTTCCAGTTTTACCAAACTGGGGAAGAACTCAGCCAAGTTCACGTGAGCAGCAGGGTGCTGGGGGCGGGAAACTGGGAGTCCGGTTGTGCCGTGTTGAGTGTGGGCTGGTGGGCAGCAGGCGGTGCCTGGAGCATGAGCTGGGCTCTGGGAGGGTGCAGGCTACAGGGGCCGAGGGCGCTGCATTGAGCGGGACGGATGGGTGATGCTGCCACAAGCAAACCCCCAGGGCCCAGTGGCTGAAAGCACACAAGCTGGTTCTCATCCAGGACACGCCTGTGGAAGCTGGAGGCCATTCCGTGTCACTGTGGCCCTCAGAGCAGGACCCCGGACAGGCTGAGCTGGGGCTGAAGGGAACAACGTGGTCATGATGGTGGAGGGAAGGCACACAGTGGCCTTTGTGCCTCTGCCTAGAAGTAAAGCACTCATGTCACTCAGCCCACGTGTTATCAGAGCCAGTCATACGGCCAAACCTCACCTCCTAAGGGCGGGAGGTGCAGCCCTCCGGTGTGCTGAGGGGAGAGAGAGCCCCCAGAGACCACTCCAGGCATCTCCAGCAAACAGAGGTTGTCACCACCCTCAGCCGGCAGAGACTGCCTGTGGAATGAGTGCAGGTGGAGGAGAGGGGAAGATGATCCCTAGCTGGGACCCACCCTGTGTGGGGCTCTGGAGGGAAGGAAACAGCCCTGGTCCCAGCTCCTTCCAGAGCCGCTGACCCAGCCAGGTTGCACTCTGCGGGAGGTGGCCCGGGAGCCGTGCTGCCCCTAACCTCACCCTGAAGCTGGTCCTTCCAGGAGGGGCCGCCTCCTCGGAGAGAGGAGATGCCATGGAGAGGCCAGGGAAACCGCCACGGGGCCGTGTCCAGCGCTTCTCCAGCCAATACTCACCAGAAACGAAAGAGGTTCCAGGGTGATGTGATTGGGGTCTGTCTGCCCTGCTAGACTGTGAGCTCCAGGGGCTCAGGGCCAGGCCAGGCTCTGCTCACCACCATTGTCACTCCAGTGCCCGGCACCCTGCCTGGCATGCACTTGGCACTCAATAAATGTCTGCGGAAGGAATGATGCATGAGGAGTCCTGAGTGCACAGGTGGCCCTGCTGAAACTCCTTCCCACCGCGGGGCCTTCGCACATACCGTGTCCACTGCCTGGAGCACCTCCCTGCAGGTGTTGATGTAGTGCCCTCCTCCACCCACCCTCTGACACTGCCTGCCTCCTCCAAGCGCTTCTCAGGGTTTGTGCCACTCAGTGCATTTATTCATTTGCTCATTTTAACATCTGCCTCCTTCCTGAACGTGAACTCAGGAGGCAAGGGTGTTTCCGACCCATCCATGACAGTGCCCAGCCGCCCGTCCAGTGTCTGGCACAAAGTAGGGAACTTACAATAGTTGCTGCTCATGTGAATTCTAGAGAATTTAAATTAAACGACCTTCCAAGCTTCAAAGTCAGCCGAAGCAGCATCTGCCACCCACAGTCACCTGCGTCGGGTGAGTCCTCATGAGACAGTGCACTGGGGGATAGGAATGCTGCAGACACAGACTTGGGCCCTGCCTGGAGCTGCCCTGGGAAAGGCCTGTGGGGGTGCAGCCAGGCCCCCTCCCCTGTTCCCTGCTCCTGGGGAGTCTTCCAGTAGAGTTCAGAGATGCCCGTGCGAGGGTAGGATGTGGAGGCCTCCCTCTGAGATCCTCTTGGGACAGCCTTGCTCTCCTTCAAGGGCCACAAGGTTCAATTTTGACCATATTTGCCTCAGAGAAAAACAGCCACCCCGTGGGGTCGTGGTATAAATACCAGTTTATTTACTCTGATTCTCAGCAAAGCATGCTTCCAAGGAGCAAAGGTTTCCTGCTTGCTAGTGTACAATTTTGGAAATGTGGCCCTGGGACAGGAGACTGTGGCAGGCTCGGCTAAAGGCACAGTGGGGGATGGGGTGCAGTGTCCGATTATGGGGGTGCTGCTCCACCCAGGTCACCTCACAGAGTGCCTTCCCTCCGGAAAGTAAGACAAGGAAAATTCGAGAATAGACTCCCTGGCCCTCTGCACTGGGGCTTCCGAGGCCAATTACCAGACAGCCTGGAACTGTGCCCAGGTTTTCCTTGGGGGAACTCTCCCTTCTCTACTCCAGGTCCCTGGGTCTCAGGTGAGTCCAGTTCTACCCCTGGCCCTATGGGGGTGGGCGTGAGGCCCAGGCCTGGCCAATAAGAACATTGGATGCCACTGGCCTCAGTAATGAACTCAGGAATGGGCACATCATCCAGTTAGAGCCAATGAGATACCATAAAGTTTATGCTGGGGTGGCTGGGAGAGAGGCAGGACCCCTTTTCCATGGACATTAACCTGGGGGGTTAGAGTCTGAAGCTGCCAGGATGACCCTATGGACCCTGAGCATGAGGCTAGTTTGGGGGATAGCAGGTGTGGGAAACAGAGAAACCAAGTCCCGGTGACAGTGTTTAAGCTGCTGGATCCAGCCATTCCTGAAGCCAGACCAGTGAGAGAGCAAGTCAGTTCTCTTTTTTCATTAAACTAGTGTCTTGATTTTCTATTATCAACTTATCACCAACTTAGTGGCTTAAAAAAACACTTATCTGGCCAGGCATGGTGGCTCACGCCTGTAATCCCAGCACTTTGGGAGGCCAAGGCAGGCAGATCACCTGAGGTCGGGAGTTTGAGACCAGCCTGACCAACATGGAGAAACCCCATCACTACTAGAAATACAAAATTAGCAGGGTGTGATGGTGCATGCCTGTAGTCCCAGCTACTCAGGAGGCTGAGGCAGGAGAATTGCTTGAACCTGGGAGGCGGAGGTTGCGGTGAACCAAGATCGTGCCATTGTACTCCAGCCTGGGCAACAAGAGCAAAACTCTGTCTCAAAAACACAAAAACAAAAACAAAAACAAAACAAAAAAAAACCCCACTTATCCATTATGTCACAATTTTGTAGGTCATGCCCCAAAAGGGACCTTGGCTTGAGGTCTCTTGAGGCTGAAATCAAGGTGTTGGTGGTGCTGGATTACTTACTGGTGGCTCTGGGGAAGAATCTACTTCCAGCCTCATTCAGTTGCTGGCTGAATTCAGTTCCTTGCATTTGTAGGACTCAGGTCTCCCTTCCTTGCTGGCTGGGAGCTGGGGCAGGTCTTTGCCCTGGGGGACTGCCAGGTTCCTTCCTGCACTTTCGTTTTCCTTTTTCTTTTTCTTTTCTTTTTTTTTTTTTTTTGTTAAGATGGAGTCTCACTCTGTCACTCAAGCTGGAGGGCAGTGGTGGCATTGCAGCTCACTGCCTCCACCTCCTGGGTTCAAACAATTCTCCTGCCTCAACCTCCTAAGTAACTGGGACTACAGGTGTGCGCCACCATGCCTGGTTAATTTTTGTATTTTTAGTAGAGACAGGAGTTCGCCATGTTGGCCAGGCTGGTCTTGAACTCCTGACCTCAGGAGATCCACCCACCTCGGCCTCCCAAAGTGCTGGGATTACAGGCGTGAGCCACCGCGCCTGGACCGTTCCTGCACTTTCCACGTGGCCCCACCAGCAACAGCAGGTGAGCGCCTCTCACACTCAATCTCTGCAGCTTCCCTTTTGCTACCCACCGGTCTCTGCCTCCAGCTGGAGAAAGTTCGCTGCCTTCACGGGTTTATGGGATTAGATTGGTCCCACCTGTATAATCCAGACATCATCTCCCTATCTGGAGGTTTATAACCTTAATCACATCTGCAAAGTTCTTTTGCCATATGACTTATTTACGAGTTCCAGAGATTAGGACATGGATGTCTTGGGGTCATTATTCTGTCCACCCCAGCAGTTTGACTTGGGGTTTCTGTCATTTGGTAGGGAACCCGGGAACAGCTCCACCTGGACTGGCTGACCCTTCCTGGAGAATGGTTGGACTGGATTGGCTCATGCGGCTATAAAGTTCTGGCAGGAATGACTGAATCCAGCAGCTTAGACACTGTTATAAGGACTTATATTCTCACCATTCTCAGCCAGTGTTGGTTCTGTGCCAAGGCTCTACAGGTGCCCCTGGCTTTCCCACTCTGGGTTAGTCCACAGGAAAGAAAATATAACTTGCTTCCATTGGCCCCTAAAACAAATTTAACCCTTTTTATCATGCAGGGCAGTCTTTTTGTTTTTTTGTTTTGTTTTGTTTTGTTTTGTTTTGTTTTTTTGAGACGGAGTCTTGCTGTGTCGCGCAGGCTGGAGTGCAGTGGCGCCATCTCAGCTCACTGCAGGCTCTGCCACCCAGGTTCACATCATTCTCCTGCCTCAGCCTCCCGAGTAGCTGGGACTACAGGCGCCGCCACCACGCCCGGCTAATTTTTTGTATTTTTAGTAGAGACAGGGTTTCACCGTGTTAGCCAGGCTGGTCTACAATCTCCTGACCTCGTGATCCACCCATCTCAGCCTCCCAAAGTGCTGAGATTACAGGCGTGAGCCACCGCGCCTGGCCTATTTTTTTTGTTCTAAAACTCTCCATCCTGGGTTGGACTCTGGCTCTCCCTTTGATAAGCCTCATAACCACTCAATATTTCCCCCCTAAATGACAGTGCATTAAGCCCCAAAGAGTCTCCTTTTGTTCTTTCCACAAATGACACCTGAGCTGCTCCTCTGGGGGTGGGGGGAAGCAGCAGGGAAGCAGTGAGAAGCTGGGCGTGGCTACTGTCCTCTGGGAACTCACTGCTCAGCACTGAGTTACAGAGTGTGAGGAGGGCTGTGAAGGAAACGGGCAGGTAGGATACTGGAGGGTCAGGAGGGGCCAGGTGGGAGGCAGGGCCAGCAGAGCCTGGGGAGAGGTCCCACAGTAAGGCACAGGGGAAGAGCATTGCGGAGGAGGTGGTGGCCTGTGCAAATGCCTGGAGGTTGGACATGCTCGGCTACGCTGAGGAACTGCAGGGAGGCCGGGAGGGCAGGAGCGTGGTCAGGGAGTGGAGGCTGAGGCTGCCAGCTGGGGAGGGGCCCAGATGGGGCCGCATGACTTCATATCCTCCCACCCTCTTACAACACAGACACTGCTGGCGGCTTTGGAGTGGCAACTCTCTGGGGGTTGGAAACAGGGGTCCTGACTCCTGGCAACTTCCTCCCCTCCCCCAGCACAGCTGCACTTGACACGGAGACCATCCTAGCGTGACTTCCAGTCTCACTTGCACCCAGTCTTCCACAGAGTACTTGAGACCTCCCCGGATCTCCCCCCTAGCACCCGGGCGCTGCAGACTGCCTCCACCACACCCTGCGCCCTTCCGCTCCCAGAGGAGGGGGAGCACCATTGTTCTTGGTGGAGAAGTGGGTGCTGGGATGGTTGGCTTCGTGAGAAGGGGGAGGACAGATAGGTCCCACTGAGATGGACTCCATATCCCCTGCTTTGCACCCTAGCCTCTGAGCTATCCAGCCTTCAGACATCAGCTTCCTGCTGCTAATGGTGGTGGCATTTCAATTTTTATTTTTTAGAACGGGGTCTCGCTATATTGCCCAGGCAGGTTTTGAACTCCTGGGCCCAAGCTGTTTTCCCGCCTCTGCCTCCCTAAGAGCTGGGATTACAGGCATGAGCCCCCTTGCCTGGCCCGGTGGTGGCATTTCAACACAGAGAATGAGCCCAGCTTCAATTCCCTAGGTATTGATAGGATCCAGGAGACTGTCGTGGAAAGTCTCCCTCCCATCCTGTCCCTTCCAATTCTCTTCTCCCGAGGCGTGCAGCACCTCCAGCTGGGGACACTGAGGTCTGCACAGATGGATGTTTACTCTTCCCCGCTTCGAGCACAGGCCATTTGCTCTGCACGGCACCTGTCTCTTTCCCACTAAATGCATCTTGACCAGGCCCCTTAGCACACACGGGGCTTGCTCTTTCTTTGCCGTCAGCTGCGTGCTATCTGTGGCGTGCATGGGGCAGGTGGGGTGGGCGTTCCCATCCCCAGCGATGGAGGCAGGAGCTCTTTCAGGCTCACCTGGAACACAGTCACATGTGCTGGTCTGTCGGCATCACCTCAGCAGTGAGCCCATCTGTGGGCCGTCATTTCATCTGCACCTTCCTCCTTAGTCCTCCCACAGCACCCCCAGGAGGGCATGGTGGGATGCAGAGACACTGGATCTCAGGCCACACTTTCCTGAATTTTTCCCCAAATTCAGTGACCCAGCAGGACCTGTGCCTCCTGACGTGGTTTCACTGTTATTTCTAGAGTCTCCCAAGGGGGATCCCCTAGGCCTCCAAACCAGCCTCAGAAGCCACTGTGGGTCCTCGGAAGTCACCGTGGGTCCTTGGAAGCCACTGTGTGTCTTCCCTGCCCTCTTCCCACTATGCTCTCACTCGCCTGTGCCTGCTACCCCAAGGCTCTGGAGAAGGCTGCCTGGGGCCCCCATCCCAGGACACCAGTGTCCACACCAAGGTCTCTACCTGCAGGCAGCTGCAGAGCTCTGGCCCCTGGGAAGGTCGGGGAAGGGAGCCTCCTTCCAGTGTGCAGTCCTGAGCCACCTCCCCGGGTCCCTACTGACCATCACAGCACCCACCTCACTGCTACCCACCCCACAGCAAGGCCTCCACGGCATGAATGGAGACAGTGGGCCTGTGGGGGAGGGGGTTAGAAACAGCGTCATCTGTTCCAGCAGGAGCTGGTCATGCTGCAGGGTGGGCGCCTCTGACAACTTCACCAGCCCCAACCTCTCCCTCTAAACACATTCATTCAACCAATCTTTCCCCATTTACTTATTGAACACCAACCAAATACAAGGTCCTGGTGAGAAGACAAAGATATAAGTCATTTAGCTGGGCATCATGGTGCATGCCTGCAGTCCTAGCTACTCGGGAGGCCGAGGCAGGAGGATCACTTGAGCCCAGGAGTTCCAGGCTGCAGTGAGCTATGATTGCACCACCGCACTCTAACCTGGGTGACAGAGCGAGACCTTGTCTCTTAAAAATAAAAAAGCCATGTAAGTAATCTCTGGAATAATGTTTAACTTCAGTCTGATAAATGCCACAGTGAAGTGCTGAGCCTGCCCAGGCAGCGTCCCTGCCTCAGGCCCTTTGCACGTGCAGTTCCCTCAGCCTGAATGTTCTTCCCTTAGGTGTCCACACGGCTCACCTCTTACCTCCTGCAGGTCTCTTCATCTCACTGGCTGCTTGGTTCAAGTTGCAGCCCCTCTCCCCGGCCTGCTTGACTTTTCACCATAGCCCTTGTCACTCCTCCTGGCCTTTGCTTGCTCTAGGTGCTGCTCACTTGTTGCTTGTGTGTCATTTATGTGTGTGTGGATTGCCGGTCCCCCCAAGGAATGTGAATCCAGGTGGCAGGCATTCTGTCTGTCTTATTTGCAGCTCTTTCCCCAGTACCTAGGCAAGTCCCCAATACATAATAGCTGCTCAGTAAATAGCTGCTGAATGAATGAACCGCCTTAAGGCATGTGACCTGTTCAGTGATTCAGCAGCTCAGGAGGAAGATGTCAGGGGACATTTTCCCACCACTGGGGACAGACTCAGGTTTTTGTTTTTTTAGTTTAGTTTGTTTTTTTTTGTTTTGTTTTTTTTTTTTTTTTTTGAGACGGAGTCTTGCTCTGTTACCCAGGCTGGAGTGCAGTGGCACAATCTCAGCTCACTGCAACCTCCACCTCCCGGGTTCAAGTGATTCTTGTGCCTCAGTCTCCCAAGTAGCTGGGATTACAGGCACCCACCAGCACAGCAGCTAATTTCTTTTTTTTTCTTTTTTTTTTTTTTGTATTTTTAGTAGAGGCAAGATTTCTCCATGTTGGCGAGGCTAGTCTCAAACTCCTGACCTCAAGTGATCCACCCGCCTCGGCCTCCCCAAAGTGCTGGGATTATAGGCGTGAGCCACTGCGCCTGGCCCAGGCTCAGGTTTTTCAAAGCCTGAAATTATGTCAATTTTGGACACAATCTTTAAGAAAAAGAGATACAGTTACATGTACAGAATTAGGGCCAGGGCCTTTCCCCTAAGCTAAAACTTGGACAGCCTCAGGGTGAACCCCATGTGAGCTAACACTGAAAGAAAGACTGGCGCTGATGACAGGAACCTTCTTCCAGGCAGGGGGAACAGCCGCGGAAAAGCTTCGAGGTGGCAAAGAGCCGGGAGAGTTCTGTGTGACTGCAGCTTGGCAGGGGATCCAGGAGAGGCTGGAGGCCCAACAGGCCGGACCAGGAAGTGCCAGGTATGACATAATGTGGCCTTGGTCTCTCAGGAGTCCAGAGGGCAAGCCTGGCGAGATGACCCTTGGGTTCCAGCAGGACTGAGCCCTCTGCCAGCCAACGTTTTCCTATTCATTCCAGTGGCCCCAGCCCTCCCTGTCGGCTGCCAGGAATGTGTCACTCCTGCTTCGGGGTCCCTGCTGCCCCCTGCCCCACTCAGAAAGATCCCTTGGGGCTGGTTGGGGAGGCAGCCTCCCCCTCCTCCTCTCCCTGAGCTCTGCTCAGAATAAAAGCTCCCGGGGTCCTGGCTGAGGATGCTGTGCCCTCGCCCATCCGTGGCCACTGCCAGCCATTTGCATCACAAATGAGGCACAGTCGTGCCGTTGGGCACCAGCCTGGTGCTACCCTCGGTGACTCAAGGACACAGGCCAGGATCCAGCTGCTGAACGTGCTGCCTTGCCCCACCCCCAGCCGCCTAAACTGTGTCGCTGGGGAAGGATGCCCCGGTCCCCAGCCTGCCTGGGATCCTCCTGGCCTGGGCAGCTCTCCCCACCAGCCAGGAGAGCAACCATCGTCGGGGTGATAAACCCAACGCTGGGCAAGGAGCGCTCTGCATGTCAGGTGGGAACTCAGCACTTGGCAGACATTCTCTCTGTTAGCTTTCACGGCAGCCTGCTTTACAGAGGAGGAAACTGAGGCTCAGAGAGGGTGAGTGACGTACCCATGGCCGCTCAGCTACTCAGCTATACTCAGTAGAACTGGGGCTTGAACTCATGTCATTCTACTCTAGAAACTGTGCTGTGAGCACCGGCTGTCCCTTCCAAGGCCATCCGTGCTTACCCTGGGCATGCAATAGCTGTGCTCTGGATGAATAAAAGTGACCAATAGCTGCGCACTAGGTGAATATAAGTGACCAAGAGCTGTGCATTGGATGAATATAAGTGACCAATAGCTGTGTGCTGGATGAATATAAGTGACCAATAGCTGTGCACTGGATGAATATAAGTGACCAATAGCTGTGTACTGGATGAACAAGTGACCAATAGCTGTGTGCTGGGTGAGCGAGTGACCAATAGCTGTGCTCTGGTTGAATAAAATTGACCAATAGCTACGCACTGGATGAATAAAAGTGACCAATAGCTGTGCTCTGGATGAATATAAGTGACCAGTAGCTGTGCTATGGATGAATATAAGTGACCAGTAGCTGTGCTATGGATGAATATAAGTGACCAATAGCTGTGCCCTGGATGAATAAAAGTGACCAATAGCTGTGTGCTGGATGAGCAACAGTGACACAGAACGAGAAGTGAGAAGTGGAGGGAGTCGGACGGAGAGAGGCAAAGGTGGAGTAGTCAGCGTGACTCAGAGGCAGTCACTCCAACAGAACATGAAAGAAAAGCAGAAATGCAGGCAAGAGAGAATGAGGGAGACAGGCAGGAGAGAGAGTGACACTGAGGTGAACAGAGAGGGGCCTGGGGACAGGGTCTCCTTCTGGGGTGACGGAAATGTTATGGAGTTAGATCATGGTGACAGTTGCACAACTTTGCATACACACTAAAACCCACTAAATTGTGTACTTTTGTTGATTGATTTGTTTTAGAGATGGGGTCTTGCTCCGTTGCCCAGGCTGGAGTGCAGTGGTGTGATCATGGCTTGCTGCAGCCTCAAACTCCTGCGTTCAAGCTATCCCTCAGCCTCCCAAGTAGCTGGTGACCACAGACACTCACCACCATGCCTGGCTAATTTTTTTTTGAGTTGGAGTCTGGCTTTGTTGCCCAGGCTGGAATGCAATGGTGCAATCTCAGCTCACCACAACCTCTGCCTCCTGGGTTCAAGCGTTTCTCCTGCCTCAGCCTCCCAAGTAGCTGGGACTGCAGGCACATGCCACCATGCCCGGCTAATTTTTTGTATTTTTAGTAGAGATGGGGTTTCACTATGTTGGCCAGGCTAGTCTCGAACTCCTGACCTCGTGATCCACCTGCCTCAGCCTCCCAAAGTGCTGGGATTACAGGCATGAGCCACCGCGCCCGGCCGCCTGGCTAATTTTTTAAAAACGTTTTTTTTTTCTCGAGACGGGGTCTCCCTATGTCACCCAGGCTGGTCTCAAACTCCTGGGCTCAAGTGATCCTCCTGCCTCAGCCTCCCAAAGAGCTGGCATAAGCCACTGTGCCTGGCCTAATTTACAAACTTAAAAGAGCAAATTTTGTGGAATATGAATTACATACTATTTTAAAACACAAGAGGACATCAGGCAAACCCGAACTGAGGCACACTTTGCAAAATACGTAATACTCTTCACTATGTCAAGGTCACAAAAGACAAAGAAAGCCCAGGGAAAGGCCCCTGGGTGGTTGCAGTGTGACGTGAGATCCTGGAGCAGAAAGTGGACATCAGGAAGAAGCTGTGAGTCCTGAACGTGACCTATGGTCTGATTCATATTATTGCATCGGCCGGGCACAGTGGCTCACGCCTGTAATCCCAGCACTTTGGGAGGCCGAGGCAGGTGGATCATCTGAAGCCAGGAGTTCAAGATCAGCCTGGCCAACATAGTAACACCCCGTCTCTACTGAAAATACAAAAAATTAGGCAGGCGTGGTGGCACGTGCCTGTAATCCCAGCTACTCGGGAAGCTGAGGCAGGAGAATCACTTGAACCTGGGAGGTGAAGGCTGCAGTGAGATGAGATTGCACCACTGCACTCCAGCCTGGGTGACAAAGCAAGACTTGGTCTCAAAAAAAAAAAAAAAATTATTGCATCAATGTGAATGCCTTAGTGTTGCTGATTGTCCTGTGGTTTTGTAAAATGCTAATAGGAAAGAAGCTGGGTGAAGGGCGTATGGGAACTCTCTGCACTTACTCTCTTTGCACCTTTTCTTTCTTTCTGGAGATGGTGGTCCTGGCTTGCCAGGGTCAAGCTCAGGGCTTGAGTGGGATTACAGGCATAAGCCACGGCGCCTGGCCTCACCTGCCTATTTATGATTACAGCAATTTGCAGGACCATAGTTTTGTGTGCACCAGTGAAACAGCTCACATGAGAATGATCTGCGCTGTGCACAGTGCTTCGATTTTGTGTTTTCCACTGATGACATGTTGAGGTCCAGGGAGGAGGGGTATAGGTGAGGCCCATTCTTGGAAGAGCAGCCCCCACCCACCCCAGGGCTCAGCCCTGTCACACCCGTCCCCCGAGGACTGGCATTTGGGCATCATCACCTTTTTACTACTTTCATCACCTTCTTCAAACGGGCCATCCGTGGAACTGCAGCAGGGCAGCGGGTCGGGGGTGGGGGAAGCGTGGGCCTGGGCTGGGGGTGGGCTTGGGGGCTGTGCACTGCTCTGTAGGCTCCCCGAGGCTCCTCTGATAGAAATCATCCTATCAGGATGCATGATCCAGGACAGTCACGCAGGGCTCAGAAGCCAGGACAGTCACTCAGGGCTCAGAAGCCAGGACAGTCACGCAGGGCTCGGAAGGGCCCTGCTCAGGGTTTCCTGCTCTGCTGTTACCATCTTGAAATTCTTCTTTCTTTTTTTTTTTCTGAGACAGAGTTCTCACTCTGTCACCCATGGGCATGATCTCCACTCACTGCAAACTCCGCCTCCCAGGTTCAAGTGATTCTCCTGTCTCAGCCTCCTGAGTAGCTGGGATTACAGGCGTGCACCACATTCCTGGCTAATTTTTGTATTTTTAGTAGAGACAGGGTCTCACCATGTTGGTCAGGCTGGTCTTGAACTCCTGACCTCAAGCGATCCGCCTGCCTCGGCCTCCTAAAGTGCTGGGATTATAGGCATGAGCCACTGCGCCCAGCCCATCTTGAAATTCCTGGTAATGTTTCAACAAGGGGCTCTGCGTTCATTTTGTCAAACTTCATGTGGACATCTGACAACAGCGAGCACCTTCGGAGCCCTGGTCATGTGCCAGCTCTGCCCTAGGCCAGCCACACACACTGCCTCCTTGAATCCTACTAGCCGTTCTGTTACAGGCATGGTCATCATCAACCCATTCTGCAGATAGGGAAACTGAGACTCAGAGAGCTCCTGATTCAGGCAATACCAGGTAACATCAGCTTTGAAAATCAAATCTGGCCAATCCCTTTTTTTTCAAACTGAGACCCAGAGCGGCTAGAGTTGGCTCAGGGACACGCAGCCCCTGTGTCTCACTGCAGGGTTCCCAGCCATTCCCCAGGGAGGAACAAGAGACCATCTGCCCCCCGGGTGCTTTCTCCGGGCCTTTTTGGAAGGCCCCATTGGCTGGGTTCATTTTGCCACATTTCCTTTCTTCCTGGCTGGTGGGGAGGACTGTCTCAATGAGGGGTGAACAAACCCCGGTTTTAATCAGAGCAGCCACTTCCTCTCACCAGAGAAGAAACCCGCCCTCTCACAACCCACTTTCTATATTTAGACCCAGGGCCTCGCCTTGAGCTGGGCCAGGGCTGGGTGTGGCGGGGCCTGCGGCTGCTTCCGGCTCTCGGGAAGGAAGTTTCCACCTGTTTCCCAAGAGCCAGAGACACGAAGCCTGCAGGTCCTAGGCTGAGTGCAGGATTCTTGAGCCCACAGGGGCCCATAGGACAGTAGTTCCAGCCTCCCCCTCTGCAGCTCCACAGCCATGTGGGGGACAAGGCCCATTTCCAGGACAAGAGAAGCCCACTCCCATTTCATTCATTCCTTCAGGGACCTGGTGTTTTCTGGGTGCCTCCCACAACCCAGGTGCCGTTCTAGACTCTGGGGATACGGCAGGGAACAAGACAGGCCCCTGCCTTCACGGAGCTGACAGTCTAATGGGAATGACAGAAGTAAATACAATAAAAATAAACTAATAAAACAGAAACCGGATATAACTAAGGAAAGGTAATGAAGGCATAAATCAGGCAGATGGACCAAGAGGCGTAGTAGAGTGGGCAACACCAGGGGCGGGGTCCCAGGGCCTCTGCAGGCCCCTGGGGTGTGGAAGGGCCTGGAATGCAGCGACAGACTGAACAGGGCTTAAGGCAGAGAGGACAGAGCGTGCTGATGTCACAGCCAGGGCTCTTGTGCCTGGTGTGGGAGCCAGTCAAGCTGGAGACAGGGGTGAGGTCAGGCCCTGCAGGGCCCGGGCACTAAGGCAGAGGTGTGGATCTCAAATACCAAGAGAAACCACCCAGCGCTTTTGAACCTAGCGTGACATGCATCACGAGCTGTGTGGTTTTTTTAAAGCTCACCCCTACTGTGATGTCAAGAAAGGGAGGCAAGGGGCCAGGGGAGGGAGTCCAGGCCAGTTGGAGGGGGTCCAGGCCAGCATGAAGGGGGTTCAGGCCAGTGTTGAGAGGGTCTAGGCCAGTGTAGAGGGGGTCCAGGCCAGCGTGGAGGGGTGGTACCCCAATAGTCTAGGGCACTGGCTCTCCACTGGGGCCATTCTGCTCCTCAGGGGATGTTGGGCAATGTCTAGAGACATTTTTTCTTGTCATAGTGGTGGTGTGCTACAGGCACCTGATAGGCAGAGGCCAGGGGTGCTGCCAAGCATCCTGCCATGTCCCCACAGCGGAGAAAGATCTGGCCCCAAATGTCAAAGGGGTGGCGGTTGAGAAAGCCCGGCCTAGCGGGAGGAGGTGGTGGCGAGCAGGGCGACAGTGGTGGAGGAAAGTGATGTGCCCCGTTCTGGGATCCAGGGTGCATGGAGCATGGATGAGGAGTCACTTGGCATTCTGCTCTGAGTATTTAAGAGTGACCCATGAGAGCTGTAAACTCAAGTCTCAAGTGTGGGTGACCTCCAACACCCAGGCAAGGGTTCGCCTAGCATGAGCTCCGCTGCCGAGCGCAGTGTCTGCAGGACTATTCTGCACACATCTTTGGCAGTGCCCCCATGTGGTGGCAAGATGCCCCGGCATCAGTGACCTTCGGCAGTCAACCCCCAGCAGTGGGTTAAGGAAGACTTCGGTGTCCTTGGAAGATTGAAAACGAGAGAGGACTCGAGAAGGGGGTTCTGGGCTTCTTGCTAATAGAGAATCTGGGTACCTGAGTGATTAAGGAGCAAAGGGACACAGTCATCTGGGGATCATAAATTGATGGAGTGGCTTATTCTGACTTCATTAGGAGTTCCCAGGAGAGCCAGGGAAAGGGGAGGAGGATTGCTGGGTTCAGGAAAGGCACCTGTCACACGCGTGCCTCACTGACTTGCTCGTTGCTCCAAGAACATAGTCAATGCTCCCTCTTCTTTGCATCTCCAGCTTCAGTGCTCTTCAGTTTGTCAGGCGCCTGCAGTCCCAACCCTGGGAGAGCACTCCTCAGCTGGCAGGCTCCAAAATACCCAGGACGAGGGGAAGGCAGGAATGGCGTGGATGGGGCGGGAGGCTTTCCCCATCTCCCCCAGCTTCAAGCCCTTGTCTCCCCTTCCTACTTAGAAGATGCTTCCAATGTGGGCCTGCCAGCTCCAGCTGACAGCACCAGGCACTGTCCCAGACACCACCTGAAAAACAATCAAAGGCAGTGAACAAACCATGAATCCCTCAGGAAATACAGACAGTTAAACAGTACACGGAGGAATGCACAGCCTTGCTGATCGAATGAGAAAAAAAAATCGATAAAACAAGCCCAGTGCTGCAAAGGATGCGGGGAAAATAACACATCCCTTTGCTGTAAACAGATTCCGATTTTGAAGATGCTTCTGTCTGCATGGAAAAAGCCCCACGCAGCTGCCTGACCCCCCGACCTCGAATATTATCTTGAGGCGGGGTTCTGCATCTGAGGAAATAACCCTCAGCAGGAAAAGCGTTCACAGCAACCTTATTTAAACTGAGAGGTGGAAAAAAGAAAACAACCCAGACGTCCCTTGCTCACACTTGTGGAGCGCTCACACTACGCGAGGTGCCGGACACGCATTAGCTCTTTGATCCTTTCCACTGCTCTGTGAGTTGTGGTTTATGAACCTCCCATTTTACAATAAGCAGGGGACACAACAGAGGCCAGCCCTCCCTCCACAGCCGCTCAGGGGCTCAGAGCTGAGGCACCTCAGCGCCACCTGGAGCTTGGGTTCCCCTCCCTCCAAGCTGTTTCTTAGCAACATGAGGCAACCTTGTCTGCGAAAGAGGAGGTGACCGCAGCTCCTGGGGATGTGCCAACTCTGGGATGTGACGGGAAGACAAAGGGCTTCTGTCCCCTTCTGCCTGGCGGTAAGAGAGCCGGCCGCCCGGCAGGCATGCCCCAGCCTGTGGTTCTGGAATGCGGGCAAGCCACCGTCCCCAGAGACCTGTGTTGGTGGCCAGGCCAGCCCACACACCCGATTGGCACATACTCTTGTGCTTGCCCAGGAGCGGAGTCAGACCATTCACGCTGCCTTCATGGGAGTTGAACAGTTGAACTGATGCCCTTAAACCCAGTGTTTCCCTCTGGGAAGACGCCCGGGGGCCTCGTGGTTGTAGGTGCTGGAAGGATAGCTCCAGCTCCAGGCACCTGCCACATAAAGGTAGTTGTGAAATTTCGGACATGCTCTTGGCACAGGGCAGAGGTTGGGGATCTCTTGCCTGTGCGGAGAGGACAAGGGGACAAGGGGACGTGCCTGAGGCTGGTGTGGGTGTTGATGTGACCTCTGCTCTTGGGGTCCAGTCTCCCCAACTCTGGCTGGCCTGGATGAGTGTGCCAGAAATGGGACTCTGGCCATCGCAGTCCACTGGGTGCCCTGTGTGGTAGGCACAGTGTCCAGGGGAATAGCTGTTTGTCTCCAATGATTGTTCTCTTCTTCTCGGCTGAGCTGGGGGCTCATGTGTCTTTAATACTGGCCAACTCCTGCTTACCCCCCGCTCCATCTGAGAGAGCAGGCCCCAGGCTCCTGGCGTGTGCAGGTGGCAGTTTACGAACACACTGTGACAGCATCTGAAATCCTGGTCAATACTAAACACGACTGATGGCCACTGTGCTTATTTTCAGAGTCATCTGCAAAGCAAGTGATACTGGTTTTCCATTTACATTGGTGCAACAGAATTTCCTTTTAAAATAGACATTTATTTATTTATTGTATTTACTTTTTTGAGACAGGGTCTCACTCTGTCCCCCAGGTTGGGGTACAGTGGTGCAGTCTTGGTTCACTGCAACCTCCACCTCCTGGGTTCAAGTGATCCTCCAGCCTCAGCCTCCCAAGTAGTTGGGACTACAGGCATGTGCCACCATGCCAAGCTAATTTTTGTATTTTTGGTAGAGATGGGGTTTCACCATGTTGACCAGGCTGGTCTCGAACTCCTAACCTCAAGTGATCCATAGGCCTCGGCCTCCCAAAGGGCTAAAATAAACATTTAAGTAAAAAAAAAAAGAAAAAAATCTGAGTCATTTTAAAGAAAAGTATGAAACAAATGGTAGACCAGATGAGATGGTCAAGGTCACAGAGGGAGCCTCAGAATGCATGAAGTTTGGGAACCCTGGGCAAGGGCCCTCCTTAGCCCCTGGCAAGGTCACTCCGGATGGTGTGGGTCTTACCAGCCTCTCCTCATCCTGGCCTTGTTTTAGTCGCCAGGGCCTGGGTGGCAGATTCTTGAGTCTCTGGGATCTTTGCCCTCCCCTCTGCTTCTCCCTCTTTCTCTCCTTGTTCCTCCTTCTCCTTCTTCACTGATCAAGCTCAAGAAGCACCCAGCAGGTCCACCGCAGACCCCTCCCATCCCATCTTGCTTTGAGGCTTTCCTCATGGGACAGGGTTGGCCTGTCCTGATTGTGGAGTCTCCACTTCCCCACTCAACCCCGCTTGCATCTTCCTTCATCTGCCCAGTGCACCGAGGCTGCCCATCAGAGTCACCTGAGGGGCTCTTAGGAGATGCCCCGGCCTAACCGCCTGCCAGTTGAGTCAGAATCCCTGGTGGAGGGACATCCTAACAACTCTCTCCTTCAAGGAGCCTGGCCTGACGGGAGGAGTGTTTCCCTGTCCCTGTCGCCCAGGGGTTCATTTTCGGGCGGATGAACAATGGCTGCAGAGCATAGAAGCCCAGCTCCACTTCCCTGAAGGACCCAGGTTCCTTCCACATTTCTGCTCGGTCACCCTCAGTGTGGTGTCTTTCAGTTGCTTCATGGTCACGAAGTGGCTGCGGCTGCTCAGAGGCTCCTGACATCACAGCAGCTGCACCAGCAGGACAGCAGGGAGAGGGCTTGCATCTCAGTGGCTAAAACTGGGTCACATGGCTGCCGCCAGCTGCAAGGAGGCTGAAAGGCAAGTCTCGGGCAGAGGGCAGTGGGATGCCTATGATTAGGCCAGTCCTGATTCATCCCTAGGGCTAGGCATGTGGCTGGCCCAACAGAACTGCTATTTTGGTAGCAAAGGAAGAAATAAGAAACAGCTTTTGAGAGTGCAGCCAAGAGTAAGTGTGACAAGGAAACATAAATATCATGTGCCGGCTGGGCGCGGTGGCTCGCGCCTGTAATCCCAGCACTTTGGGTCGAGGAGCGCGTGGATCACTTGAGGTCAGGAAATTTAGACCAGCATGGCCAACACAGTGAAACCCCATCTCTACTAAAATACAATAATTAGCCATGCGTGATGGCAGGTGCCTGTAATCCTAGCTTCTCGGGAGGCTGAGGCAGGAACCCGGGAGGTGGAGGTTTCAGTGAGTCGAGATCATGCCACAGCACTCCAGTCTGGGCAACAGAGCGAGATTCCATCTCAAAAAAAAAAAAACAAAATCTATGTGCCTCCCACTGACAGATATTCATTTTTTTGTTGGCATCCCCTACACTCAGAATATACATTCTAGGTGGGAATTTTTGTCTGTTTTGTTCTCTGCTGTATCTTCAAGATCTACAACCGTGTCTGGCACCGTGTAGATGCCTAATAAGTATTTGTGGAGTAAATGGCCAACCCTACGACGTGGGTACCCCTGTTAGCCCTGCTTTCTAGTTGTGAAACAGGCCCAGAAAGGTTCGGCAACTTGCTGGGGACACAGGGACCTCTAGCTGATGCAGCCTAGAGTTGAGCCCTTGGGGAGCTGGCCCCAGAGCTGGTGCACTCCGCCCTGCAGAGCCCTGCCTCTCCTGCTGGGCTGGGAGCCGAAGCTGGTGGTTCTAGGCTCAAATTCTTGCTCTACGGTGACCAGCTGTGTGACCCAGGGCAGTCTCCATCTCTCTGGGATTTGCTCCTTGTCTGCACAGAGAAACAAGCCTTTCCTCTTAAGGGTGCCTGTGCATTCCAGGAGGCGGTCATAAGCACAGCTCTTAACAGAGTCTGGCACCCAGCAGCTTCCTGGCTATTGCTGGCTATTGTTGCTCTCCCATATTATAGGGGGGGCAACCAAGAAGCAACCAGAAGATGTTCAATGTCACAGAGCCTGTGGGTTCAAAGGCAGGCCTATGTGAGTCTCCTGCTGGAGGAAGAGCTCTCCTGGTGTGGCCAGTACCTGGGCCTGCTCCTGCGCTCCTCCGGCTTCCCTAGCTGCCCTCTGCCCACCTCCCGCCCCCCTGCCCTGCTCTCCTAACCCCCCAGCCTCCTGCCCTGCCCCACACCCCCCCACCTCCCTAACCCCCTGACCCCTCTGTCCTGCCCCCCACCCCCGACCCCTGTGCCCTGCGCCCCCACACCCCCACCCTCCTACCCCCTGACCCCTCTGCCATGCCCCTTCAGCCCCCCTGCCCTGCCCTCCCACCCCCCCTCCTCCTGCACTGCCCCTCCCACCCCCCATCCCCCTGACCCCTCTGCCGTGCCACCCCACTCCCCCACCCTCCCACCCCCGACCCCTCTGCCCTGCACCCCCAGCTCGGCCCTGCCTTTGTCCTGCTTACCCCCTAGCAGAAGGTGTTGCCCAGGCACTGGCAGGAGGTGGGGCCAGGCCGCACACTGGGCACTAGTTGCTATTTGCCTTCCTCTCCATGGCCCCGCCTGGTGTGGGCAGAGGTGGCATGGGGCCAGGCGGGTGGTGGGGAGGGCACCTGGCTGTCCTCTCTTCTCTCCCTGAGCTCCTGGTGGTGCTGGCCAGCAACTAGTTTGCCCAGAATTGAGGGCTTTCCTGGGAAGCCTGACTTTCAGTTCTAAAACTGGGAAGGTCCCGGGCAAAGCTGGGTGAGTTGGTCACCATGGCAGCAGAAAACCTGAGCGGGATGGGGGTGGGGCAGTAGAAGGGACAGCAGGGAGTCAGGGCCAGGATCAGCCACCCGGGACAATGTGCTGCCCCTCCAGCACCAGACAGAACCGAGGGAGGATCCCTGTCCCCCTCCCACATCACTGATTCTGGGAGCCTTAGTTTCCATTTTGGTAAACTGATGCTAGAGATTCCCCGCCTCACAGGGATGAGGGATGGGGAACTGGGTGAGGAAATGAGCATAGAGCACTTAGCAGATGCAGACATGTGATTCATGGGGGATCACATTATTAGGTCTCCGGCTTCAAACCCAGCTTCCCGCTGCTCAGAATAAAATGTGACACCCCACAGACCCTGGAAGCACCTGCGATCTCAGACCGAATCTCCCCAACTCCACTGCTCACTCTGCTCCAGCCCTGTGGGCCTCCTGGCTGCCTGAGATTGGGCCAGGCCTCGCCCTACCCCAGGGCCTTTGCACACGCTGTTTCCTCTGCCTGGAGCACCATGCTCTTCCCCCTCTCATCTTTGGGCCTCAGCTTCAAGGTCACTACACAGAGAGGCCTTCTTTGTCCCTCTTATTTGAAGGAATATCTGTCTCCTTGGGGAACAGTCATCTCTTGGCCGGTTGAGTGGCTGCCCTGGGCCTGGTATGGTGCCCCACCCAGATCAAAGCTCAGGATGTGGTCGTGGAGTGGAAGAATAAATGAATATTGACCTGTGGAGGTCCCAATGGGCTGGAGAAAGAGCCCAGTGTCTTAAATCTCTTTCCTCCTCTGAGCCTCGATTTCCTCATCTGTCAGCAGGCATGAGAGGAGCATCTGAGTCCTTGGTCTCTGTGAGGCATGAATGAGGGGACAGAGATGAAGTCTGTTCAGTGCACTTGGCCAGCAGCAGGACTCGGGGCCTGGCAGCTCCCCTGATGGCACCCTGGGGGCACTCCTCCCCACTGTTTCCTCCCTGAGGCCTGAGGACCCCATGGGCGGTGGGTGCTGCTCCACGCTCCACACAGACCAGGAAGCCAAGCTTGGGGCCACCCCCACTGCCTTCTCCCGGGCACCACTGCCCACGGCTGGCCTCTCCTCAGGCCACAGGTCTGGCCTGGCTGCCCGAACTCTCAGCCTGGAGGCAGCTGAAGCGTCACATGCCCTTGGCCAGCCGTCTCCGGGGGGGCGGGTTCCCCTCGGGAGACTTCAGCACATTGTCAAAGCTGTCAAACAATTTCCCTGCCAGGTTTTTGCAGGAATCCAAGGCCTCGCTCCCAATGCCAAACACCCTCTTAAGACGATATCTCCGGGGCCTGCAGGCCTGCTCAGCGGCGCTGCCTCTCCTCGGCCTTATATAGTCAAAAGCCGGGGAATCCCTGTCCCACCCTGGGCTGGGATCTGATGGAAGCTGCCACAGCCTTGGCCTGACCCCGGGATCTCCCGCCTCCAAATCGGCCATCTCTGGCCAAGGGGCCGGGTGAGAGGCCTGGCATGCGCACAGGCCTGCGCGGGGCTCTGGGTGTCCCATCAGCTGGCAGCTGGAGCGGCCAGGCCAGCACAGGCTCTTACCAAATAAGGCCTGGGCAGCTGGGCTTGGCCAGGCTCAGACGGCGGCAGCTGGGCCAGCAGTAGCAGGCCTGCCTGTCTCCTCCTCCCGCACTGCCCTGCCTGCCCAGCAAAGACTCTGCAGACTGTGGTCCCCTCGACTCAAGGGAGAGCTCCACCCTAAGAAGCCTGGGTAGACGGTCCCGGATCCCCTGCCAGACGCGCTGCCATGAGGAACCTCTGGCAAATTTCCATTGGGAACCTTGAGGGAAGGCAAGGTGGAGAAACATTCCTAGGACTCCCGCTGCTGCAACGGGAGCCCCGAGCCAGGCCAAGAAATGACCTGTCCCTCCCCCAGGACCCCGCTCCCACTCCTGCATCCCCCAGGGTGTTCCGATTTGGATGTTGCTTGTCCCACCAGTCAGCCCCTTCCTGGTGCCTGGTCTTTGGGGCCAAAGGGCAAGGCTGGCCAAGCGGTTTGGGAAGCGGGCCCGGGCTCAGGAGCACACTGAGGGCCCTTGGGCAGTGACCTGCCCTCCAACTGTGGCTATGATGAGGAAGGCGCATGCGTGCTGGTTGAGGAGGGAAGACCCCCATGACCATGAGCCAGTGTGGGCAGAGGAATGGGCAGGGGGAGGGGCAGGGGGCAGGTCCTCCCTTAGGAGCCACTACGGGGCATGAGGCTCCTGTGTCTGCTCGCCTTGGTTCCAGCCAGCAGCTTTGGCTCTTGGAGCCTCAGTTTTGCTATCCTTAAAATGGGTGTGATACAAACGCTATCTCAGGGTGGCAGCGGGAGTTCAAGGGGACAAGATGCACACCTCTCAGGGCCCTGCAGGGAGTTCCTGGAAGATTGACAGCAGGGCGAGGGAGGGATCTCTCCTTTCCTCGGAGATGGGGGAGGCAAGGGCTCTCTTTCTGTCCCTGACACCCCCTCCTCAGCTCCTCCTGCCCTCCCTGCTGTCTCATTATCTTAGGTGTGATGGGGGCATGGTGAGGCCTCCCAGCCACTCCCAGTGCTGGAAGTGCAGGCGTGGGGTGACCAGCTATTGCACATGTGACTGCATGGCTGTGTGTGTACGCATGTCCCTCCCAACCCCTATTAGCACAACCATGGGAACGTGACCGTGCAGCCCAACAGCCAGGGCGCGGGATACTCGAGAGGGTGGCCCCGGCCTGGGGATGTCTGTGGTTCTGCTGCTGCTCATTTCTGAAGCCCCTTCATGAGTTCTGGGACTCCTGGGGGGATGGGGCCCACTTATGAGTCCCTCAGAGGCATTCAGTGCAAAGTAAAAATGTGGCCCCCCCTCCAAACGTTCAAAAACGACGAAGACTTTTAAGACGACAACAGCAGAGCATTAAACCAACAGGCGGCCCTTCTGAGTGTGAGGGTCCCTCTGCGACTGCACAGGTCACACCCCATGCAGCCGGCCCTGTCCCCTCTGCCCCTCTGCAGCTCAGGTGGGCGGGGCCTGACCACTCCAGCCTGGTCACTCCAGCCTGGCCTTAGACTCTGAGGTGAGTGGTGCCAGGACCTGCCGGTCAGCCTGGATTCATCATAGCCTCTGTTGTCCAGTAGGCTTGGCAAGAAGGGTCTGTGGAAGTTTATAAAAGTGACACCCCCCAGCCCCCAACCTGGGGAGCAGCCAGGAGCCCTATGTCAGAATGTGCGGCCCCTAATGAAAGTGCTCTTCCAGCCACTCTATTTAAGCCAGGTGAGTTTGTTCTCAGGGACTGGAGGCCGGCAAGGTAATGCAGCTGTTTTTAGCGTTTTAGCAGGAGGCAGGTGCTGGCCAGGACGCCTGTGACGCTGTGGGTGACGATGGCCATGACCCGGACACATACAGGTTGGGCAACCTGGGCAGAGCTGGTGTGCCTGGAGGTGGGGCGGGGGGGGTGCCTGGAAGACTGGTGTGGCCTGGATGTCCTGAGAGCGCCAGAACCTCTCCTTGGGGCTCCCTGGGTGGCTACCACCTTTGACTCTTGCCCTAGGGGCACACACTGCCACCTTTCCAGAAAGTTCTCTGGGATCTACAGAAACTGACCACCCATCCAGGTGCTTGAACGTGTCAACTGGTAACTTGCAGCTGTTCTGTTGGAACCTCTGAGATTCCAAGCAGAATTGCTCAGAACCTTCCGGATGCCCCACATGACATCCGCTCCCTCAGGGATAGACAGGGTTCGGCTGCTCATCGGGGTCTCCCAGAGCCTGGAACAGCGCTGTCCTAGAAGCCGTGAACAACCATCCTGCAAAGCTGGAGAAGCAGGGCATTTCCCCGCTGACACGCTCAGGACCAGGAGCTGGTGTGCGTCAAAGTCAGCACCAAGGCCGGTCCATGGCCTGTGAAATACTCGTCCCTCAAGATTGCATTTCAATGGAAAGACTGGCATTTCCCATTCATTCACCTATTTTTTGATGGAGGAAAAAGGTCTTTCTGAGTGGGGTGGGGTGCTCTGCTGCTTGGGGTGGTCCCCTCATCTTCCTTGCATAACCCACATCTCCAGTGTATCTTGTGCCTTTGCAGTTTCTCTTTCTTTGAAATGGAAGAGAGAAAGAATATGCTCCCAGAGACGGTAACTGGAGAGCTTCGGAGCAGACTTTTATACTCTAAAGTAAACTTGTCCTTTTCATTAATTAACTAACAGAGATTTATTTGGTGTGGACCTCACGCCACAGCCTGTGCTGGATGCTGAGAACAGAGGAAAAATGAGCCCAGGGAAATTGTGCCTGAGTGCAGCTAGGTCAGTTTTCTGTTTTACAAATGCAGGAACCAAGGCTCAGAGAGGGTGTGTGAATCACCTAAGGCCACACAGCGCCTGTGTGACAGGCTTTGGCCTGTAAGGGGAAAGCCGGCTAGAAGAGATGAGAAAATGGGGTGTCATTCACCAGCAAAACTGGGTTCAAATCCGCCTCTGGGACCTTGGGTAGGACCGGCCTGCCAAACACAAATGCATATCTGATTGTTCCCCTACCCCATTTTGTCTGTGTTATCTTATGTAAAATGCAGATTCCCCCATCCTTCCTTTATCCCTTTTGTTTATGTGGGTCCCCTCAAGCTTTAAGGGCTGTGCTCTGCTATAAGCTAGCCAACTTCTTGGAGCCTCAGTTTCTCATTTGTCAATGGGAACAATTACTGCTGGTTCCTGCGGTCACTCAGCAAATATTTGTTAAGCACCTACTAGGTGCCATGCAGCATTGTAGGCACTGGGATATAGCTGTGAGCCAAACACCCAGCACAGGGCTGATGTGGGAGCTGATGGGGTGGTGCAGCGGGCCTGGTCTGGGCTCCCTCAGCGAGCCAGGCCCAGGGCGCCCCAGGGCAACAGGGCTGCACTGCAGGTAGACTCAGCTTGGCAGATCCCTGGCCCTGGGGGCCGTCACATGGGGGCCAGGCCAGGGGCGTGTGGGAGCGGAAAGAGGATGGAGGGCAGGAAGGAGGGAGAAAGAGGGAGAAGAGAGGAGGGCACTCTCCTCATCCCCATCCTTCTCCAAAGAAGAAATGACGGCATCGTGCTCTCACCGACTCATCGTCCTAGTAGGTCCTTAGGACACCCAGCAAGCCAGACCTCCGTGTGACAGATGAGGAAACTGAGGCTCAAGGGTGACGTCACTTGCCTAGGATCACAGAATTCCCGAGGGGGATCTAGGCAGTCTCCCTCCACAGCCCAGTCTCTTCCCTTCGGACGCAATAAAAAAAGAGGGAAGGGGAGAGAATGATGGAAGGGGGGAGGAGGGAGGGGCAGCAGGAGGTGTGGGAAGCAGGAGGGGGAAGAGGCCCCTGGGAGGCTTTCTGGGCCCTGCCTTATTTTCCCCTCCCTCCTCCTCCTCCTCCTCTTCCTCCTCCTCCTCCTCCTCCTTCTCCTCCTCCTCCTTCTTTGAGACAGAGTCTCGCTCTGTTGCCCAGGCTGGAGTGCAGTGGCACGATCTCGGCTCACTGCAACCTCTGCCTCCCGGGTTCAAGCAATTCTCCTGCCTCAGCCTCCTGAGTAGCTGGGACTACTCAGCTCATTTTCGTAGTTTCAGTAGAGATGGGGTTTCACCATGTCGACCAGGCTGGTCTCGAACTCCATCCCCGCTTCTCCGGGGGCTTTTGCTCCTAGGGACTCGGGCTCAGCTGAGCTCCTGTGGCAAGTCCTGTGGGACTGGCATGGAAGACTCCTGGGCATGTGGTGGCTATGACTCTTCCCTGATGATGGTGGCCGCACCTTGGGATTGGCTTCTCCTCTCCGAGTCAGGGACCTGGCATTTTTGGCAGCCCTTGGGGGCTATTTTTAAACCTCACAGCTGGTTTTCATCATGGCTGCTGATAGGTACGTGTAGAAACATTGGCTCTTGCCAGCATTCTGAACAAACCTTGAAAACGAGCAGGGTTGGAGCGGATCAAAGTAGGGGCTCAGGGAAACCTGAAGTGGCAGCCAGTGCTTTGTCCCCACCCAGACCCTTGTAAGGGTAGGAGATGAAAGAGCACGGCTCAGGGGATGAAAGGAGGTGCCAGGGCAGGAGAGAGCCAGGGATTAGGCACGTTCCCTAGAAGATGTAGCTGAATGTTGGGACACAAGAGAAGGGCTCTTTAGCAGCTAGAGCCCTGTTATCCTCATTTTCCTTCTGGGAGGCAGCAAAATACAGAGGTTGAGAGCATGGATTCTGGAGTCCCACAAACCCGACTCCTGCCTTGAGTCCTGACTCAGCCTTTAACAGTTGTGTGACTGTGAGTGTATCAGTTAGCTACTGCTATGTAACAAATCGTCCCAAAACCTAGTTGCTTAAAACATGATTCTATGAGTTGACAATTTAGCCTGAACCATCAGTTGGATGGTTCTGGTGTGGGCTGGCATCCCTCATGCATTTTTGCAGTCAGCTGCCAGGTCTGCAGGAAGCTCTGACTATCATCTAGGGTGATGGGAACAACTGGTCTCTCATTCTCCAGCAGACCGTTCTCCTGATGGAGACAGGGGTCTGAGAGAGAGAGAGAAGAAACCTGCAAGGCAGTTTGGGGTCTTAGATTTGGCACGGTATCACTTCCAGCAATTCTGTTGGCCAAAGCAAGTCACAAGACCAACCTGACTCAAGAGTTTGGAAACCACCTCTGCCTTTTGATGGGAAGAGCTGCAAAACCATTTTGCAAAGGGCGTGGATACAAGGAAGGATGAATTTAGGTCATTTTATACAAATCTGTGTACCACACTGGGTACCTATATACCTCTCTGAGCCTCAGTTTCCTCATTTGTAACATGTGAATGGTTTGGCTTGTCAATCGGAGAAAACGATGAGACAAGTCTCAATCATTTTTGGAGATTTATTTGCCAAAGTTAAGGACGCACCTGGGAGACAGGTCTATGTCTTTCTCTGAAGATGATTTTGGGGGCTCCAAATTTAAAGGAGAAAGGGTGGGATATTGAGAAACACACAGTTTTCACATAAACAAAAGGGATAAAGGAAAGATGGGGGAATCTGCATTTTACATAAGATAACACAGACAAAATGGGGTAGGGGAACAATCAGATATGCACATGGGTCTGGCAGGCAGGGGTGACTGCACCTAAATAAAAGCTATAAATTGTTGTGAGAACTAAATAAGGTGAGGTATGTAAAGTCGCCAGCATAGTGCCTCATGCAGAGTAAGTGTTGATTCCTTGAGAGGAGGCTTACTTCTTGTCACCCCCTACCCCACTATCCCTGTGAAACACGACCTAGGAGGTCAGCTGCTCTCTGGAGAAATGCTGTCTAAAAAGGCAATCTGTAGTTGCAAGAAACCCACCAGGACTGGGAGCCTTTTGGTAAATATTTCTTTCACCCTCTGCTTCAGTGATAGAAACAGTAAGTCCCAGTTAAGCAGGATCAAAGTTTATCAGGCATCAGGACACACTGACTGCTGTCTTTCTGTCCTTCAGGCCATTCAGGTGTCTTCGCTCTTTCATTCAACAACATCAAGCACCTACTGTGTGCCAGGTGCCGTATTAAGTGTAGAGGACAGAGTGGTACTAAAAGACAACACAGTCCTTGCTGCCAAGGAGCCAACAGTTATAATGACAGCAACACACACCAGTTCAGGTCTATGTCCCTGTAATAAGGTAAGAACTTCAGGTCACAATCCAGATAATAAATATGGCATTGGTTTATTGTTCTTACTATCAACAGAATTGTGATTGGATCCTTATCCCACTAGGCTGGGTGGGGAGCTTAATCTCAGGCTGTCTCATATTCTAGTTGCTAATAATAACATCCAAGCCTCCTTAATAGCTCACTTATATTGAGGGGTTACTAAATGCTGGCCCCAGGGCAGGTCTTTCTTTCTTTTTTTTTGAGACAGGGTCTTGCTCATTGACCAGGCTGGAGTGCAGTGGCAAGATCACCTCTCACTGCAGCCTGGACCTCCTAGGCTCAAGCCATCCTCCCACCTCAGCCTCCCAAGTAGCTGGGACTACAGGCATGCACCACCACACCCAGCTAATTTTTTTTTTGAGATGGGGTTTCACCTTATTATCCAGGCTGGTTTTGAATTCCTAGGCTCAAGCCTTCTGCCCACCTCTGCCTCCCGAAGTGTTGGGATTACTGGTGTGAGCAACTGCGCCCGGCTGTAGGTCAGGTCTTTACAAGCATTTCATCCTCTTGCAGCAATCTGATGAAAGCATTTAGGGAGCCCAGGAAGGGAGGCAATGGCGATCTGGAAGGATGAGCTGCTTGTCCTAGGATATACAGCTATGAAGTTTTTAACCGAGGTCTGGTTGGATTAGGGAGGGGACCTCTGCCATGGGGCAGTCATGACAGGTGCGGGGCGCCATCGTCTCCTCCAAGGGTGAGGCGTCTCCTTGAGGTGGGGTTTACCCCATGGTTTCTGTTCTTGGGTGGCAGGGCCCTGAACTCCCGGGTGGGTGTTTCACCCTGGGAGGTGGCAGGGGTAGGGACAGGGTGTCTAAATCTCAGCAGAAACATCAGACGTGGCCACCAAGAATCAGCTAGATCATCCAGAGCAGCAGGCACAGCTTTAAGTGCACACGTCCACAGGCCTGGATGTTGTTTTAACATTTAATTTGGTCCAGCATCAGCCAGCTAAACCTGCTCCTTATCCTCGGCCTGGCTGGCAGCTGCCCTTCAGGGAGCTAAACCGACTCCTGCGAGTGAGCGGCCAGGCCTTTTCGGGAGCCTTCCAGGTGTAACTCTGGGGAGGGTCCACATACCTCAGTCACTCACCCACTTTTCACACCCATGCACACTTACCTGTGTACATTCACAGACACACTCACACACTACTTTTGTTTTTTTTTAGAGATGGGATCTCATCTCACTATGTTGCCAGGCTGGTCTCGAACATCTGGCCTCTAGTGATCCTCCCACCTTGGCCTCCCAAAGTCCTAGGATTTCAGGCGTAAGCCACTATGCCCAGCCACACTTCTACATGCATGCTGCTTCTTGCAATCTCACACACTCACACACACATGCACATGCCACTCCAGCACACCCACACATGCACACACACACACACCCCTCTCCTGAGCCACCCTGGGCCGCAACTCACCTGGCTTGAATTTTGCTTTCCTCAGTTGACCCTGGCCCTGCAGATTGAGAGGCTGCACAGAGTTGAGGCCGGAGACAAGAGACTTATTTTTCACCTGGCTCAGCCACCAGGTCTCTTGCTGTCTCTGGGCCTTATTCCCCTAACAAAAACAACAGTCCACATTTATTGAGGATGCTGCGGATACAGTCTTATCTAAGACTCACAGCAGGCTCGCGGGAAATGGAGGCTCGGGTAGGGAAAACAGCCTGTCCAAGGTCACTCAAGCAGTAACCAGAAGACCTAGGGTTTGAACCCTGACTGTGGAACTCTAGCTACTTTGCTGTACGATTTCCCAGCCCACTTCATTCTCCCAATGAGGGCATGCTGTTATAATCCCATTTCACAGGCAAGGAAGCTGAGGCTGGTAGCGTGCAATAGTGCCTCGCACTGGACTTCTCTCCCTCCCTTGCTCACAGTGGGTTTCTTCCTGCCCAGGGCCCTGGCCCGCTTTTTTCTCTCTGCCTCCCTACTTTGCCAAGTTCATTTCTCTTCTTCCTCTTGGTCTTACCCCAAATGCCATTTCTTCAGGAAGGCTTCTCTTACCCCCAAACTAGACCATACTCTCGCTTGAGGCTTTGACTGTGTGTTTTCTGTTTGCTAGTATCACACGTGACCCCCAGTGCCATGGCCTGAAGTACCTCTTGATTAGTTCACCTGCTCCTTAAGTCAGGCGTCTGGGTGGGCTCCACTGACCCTCTGTCCAGGGTCTCAGTGAGCCCAAGTCAAGGTGTCAGCAGACTGTGCCCCTTTCTGGAAGCTCAAAGGAGCACCTGTTTCCCGCTCATTGGGGTGGTTGGCAGGATTCAGGTCCTCGGTTCCTCCCTTTCCAAGGCAGCAGCCTCGGGGTGAGTCTTCCCTCTGCCGCCCCTCTTCCCATTCCCTCTTGCACTTTGAAGGGTTCCTGTGAGGACACTGGGCCCTCTCCAATGGTCCAGGATGATCTCCCCATCTCCAGGCCAGCTGATTCACAACCTCTGTTCCATCTGCTGCCCAAATTCCCCTTCGCCGAGCAGCCTAGAGTAGTTACAGGTTCTAAGACTGGGGTGAGGGCATTATTCTGCCCACCACACTTCCCTTGCTCTTTCCTGCCGCCTGTTTTTACTAAATGTGTCATTATATATTTGTGTGCGGGATTATTTGTTTTCTCTCTGTCTCCCTCCCATAAATATCATCTGCATGACTCAGGTTGGGTACATAGTGCCCGTACACAGGAGGCACCGAGTACAAATTCCCTGAACAGGTGGCAGCACTGGGGTCTGAACCTGCACCTCCATGTCATTCTTCACCAACAAAGTAGTTTGGATGCTCACTTTCTCCCCTGCCCCCCATCAGGTCGGCTGTGTCCAGTTGCACAGGCTGTAAACTGCACAACTCCAGGGCACTATTCACAGCTTAGTCTCTGTGATCCTCGCAGTTGGGTGGGATCCCTCAGGACCTGTAGGCTGAAGCTCTGCTCCTGAACCTGAGCCTGTGTTCTAAATCTGGAGCCTGTGTTTATAACATTGGCTGCTCCTAGAATCATCCAGAGGGCTTTAAAAAACCCTCCTGCCCAGGTCATGCTGCAGACCAACTGTGCCAGAATCCCTAGGGTGGCACTCGACACCCCAAGTGACTCGGAAGTGCAGCTGAGGTGCAAGCCTCCCTCCAGCAGGGATGCAGAGATAATTATGTAATAGAGGAAGAGCCCCCCCGCTCCCCACCCCGCACCCCCGTATACTTTGCATAACCGAGGCTGGGCAGCTTCCTCTCCCACAAGCCTGTTTCTTCACTCTGTGTGGCTGCAGCCTGGCTCTCTGGCTTCCTGTGGCCGATAAGCCGTCCTGCATCATTTACGACGCTGGGCCAACATCTGGCTGCCAGTGTGGTCACCAGTCCTGCTCCAGTGAGGGGGGGCAGTCATCTCTCCCGGTGACAAACTGCCTGCCCAGAGTGGCCTGAGGAGAGGGAGAGCAAAACCACATCATCGAGCCCCTTGCTCGGGACTCACTGGAGGGTTGCTGGATCCTAAGTTTTACTTGGCTTTGGGAAATTTGCTGGCACATTAGTTGCGAATATTTTGCTCTGAGGGTCTGAGTGCAGTCTTCGAGGTCTCAGCATCTTGCTTCTAGGGCAGGTGATGAAGTGCACTGGAGGCTGGGGCATGGCCGGGTGAGCTGAGGTGCTGGGAGCAGCAGGGACCATCTGGGGCAAACTGCTGCCAACACACTGGGTTTCTAGGGTGGACCCGGCCTGAGAAAGGACGGAGGGGGTGGCTTGGAGGGGCCCGGAGAGCGTGCAGGCCACAGATGGCACTGTGTCTGCACACTTCACCTTCTGTGAGAAATACTCATGACCCTCTTGCTCTGTCGAGCCCCGGCCGGGAGGTGTGTGGTTGCAGCCGCTTGGTCACGTCCCCTCATGTGGAAGGTACAGTCCCTATGGGCACACAAGCCCAGGGCTGGGCCCAGCACCCGCAGCTAGCCAGCCCCGGAGCCCCCCGAAGGAGTCCCCCAGGCCAGCACTCCTCACCTCTGGGCATCCACCTCCCCCTTTCCCAGAGGGCTGTGTATCTTTGGCCTCCTGTCTGGGGGCCTCGGCATTCCTTTTCTTTCTCTTTCCTCCTCAGTGAAGCTGGCAGTGGGGTGGAGACAATTCAGGTCTGACTGCCTCAGCAGCAAAGAAGGGGGGATGGCAGCTCATCCCAGGCAGACCCCGAAGGTGAAACATCCGCATGGCACACCAGTGCACTTGTGGCTATTGCAGCCCCATAGTCAAAACTCCGGGATGTCACCATGCTGAGGGCTCTGTCACATCCCCTGCTCTGGCTTGGCCAAGCTCCAGATGGGGACAATCACATGCCTCGCCTTGCCCCAAGAAAGAGAAGGAGATAATGGAAGACCACCCTTCTCCATGGTGCCACGTGGTGATGCTTGCTCTTGCTTACTGAGCACTCACGGGGGACCATTCTCAGCCTGGCTGCGTATGAGTGTATTCAGTTCTCACAACAGCCCTGCAGCCACGTAAATCCTCTTTGTACCCATCTTGTAGATAAGAACACCAAGGCACAGAGAGGTCAGGTAACCAGCCCGGGCCCGCACAGCCCATGGGGACAGTGCTGGTGTTGGGATGCAGGCCTGACCTCCCCAGGCACCCCGAGTCCTGCTGCCCCTTAGAAGGAGGCCCAGGAGCCTTGTCTTTGCGGGGCTATGAGAGGGGATGCTGCTGTTCCCACTGCAGAGGTCACAGGGGAGCGCTTCCGCTGCTCAAGAGGAACCGGAACTTTGGAAACCACATTCTTATCTGCCCCTCACAAGAGCGGCAACTTGGCAACACTCATGAGCAATTAGGGTTGGATGAGTCTTCAGGATGGGTCTTCATCTGCTTACTCGTTCACTCAATCATTCATTCACCTACTCTTTCATTTGTTCAGCCAGTGTTTATTGAAGCCTTCTCAGGCCAGTTGCTGGGCCATCTGCACAGCCATGCCGGGAATAAACCCACAAGCACGTGCTGTCTATGCTATGTCAGGTGGAAGGACGCCAGAGACAGTTAAACCGGGTAAAGGGCAGGAGGAGGATGGGACAGGAGCCTGCCTTAGGCAGGGTGGTCAGAGAAGGCCTCTGGGGAGGTGACATTTGAGCAGACATCTGAATGGAGAGAATGAGCCAGGCCCTGGGCGCAGGATGTGCCAAACAGAGGGAACAACCAGTGCAAAGGCCTTGAGGCAGGGGCGGCAGCAGGGTGGCCAGTGTGGCTGCAGGGCAGTGAACAAGAAGGAGTGTGGCGGGATGAGGTTGGAGGGGCTGTCGTGGGGAGGGATGGTCGGGCCGGGATGGGCCTGTGCCGCACTGTTGAGGGCTTTGGACTTGACTGAGTGAGACGGGGGACAACGGGGCCCATGAGATTGTTCTGCCTTGTGTTTTAAAGACTAGAGTGGTAGAGTGGGGCCGGGCATGGTGGTGTGTGCCTGTAATCCCAGTTACTTGAGAGGCTGAGGCAGGAGAATCGCTTGAACTCAGGAGGCGGAGGTTGCAGTGAGCAGAGATCATGCCATTGCACTCTAGCCTGGGCAAAAGGAGTGAAACTCTGTCTTAATAAATAAATAAAGACTAGGGTGTAAGGGCAGAAAGAGGGAGGAGGTGAGGAGGAGAGAGGTGTCAGTGGCTTCACATGACGAGGGCGGGAGGCTGTGAGAAGTGACCAGGTGCAGGGTGATGTGATGGTACAACCTCAGGGCTTGATTCTGACTTTGACAAAGGAATGCCTGTGGAAGGCAGGACACCTGGTGGAGTTAAAATGACTGTCCAGCCTGGGCAACATAGTGAGACCCAATCTCTACAAAAAAACTTAAAGTAGCTGGGTGCAGTGGGTCATGCCTATAATCCCAGCACTTTGGGAGGCTGAAGTGGGAGAATTGCTTGAGCCCAGGAGTTTGAGCGAAGCCTGGGCAACATAGTGAGACCCCGTTTCTACAAAAAAAGAAAAAATTAGGCAGGCGTGGTAGTCTGCACCTATAGTCCCAGCTACTCGGGAGGCTGAGGTGGGAGGATCACTTGAGTCCAGAAGGTCAAGGCCGTAGTGAGCCGTGATGGCGCCATTGCACTCCAGCCTGGGCCACAGAGCAAGACTGTATCTTAAAAAAAAAAAAAAAAAAAAAAAAAAAAGTTGGTTGCAGTGGCTCACGCCTGTAATCCCAACACTTTGGGAGGCCTAGGCGGGCGGATCACTTGAGGTCAGGAGTTCGAGACCAGCCTGGCCAACACGGTGAAACCCCATCTCTACTAAAAATGCAAAAATTAGCCAGGCATGGTGGCGCATGCCTATAGTCCCAGCTACTCGGGAGGCTGAGGCAGGAAAATCGCTTGAACCCAGGAAACAGAGGTTGCAGTGAGCCGAGATCTCACCACTGCATTCCAGCCTGGGCAACAGAGCGAGACTCTGTCTTAAAAAAAAAGTGTGCTTTTGGGTGGGTGGCTGATTATCAGGTAAGAGTTGGTGATATGTGATGACGTGGGGTCATCAGACTGGCAGAGAGGTTGGAGAACCAGAAACTCCAGAGGGCTAGGAGGTGAATGAGTGTGACTAGACATGCACCTGGGCAGCCGAGTCTCCAGCCTCTAAGCTCCTGTCCTGCCCTCTTCCAGGCCAGCAGATGCCCAAGTCTCTCCCGTCCCCACCACCTCCAGCCCTTTGTTGCTTTCACTTGAGCCCAGGAGGTGGAGGCTGCAGTGAGCCATGATCATGCCACCGCCCTCCAGGCTGGGCGACAGAGTGAGATCCCTTCAAGAAAGAAGACAGAAAGAAAAAAAGATAGAAGGGAAGGAATGGAGGGAGGGAGGAAGGCAGGCAGGCAGGCTGCAAAGATTTCAGCCTGAGCAGTGAGGGGCACGGAGGGTGCACCTGTGGAGATGGGAGATGGGGGAAGAGCAGGTATGAGGGAGAAAATTCTGAGTCCTGCTTTCGACGTTGCATTTGTCTGCAAGACTGCTTAGCTAATTCCTGAAAATTGGGTGGCTTAAAGCAGCAGAAATTTAAATCCCAAATCAAGGTGTGGGCAGGGCTGTTTCCGTCCGGAGGCTCTGAGGGAGAATCCGTTCCAGCCTCTCTTCCAGCTTCTGTGGGCACCAGAGATCCTTGGAGCTCCTTGGCCTGCGGTGGCATCGCTCTAATCCCTGCCACCGTCTTCACACAGCCTTCTCCTTGTGTCTCGGAGTCTCTTCTTTCTCCTATAAGGATACCAGTCATTGGATTTAGTGCATAACCTAATCCTATATGACCTCATCTGAACTAATTCCATCTGCAAAGCCCCTATTTCCAGATAAGGTCACATTCTGAGGTTCTGGATGAACATGAATTCTGGGGGACACCGTTGCAGGCGGTGCAGATGCGTTAAGATTAATATGTGATGATAGGCCCGCCTGGCGCTGCTGAGAAGGTGGTGGGCCCTGAGCTGGAGGTCAGCAGGTGGTCCAGGCTGGAAATCAAAATTGGGAGTCATTGTCTTAGCCATGGCGTGTCTGCCACTGTCCTGGATGTGACACCGAGGAGGGAGGGTGAACAGAGAATAGGCGAGAGGTCAGAGTCCGGGGCCTCCCCAGGCACCTGTTAGAAGAACCTGGGGATTCTGCAGGAGGCTGGGACCCACCCTGAGAGGTCCAGATTAAAGAGATGAGGTGGTAAGAGCTCCTCAGGGCATACGGGGGTGCAACTTGCATAAGCACCCCTGATTAAAGCTGGTTCGTGCGTGGGACCCAGTGACGCTCTGATGGCTGTTACATAGAAGTAGTTCAGTGCCTCCTGAAAGGACAGGTGTGAGTGGCACTTGCCATTGATTCTGATGAGCCTCCTCCTCCTCAGAGCACGGTCTTGCAGGGCTGTGCTTGCCTCCTGGATCTCCTCACTGTTGGAGGGCCCTTGGAGTCCCTGGGGGCCAGAGAGATTGTGTGTGCATGCAATGGGCAGGGCAGCAATTTGACATTCAAATTTGTTTTCTCAGCTCACCAGGGCTGCTGGGCCCCGGCTTGAATGGGCTTTAGAAATCAGATGACAAGGAGAAGTGTTCTTTGAACTTCCATTACCCTCCAGCCTGGCCCTATGCTGCTACCTCCCACCAATCCCCCACGACACCTTGGCCACACACAGGCTTTCTTGGGTTGTCTCAAACATGTTGAGCTCCTCTCAACCTTGGTGGCCTTTGAATGCATTCTTTCCTTCTTCTGGGAATCCTGTTTTCTTCCCCCCATTCCTCTCTGGCTGACTTGGATTCACCATTCAGTTCTCAGCTTCGTTGTCACTTTCTCCAAGAAGGCTTCCGTGATTGCTCTTCCCCCTGACCCTGAAGCTTGGGCTTGTCCACTGTTATAAGTTCTCATAGTTCCAATGCTTTCCCATCATTGCACACATCAGAATCTATTTAAATAATTATTTCTGCAGTTATTTGTCAATTGTATGTCTCTGTTGCTAGGATACAGGGACCTTGCCTGTCTTGCCTGCCATGTCGCCCCCAGCACCTATGACAGGGTGTGGCTCCCAATAGCTGGTCACTAACATCCGCTGGTGGAGGGATAGGTCTGGTTGGAGGGGAAGGTTTGGTTCAGTGCCCGGGGGTCAGGGGATATTCCTGATGGTGGCACAGCTATTTGAGAGAGGCCGCAGCATCTGATAAAGAAAATAAACCAGCCAGTTGGGCCACTGGACGCCTCAGTCACTGCCACCACGTCCACAGCCATTGCAGAAGGGGCAGCTCACTCAGGGTGGCCATGTGTGGGGAGACTTAATCCCGCCCCTATGGTGCAGATATTGAACCGTGGGTGCGCATCTGACCTAGGGGGAGCCGATCATTGGCGCCAACAGATGACCTGAGCCAGTCCAAACTCTCTTAGGGATTTAAGAAACCCTGAGAATATAATGCAGATGACGAGATGACAGCAGGGTGTGACGCTGATGGTTTCTGGGGCAGAGGCAAGCCAGGCAGGCCACGTCGGCCACCTCCTTGGCGCTCCCCAGGTATGCCGGGCACATTTCAGCCCCGGGGCCTTTGCACGGCCTGGAAGGCTCTTCCCCAGGCGGCTGCATGTCTCGCACCCTCACCTCCTAGGTCTTTGTTCTCATGTTCTCTTTTCAATGAGGTGTACGCTGACCACCTCTCTCACCACTTATAAACCTAATTCTCCCCCATAAACACTTGACTTCTCCCCATCATTTACATCCCCATCTGACATACTTGACTCCTTTTTGTTTTGTTTTGTTTTGTTTTTTTGTAGAGATGGGAGGGTCTCGCTATGTTGCCCAGGCTGGTCCTGAACTCCTGGTCTCGGGTGATCCTCCTGCCTTGGTCTCCCAAAGTGCTGAGATTACTGGTGGGAGCCACTGCGCCCAGCCCTTTCTTGCTCTTGGTTGACTTTCTTTCCTCACTAGAATATAGGAAACATGGCTCTAAGAGGGGCCGTGAGCATGGTCTGTGGAGTCTGGGAGACCTAGGTTCAAATCCCAGTCTCACCACTTTTTACCTGTGTGACCTGGGTGTGGGACTCTCTCTCGGGGCCCCCGTTTCCATCTCAACCAGGGTCACAGTGGGAGGCTGTCATTGAGGCTAAGGTCAAGGCAGGTGAAGGTGCTTTGTCAACTGGGAAGAATGGATGGGTTTGCAAAGTTCGCCCTTTGTTCTAGAAAGGAAAAAACGTGTGAAGCTTCCAGATGGGAACTTTCTGTCCCTGCATGTTCCATGCAGAGGCTCCATGGGGATGAAGTTCAATATTTCTTGTGGAAAGTCACTTCTCATCTCTCGCTGTGATTCTTTCAGAACTGAGGCTTCCTGGGTGCCTTGCACTGCAGCCAGCCACGTTCCAGGGAGCGGCAGCTCCTCGAACCAGAAGTTCTGAGATTGAATCCTGGGACTGTAACCTGGTAACTGCACTAGACAAATCTGGTTCAACTTTTATGTAACAAAGTTGTGAGTTGTTTTCAGTTGCCATGAACCCCCAGGTTGAAGGTCACATAACCTGGGCATGCCCAGACACACCAAGCATGCAGCCAGGGACGGAACCTAAGTGCTCGAGCCAGGATGCGGGGACTGAATTAAGAAGTGGACACTGCATGGCAGGATCCAGGATCCAATCAGATTGAGCCCTGGCGTCACCCCATGGCAGGATCTAATCAGATCACACCTCCTGGCATCACCTGATGGGAACAGCCAATCAGATCACACCTCATTATCCTATGCTTATAAAACCTGACCTAGCCCCCAGCCGGGAGACAGATTTGAGTGTTTCCTCCTGTCTCCTTGCCACTCACAGTAAACCTTTCTCGCTGCAAAAACGCAGTGCCTTGGTGTTTGGCTTTCTGCTGCATGTGGGCAATAGACCCAGTTCGGTTCAGTGACTGACCTAGTTGGCAGTGAGCTCAGCACATGACGCAGTGGCTCAGGACTCCACTCAGCAAGTTCCCTGGGACTGCATCCCTTTATTGTCCCATTTTCCAGGGAGGAAACCAAGGCTCACCATGGCGAAGGGGATGCCCGTGGTCACAGCGAGTGAGTGGAGGAGCGAGATCTCTAACCCAGGCGTGTGGCATACTCGACCCTGAGCACCAAAACATGCTTGCTAGAACCATGACAACAACGTCAACAACGACAAATAACAGTGACTGGGTGTTTGCCGTGTGCCAGGCATTGTTCTAAGTGCTCCGTGGGAACTACGCTGACCACCCCATGAAGGAAGTGCTCTTTCAGATCCCATTTTGCAAATGAGGAAACCGAGGCTAGCAAGCAGTCAGACTGGAATGGGAGCCCAGGAGGCCTGCCTGCAGGAGCCGAGAGCTCACCACTGCACCATGCATTTCATTCATTATCCTATGCTTAGTGTTTAGTGTTTATCCTACGTTTAGATGTTTAGTGGACCGTTCTGTCCTCTGACCCCAGCCGACAAGCTCTCCTAGGTTCTGGTGGTGAGAGTTACATTGGTTTCTATGATGTGTAACAAATTATCACAAACTTAGTGGCTTCAACAACACTCATTCATTATCTGTTTTAATGGGTCATGAGTCTGGCACGTTCTAGCTGGGTCCACTGCCCAGGGCCTGACAAGGCTGCAGTCAAGGTGGTGGCTGGGCTGCATTCTCATTTGGAGGCTCAACTGGGGAAAATCCACTTTCAAGCTCCCTCTGGTTGATGGCAGGATTCATTTCCCTGCAGCCATAGGACTGAGGTCCCTGTTGTCTGTCCAGCTGTTGGCTGGGACTGCTGTCGGTTTCTAGAGGCTACTCACAGGTCCTTATCACGTGATCCCTCCTGGGGCCCTTTCACACGTCCAATCTCTGACTTCAAGAAAGGCTCAGTTCCTTTTAAGAGCTCATCTGCTTAAGCCAGGCCCACCCAGAACCATCTCCCTTTTGAGGAACTGCAAGTCAACTAAGTAGTAATTTTCTCATGGCATGATACGCCACCATATCTACAGTCCTGCCCACATTTCAGGGAAGGGGGTTATACAGGGAGTCTACAGCAGGGGCTGGGATTCTGGGCCATCTTAGAATTCTGCCTCCCACAAGGGGATGGGGGCCTTTCTGTGCTGTGAAGGAAGACAAGGCTTCTCTCTGGAAGGATTCCCAGCCACAGTGCCTCAGAAAGAAAAGTTAGCAAGAGGCATGGGCCCCTTTCCAAAGCCTTCCCTCAGCCAGCTTTGGGAATTTCTCCAAGTCTTGGGCACTGTGTTTGGTAATCCAGTGTGGATTCAGCTCCTGTGTGGCTGTAACCTTTGCAAGAGAGGGAGATAGCACACTGCTAAGGGCTCTTTCTGTCTTGAGTGACACAAAACCAGACTCAACGGGTTTAAGAAAAACGATTTGTGTGTAACTGACATGGTCTGGGCGCTTCCTGCCTTCAGGCACAGATGGATCCAGGGGCTCAAATGCTGTCATCAGGACTTGATTTTTCTCCATCTCTTACTCTCCCACCTTTTTCAGTCAGCCCCTGGCAGCCCAGGGCTTACTTCCTCCCACCTCCCCTTCCAATAGAAAGTCAAATTCTTTCTTCCCAATAGTGGCGCAGAATTAACTCCTGTTGGACTGATGTGAGTCCTGTTCCCATCCCTAAGCCAATCACTGAGTCCTGCGGGATGAAATAATCTGATTGGCCAGGACTGAGTCACATGTCTACCTTGGGCTTTGAGAGTGGGGTTTTACCTCCCCAGACTACAGGAATTCAAGCTGTGGTGGTGGGGGGGGGGCCCTCTCAGAAAATCCTGAGTGCTGTTTCCAGAAAATGTGGCAATGCATACTGGGGGTGGGGGTGGCAGAAACAACAGTTGTCTTCCCCATCTGGCGAGAAAGTGGAGTGGTGTAAGCACCGCCCCATCCCACACCATCCAGGGGCCAGAAGCGACTGAGGGGACTATGAAGCCAGTGGGGCTGCGGGTGGAGGGTTGGGGGTCGGGGAGAGGGGAGGGGGAACTAGTAGCCGCTCCCTGAGATGGGTGAATAGAGGGAGGGGCAGCAGAAATGCAACGGTCTCAGGGGAAGAAGGAGACTTCCCAAGACTGGGAAGGGAAGGGGAGAGGAGGTGAGGGGGGTCTATGCCTGGGGAGACCGTTTCCCTAGGGCACTGTCGCCCAGCAGCACTGGCCTCCCCCAGTCTCAGGGACTCCAGGTGCTGCCAAGTTCTCCAGCCTCAGCTCAGCCAGAGGCTGCAGATCCACCCTGTCTAGGGGTCAGCAGCCTCTGACAATGAGCACTTAAAGGTAGACAGTGTGAACTGAAGACCAGCCAGCTCCTGGAATGTTCGTTCCACCTGGGGCAAGACCCTGAGTCTTTACATTACCTGGAGGCAGTGGGGCAGGACTGGCTGTGTGATTTGTAAGGCCCAGGGCAGAATGAAAACGGGGAGCCTCTGGTTCAGAACAATGGAGGACTTCCAGGCCGGGGCAGCAGAGCCTCACAGCAAGGCGGCACTCTGAGCTCAGGGCCTGTGGGGCTGCCCGGCACTTCCCTGTGGGAAATCAAGTTTCATTTGACTTAGAAAAACAGTTAAGTGATGCCTCCTGCCCTCACTGGGGTGTCCTTTTTACCCCGGGCACTTCTCCTGGGCTCCTGCGCTCCTGGCGCTGAGGTAAGAGGAGACACACGCAACCTTGCTGGCCTGGCCAGGAGGAGCCCACAGCCGTCATTTCAGACAGAGGAACCTGAGCCGGACGTGAACCTGGGTTCAGACACTGCCGTTGCTGTGGGTGAGCGGCTGTTCTGCCTGTGGAGCAGCATCGGGTGGGTGGTTGCCTGGCACCGTGACTGTTAGGAGAACTTCTGCATGGCCGGGGTGTACTTTATGGGGGGTGCGGCCCCCTGTAATCGCTCTGCAGTCTGGGCACCCTGTGATGGGGGCCTGGTCCTCATCTGCGGCTGCCTCGGCTGGCTCCGATGTGAGGTGAGGAGTTAACCCCTGCCCTAGGCTCCCTTGCTCCTCTTGCCACCCGCCTCCCCACCACTAGCCCCTGACTGCCTCCCTGCTGTCACCAGGGTCCCTTTGCTTTGTGCTGGGGGGACCTGCCACCTCCCCCTCCCCTATGTGCCCCATCTGAAGGCGTCCCGTGGGTCCCCAGGTGTAATCGTGCAGGAGCCTTCCCCAGCGCACATCCCTGAGTCTGCGGGCCAGGGCCTGTCCTCCTGGCCGCCATTGGCCAGAGGCGTCCCAGGGCTGTCCTGGGAATGTCTCTGGAACAGCAGGTCCTTCCAGTGCTGGGTTCCATCCTGCAGCGTGGTTAATGGGCATGTAGAAGGCACAATGTGCCCAGCTGCTGCCCAGGACAGAGTGGACATGGCCTGCCTGGGAGCTGATTCTCTTCTGGGAATGCGGGATGCAGAGAAGTACCATGGGGAACGGCGGACAGCATGCTGGCCGCAGGCCACTGACTAGCTTATCTCCTGTAGCTGCCTGGTGACAATTTGACTTTTCCCACAGTTCCTCCCACTGCCCTTCTTGACAATGGGGTGGGTCACTCTGACCTCTTGATTGACTTGCACTTTGACCAAAGGGGAACTCCGGGGGAGGCTGGAGGAGCCAGGCCTGGGATGAAGGCATCTGTTGAAAGCCGTCTCTGGGTTGCATTGTCTGAAAGCCAAGAGATGCCTGAACGAAGGTGGCTTTGTGGGCATGTGACTTGGGTGGTCATATAGACACCTGCACTCTGGAAGGACCCCACGTGCCAAAGGACCCCACACTCCAAAGGACCTCATGATTGGTTTAATGCCTTACTGGTCACTGTTGGTTTAAGGACTCCTTTGAACAGGGCCCTTTCGTTTTCATCTTGCACTGGGCCCTACAAATTACACAGCCGGTCCTGGCCCTGAGGTGCCCCCGCCATGGGTTTCTTACCAACAATTTGGGAATGTCTGTTTTCTCCTGAGTGATGTCCCTTGTCATGGCCTGCTGTGGGCAGTTCATTCATTCTGGTTCAGAGTCGGTCCTGAACCCAGGCTGCAGAGCCCGGAACCTCCTAGTCCACAAAGGGCAGAGGTTCCTCCTGAAGAGGCAGGGAGAGGACAGGGTGTGCTGTGTCCACATCCTCCTCCCCTCCCTAGACAGCACAAGTCCCCAAAGTGCTTGGGATGCGAGGGTGGCCATCCACAGGGACCCCTCGGTGGGGACCACACGTGGTTAGTGCCAGGATCTGGCCTGGACCTTGGCATACATCCCCTCCTGGCCTCCCTGGGGACGGGAGGGACTGACTGTGCCAGGGTTCCCAGGGCTGGGTTCTAAGGGAGCTTTTTAAAACCACTTCCTGGTCCGGAAAGAGGAGGACACCAATTAAGTGCCTGGCTGAGGCCTGAGACCCAAATGGCCTTGAGTCCAGTCTTTCACTTAAAGTCCAAGTTTCCAAGAACCTGTCAAAGATGGTAAGTGAGGACTGACTGAACATGACTTTTGTGATAGAAGAGAGGGCGAGGAAGAGAGGGAGAGAGAGAGAAAGGGTTTGTACCGCGTGGAAGGGGATGAGTCCTAGCCCGAATCCTAGCTCTGCTGCGGCTGTGGCTCAGGGCCTTGGCTTTCGTCTCTTGAAAGTGGGGCTACTGACAGTTCCTGCCCGAGGGGGTAGTGTGAGGAGGCACGGGGCCTGCGCCCGTGGAAGCTCAGACCCTGTGGTTTCTCTGTTACTTGAAATATAGCCAAGTTGGGATCTTTCCAGAGACCCCTCAATTCGGGACTTCCTCCAAAGGACACATCTTCCGACACTGGAAGAAGCTTTCAAAAGAGCTCCCCAAAGGTGAGGAAAAAACACACACCATATTTTAGTTACAGAGATGTGGGATTTGGGGAAGAAAGGCTGGAAAGGAAGTTTCCATTTTTTTCCTCTGTGCTTCTGTACCTCTGAGTGCCCTGCGGCTCCTTGAGCAGTTCAAGGGGCGGCCTTGAACTTTGAAGAGGAGGCAAAAGTCAGTAAAGAGAATCCTCGTCTATGCCTCACTTGGCTTAAATTTCCCATAATGTTATCATCCTACTCGATGACCAGGGTACATTTGTCCAGGCTAAGAAATCAACATTGCTACATTACGATTCACTAAATTCCAGACTTTATCTGGAGTTGACCAGTTTCTCCCTAATGTCCTCTTCCTGTTCCAGGATCCCATCCAGGGTGCCGCATCCCATTCAGTCGTCATGTCTCCTAGGCTGCTCTGGTCTGTGACAGTTTCTTACTGTTCCTTGCTTTTGATGAACTTGACCGCTTTGGGGAGTACAACTCCAATGTTTTGCGAAATGCCCTCCGATCTGAGTATGTCTGATGTTTTCATCATGGTTAGACCAGGATGATGGGTTTCTGTCACGTCGTATCAGTAGAGGGTACATGATACCCACATGGCCTTGTTTTTACTTTTAAGAAATTCTGGAAATGTCAACAATACTGCATATTTCTTATGGGATGTGTATCTGTATCTCAGCCATCGTATGTGGTAAGATGTTAACATTGCACTCTCCTGCAATCTGTCTCACTCAATCTCAGAGTCGTGGAGGTCCCCACACCAAAGGGACCCCTGTGGTTAACTCTGAGGGAGGGTGGTGGGGACTAGTTATGGTCCCCTGGAACCTGTGAATGTGACCGTATTTGGGAAAAGTGTCTTTGCAAATATAGTTTAGGATCTCAAGATGAAATCCCCCTGGATTCGTGCAGGCCCCAAGTCCAATGACAAGTGTCCTTAGGAGAGAAGAGAAGAGGAGACACACACAGGAGCAGTCTATGTGAAGTCGCAGGCAGAGATTGGAGCAATGGGGTCGCAAGCCTGGGACAGCTAGAGTCCCCAGAAGCTGGAAGAGCCCAGGAAGGATCCTCCCCTATAGCCTCTGGAGGGAGTGTGACTCTGTCTACACCTTCATTGTGGACTTCTGGCCTCCAGAACTGTGAGAGAATAAGTTTCAAGCAACGCACTTTTTAGTGACTTGTTACAGTAGACATGGGAAGCTAATACAGGCACCATAAATTGCTATTATTATTCTTATTCCACTTGTCCTTCAACCGAAGTGCACATCCCCATCTCAGCTGAGTGTAGCACAGCTGGGCTGTGTGCAAATTCCCCGTGACCAATGACAGTGCAATGTTAACATCTTCCTACACTCAGGGGCCTCTGGCTCTGCCGGCTGCCTTCCTGCAGGCCCTGTCCCTGGCGGGTGTAGCGCCCCCATCGCTACCTCCCTTGCTACATGATCTTTGAGGAAACTTTTCTGACATCCTGCAATCTGCCTTGACCAATTTCCTGGATGAAATTAGACCTCGTCACAAACATTGAACCATGCAGCTGCCTGAGTTCCTGGAGGCTGTGCCTCCCCCACTGGGTGTTTAGAAAACCGTCAGGCTCGGCCGGGCACGGTGGCTCATGTTTGTAATCCCAGCACTTTGGGAGGCCGAGGTGGGTGGATTACGAGGTCAGGAATTCAAGACCAGCCTGGCCAACATAGTGAAACCCCATCTCTGCTAAAAATACAAAAAATTAGCTGGGCGTGGTGGTGGGTGCAGGTAATCCCAGCTACTCGGGAGGCTGAGGCAGGAGAATAGCTTGAATCCGGGAGGCGGAGGTTGCAGTGAGTGGATATCATGCCACCCACTGCAGCCTGGGCGAAGGAGCGAGACTCCGTCCCAAAAAAATAAAAAAAAAGAAAGCTGTCAGGCTGAAGCGGGGGAGGCTGGCGGAATGCTCTGGTGTGTGTCCTGGGAACTAAGTCCCGGGGACTTCCTAGGCACAGCCTCCAGTTCACACAGGCAGGAGAAACCAGAGGGTACAAAAGAATGTTTCGTGTCTTTTGGGGTGAATTTGGCTAAAAGTGAGTCCTCAGGGGAGATGCTAGTGGGGAAGAGACCAGGGTTAAGAACTTATCTGAGGGCAACAGAGCTGCCGCAAAGCTCGCTCCACTGAGTACTAGCCACTGACCTTGAGCAAGCTACTGACCTTGAGCGAGTCACTGACCTTGAGTGAGCCACTGACCTTGAGCGAGCCACTGACCTTGAGCGAGCCATTGACCTTGAGCGTGTCACTGACCTTGGGCGAGCCATTGACCTCGAGCGAGCCACTGACCTTGAGTGAGCTATTGACCTTGAGTGAGCCATTGACCTTGAGCACGTCACTGACCTTGAGCGAGCAAGCCACCTGCCTCTCCAAGCCTCCCTGTGTTCATCTGCAGAAGGGGATAATAATGGTACTGGTAGCACAGGGTTGTTGGGAAGTGCAAGAGGGATGATGCTGACATTCTATGGAGCACTGTGTGTTGGTGCCGTCCCAGCACCCACTGGAATTGTGCAATACATCACGCTGGACATGAAGGGAAGGCAGCCTAGCATGCACCACCTCTGGCTGACTTGCTGTACTACAGAGGCACCTCCTGGGACTACCACTGGGGTAGTTTAGGGTGAAATCACCCAGACCAGGCACTAGCTCTCCTGGAGGAATCCACCGCTTTCCAATCCAGAGAGCGACTTGGCATAGCCCGACTCCTTCCTGCTGCCCTCCAGACCATGCGCAGGTCCTTTGGGTTCTAAATACTAGGCATCGGAGGCTGAAGTTTCCCGGGTTGACCAACCCTGGCTCCTTATCTCTCCTATGCCCATGGCCAAATCCTCTGCTCTATATTTTCAGTTGGTTTCTTGTGCCCAGGCCTCCTGGTCTGGATCTCCTTCCTTCCTGGCCCAGACTCTCCAAAGCTCACATTCTCATCTCCAAAATGGTGCAGGGTTGCCATGAGGATTGTGTTCCGGAAGTCCTTCTTTGCTTGCTTGGGGTGTGGATGTAGGAAGGGTCCTACTGGCATGAGTGAGTGGTCCACTACTGCTACCCAGGCCAGGCAAGGACTTCCCTGCCCCACCAGGTCACGGTGAGAATGGGTGTCAGCCGCTCATTGGCAAATGCGTGGGATCTCCATACTGGACAGGGCTGGGGAGCTCTCCAGCTGCCTCGCTGAACACCATTGCCTGGGTCCCGCCTGCCTCAGTAATCCCTTTGCCTAAGCCTTTCGCTCTGAAACACTTTGCCTGAACATCTTCCTGGATTTCCCAGCCCACCCTGATCCTCTCATTCCTCAAACCCATTTCAGGATTCACCTTCAATGACCAGCCCAGCGCCTGGCAGATTTTCCCTGCATCTTTGTGGCTTCCATGGCATTGATTTGAACTTGGCTTTGCTTCCCAGGTGACATAACGAGTATTTTTAAGACCCCCAAGAAGCTTCTGTGTACATTATTTAATCCTCACAATATCCCTGCCAGGTGGTGGTGTGAGTGTTACTGGCCCCATTTCACAGGGGGAAACTGAGGTCCCCAGAACTTAGGCTACCGCCCAAAGCCATGCAGCCAGTAGGGGGCAGAAGTGGGGTTTTGACCCCGTGCAGTGGCTATTCAGGGCCTGGGTTTCTTTCTGGAGTCCTTTCTGGAGCCTTTCTAGAGCCCTTCAAGCAGAGCAGGGGCTATTTAAGGTGAGTGAGGCCCTTCCCTCAGGCACAGAAAGCTGATCATCAAGATAAATACCATTTTCATGCCAAATGAATGCAAAAAATCCATGATGTACAAAATATCGAAATGTTAAAGTCAGGATGCAACCCTGCCCTTGCCCCACCCGCCTGCCTTACTTGCCCTCCCTACATCCAGCCCTGGCTCCAGTAAAAAAATATTTACAAAAACAGATGACCAGCCTGCGGGCCGTCGTTGAACGATTTGAATTTTCATATAAAGGTTTGAGGTGTGTGCTCTTTCCCCACCACCTGCACCCCACGTTTTTATTATGAAAACTTTCAAGCATGCAAAAAAAGAGGAGAGAAGAGTTGGATAAACACCTGTCTCCTCTGTCCTTTTTATCCCCCACCCTGGATCCTAAGCACCTGAAGGCACGACATAGTACCTTAGACTCATACTGCTCCAAGCAGGGGCTTGGAGTGTAGCGGTATGAATACTTTGTACCAAGGTGGCATTTCTGGTCCACCCTGACCCTCTGGGTCAGAATCTGCATTTCTAAGATTCCCTGGCATTCTCCGGCACAGTCAGGTTTGAGAAGTGTTGGCATGGTGCATGCTTTGCCAGGAGACGGGACCTGGGTCCACATCCTAGTCCCGGCACGTTTTGAGTGTTCAGTTTGGCAGTGATTGTTAGGTGCTGGACCACCTGCTAAGTGTTTCCCATACAAAACTCATTTAATCCTAAATAACAACTCAGTGGCTCTCAACCTGTGGTTCTGCTCTCCAGGGGACACTTGGCAATGTCTGGAGACATTTTTGGTTGTCAGTCTGGGGGCGGGGCTGGATGCAGTGGCTGACGCCCGTAATCACAACATTTTGGGAGGCTAAGGTGGGAGGATTAGTTGAGCCCAGGAGTTTGAGACCAGCCTGGGCAATACAATGAGAACCTGTCACTACAGAAAAGTAAAATAAAAATTAGCCGGGTGTGGTGGTGTGCCCCTGTGGTCCTAGCTACTCAGGAGGCTAAGGCAGGAGGATCCCTTGAGCCCAGGAGATGGAGGCTGCAGTGAGCTATGATTGTGCCACTGCACTCCAGCTTGGGTGACAGAGAAAGACCCTGTCTGAAGAAAAAGGGAATAAGCCCAGGGTGGGGGTGTTGTTGGCATCTAGTGGGTAGAGGCCAGGAATGCTGCCAAATCCCCCACAAAGCATGGGACAGCTCCACCCCATAGCAAAGAATGATCCAGCACAAATGTGAGTAGGGCCGAGGCTGGAACACTGTGCAACTGCCTAGTGAGCTGGTCACTGTTATGATCTCTGCTTTGCAGAGATGGAAACGGAGGCTTAAAGAGGGGAGGGTTCCACAGCCACCACCCAAACGGTAGGTGGAGGGGCCGTGACAGACCCCTCGGAGGGTGGCTGTAAGAATCAAATAGGTCCTTTGATCAATTTTTTATGAAGCAGCTACTCTGTGTTAAGTCCTGGGATCATGTAGTTCAGTGCTGGCACACAGTAGGCATTCAATAAATGCTGCTGCTTATCACAACAGAGCTGCATAACATTCATTGAGCACTCAGGAAGGACATCGTGGCCATTGTCCATGAGGCTCCAGTGACACTGTTCCAGCTCTGTTGTGTGGTGTTCCCATTTGGCTTCCAGCAAACACAGGATGTCCCTGTGGGCAGCTCGCTGGTGCTTCCCTGCTCTTTGGCACCACATTCCAGCTCTCTGTGCAGAGCCAGGCTGCCCAGCATGCTTCTGGAGCCCTTGGATTCACTTCCCGGGCTGTATCCCAGCCCAGCCCATCTGCTGTCCCACCAGGGATGTGCATCTCCACAGGGTATCTACAGTGCTGTTTGTAAACCTCAGGAAGCCGGATTCCTGGGATAGGGCCCACATTCCCGGGGCAGCGGCTCCTAGAAACACTGGCAGCCTGGCAATATTCCGACATACTTATACTAAAAAATTATTCACTGCTTATCTGAAATTCAAGTTGAACTGGGCATTGTGTATTTTATCTTAGCCCTAATTCCTGGACCACCCTCTTCTATCTCCCTTTCCCTGCTTTAGTATTTTATAAACACTTTTTTTTTTAGACGGAGTCTCGCTCTGTCACCCAGGCTGGAGTGCAGTGGCGCGATCTCAGCTCACTGCAAGCTCCGCCTCCCGGGTTCACGCCATTCTCCTGCCTCAGCCTCCCAAGTAGCTGGGACTATAGGCGCCCGCTACCACACCCGGCTAATTTTTTATATTTTTAGTAGAGACGGGGTTTCACCATGTTGGCCAGGATGGTCTCGATCTCTTGACCTCGTGATCCGCCCGCCTCGGCCTCCCAAAATGTATAAACACTTTTTATTGTGAAATATACATACAGAAAAGTGTAAAACATTTAAGAAACCAGATGAGTGAATTTTCACAAAGTGAACACGCCTGGGTAAGCAGCACCCAGATCAAGAACTAGAACATGATCCCAGGAGCCCTGTCGTGCCCACGGTTCACCGCTCCCCCACCTGAGGGCAACCACAGTCCTTTTCTGAACTCCACATGGTGACTTTTCCTGCTCTGGGGTGGTCCGGGTGTGGAGGTGCAGTATGTTCTCCTGGTCTGGCTTCTTTTGCTCACACTGTGTGTGGGGTGCATCCCCATGGCCGGGTGCCTCATCTGTTCTCATCCATCTAGAATATTCCATGGTCTGTTGCGTCACCTTTTGTTTCTCCAAACCCTATTGATGAGCATTTGGATTGTTTCTAGTTCGGGCTACTATAAATAAACTGCTAAGAACATTCTTGCGTGATCCTGATTTAAATTTCATCCTAGCACGTAGACTCACCAGTTATGGTAGACACTGAATTGTTCTGTATTGCCATCTTCCCCATTCGCGCCTAAGCCCCATGGGACCCAGGCTGTCTGGATCACCCTGGTAACCAAGCCCCTCACACACTGCTTGCACACAGTAGGTGCTTAATGTGTGTCTGGAGGATGAAAGAACACCAGCTCCCCACTCCCCAGGGCGTGTGTTAAGGGCTCTCAGGGACGGTGCTTATCAAGGGTTAACCTTGGGGCGCAGAACTTGAATTTGCATGCACTTTGACTACGGACCCCAGACAACTGCCAGGCAAATCTTAGGGAAATGAGCCCCTTAGGCTCTGGGAGAGGAGCAGCCCAGACTGGGGTGTTGGAGGGACCTGCTTCCTTTCCGCTGGCTGCCTGTCCCTGGCTCCCACCTGCCTGAGTGTCCTTTTTATAGCCGGCCATGGGCTCCCCCGGCTCTCCCCAGACAGTCGCCAGTGGGAACATTCCTGGGGCTTCTCGAGTGCCTCCAGGCTCCCGCCCTGATGGCTGAGGTCTGGATGATAAAGGACAATTAGGGATTCCGACTCCAGCGCCCACCTGGCCTGGCTTCTATCAGAGTCCTGTAAAAATAGCCTGCCTCTGGCTATTTTGGGTCATGGAAAACCACGGGGAGACACACTGTTCTGAGGAGGACCGAGAAGGGAACCCAGAACAGCTAATCGCAAGCAAGCCCAGCTGCTCTTCCAGCAAAGAAGAATGTTGCTGAAGATCGCAAATTAGCAGCTCTATGTAAGAATAATGGCACGGTGCACATGCAAATGTACCCCTACACACACGCACACACAGAGCACTCCCTCCTGTCTCCGCCTGGGCCACTGGCCCGCAGAAGCTGGCTTGCCTGGCCCTGGGACATTTGAGCTCGGCCCTGGGATGACTTGGCTGGGGGTGGGGTGGGTGGGGGGGAATTCCTTGAGGAGAGTCTTGCATGGCAAAGGGCAGCCAGATTTCTCACTGTCAAATGAGGCATGAGGTTCACTTTGAACTCCTAGCTCATCTAGGTGGAAAGCTCTACCTTCTATGCAAAGAACTCTCCCATGAAATGAACTCAGCCTCTCAAAGTCTCTTTGTTTAAAGCTAATTTAAGAACATTTTAAATGAAAAGGGGGTGCTAGAATCCCACCACCAGCTCACCCGGGTTCCAGTTTACATATTCCCTTCCTGATCCACCTGGGCGTTGTGCATCTGGTCTGTCCAGGGGCCTTAAAGTGACAGGAAGAATAATGAATGTTGTCAAGAGTGCAGACAGCTGGCTGCCGGCACCGCCCTGAGGTGAACGCAATGGCTTCACAGCTTTGCTGACCAGAGTGTGAGAGGCGAAGCTATCAGCGCCCTCGGCCCTCGGCCTTCCTCCTACCAGTGAGCCTCTTTCCCCATCTGTGACATGGAACAGGACCTACCTCACAGGTGGTTGTGTGGATTCCCATTAGATGAGGGTTGAGTGCAGGGCTGGGTTAAATCAGCGGACCCTGCAGGCTGTACCCTTAGCTTAGCTTAGCCTCTCAGCTGAAGATTTAGGTCATTTTAAATAGTCCTTTGTTATCTGAAAGGGCTCTGGAATTCTGCACCCACAACCTCCTTCCCTTCCCTTTTCTCTTCCCTTCTTCCCCTTCCCTCCACTCCCCACTTTTCTCTCACCTTAGGTGAGGTTCCTGGAAGTGGCACGAATACATTTTGCAGACCTGGCTCCAAGGACAACCAGCCAGGCTCCTTCAGGGGGCTGTGATCTCTGCGGGAGGGGTGGGGGCTGAAGGTCCCTGACCCCTCAACATCTGCCCAGCATCCGCCTGACCCTAGCCTAGTCTCACCTGCCTTTTGGACGGGAGCCTCTCTGCCTGTGCACCGGAGCTGCTCAGCGCCCACAGGCCCGTGCGGGTGGCAGCACTGCTCCTGTCCGGCAGCTGCTGGGGTCCTGCAAAGGGGCTGAGTTAGGAACCCCCATCTAGGGCAGAAGAGAAGCCTTAATTCCCTGGGGCAGTGCAGGGAGAGCCATAGCCTGCTTTCCCCTCTCTCCCTCCCTTCCCTTCTCTCTCATTTTCCCTGCATCCTCTCTCTCTCTCTCTCCCCTTTCCTTTTCTCTTCCCTCCCGTCTTGTTTCCATTTCCCCTAATCTCCAGGGCAGGCACAATTGTGCTGGCCAAGTGCCCAGTGGGGGTTTGGAGTGGGGGTCGTTTAGCTTCTCCTGCCCTGGAAACTAAACTGCAGTGGGTTGGGAGCCGGTAACAAGGATTTACGTTTCGGGGTTGCCCTCACCATTTCCTTTAACACATGAGTCCAAGGTGGCCGCACTGGCCGGTGGAGATGGAGTGGCAGCTGCCACACTTCCCGGATCTCCCCTCTGTCTCTAGGGTGATGCTTGGGTGGGTGAGGTTGGGGGATGGGCTTGGGGCCTGCAGCCTCCCCACAAAAGCCAGCTGTCCAGAATTCGGAGGCCAACAGGGAACAGTCCCCTGCCCTGGCCCAGGTGTCTGCCTTCTGAGTGGGCCCGGGGGGCCTGGGCTATGCACCCCCAGAGGTGGGACCTGCCCCCAGGATCACGGAGACATCCTTGCTTGGGGGGACCATTCTCTCTGTGAGGACTGTCTGGAAGAGGGCAGGCATCTGGGCCTCGCCTGTCCCCCTCCCTTGCGAGGGAGTAATGAAGGAAGTTCTGGCTGCCCAGGCTGTTCTTTCCAAGGGACACTTCGTGAATGCAAGAGCCAGGACGATGCTGGATGGCACAAGAGCAAGGCCTATCCAGGCCCCTCGGCCTCCCAGCCAGTGGCTTGTACCCTCTGAGCCTCTGCCTCTCCCCTACAGGGCTGCAGGATGGACTGGGTGGGACCTCGGGGCGGGCGCTAACCAGGGCAGCCACTGCAGTACTTCTGAACTTGCAGAGGGGCCAACCTAGACTTCAGCAGAGATGGAGCAAAACCACCTGAGCGTGGGGGTCAGAGCCTGGGCTTAGGGATTAGGTGAGCACCTGTTGGAATCCTGGATCAGGGTCCCATGAGCCAGCGTGGCTTATGGTCCTTAGGCACCCTTTCCACCCCTACCCCAGGCCCTTGCTGTCCCCTGCCTGGCCTCCCTCTCTCACAAGACTCTCTCCTTTTGCTCAGTTGTCAAATTCTCTCACCACCCCCTTAAGAAATGATTAACTCACCCTCCTCTTCCTAGAGCTCCCTGCTCCCATTGCTGCCCTTCCTCCACAGCATGGACACCCTCTGTGCCACCTGGTATTTCACTGACTCCTTTAGGCAAGGACTCCATCCCTTTTATTCCTTGCACTTAGAATAGCACCTGGTACACAGCAGGTGTTCCATAAATATTTGTTCAATACACTTAATAAATGGGGGCTGGAGCGGTGACCACACCTGTAATCCCAATACCTTGGGAGGCCAAGGAAGGGGCATTGCTTAAGCCCAGGAGCTCAATAGCAGCCTAGGCAACATAGCGAAAAAATTAAAAATTAGCCAGGTGTGGTGGTGGGCACCTGTGGTCCCAGCTACTTGGGAGGCTGAGGTGGGAGGATTGCTTGTGCCTGTAAGCTCAAGGCTGCAGTGAGCAGTGATCACACCACTGTACTTGATATGGTTTGGTGGTGTCCCTACCCAAATCTCACCTTGAATTGTAATAATCCCCATGTGTCAAGGGCAGGGCTAGCTGGAGATAACTGAATCACAGGGGGATAACTGAACAGTATGGGTTCCCCCGTATTGTTCTTGTGGTAGTGAATAAGTCTCACAAGATCTGAAGGTTTTATAAATAGGAGTTCCCCTGCACAAGCTCTCTTGCCTGCCGCCATGTAAGACGTGACTGCTCCTCATTCGCCTTCTGCCATGATTGCGAGGCCTCCCCAGCCATGTGGAACTATGAGTCCATTAAACCTCTTTCCTTTATAGATTACCCAGTCTTGGCTATGTCTTTATTAGCAGCATGAGAATGGACTAATACAGTACTCCAGCTTGGGCAACAGAGCAAGACCCTCTCTCTAATAATAATAAATAATGATAAATGGTATGGCTTATGGTTCATCGCCAACAATGGAACCACATTTTGATCCTGCATCCGAGTTGCCAGAACTTTCAGGTACCCGTGCAGCAGAGATTTCCCATCTCTGGAATAAAGAGCAGGAGGAGGATGATCACTGCACAAGCAGCCGGGGGGCCTCACAGGTCCCTACATCCTGGGAGTGTACAGAGAGAAGAAAAGGAAGCTGTGGACTCGCCCCCACCACTCTGTGAAGGACTCACTGAGTTCTGAAAGCTTCCACAAGTGTCCGGGCAGCCCCTCAGCTCTTCACAGCAGGAAGCGGATGTGCAGACAGCCATAGCTCATTGTTGCAGCCTGGCATGTTTCATTAGTGGTTTCACAATCCACACTCTGGCCCTCTCTTCCTCTCTGCCTGCGGGGGGACGCTGGGGAGGCGAGTTCTGCCCCACAGCCTTGCACCTGAGCTCCGTCTGCTCCACGTTGCCTGAGCTCTAGCTCCCAGGGAGCGTCTGAAAATGCCCTGGCCAGAATCCCTGGGGAGCTGCAGCAATCCTGAACCGGGCCTCATCCCAGAGTTCCCGTGTATTTCATGCAGGTGTGGCTTGGGCACTAGCAGTTTTTAAAGTTCCCTAGGGAATTCTAATGCACAGCCAAACTTGAGAATTGCCCTGTTAATGGATCTTAGTGAATAGAAATAATATTAACTATCCTTTATGAAGCTGCTTCTGCCTGCCAATGCTTCTTCGCAAATGTCCCAAATCGAGCTCCCTCTGGGGGCCAGGCAGGGTGTGTAATTGGAAGAAGTGGACTGAGGGAGAGACAATAGGGAAAAGTGGGGACTGTGGTGAACTGGGGAACCACGGCCCATCCCAAAGGGGCAGCCACGGCTCAGTACAGCTGATTGTCAACACCCCAGAAAGCAGATCCAGTGGGTGAGAGCCTCCTACGAGTTAAGAGAAACAGGAAATCTGAATTTTAATGTGAAATTTGCCAGTTAAAAAATATTAGCAACTCATGGAGATTGGATGGGAGGCGAATCATGCTCCTTGGTTGAGTGGAGCCTGTGGGTGCCCAGTTTGAGGCCCTTGCTTCAGGTCCATTTATTTTTTCTTTGCTGCAATGTCCATGGGAGCTAGATATTTCCTATTCTCTTTTTAGAGGTGAGGAAACAGACTCAGAGAGGTAAAATTGTTTCCAATTTGCTGAGGTAGGCAGAGTAATAGCTCCCAAAGATGTCCATGTCCTAATCCCTGCAACCTGTGATGTGCTACCTTCCTTGCCAGGGGAATTAAGTGGCAGATAGATTTAGGGTTGCCGATCAGCTGCCTTTAAGAGAGGGAAGTTATCATGGGTTGCTGGGTGGGTCCAGTATAATCACAGGGGCCCTTTAAATGTGGAAAAGGGAGGTAGGAGGGTCTGTGTCAGAATGAGGAAGACAAGACCAGTCTTTCCTGGCCTTGAGGATGGAGGAAGAGGCTATGAACCAAGGAACGCAGGCTTCTAGAAGCCAGAATAGGCAAGAAAATGGATTCTTCCCCATAACCTCCAGAAGGAGTGCAGCCCTGCCAACACTTGGATTTTAGCTCATCTTAGACTTCTGACTTCCAGAACTGTAAGAGAATCACTTTGTGCTGTTTTAAGCCACTGAAGTTGTGGCAGTTTACAGCAGCCCCAGGAAATGAACGCACCTACCCAGCTAAATAAGAGACAGTGTCAGGATCTGAACCCAGGCCGTCTGACTGCAGAGCCCGAGATCTGAGCTAGTCCCTGCACCTCTGAAAGGATGGACACACCAGAGGGCCTGGATTTTCTGGTACAACCCTGATCTCAATATCTGCTTCTTTGTAGGAGGATGAGTTTGGGGAAGTATAGCCCTCGGCCTAGGGGACAAGAAGGGGATTTGCTCATCAAGTTGATGTCTGCCCAACAGCTGTCGAGCCCCCATGTGGCAAGGACTCTTAGATGGCTCCAGGATCCTTTCTCTCTGTAGTAACAAGCCCCTGAGTGTCAGGTGGAGGCCCAGAACGCACCCTCCATTTCCCGCCCCCCTTGTGGTTAGAGATTTGGATATGGTCCTGTGGCTGGCATCCGGCCACTGGGGGTACTCAGAGGCACGGGGAGGGCCGAGTTGGGGGTGAACCATCCTGGATTATGCAGACAGGGCACCATTTCTGGCACTTTCTGGCACAATTTCTGCCATATTTTGGCAGCAGCTGGCCAGAGTGGGATCTTAGAAGGGTCAGCAGTCATGGTGGAGGGGGAGGCTGGCATTGAGCCTTTACTAGAAGCTGTCTTTGAAACATCACATCTTTCTCTCCCCAGAAGGTCTGTCACTTGAATATTTTCCTTTATTAGTTAAATGAGGTTTGGCTACAAGGGGCAGAAAACAAAACAAGCAGAAATCACAATCGCTCTTTAAAAAAGAAACGGGATTCTCCTGGCATATTTTTCTTTCCTATAAAAATGAAGTCCGGGGCAGCATTCCAGGGCCAGGAGGAGGTTCCACAAAGTCTTTAGGGTGACTCATGACTCTGCCATCCTCAGGGTCCAAAATTATTGCGTGAGCTCCAGCCATCACATCTTCTTTCCAGCCAGGAAAAAGGAAGGAACAGAGAAGGATGTCCCCTGTTCCTTTAAAGAACACTTGAGAAAACTTCTGCTCACCTCCCTGTTTCACGTGGCCATACCTCACTGCAAGGAAAATGTAGTCTTTATTCTGGGTGGCCATGCAACCCCCTGAAAACTGGGGGTCTTACAACTAGGGCAAGAGAGGGCAAGAGTGGATACTGCTGTAGTCTACTCAATCAGATCTGTTCCGGCCACGGGGAGGAGCTGAATGGAACAGCATCATTCCATTTAAGGCAATTGGCTATGCGTTCTTGGACAAGTCACCTGATCCTTCTGGGCCTCTTTTTGCTCATCTGACTAACTAAAATCAGATTAAAAGGTTTTTAGAGTCTCCTTCAGTAGAATCCTTCTATGGGTCTAAGAATTGTCTCATTTTTAGCCATAGACCATATCAAGATGTAGAGACACTGGTGGGTACTGCCTGAGTGTGGTATCTTCTGTGTCAGACTGACCAGGCTTCAGGTCCTGTGGGGCCTGGGAAACGTCCTTCCTCCTCTGAGCCGGGTCCCTCCTGCTGGCCAGACTCGGATGAAGTGACTGTAAAGTTCCCAGCTTGCCACTCAGCAACTCTAGCAACACCAGCAAATTACTAACATTCTATTAATAAAAACGACAGAGGAAATGCACCTGTTTCCTATTGCTGCTGTAACAAATGCCCACAAAGGTAGTGACTCAAACACCACACATTTATTCCCCTCCAGTTCTGGAGGCCAGAAGCATGAAATAGACTCACAGGGCTGAGGGCAAGGTGTCTGCCGGGCTGTGTTCCTCTGTTTCCTACCCACTTGGGCGCTGGCAGAATTCAGGTCCCAGGGCTGGAGGAATGACCTCTTTGGAGGCTCAGTAAAGAGCTCCTGGGATTATATTAGGCAACAGGTTGGATTCAGTTTTAGGAACAGAATTGCCATTTGGAAATTATGCTCCAAATTCTGCTAGATCTGAATTTTTTGAAGTAGCCAGTGCAGACACAGAAGGGCAGCTGTGAGCTGGGGTCCCAAGGAAACTTCAGAAAGCCGTGTCCATAGCATCTTCCTTCCGTGGATCCCGAGGAGACCTCTGGGCCCGTCCGGGCTTCCCCCCGCCCAGCTTCAGCCGTTGTGGTTTCAGGCCCGCGGGGGGTCCCTGCCTCCCTAGATTGTCTCTGTCCCGCTCCCAAGGCCATTCACTCTTTCTGGCACTCACATCCCCAGACACGCCCCCTCCCACCCAAGGCCCAAGCAAGTGCCTCACAGCCCTGATCCCAGCCGCAACAGAGGACAGAGTGGAATCTGGGAGTTAAACACCAAATGGCCAAGGGTGGTTTTCCACTGAGACCTAGAGCCGAGGGGGCCATCAGCACCCGTTCTCTGAAGGCGGCTGGGGCAGATCCAGGGCAGTCGAGCAGGTGGACTCTGGCATCACCCTGCCCAGGCTCAAATCCCAGCTCCATCTTTGAGCTGTGTGACCTGGGATATGTTTCTTAACTTCTCTGTGCCTTGCTTTTGACATTTGTAAAAGGTGGATCATGATGGCATTTTCCTCCCAGGACAGGTATGAAGATTACAGATGAAATCAATCCAACATAATTGGTATAAACCACTTGGCTTAAGGGGTGCCTGGGACATCCACAGGGGCTCTGGTAACTGCGATTCCTGTTATGACCATGACAGGTGACAGCAGAAGGCCCCACCCAGCTCCCACCTCAGTTGTATAGACTGTGGGCTCTGCTTGGCCATGTGTGTTGTGGGGAAGGAGACCCTGTTTTCTCCTGCCTTTGCAGTCCCATTCTCTTTCCTAAGGATTCTCTTTTCCTTCTTTTTTTTTTTTCTTGAGTCAGTCTCGCTCTGTCACTCAGGCTGGAGTGCAGTGGCACGATCTTGGCTCACTGCAACCTCCACCTCCTGAGTTCAAGCTATTCTCCCTGCCTCAGCCTCCTGAGTAGCTGAGATTACAGGCACGTGCCACCACACCCGGCTAATTTTTGTATTTTTAGTAGAGACGGGGTTTCACCATGTTGGCCAGGATGGTCTTGAACTCCTGACCTCAAGTGCTCCGCCCTCCTCAGCCTCCCTTCTCTTTTCCTTTTACAGCCCTTCTGAGATGTCTCTTCTTCGGCGTTTCATTCACTCCCCGCGGCACCCTGGATGCCTGTTCACAGCTCGGTCCAGATTTCTAGAGCTGCTTTTAAAGGGCAGCTGCCACCCAGTGTTGCTCCCTGTATTCCCAGGTCCCCTTGCAGCCGCAGTGAGCTTGTCCCCATTCTGTAGACGGCAATAATCATAATAGTATTAGTAACAATGATGATAGGAAACATTTGCTTACCACTAATTAAATACGAGGGTCTGTACTAAGCCGGTGTCCCTGTATTATCTCACTTCAAGATCTCCGGGGTCACAGAGGCAGCCTGTTTCCAGAGACAGTAACTGAGGCACGGAGAGAGGATGAGGAAATGAAGCTGGGAGACGGTGACTAGCTTGGTGTTCCTTACAAATGGGAGGTGGTGGCTGGAATAGGCCAGGCTGGCCTGACTCAGAGTCCAGCTCTAACTTCTGTCACCAGATTTAAATGGGATTCTGGAGTTTTAATTTTCCCCAAGCAGACGCTTCCTCCTTAACGTCACGATTTCCACACGTGCTGGACACATTTGGAGGTGGACAGAGATGAGGCAAAATTAAACTTTTTCGAGTTGAGTCTGGTTACTCTGGGTAGAGGATCTTGCAAAACCACCTTGCTTTGCTGGGAGAGACTTTGGTCGTGAAAGATAAATGTTCTGCCGTCTGAATCAGAGGTAGGACGCCCCATGCTGCGAATTGTGGCTGCTTAGAAATATTACTGTTTATTGAGTTGCTTTTAACAATTTGGTAAGGAATTTAAATCCCCCATCAAATAAATGAATTGTTATTAGTTTACAAGAGTGGTCTTGGATTTCCACTTCTTTCTAAATAAAGCCTCAGGAAGACAAAAGGGACATGGGGAAATTGCAGGTTAATTTTTTGGTGTGCTCGTGAAATTCCAGGGCGCATGCAAATGAGGGCGAAGATGGTCACACGGATAAGAGCTTAAACTCGCCGAGAGCCTGCCATGCCAACTCACTTTAAAAAATCAAATATATGAAAACAATAAACTTTATAACGTAGCTATGATAAATGGAGAACACAATCATTTGCCAACAACAGTAATAAAAATAATGATTATGATCAGTCACATATTTTGAGCATTTACTCTGTGGCAGGCACAGCTGTAATGTTTTAAAACTGATGTTATCCAAATTAGCCGGGCACGGTGGCCCACGCCTGTAATCCCAGCTACTCGGGAGGCTGAGGCAGGAGAATCGCTTGGAACCCAGGAGGCAGAGGTTGCGGTGAGCCGAGATCGCGCCACTGCACTCCAACCTGGGCAACAGAGCAAGACTCTGTTTCAAAAAACAAAACAAAACAAAAATCTGGCGTTATGCTTTGAAGCTGGTACCATTGTTTCCATTTTACAGATAAGGAAAATGAGGTTAAATTCTTCTTCCAGTATGTTAACAATAGGGGTATCCAATGAAGACATGAAACTTGCTTCACCCATTTTTTCATTTTTTCACCCATATCCTCCTCCTTTCTTCCCTAATTTCACCTATTTTCATCCTTAAAAGTTTAGAAACTTGACCCAGCAGCACCCTCCTAGCCTAGGCTGGTGAACACCCTGTTCCTCACCCATCTTGTAGCTCCGAAGTGCCCACCACACCATGCCTGTTGGTTAATGCAGCCTTCCCCATTGCAGTCCTGCTAAGGAGGGCTGGGACAGGACCCACTCTCCGCCTTCCCAGTGTGGGGCACAGAGTGGGTTCTCAGCAGACATTGCCAAACAAATGAATGAGGGAATCAGTGAATGAATGAATAAAGCAAATGCAGAAGCAAATTCAGATCCAAAATCCACCAGAGGTGTTTCACTACGATTTCAGTGGTCCCTGTCTTTGGTTTAGCAGCGATGTGTCTTTTTGAGGCCCTAAACTACTTTCCTAAAATGAGGCTATTAGGGAGCACCAACCCTGGACCTCCCCCAGGGACTGTTGCAAGGATTAAACCAGTTAACATGCTAGTGTATCAGAACAGTGCCTGACCCAGAGCAAACACCCACAAATGTTAATAACAGTAATAACAATATTATTATTTTATTTTATTTTTTTGAGATGGAGTCTCACTATAGCACCCAGGCTAGAGTGCAGTGGCGTGATCTCGGCTCATTGCAACCTCCACCTCCCGGGTTCAAGGGATTCTCCTGCCTCAGCCTCCCAAGTAGCTGGGATTACAGGTGTGCACCACCACGCCCAACTAATTTTTGTATTTTTGTTTTGGTGTTTGTTTTTTTTTTTTGAGATGGAGTCTTGCTGTTGTTGCCTGGGCTGGAGTGCAATGTCATGATCTCGGCTCACTGCAACCTCTGCTTCCTGAGTTCCAGCAATTCTCCTGCCTCAGCCTCCCGATTACCTGAGATTATAGGCACCTGCCACCATGCCCAGCTAATTTTTGTATTTTTAGTAGAGACGGGGTTTCACCATGTTGGACAGGCTGGTCTCGAACTCCTGACCTCAGGTGATCTGCCCACCTCGGCCTCTCAAAGTGCTGGGATTATAGGTGTGAGCCACTGCGCCTGGCCTATTATAATTTTATATATGAGATATATGATGTCTACCTATCATTACCATTTAAGACAAGTGATATGGGTTTCCCGTGTACTGTAGCACTGTGAGATTTTATTTTAAAATAAATGCATTTGATTTTAAAAAGTGAGTTGGAAATAAGTAAATATCGGTGCGGGTGAATCCTAGACAGGATCCCAATCCCGAGGTGGTGTTCAACCCCTGGGTGTAGGACCTCAGGTGAAGGGTTACTCAATTTGGGGCAGCTTCCCTAAGCCATGATTGTGCCGCACGCATGGCTGGCAGCATGGATGTCAGTGTGGGGAGGCCCAGGCCCTTGGAGGAGGCTGAGGCAGCCTTGTCTGGGACCCCAGGTACGCCTCCAGCCATCTTCCCCACAGCCCCTTCTCTGAGCGCGCAGCCATCACCCCAGACCCGGGCTGATATTTTTAGCACACAGGCACCCTGCACGGCCCTGTACACTCTGACCAAATTTAGAAATCTCAAGAGATCTTTGCTTTTCTACGCCTTCAGAAGGAGCAATGAATGAAAAGGCTCCCAGCCTCCGGTTTAGTGAGAGCAAACCCTCCTGTTTGCAGGGCTCTCTCTGGTAGGGAACCCCAAGCTTTACTGTGCAGTGAAAAAAAGCCAGGTGCAGAATCCTGTGTGTGTTTTGGGTCTACGGTAGCAAATGCAAAGCAACCCCTGCACCGTGCACGTGTGTCTGAGTCAGCACAGCCAGCAGCGGGGCGTGGAAGGAGCCCCCCGCAAGTGGGGGAGGAAGGGGCTGTGGAGGTGATTACCTCACTCTCATGCAGGGCTGAATATTACTGTTTCCCCTGTTAAACAAGGGTGTATTACTTCCGAAATCTGACAACCCCAAGCACCAAAAGGTTTAAAAATATCTCGAGATTGTAAAGCCTCCGACAGAATGCTGAAACAGGATTGCACAGTTGACCAGGAGCTTCTGAGGTTGTGGCGGACCCTCCATGTTTCTGACTGCCGGACAGTCACAGCCCCCTCTTCCCTAATGCCACCAGATGTTCCCTGGGACACCTGCCCCCAGCTCTAGTCCACATAATGCTGCCCTCCACCTCCAGACCCAGGGGAGGGGAGTGGTCAGGGCCGGCCAAGCCAAGCACCGTATGGCCCCTGGTTCAGGACATCGCTGGGACCCAGAGGCCAGAGACCTTCAGCTGGGATCCCCAAGGATCCCTTGGGACCCCTGGGACTGTTGTCCACCTCTGTGCCACCAGGAGAGGAGAGCCCCACTAAGACTGGAGTGACACCGGAAGGTGCAACCAAGAGCAGGCAGGGAGAACACGGAGTGCAGGCGCTGCCTGAGCCCCTGCCCTGGGCTGTGTCGGGGGAGCTACTGTGGAACTTTCTGTCTATGCAGGCTCAGCAGGCCACAGTGTGCACCACCCGGCTCCTGCCAGTGAACCTACAAACGCTGATGGCTAGATTATTTGCATATGTGTTGTTAAATATGGCCAATATTAAAATTAAATGATACAAACATGTAATTAAAGGAATTACATTAAAAACAGAGATAATAGCTCCTCAGGACACCTCACTCCCTAATTAGCATACTGCACTTCACCATTCCCCAGGCTCTTGGGGTGCCACCTCGGCTGCATTTGGGGGAAGGAAATGCTTTAGGTCTGGACGTGCATTCCTGTGCGTCCTCTGGATAGCAGGAAATCTGCCAGCATGGAAATGGCAAATGCTACAAACAGGGGTCCCCCCAAAGCCATTGCTTCCCAGCATGCCTCTGAGAGAAGCCCTGTAACACAGGCCAGGGGGCACCTGCTCTGCAGGACCCCAAGCAACAGGAAGGAAACAGGAAGGAGAAGGGGAGGAGAGGGGGAGGAGAGGGGGAGGAGAGGGGGAGGAGAGGGGGAGGAGAGGGGGAGGAGAGGGGGAGGAGAGGGCAAGGAGAGGTCTTCGGCATCCTTATGGTGAAAACCACATTTTCTCCTCCCCATTTCCCTGGTAGCTGGGAAGCGCATTCAATTAACGTGTATTGATTGGCTTGAGGAAATCGGGCTCCCAGAAGTCTAGGGCCTTGCTTAAGGTCACCTAGCGGTGGGGCAGGAACTGGGACACAGTTTTAATTTGACTCCGGAGCCCTGGACTGGCCTTGTAATTGGTACTTCTTGTGCAGTGCTCACGGACACCTCAGCTGAATGAAGGCCGTGCAGGTGGCTGGACAGAAACGCCCTGTAGCCCGCATCCCTCACGTTCAAGGCTTCTGTTTTTTCAGCACTCATTTCTAAGTGGCTTGCAGCCTTGCAAGATGAATTGTGGAAGTGCATGGGCACAGTACTTAAAAACATAGAGTCCCGAGCTGAGGCAGGTCTGCCCTTTCCAGTTATTTTCCAATCCTTGTGATTACAAAGAGGTTTCTTATTTAGGGGTGAGCCTGACTTTCACACTCGGGCAGGCTCCACTGGCAGCCAGCCTCCTGTGTCCCAGCCTCCAACAGAAGTTAAAGACACGAGGAGGGTTCAATGCATTCACTTTGGGGGATCCCTCCTGCTTATTAAGAAAATGATTTTCCATTTTTGGTAACAGTAGAGTTTTCTTTTAAAATTATTTAAGTAAATTTGGGGAGCAAATGCTACAGATAGTTATGGAAGGCATCCTGAGCTGATGGGCAGTTGCTGGATTTGATGGGAAACCAGGATCCAATTCAATTTCCCAGAGAACCCGAGGCCTGGCGCGGGCAGGGAGGGTCAAGGAAGGGAGGAGCCCAGGGTCCGGCCCTCGGCCCCAATCAGGGAATGCAGCTGCCTCAGAAAATGCTGGCTTTCATATGTCAGGGACAAAAGGGACCCTTTTTTCTCCCCTTTTTTTAGTTAGAAGGAAACCTTTGAGCCATTTATAAAGACAGGCTCGCTGACTTATGGGAAAGTGGGCTTCTCTACTGTCATTTACTAACTGGTATGCTTTAGCTCTGTGTCCCCACCTGAATCTCATCTTGAATTATACTCCCATAATTCCCACGTGTTGTGGGAGGGACATGGTGGGAGATCATTTGAATCATGGGGGCAGTTTCCCCCATACTGTTCTCATGGTAGCGAATAAGTCTCATGAGATCTGACGGTTTGATCGGGGGTTTCCGCTTTTGCATCTTCCTTATGTTCTCTTGCCGCCGCCAAGTAAGAAGTGTCTTTCACCTCGCGCCATGATTGTGAGGCCTCCCCAGCCATGTGGAACTGTAAGTCCAATTAAACCACTTTTACTTTCCAGTCTCGGGTATGTGTTTATCAGCAGTGTGAAAACCGACTAATACGCTAACTGTCATGTGTCTGGACGTGCGAAAAATCCCTAAATGGGTGAGAATCATGTGTTTCTGCTACAGTCTGTTTCAGCAATGCAAGTCTTGGGATGGATTAGATCAACCTTAAGTAATAAGAACAAACCCAGTCTTCAGAAAACTTTTGGGGGTTCCAATAGCATTTACCATGGGGCCTGGTGAAACATGAGCTTTGTTTCATCCGGCTGCTGCTTTGCGGGAGGATGGAGCAGAGCAGGAGGGGGCATGGCTCCAGACAGGTCGGGAACATTCTCAGAGTTGGGCCCCTGGATGACCCTGTCCTGGTCAATGCAAATACAGAGCCCCACCCTGGCAAGAGGGGAGAGGCACTGCCGTGATTTCAGTTTGTCTTCTGTCATGTTCTGGTGACCTCTCAACAGTGCTGTGGTCCTTGGGGCATGTGCACTGGGAGTGGGGGGCTTTTCGCTCACCTCTGAGGAGATCCTTTCTCCCTCCAGTGTCGATTCATTCTCACTTAATTAAACTTCAAGTTTTAAAAATGAGAACTGTCCAACCCAAGTGTCATCAATAGATAAACAGATAAACAAAATGTGATCCCCCTCATGCAAAGGAAAATTATTCACCCTTAAAAAGGTAAAAAAATTCTGACACAGGCTACAGCATGGATGAACCTCAGTGAATTATGCTCAGTGAAATAACCCAGGCACATAGAGTAGTGAAATTCATAAGGGATGGGAAGGAGAATGGAGGTCTCCAGGGGCTGGGTGGAGGGGGATACGGAGTTAATGTTTAATGGGGGCAGAGTTTCAGTTCGGCAAGATGAAAAGAGTTCTGGAGATGGGAGTACAACAAGGGGAATGTGCCTAACACCCCTGAACTGTACGTATCATGGCTAAGATGGCCAATTTTCTTTTTTTTTTTTTTTAAGATGGAGTCTTGCTCTGTCGCCCAGGCTGGAGTGCAGTGACGTGATCTCGGCTCACTGCAAGCTTCGCCTCCTGGGTTCACACCATTCTCCTGCCTCGGCCTCCTGAGTAGCTAGGACTACAGGCACCTACCACCACGCCTGGCTAATTTTTTTTTTTTTTTTTTTTTTTTTTTTTTTTAGTAGAGACGGGGTTTCACTGTATTAGCCAGGATGGTCTCCATCTCCTGACCTCGTGATCTGCCTGCCTCGGCCTCCCAAAGTGCTGGGATTACAGGCTTGAGCCACCGCGCCCGGTAAGACGGCCAATTTTATGTGTATCTTCCTACCACTTACAAAAAGGATACCATCAAGAGCAGTGGAAGTCTGTTTGCCAGCGTGCTGGGTCCTAACAAAAGACCCCACTGACTTCAGTCCTGCCCAGCTTGCTCACTGCAGCCTGCTCTGGGCTCTGATGTTCATCACGGCTTGGAGTTGCTTCCCCAGACAGAGTACAGCGTAGCTGAAAGTCCACTGTTAGCGGGTTATCGGAGGAGAGCACTTACCAGCGGCTCACCTCTGCTGACTGCTGTGCCAGGCTGTGTGAAGCACTGTACTCCCATACTCACCACAGCCACAGAGGACAGCCCGTGGTCACTCCTGGGGAAAAGCAGACAGCCGAGGCTCTGATGGGCCATAAAAAATAATCCAAAAAGTGGCAAGGAAAAAGAGAAAACAATACAACTACAGAAATGATAACATTACATGTAAGTGGTCCAAATATACCAATTGAAACACAAAGATGGTTGGACTGGATGAAAAAGAAACTGTATAAATAATAAACACCTATTTTAAATATGAAGATATGTCATTTAAATAAAATAGAAATAAGTAAATATAAGTATGTAGAGAGTAAAGAGAAAATAACTAGAGTAAAGAAATAGAAATTTTAAAACATGTCCTTAATCTGATAAAGAGTACCTACAAGGGTACTTGATATGATTTTGATTTTCTTCAATTTATTGAGACTTGTTTTGTGGCCTATCATATGGTCTGTCCTGGAGAATGTTCCATGTGCTGGTGAAGAGAGTATGTATTCTGCAGTTGTTGGGTAGAGTGTCCTGTAAATAGCTGTTAAGTCCATTTGTTCTGGGGTATAGTTTAAGTCCATTGTTTCTTTGCTGACTTTCTTTCTTGACGACATGTCTAGTGCTGTCAGTGGAGTACTGAAGTCCCCCACTACTATTTTGTGTTGCCATCGAACTCATTTCTTAGGTCTAGTAGTAATTGTTTTATGAATTTGGGAGCTCCAGTGTTAGATGCATATATATTTAGAATTGTGATATTTTCCTGTTGGACTCATCCTTTTACCATTATCTAATGTCCCTCTTTGTCTTTTGTTTCCCCACTGTTGTTGTTTTTAAGTCTGTTTTGTCTGACGTAAGAATAGCTATTCCTGCTTACTTTTGGCTTCCATTTGCATGGAATATCTTTTTCCACCCCTCTACCTTAAGTTCTATGTGTTAGGTGAGTCTCTTGAAGACAGCAGATACTTGGTTGGTAGATTTTTAGCCAGTCTGCCATTCTGTATCTTTTAAGTGGAGTATTTAGGCCATTTACATTCAAGAAGAGCCTGCATAGCCAAAGCAATACTAAGCAAAAAGAACAACTCTGGAGGCACATATTACATAGTCTTCAAACTATACTACAAGGCCATCCTTATCAAAACAGCATGATTCTGGTATAAAAACAGGTATGTAGACCAATGTAATATAACAGAGAATAAAGAAATAAAGTCCAGTACTTAAAGCCAACTGACCTTTGACAAATCAAACAAAAACATAAAGTGGGGAAAGGACACCCTATTCAACAAATGGTGCCAGGATAATTGGCAAGCCACATGTAGAAGAATGAAACTGGACCCTCATCTCCCACCTTATACAAAAATCAACTCAAGATGGATCAAAGACTTAAATCTAAGGCCTGAAACCGTAACAATTCTAGAAGATAATATTGGAAAAACTCTTCTAGACATTGGGTTGGGCAAAGAGTTCATAACCAAGAACCCAAAAGCAAATGCAACAAAAACAAAAATAAATAGATGGGATTTAATTAAACCAAGAAGTTTCTGCACAGAAAAATAAATAATCAGCAGAGTAAACAGGCAACCCACATAGTGGGAGAAAATATTTGTAAATTATACATGTGACAAACGACTAATATTCAGAATCTACAAGGAACTCAAACAAATCAGCAAGAAAAAAACAAATGATCCCATCAAAAAGTGGGTAAAGAACATGAATAGACAATTCTCAAAAAAATATATAAATGGCCAACAAACATGACAAATGCTCAACGTTGCTAATTATCAGAGAAATACAAATTGAAACCACAATGAGATGCCACCTTACTCCTGCAAGAATGGCCATCATTAAAAAATAAAAAAAATAGATGTTGGTGTAGATGTGGTAAAAAGGGAACACTTTACTGCTGGTGGGAATGTAAACTAGTATAACTAGTATAACTAGTACAGAGAATCCTTAAAGAACTAAAAGTAGAACTACCATTTGATCTAGCAATCCCAGTACTAGGTATCTACCCAGAGGAAAAGAAGTCATTATATGAAAAAGACAGTTGCACATGCATGTTTACAGCAGCACAATTTGCAACTGCAAAAATATAGAACTGGCCTAAATGCCCATCAACCAATGAGTGAATAAACAAAATGGGGTACATATATACCATGGAATACTACTCAGCCATTAAAAGGAATGAAATAATGGCATTCATAGCAACATGGATGGAGTTGGAGACCATTATTCTAAGTGAAGTAACTCAGGAATGGAAAACCAAATATCGTTATGTTCTCACTTATAAGTGGGAACTAAGCTATGAGGACACAAAGGCATAAGAATGATACAATGGTCTTTGGGGACTCGGTCGGGAGGAAGGGTGAAAGAGGGGTGAGGGATAAAGGACTCCATATTGGGTACAGTGTATGCTGCTCAGGTGATGGGTGCACCAAAATCTCAGAAATCACCACCAAAGAACTCATCCATGAAACCAAAAATCACCTGTTCCCCAAAAACTCTTGAAATAAAATGTAAAAAAGAGTACCTACAAAAACTTACAGCTAGCATCATACTTAATGGCAAAAAACTCAATGATCTTCCACTAAACTGGAAACAAGGCAAAGATGTCCGCTCACCGCACTCCCGTTCAACATCATGTCCGAGGTCCTAGCAAGTGCCATATGGCAAGAAAATTAAAACAGACACATACAGTTTGGAAACGGGAAAATAAAACAGTCTCTATTTGCAGATGGCATGATTATCTATACAGAAAACCCCAAGGAATCTACAAATAAACAATTTCAACTCACACGTGAGTTTAGCCAGGCTGCAGGTTACAAGGTCAATGAACAAAAATTAACTATACTAGCACCAAAGAATTGGAAATTGAAATTGCAAAAACAGTACGATTTATTTTTTTATTTTTTTAATAAAAAAATTGTATTTACTTAGAAGCATTCAGAATGTCAACAAAACAGCTGCAACTTTTTTTTTTTGCAATTACAGAGTGGTATTCAGTTAACAGAACAATTATTTCGTATAAGCTGCATCAGAGACAACTGAAGATGAAAAAACTACCATCCCCATATATAACTAATTTGTGCTGCGCACCAACAAGAACCTGCTTTAAATTTCCATGCCAATTTACAACCCCCATACTCTACCAGGCAAGGTTAGTGACTATTGAAAATACCACCAGGACAGGGCCATCTAAAGACACATTTGGTAGTGTATTAACCATACAAAAAACGACACTGTACAGTTTAAAAACAAATCTTACACAGCCTTACATTTCAATTTTTTTCTTTAAAAGGAGTGAGTTGTGTACAGGGGCGTTAAATGCTTTAAGACAAGAAAAAAAACTGCGCTAGAGCCAACTTATTCATCATCATCATCTTCTTCATCTTCTTCATCTTCCTCCTCCTCATCCTCTTCATCTTCCTCATCTTCCTCCTCTTCCTTCTTTTTCTTGCTTTTTTCAGCTTTGACAACTCCCTTTTTTGCTGCCTCAGGCTTTCCTTTAGCTTGATATGCAGCAATATCCTTTTCGTATTTTTCCTTCAGCTTCGCAGCCTTCTTTTCACCAGGCTGCTTGTCATCTGCAGCAGTGTTATTCCACATCTCTCCCAGTTTCTTCGCAACATCACCAATGGACAGGCCAGGATGTTCTCCTTTGATTTTTGGGTGATACTCAGAGCAGAACAGGAAGAAGGCCGAAGGAGGCCTCTTGGGTGCATTGGGATCCTTGAACTTCTTTTTTGTCTCCCCTTTGGGAGGGATATAGGTTTTCATTTGTCTTTCATAATGGGTCTTGTCCGCCTTTGCCATATCCTCAAATTTTCCTTTCTCTTTAGCAGACATGGTCTTCCACCTCTCTGAGCACTTGTTAGAAAACTCTGAGAAGTTGACTGAAGCATCTGAGTGCTTCTTCTTATGCTCCTCCCGACAAGTTTGCACAAAAAATGCATATGATGACATTTTGCCTCTCGGCTTCTTAGGATCTCCTTTGCCCATGTTTAGTTATTTTTCTTCAGCGAGGCACAGAGTCGCCCAGTGCCCGTACGGCTCTCACTTGCCCCGGCGCTGTCTCTATGGAGCTCAATGTACTGCAGTGGCTAACAGTACGATTTATAATAGCACTCTCCCCAAAGGAAAATCCATGACAAACTTTGATACAGATCCAACATCTGTGCAAGATGTCTACGATAGATACAAAACAATGATGAAAGAAATCAAAGAAGGCCTAAATGATTGGAGGGATACACTCTTCTGTTCACGGATTGGGAGACTCAGTATTGTTAAAGTGTAAAATTCTTTCCAAATTGATCTATACATTCATTCCCCCAAAGATCTCAGCAACATTTTCTTTTTGCATAAATTCACAAGTGGATTTGAAAATTTAGATGGAAAGGCAAAGGATTCAGAATCACCAAAAACAACTTTAGAAAAGAAGAACAAAGCTGGAGGACTTGCATTATCTGAGTTTGAGGCTGACTATACGCTGTCAAGACAGCCTGGTTCTGATGAAGGACTAGCTTGGGAAAGAATGGAGCTACAACACCCACACATGTGGCCAATACTTTTTTTTTTTTTTTTGAGACGAAGTCTCACTGTAGCCCAGGCTGGAGTGCAGTGGTGTGATCTTGGCTCACGACAACCTCCGCCTCCATGGCTCAAGCCATTCTTGTGCCTCAGCCTCTGAGGAGCAGGGACTACAGGTGTGCGCCACCACATCCAGATAATATTTTGTATTTTAGTAGAGATGAGGTTTCACCATGTTGCCCAGCGTGGTCTCAAACTCCTGAGCTCAGGCGATCTGTCCTCCTCGGCTTCCCAAAGTGCTGGGATTACAGGCGTGAGCCACCGTGCCTGTCAATACATTTTAATACAGCTGCGAAGAGAAGTCAAGGGACAAGGGATAGTTTTTAAAATAGATGGTGCTAAAACAATACATCAACCATGTGTGGAAAAGCGAACCTTGATCCACACCTTGGGTCATAAGCGCTATTTGGCTCAAAAGGAATCACAGACTTAAATGTAAAACATAACATTATAAAACTTCCAGAAGTAAACCTGGGAAAAGACCTTCGCGACCTTGAGTTATGCAAAAGATTTCTTAGATAATGACATCAAAAGAATGATTCATTGGTTGGGCGTGGTGGCTCACGCCTGTAATCCCAGCACTTTGGGAGGCCAAGGTGGGTGGATCACAAGGTCAGGAGATTGAGACCATCCTGGCTAACATGGTGAAACCCTGTCTCTACTAAAAATACAAAAAATTAGCCGGGTGCGGTGGCGGGCGCCTGTAGTCCCAGCTACTCGGGAGGCTGAGGTAGGAGAATGGCGTGAACCTGGGAAGCGGAGCTTGCAGTGAGCTGAGATCATGCCACTGCACTCCAGCCTGGGCGACAGAGCGAGACTCTGTCTCAAAAAAAAAAAAAAAAAAAAAAAAAAAGGAATGATTCATCAAAGAAAACCGGCAGATAAATTAGACTTCATCAAAATTGAAAAAAAAATTTGCTGTTTGAAAGACACCATTACATGAATGAAAAGACAAGACACAGACTGGAAGAAAATATTTACAAAACATATGTCTGATAAAGAACTTGTGTCCAGAATACATAAATAACTCTCAAACAACCCAGAGTACAAAATGTCAAAAGCTATGAACAGGCACCTCACAGAAACCATCTGCAGATGGCAAATAAGCATGTGAAAAGATTTTCCAAATCATTGGCTATTAGTGAAATGCAAATTAAAACTGCAGTGAGATTTCACTACATGAGTAGTAGAAAGGCTAAAATTAAAAACAAAAACAAGGCCGGGTGCAGTGGCTCACGCCTGTAATCCCAGTACTTTGGGAGGCTGAGGTGGGCGGATCACGAGGTCAGGAGATCGAGACCATCCTGGCTAACATGGTGAAACCCTGTCTCTACTAAAAATACAAAAAAAAAAAAAATTAGCCGGGCGTGGTGGCGGGCTCCTGTGGTCCCAGCTGCTCGGGAGGCTGAGGCAGGACAATGGCGTGAACCTGGGAGGCAGAGTTTGCAGTGAGCCGAAATCACAGCCACTGCACTCCAGCCTGGGAGACAGAGCCTGACTCCGTCTCAAAATAAATAAATAAATAAACAGAAAAATAAATAAATAAAATAAAAATAAAAACGAAAACAAAAGTGTGACTGGGCGTGGTGGCTCACGCCTGTAATCCCAGCACTTTGGGAGGCCGAGGCGGGTAGATTACTTGAGATCAGGAGTTCAGGACCAGCCTGGCCAACATGGTGAAACCCCGTCTCTACTAAAAATACAAAAATTGGCTGGGCGTGGTGGCACACACCTGTAGTCCCAGCTACTCGGGAGGCTGAGGCAGGAGAATTGCTTGAACCCAGGAGGCAGAGGTTGCAGCCAGCAGAGATCATGCCACTGCACTCCAGCCTGGGTGACAGAATGAGACGCTGTCTAAAAAAAGAAAAAAAAAAAAAAGCCTGACAATGCCAAGTGGTGGCGAATATTTCTGATGGGGCTGTGGGCATGCTTGGACCTTGCTGGTGGGAGTGCAGAGTGGTGCATTCACGTCAGAAGACGGTTTGGCAATTTCGTATAAACATACATCTACCTAGTGACTTAGAAATCTCACCCCTAGGTATTTGCCCAAGGGAAAGAAAAATGTCTGTTTACACAAAACCTGTATGCAAATGTTTATAATGGCTTAATTCATAAACCTCTCAAATTGGAAAGAAAGCCAACGTCCTTGAACTGGTGAATGATAAAGCAATTGTGGAGCGATCAGACAATGGAATATCACTCAACAATCAAAAGAAAGGAACAGTGAGCCACCAAAGAGCAGGAAGAATCTTGAAGTCATTTGTTCAATGAAAAAAGCCACATGCAAATATATAGTGTAGGATTCCAGGTATGTGACATTCTGGAAAAGATAAAACTATATAGGACAATTGAAGCAAAATCCGGTGCTGGGGGCTGGGAGTAGGGGTAGTGCTTGACTACAAAGGAGTATTACAGAACCAAACTGGGGTCTGTTTGCCATAGTTAAACTGGACATTTACACCAAGGTTTCCAGTGATAGGAAGAAAGGTTTTTATTGTAGGGTGTCAAGTATGGAGAACTAGGCAGCTGAATGTTTAAATTCTGACCTCCCCGATGACTTGCAGGTAAGGATTTTTAAAGGTGGGTGGAAAGTAACAGTTACAGGCAAAATTATAAATTAATATAGAAGGTTCTATTGTTGGTTGGTTTAGACTTAAAAGGGCCAGCATGTCTTCAAGTGTAGGCTTACAGGTTGTAGACAGATTCAAAGGTTTTCTGATTTGCAATTGGTTAAGGAAGAGAAGCTTTGTTTAACGATCTGGGGTCAGTAGAAAAATGTTCACTGGCTAGGGGGAGTGACCGCTTAGAACAAAGGATGATGAATAAAGATTAGTTTTTACTTTTCTTAAATTTGAGGTTTATGTGTCTGGATCTGTCTGACGGGAGATCTTAGAGGGGTTCTGAGGTTTTGAACGACTCAGTAACATACGTTAAGGTGTGTCTTTGGGTTTTACAGGGAAAGTAAACATTTTGGGGACTTTAACTTTTTTAGTTATTGTCTTAGCTTATTATTTTGTTTTAGTAAGTTCTTTACTTTTGGGGCTAGCTAGGTGTCTGGATTTCTTTCTGAAGGAACTCAGGGCTTTTTATGTGTGGGGTCCACAGGCCCCTAAAAAGGGGATCCCTGTTCTAATTTTGGGAGCACAGTGGGATGCCTGGGGTGATGGAGGTGCCCCATGTCTTGGTTGAAGCGGTGATTACGTGACCATTCATTTGTCAAAACTCATAGATACTTAAAAGGGGGAATTTTACTGTATGTAAGTTATATCTCAGAAAAGTTTTTTAAAGACTTAAAAATATGTAAAACAATGCATTGTTGGAAAGTTGCACTAAGAAGAGTTCTGCTTTGCACTTCACTGAGCTCAAAAGCTGCGTGAGGAAACTCACTTCTGTTTGCCCAAGTGGAGGCCTCGCCTTCTCACGACTGATTTCTCATTCTTTATGGAATTAAAAAAACATATCTATCAGGAACTATCTACCTGTCTGCATCCATCCATCCAAACGTCTGAAGTCATCCTACTCATGGCAATACATGGTAAGGCTAATTTTTAAAAAGCACCAGTTGCTCTTATTTGGAAATGGGTCCGTATCACCAAAGGTGGAATATTACCCAGATATAAGACCAAACAAGCTCCAAACAAACTCTCAGAGTCAGACAGATGAGTTGATGAATCCTGCCCACACTCCACGTGACCGCGTCTGCCTCCAGGTGGAAGAGGAAACCGTGTAGTCAGGCCCCAAGTCTTCTTGCTGCCTCCCTCCCGTCCCCCGGGCCTTGCCTGGCCACTGCAAACCTGGGGTCTCGTTGGCTCCCCTCCCATGTCACCTGGGCATGCAATTGTGCTGGTCACTCCGTGGAGGAGGCCTGGCAAATTCCACAGCATGGGTCATGTGTCACTTCCAGAGGCTCTGGAACAAAGACTGGGTGACAGGCCAGCAGAGAGATGCTGAATTGCTCTTTTGGGTTGAACCACCCAGAATAAAATGCTAAGGGCCTGGCTACTGAGAGAATCTCCGGTTTTTTGAACATCTGTGAAAGCAGGAGGTTAAGTCTGCAGTGCCTGAGGCTGCTTGCACCACTGCGCTCCCGCCTGAGTGACACAGCAAGACCCTATCTCAAACAAAAAAACTCTTTAATTGTGCCACAGTGGATGAAAGCTGGCTGCAGAGTTCATATAGAAAGGCTGCTAATAGCTCCTCTCAGCCTCCTGAGTAGCTAGGACCACAGTCACTTGTCACTGCACCCAGCTGATTTTTTAAATTTTTATTTTCTGTAGCAATGGGGTGTCCCTATGTTGCCCATGTTGGTCTTGAGCTCCTGGGCTCAAGCTATCCTCCTGCCTCTGCTCCCAAAGTGCTGGGTGCCTGGTCTCCATTAAGATTTTTTATTTTTTTGAGACAGGGTCTCATTCCGCTGCCCAGGCTGAAGTGCAGTGAGGTCATTAAGGCTCACTGTAGCCTCAACCTCCCTGGCTCAGGTGATCCTCCCACCTCAGCCCCCTGAGTAGCTAGGACTATAGGTGCATACCACCACATCTGGCTAATTTGTGTGTGTGTGTGTGTGTGTGTGTGTGTGTGTGTGTGTGTGTGTGTGTATATATATATATATATATTTTTTTTTTTTGTAAAGACATGGTTTCACCATGTTGCCCAGACTGGTCTTTAACTCCTGGACTCAAGCAACCCTGCCCACCTTGGTCTTCCAAAGTGCTGGGATTACAGGCATGAGCCACCAGACCCAGCCTAATTAAGTTTGTTGATGGCACTTTTTGTCCTGACAAAGCGCAGTGAGCATCCCATACAGTAATCTATCTGCCATGCACAGAAAAATAAACATATGCATCTTAAAATGCTAAATTATGCATACTTTAAAAGATAATGATTTAAAGGAACCAGGTTCATAATCACACCCATGCCTTGGAAATGGTTCAAAAGTTACTAAAAATAGCATAAACTAGGCTGCTTTAGGAATTGGGGGCAGTGAACATGCAACCTGACTCTCTCTCACTTATCCATCGTGTTGAGGAGCATTTCACTCCTTAAACTTAAAATCTGTGTTTATCCGATACTGTCAATTAAAAATAAACTGCAGTGAAAGCATGAGGAGATGCGGAAAGTCGATTTGATAAGCCAAATGTCCCGAGGCTTGAATGGAACATATTTAAGCAGAACTAACAATGCCCTTTAGTGACTAATAGTCATAAAGAATGCATTTACAGGGACTATTCAATGGTTATCAGAAAAAAAATTAAACATTTATACTGGAAATAATATCTGGAAAATATCTTGCCATTTTCAAAAGGTAGGCTGTCAAACTTTATCATATAAAATGACTTCAGTTTCATCACGCCCATCCAGCCTTTTCAGTGACTGATCTCAAACAATAGAGGCTGTTAACATGCATCAGCCAGGTCTTAGGTTTGTTTAAAAGCCATCCTTTATATAGTAAAACTGTTGTCAAACAATGTTGTAATTTAAACACCCCCTCCCTGCAAAACAGAGATGTTACACTGTGCAAGAGGTGTACATTCCGGAATTATTTCCTGCTGGATCTCAAAACTATTTTAAGCAAAAGCATGTCACTCACCAAGCATTCACGAACTCAGAGCCAACTGGTGTCCTCACTCCCAGGTTTTGCAAAGGTCCCTTCTCTTCCTTGCCAAGGAAAAAATGTTCTCGTTCTGTATCGCGGAATTAATAAAATCGCCAAGACTTTGCTATAACTTTCCGTGCTTCCTACTCTCGAATAGTGAACCTGTCTCAATATCGGAAAAGACAGAAGCGACTGCCCTCTTGCGGGCACTATTGTCACTGCATCTATTTTGGTATCAAAAGCACTAACTGCACTTGAGGACCAGGTGTTTCACCTTCTTGCCAGGTGTGGGTGAGAGTCACGCACGTAACTGAGTAGGTATTGATCATCTCATCTGAATTTTGTTCTACATCTCAACAGGTGTTGCACACACGAAACACTGCAACTATTTATAAAAGTGTGCTTATAGGAGCTTTCGTCTTGAGACGGAGTCCCACTCTATTGCCCAGGCTGGAGTGCAGTGGCGCAATCTCGGCTCACTGCAACCTCCGCCTCCCGGGTTCAAGTGATTCTCCTGCCTCCGCCCCCCAAGTAGCTGGGATTACAGGCACCTGCCATCACGCCCGGCTAAATTTTATATTTTTAACAGAGATGGGATTTCACTATGTTGGCCAAGCTGGCCTCAAACTCCTGACCTCAGGTCATCCACCTGCCTCGGCCTCCCATAGTGCTGGGATTACAGGAGTGAGCCACTGCACCCGGCCTAGGAGTTTTATTTATTTATTTAAAACAGTGTTTAGATACCAACTTGGCTTGCGTTTTCAAACATATTTATGTTATCTGTTTTTGAAATTAACATACATTTGGTTGTAGTAAAATACATGATATAGTTTGGATATTTGTCCCTGGCCAAAGCTCATGTTGAATTGTAATCCCCAGTGTTGGAGGTGGGGCCTGGTAGGAGGTGACTGGATCACGGGGGCGGTTTCTTAGGAATGATTTAGCACCATCCGCTTGGTGCTGTCCTCATGACAGTGGCGGTTCTCAAGGAATCTGGTCGTTCAGAGGAGTGTGGCGCCTCCCCCTCTCTCGCTCCTGCTTTCACCATGTGACGCGCCTACTCCCTCTTCGCCTTCTGCCTTGATTGTAAGTTTCCTGAGGCCTCCCCAGAAGCCAGGCAGATACCAACATCATCCTTCCTGTACAGCCTGCGGAACTATGAGTCAATTAAAACTCTTTTCTTTATAAATTACCCAGTTTCAGGTATTTCTTTATAGCAATGTGAGAAAGGACTAACACAACATAAAATTTACCATTTTAGCTATTTTTAAATGTATGGTTCAGTGGAATGATTAGGTAGATTCACACTGTTGTGTGGCCATCACCATGACTGATCTCCAGAACTCTTTCTTCATCCCAAATAAACTGTGTCCACTAAACACTAACTCTCCATTCTCCCTCACCCCTCAGTGCTTGGCAAACATCACTTTACCGTCTGTCTCTATGACTCTGACTGTTCTAGATACCTCCTATAAGTAAGATCATATAATACTTGTCCTTTTGTGACTAGCTGATTTCACTCAGCATAACGTCCTCAAGGTTCCCCCATGTTGTAGCATGTGTGAGGGTCTCCCTCCTTTTGAAGGCTACATAATATTCCACTGCATGTATATACCACATTTTGTTTACCCATTCACCCGTCCATGGAATTTGGGTTGTTTTCATCTTTGACTATTTTGAAAAATGCTGCTATGAACATAGGTGTGCAAATACCTCTTTCAGACTCTGCTTTTAGTTCTTCTGGGTATACGGTATATCTGGAAGTGGGATTGGTGGGTCAGATACTAATGCTATTTCCATTTTTTTTTTTTTTTTTTTGAGAAACTGCCATACTGCTTTCCCCAGTGGCTGCACCATTTAACATTCCCACCAACAGTGCACAACGGTTCCAATTTCTCCACATTCTCTCCAGACAAAGAAGATGTTTTTAAAGACCAATGCTGACATATAACAAATATAGCAATTTTAAGTCATTTCATTTTATTGAATTATGTAAAACATCTTTAAATAACAGTAAAAAAATTAAGAAACCATTGCACAAATTCAGTCACAATGATGGCATACTACAGCCCACAGAATTTAAATCTCATGTGAGTTGAGTTAAATTAATTTGCTGGTACAAAGAGAATATAATGCTCTTCCTGCTGGGAAATTATTTCCACATATTCACATTGTATAGGGATTCTGAACTTGTGATATTTTCAATAAAAGGTCCATATCTTAAGAATTTGAATTTAGGGCTTATCAATGATCTTGAAATACAGGGGTGGAGACAGGTTGGCAGCAAAACAAACTGCTCAACTAAGCAATGAAGAAAAATCTGCCTCTGTATCCAGATAGAAATGAATTTCAAGTGTTAAAGAGGCATCTCTCACGCTGCTCGAGGGTGGAAAAATCTTGTCAACTGGCAAAAGGGAAATACTCACTAATCACTGGGCATTATGAAAAAGTACAAATTCCTTACAGGTACACATTTGCCTTATCTGATTTTATGTTTCTTCTCACTCTGCCAATTATTTTACAAATATAAAAAGAGTAGTTTTAGCAGAAAAAAGGGTTATGGAGTGAAATACTAATAAGCAATAATGGAATGTAACCAGGGCAATTTCATACCTGCCAAGGAGCATAATTAAAAGAGAATACAAAAATCTAAAGGTGAACCTTGCTCCTATACCAAAGTAAAATCGATTTATTCCTTATTTTCTAGTCTAATCTAGTATTTCATTTCCTACTCAGTTTTCCTTTTTATAAGAGTAAAACATTTTTTGGTTGAATTTAGAACTAATTAAAAGCATTATGGTAGCTTTAAATTTTGTAGAAAATTCATTTGTATAAAAACATTTGTCTTTAATGTTTAAAACCATATATTATTAGAAATATCATGGGTGTATATAATGCAACATAAAAATGTCCAGCTTTGACTGTGGAAGCACTAGCTGGTCTAGACTATTTTGAAATATCCAAAAATCACTACTCACTCATTGTGGGCCACCTTGCCAATATCAAGTGAATGAATCCATAGGTTTGAGGTGTTACCCTCTCATTCAAGGTTTAAAACTTTTATAAAATACCTGCAATGTTTCTTTGAAATATCCAGCTACAAACAGGAGAACAATTCTAGACACTACCTCAAACTTGTGTCATCCATTGTCATGAACTTAATTGTTTCAAAGAAAATGCTAAAAATTTCTAACTTGCTTTAGGAATTAGGGGCAGTGAACATGCAACCTGACTCTCTCTCACTTATCCATCGTGTTGAGGAGCATTTCACACCTTAAATGCTAAAAACTTCTAACTTGCTTTAGGAATTGGGGGCAGTGAACACGCAACCCGAATCCCTCTCACTTATCCATCGTGTTGAGGAGCATTTCACAGGTCACGCCTTCATCCACTTCCTCTTTGACTCTGGCTGTGGTTTCTCTGCAGGCGACAGGAAACATCTCTCCTGGGAACTGTTCTCCCTTCGTGGTGGAAGCCTCCTCAGCAGCAGCTTCTTGAGAAAAAGTCCAGGATGAGCAAATTTATCAGAAAGCTAAGGAATTGGAATTTATAAACTGTGCAAATATATTTTGGAAACCATCACTTAAATTTGAACACGGCAGCAAGCATGTTAGAAAACAATCTAATTGATAAGATGGTACTATTCTGATCTCAACTACTGCCTTCAGTCAGGGCTTCTTAGCCTCAGCGCTACAGACGTTTGGGGCCAGAGAGCTGTCTGCTGGGGGCAGGGCGCTGTTCTGGGCACTGTAGGATGTTAGCAGCGACCCTGGCCTCTACCACTAGATGCCAGTAGCACCCTCCTCTCCAGCTGCAAAAACCATAAAAATGTCTCCAGACATTGCCAGTGTCCCCTGAAGGTGACGGGGGGGGGGTGGGGGGGGGACACAGTCATTCCCAGCTGGCATCAGCTGCTATAGGTGAATGTGGATCTTACAGATTTATATCGAGGCGGATCTCAGAGATTTATATTGTGGCTGAGCTGCTCACCTAAGTCTTGTCCCAGTACCCATGTAATGATGCTGCCTACATGAAGAAAGCCAGTTGCCTGCAGGACATTTGTCCCTTTGGCCAATCGACATATACTGAGTACTGATTCTGTGGGTTGCGCGTTCTGCTAGGGATGCTGGGGCCAGCGCCAGGCGTGTATCCATAACCTGCTCCCCCTCCAGCAGCTCAGGAGCCAGTCTGCACAACTTAGTGGGTTTAAAACAGACCACTGTGAGCCGACCCATATTCAACCCTCTACTGTCCCCAACCTTTTCAGTACCAGGGAACACTCTTGTGGAAGACAATTTTTCCATGGACTGGTTGGGGTGCGGGGGTTGGTTGTGGGATGGTTCAAGCACATTACATTTCTTATGTACTTTATTTTTATTATTACATTGTGATATATAATGAAATAATTATACAGCTCACCATAATGTAGAATCAGTGGGAGCCCTGGGCTTGTTTTCCTGCATCTAGACAGTCCCATCTGGGGGTGATGGGAGACAGTGACAGATCGTCGGGCATTAGATTCTCGTAAGGAGTGTGCAGCCTAGATCCCTTGCACGTGCAGAGTTCACAACAGGGTTCACACTCATGAGAATCTAACGCTGCCGCTGATCTGACAGGAGGCGGAGCTCAGGCGGTGATGCGCCCGATGGGGAGCGGCTGTCAATACAAAGCTTCACTCCCTCACCCACTGCTCACCTCCTGCTGGGAGGCCCAGTTCCTAACAGCCCACAGGTCCACGGCTGGGGGGTTGGGGAGCCCTGCTCTACTCATTTTCCAAATTACTTTCCCAAACATCCACAGAGCGCCACACTGAAGAACGTGACTGTCTCATGTTCTAACTTGTCTGAGGATATTTTTGTCCATGCTTCCTTGAAGTATTTTTTTTTTTTTTTTTTTGGTGGATGGAGGGAGACAAGAAGACCCAGTTCTTGGATATGAAAAGAAACACTGAGATCCACAAAACTGGTGCCATCAGGCCAGGCACAGGGGCTCATGCCTGTAATCCCACCACTTTGGGAGGCCGAGGCGGGCAGATCACTTGAGGTCAGGAGTGAGAGACATGGTAAAACCCCATCTCTACTAAAAATAATAGAACAATTAGCCAGGCGTGGTGGCGGGCATCTGTAATCCCAGCTCCGGAGACTGAGGCATGAGAATCACTTGAACCCAGGAGGCAGAGGTTGCGGTGAGCTGAGATCACACCTGGAGTATAAAGTGAAACTCTGTCTTAAAAAAACAAAAACAAAAACTGGTGCTATCAGATAGTCACCCATCGAGATCTGTCAATGAACTGGAGGTGCTGTGTGCTGGTGTACCGGCAGAGCAGACACAGAAGTGAGACAATTGTCTGGATAACACAGGCTACAAAGATCCTGAAATGCAGATTAAGTCATATTTTTTGCCAGGTTATTTGCCTTAATTCACACTTGCTTTGGATATGACCGCTGACCATCAAAAATATGAAAAAAGTTTGTATATGTACAATTCCTATCATCAGTTTTTAAGCCTATAAGAACCTTCTCAACTCTTCTCCATAGCAAAAATGTCACCGACTGAGGGTGACATGTTCAAAATTCACCCCAAATCATTTGGTCTTCTGGAGGTTTAAGAGATAATTAACAACAACAAAAAACCAAAAACCAAACCAAAACCAAACAAAAACAAAACAAAACCACTACATTTAGGTGTCAAGGTGTGGAGAACTGCACAAGTGTCCTTTAGGTGCGGAATCAGCGGGGAAGTCACGTTTCTCCAGGGACCCTTTAGGATCTGACTTAAACTCAGAGCCGAGGTGGCCAGTAGCCCGGCCTTGGGTTTCTACAATGTGCGCTGATGAACTGTGGGTCAAATTTCACCGGTCTGTCTTCTCCAGTAAAGGACTGTGCTTACTATTCACTCGTTTATTCAACAAGTGGTGACTTAACGAGCAATGCTGAGGCCAGGCCTAGTGCCAGGAGCTGGGGACGGACCCGATGGGCCAGGCCCGCCTTGGAGGAGCCTGCGGTGCCCTGCATGTGGGAATCCGGCACTTATTAAAGAACCAAATAAGCGTGAAGTGTGCAGGAGGGGCAGCGCAGGACCAGGTGGGTGGTCGCGCGAAGTGCTTTTATTTTTCTGAAGATACGGAGCATGTTTAAGGCTGATAGGAAAGAGCAGGCCTGCAGGGGTGAGTTGGCTGAGGAGGGTGGGTGGGGGACATAAAGCTGCTCATCTGGGGGGTGGGTTCCAGACTCAGAGTCAGAAGGGGCCTTAGATGGGAGGGGTGGCTCCTCCAGCCCCTTCCTCCATTAAAAAATGTGAAAAATGATATTTTACAACATCATTGGTATAAAGGAATCCAAATGGAATGCAGGCTGCATTCATTGCTTGATACCCATCAGTGAGACACTGGTTTTTCTTCTGATCTGCCCCTATGAGCACTGTGGACAGCCCTGTGCCCTGCGGGGCCGGATGGAGAAGCCCCAGGAGCTGGCGGAGGATGGCGGGAACTCCAGCTGGGAGTGGGATGACACAGGAATGCCGGGGCAGCGGGCAGCAGAGCCCATCTGCTGGTGCAGAGTCAGTGAGGCCTCCACCCAGAGGGAGGGAGGCAGGGGCTGGGAGTTTGGGATGAAGGTGCTCACTGGAAATCAGTGGAAAAGTTATTGGTGCTGAGGTTCAGAATGAGGGCTCTGGGCACCTGGGCAGGCTCGTCCCCACCCTGTGATGGAGCTCTCTCCCTGTCAGATGGATGACAGTGCCCCCTGCAGAGGCCTGTGGTCATGATAAGAAGGGACTTGCATGAGCTCAGTGGTAATTGCCGATGCCTGGAGGAGAAAGGAGGGTGCTCCGCGCATGGGCAGTGTGCACAATTCTGGAGAGTTCCAACTGAGCTGAGTGATGGGGCACTGCCTGGGACCCCTCAGTCTCACCAGTTCCCTGCCAGGCAGGGCCTGGCTGTGTGACGCAGGCATGGGAAAGGCAGGCCGGGGGCACACCCAGGCTTAGGGCTTTGCCAGATGGTGAGACGCAGAGAAAGAGTGGGGGAGTGCTGCCTGTGGACAGAGCGACTGGAACCAGGGACCCAGAACCGACTCCACACAGAGGGAGTGGGAAGGACTGCAGGATGCCCGCTTCTACCCGAGTTTCAGATACATGATGAACATTTTTTTTAGTATAAGTATATCCCAAATAGTGCATGGGACACATTTAAACAATGATTCACTGTGTATCTGAAATTCAGATTGAGCTGGGCATCCTCTATCTGATCTGGTAACTCTTGAGGAAAGGCAGGTGGAGGGCGACCGTCATCTGTGGGAACATTCGCAATGCAGGGACTGAGTCTGGAATGAGAACGTGGGGTATTTGCTTGTGCCGTAAAAGTCTGGACAGTTTCCAGTCATCTACGGTTCTAAGGTTCTCAGAGGAAAGGAATGGAGAAGGTGAACAGTGCAGGTGTTCACCTGTGCAGGTGTCAGGTTGGCCCCTCTTACAGCAGAGCCATTCACAGGACACACAGGACAGGGCCCAGCTTCAGCCAACCTGGGAACTCACTTCAGCTCCCAGAGGCCAGAGGACGAAGACTGTGATGGCTGTGGGGGCTGAATGGTGACCCCTAAAGGGATATGTCCATATCCTAAGCCCCATAGCTGACCTCCTTTTTTCAAAAGAAGTTCTAAATCCTAAATGATAAATGTCTTTGTAAGAGGCAGAAGAGAAGGCCCACACACAGAAGAGAGGAGAGAGCTAGGAAAAGACAGAGGCAGAGACTGGAGGATGTGGCCACAAACTGAGGAATGGTGGAGCCACCAGAGTTGCAAGAGGCTAGGAGGGACCCTCCCCTAGGTCCCCCGAGGGAGGGCGGCCCTGCCCACACCTGGATTGAGGATTTCTGGCCTCTAGAGCTATTTGAAAATCAATTTCTGTTGTCCCAAGCCACTCAGCTTGTGGTCATCTATTGCAACAGCCCAGGACAGTCCCTGTAGCTGCAGGCGACAGTCCAATGCGATGGAAGAGGGCTCCTCGGGGTGGGGGCCACACATGGACCTGCGTGGGGCTCTCACACTGACTTTCTCACGCTATGCTCACTGCCATTCTGAGAGATCTGGCACAAGCCACCTTGCAGGACCGACTGGTGGACAAATAGGGGCTCTGGACACATCCCCTGGACAGTAACACTCGGCACCCAGGATAGTCACAACCAGAAAATCACTGAGGCGGTAAAAACAAATCTGCGTAAAATCAGTACCGTCTCCGTTCGCGGCTTCCTTCCATCCCTTCGCAGCTTCCTTCTGACCCTTTGTGGCTTCCTTCAGGATGGTCTGCTTCCTCTTTCTTGTTCTTCTTCCCTTTCCTGAAGCAGCCGACTTTGCTTCCCCTGATCCACACTTCTCCGAATGTCTGTGCAGGTTAATCTGTCGGAGAATTGACACAGAACACACAAGGCGAGTGAGATGGGGCAGGGACCCCTCTCAGGGGCCTGTGGGGACCCCACGCATGGAAAGAAAGAAAAATCCTGAGTTCTTTCGAGGGCAATTCCACACACCTCGCTAGCCCTAAGAAGTAAATAAGCAACTTGATAAGCAAGAAGGTAATAGGAGGCCAGGCACTGTGACTCACGTATGTAATCCCAGTACTTTAGGAGGCCCAGGAGGGAGGCTGAGGTGGGAGGATCGCTTTAGCCCCGGAGGTCGAGGCTGCAGTGAGCTGACTGTACCACTGCACTCCAGCCTGAGTGACAGAAAAAAAAAAAAAAGAAAGAAAAGAAAAGGTGATAGAAACCTAAAACAATAGCCAAGGAAGCTACACTCAGGATGTTTGGGGCACTCGCCCAGGCTGGAGTGCAGTGGCGCCATCTCGGCTCACTGCAAGCTCCGCCTCCTGGGTTCACGTCATTCTCCTGCCTCAGCCTCCCAAGTAGCTGGGACTACAGGCACCCGTCACCACGCCCGGCTGATTTTTTATATTTTTAGTAGAGACGGGGTTTCACCGTGTTAGCCAGGATGGTCTCGATCTCCTGATATTGTGATCTGCCCACCTTGGCCTCCCAGAGTGCTGGGATTACAGGCATGAGCCACTGCACCCGCCCCCCGTCTCCTTTTTTTTTTTTGAGATGGGAGTCTCGCTCTGTCACCCAGGCTGGAGTGCAGTGGCATGGTGTCAGCTCACTGCAACCTCTACTTCCCAGGTTCAAGCGATTCTCCTGCCTTAGCCTCCCAAGTAGGTGGGACTACAGGCGAGTGCCACCACACCCAGCTAATTTTTGTTATTTTTAGTAGAGACAGTGTTCCACCATGCTGGCCAGGCTGGACTCAAAACTCCTGACCTCAAGTGATCCACCTGCCTTGGCCTCCCAAAGTGCTGAGATTACAGGCGTGAGCCACCGCACTGGCCAAGATAACATCCTAACATCCGTCCCTGAGTTGTTTTTTAGAAACCTGGCTCTTTACCAAACAGGTCCACCGGCAGGGAGACCTAAGATAAGGAGGACCTGGGGGCTGAAATCTGACCACTGCTAAATTTGTTCTAATTTTGTTCTTAATTTCCTCCTGAGAGGCCTAGAGGAGGTCATGCCTCGTGAACCAGAGCTAATACTCTTTTCTCAAAATTTTAAACAAAACTTCTCTTCCTTAACCAATTGCAAACCAGTCTCTGAATCTACCTACAACCTGTAAGCCCTTGCTGCAAGATATCCTGCCCTTTTAGGGCAAGGTATCCTCCATGCGCTGATTTATAATTTTGTCTGTAGCTTCTGCTTCCTTGGCACCCTGCAAATAAACTCCTGCTGCAAACTGTGGTGTGGATATCTGGTCTTACTGCACCAGGCAAGCAGACCCCAGTTTGGTTCTATAACAAGAGTCGGCTTCCCCAAAGGCACTGAAAAATGCACAGTTAAAGAGATGGCCTTTGGGAAAACTGTGGGTAGCATGCACCTTTGATAATCTTGTGCAAAAATGATGACTTTTTAAAGGTGACCCTTTCTGTTGTGCTTAGCTCTAGCCAAAAGCTAGCTTGCTTTAAGTATTTTTTTTTAATAATAGAAATCAATGAGAAGACAAAATTTATTTATTTATTTATTTATTTTTTGAGACGGAGTCTTGCTCTTTCGTCTAGGCTGGAGTGCAGTGGCACGATCTCTGCTCACTGCAAGCTCCGCCTCCCGGGTTCATGCCATTCTCCTGCCTCAGCCTCCCGAGTAGCTGGGACTACAGGCATGTGCCACCACGCCCGGCTAATTTTTTGTATTTTTCAGTAGAGATGGGGTTTCACCATGTTAGCCAGGATGGTCTCGATCTCCTGACCTCGTGATCCGCCCGCCTCGGCCTCCCAAAATGCTGGGATTACAGGCGTGAGCCACCGCGCCCGGCCTTAAAATTTATTTTTCTAGAATGTTTCTACTCTCTAAAGTGAAGACTGATGTTGAACCAAAAATTCAATACATCAGTCAATTTCATAACCATCAACTACATACCATAAAGATTTTACTTTTCTGTTAGCTACTCTCTTGAAGCTACTGAGCAGAGGTCATGGGTGGCAGTTATGAAACTGTATACAACATTCAGGAATAAAAGCCAAAGACTTCCCCTAGTCAAGCCTACTCGTGACATAGTCTCATCTAACAAACACTCAGGATAATCTTAAGTCAGAAAATTTTCACTTTTTGAAAAGGTCCTAGGCAAAAGTAAAAAAACTGGCAACAGGTGTTGAAATTTGCAAATTATGCGAAACATCCCGCCTGATTCCCATTTTGACTTTCCCACTGTGCTTAACAGGACTGTCTGCGTTTATGATGGAAGAAGGAAGAATTTACACATAATGGGGGTGATGGAACAGGTTGTTTAAACTTCTTCCATTTTATGCTTAGACACTGGGGTTGGCAAACGACAACCAGTGGGTCAAATCTGGCTGCCAACTGTTTGTGAAAGCAAGTTTTACTGGAACACAGCCATGTCTATTCATTTACACACTGCATCCACAGCTGCTTCCATGACACAAGGGCAGACTCAAGAAGTCGTGGCAGAAACTGATTTGCGTTGCCCTGGTGATTAATGACGCTACGCTTACTGGCCACCTGTATGTCTTCTTTGGAGAAAGGTCTATTTAGATACTTTAACTGTTTTGTTTTGTTTTTTTCCTGAGACAGTCTCGCTCTGTTGCCCAGGCTGGACTGTAGTGGCACAGTCTCAGCTCACTGCAACCTCCACCTCCTGGGTTCAAGCAATTCTCCTGCCTCAGCCTCCTGAGCAGCTAGGATTACAGGCATGTGCCACCATGCCCAGCTAATTTTTGTATTTGTAGTAGAGATGGGGTTTCATCATTTTGGCCAGGCTGGTCTTGAACTGCTGACCTTGTGATCCACCTGCCTCTGCCTCCCAAAGTGCTGGGATTACAGGTGTGAACCACCGCGCCTGGCCTAGATACTTTACCTGTTTTTCATTGGGTATCTGTCTATTTACTGAGTTATAAGAGTTCTTTTTATATTTTAGACACAAGTCCAAATATGCTTTCTTGAATCGGAATTTCAAAAATTTTATGTTCTGAGGGACTGCATGAGGCAGACTTGTTCTTTTCTCTACATTTTTATTTCTTGCACCAAAGAGCAGTTTTTTTCTCTTTAGAATTCTACTCGTTAATTTTAACTCTTCACAATTTTTGCATGAGCAATGGTGTTTTGGGAGCACTGCCACAGCTTTTATTTGAAATTTTAAACTAATAGGGTTGACATTCCAGAACTATCCCACTGTGCTACTCAGAAAAACACAACTACACTACTGTTTTAAGAAGAAATATTTTTAAAAAAATAGTCAACTTCAGGAAATTCAACTTTTATAAAACTTTTATAAAGTTAGGCTGAAGCCTACATGGTCCAAGGATCTAGCTAGCCATGTGCAGTGGTTTTTAAATGTCCTGAAATTCTTTGATGCTGTTCCTTTCAAAAGAAACTTCATTCCCCACTCGAGTGTGGGTGGGACTTCATGGTTCATTTCTTGTGACTAGAATGTGCCACTTTTTTTTTTTTTTTGAGACAGAGTCTTGCTCTGTCGCCCAGGCTGGAGGCCAGTGGCACAATCTCAGCTCACTGCAACCTCTGTCTCCTGGGTTCAAGTGATCCTCCCGTCCCAACCACCCAAGTAGCTGGGATTACAAGCGTGCACTACCACGCCTAGCTATTTTCTTTTTTTTTTTTTAAAGTAGAGACAGGGTTTCACCATGTTGGCCAGGCTGGTCTTGAGCTCCTGGCCTCAAGTTATCCACCTGCCTTGGCCTCCCGAAGTACTGGGATTACAGGTGTGAGCCCCCACAGCTGGCTGTTGTGCCGCTTTTAGGACTAGACTGCAAAAGGCACCATGGCTTCCTACTTGCACTCTCTCACTTGCTCTGAGTCAGGAGGACACTCAAGCAGCCCTGCAGAGAGGTCCCTGTAGCAAGGAACTGAGGCCGGTGCCAGCAGTTGTGTGGCGGAGCTGTCCTGGAAGTGGATCCTCTGGCCCCAGTCCAGCCTTCGGATGATGCAGCCCTGGCGGACATCCTGACTGCAGCCTCAGGAGTGGCCCTGAGCCAGGACCACCCAGTTCAGCCACTTCCGAGTTCCCAACCCAGAGAATCTGTCAGGTGATAAATGTTTGTGGTTTTAAGCCACTCCATTTTGAGGTAATCTGTCATACAGAAATAGATAACTAATACAACACCTAAAAGAATAAAACCATAAATGTATTGCTTAGTCCAGTACCAACAGCACTATTCTTTTTTTTTTAATTAAAAAAGTTATTTTAGAGACAGGGTCTCACTCTGTCTTTGAGGCCAGAGTGCAGTGGTGCGATCGTGACTCACTGTAGCCTCCAACTCCTGGGCTCAAGTGGTCCTCCTGTCTCAGCCTCCTGAGCAGCTAGGCCTACAGGGGTGCACCACCACAACCAGCTAATTTTTTTGGAGGGATGGGGGTCTCCCTGTGTTGCCCAGGCTGATCTCAAACTCCTGGCCTCAAGTAATCCTCCCACCTTGGCCTCTCAAGTAGCTGGGATTATAGACACCAATAACATTATTCTAGGGACATCTGAAAAAATGTGTGAAAACTGCATTCTCTCTGTCAAGTAGCCTAAATCTAGTTCACTGTTTGAAAATATTACACTAAAAGGTGGGGTTCTTTGGGGAGTCTGATAACTCCCTATTGTAAGATTTTGTGTGTTGGATTGTCCTTTTTTTTTTTTTTAGGGGATGAGGAGACCACACTTTCATAGGATTCTTCAAGAATTTTGTGATTTTAAAAAACTAATAACCACTTTCCTAAGGCATGACAGATGCTCCTGAAGTCCTGGCAGGTTTCTATAATCGGGTTTAAACTCTCCTGGTGTGACACTGTCCTCCTGAGATAGAGGGATCTTTCCATGGGGGATTTACTGTGACTTAAGTAAGCTTACCCAGCGGGAAAAGCCTTTGCCACACTTGGAGCATTTGTAAACAGTCGGGATGAAATTTGCATCGTGGTATTTCCTGAAGTGAGCGTTTAGAAGTTGCTTCTGTCGGAAACATTTATTGCAAGAAAGGCAGGTGAATGGTTTCTCTCCAGTGTGGGTACGAATGTGAGCGGTCATATGACGTTCCTAAGAGGGAAGGGGAAGAAAGCAGCTTGTCTAGTTCAAAGGGTTTTCTCGATATTAGACACTGTTTATCATACAATACCTTTTATTTCCCTCCCCAAAGATGAGTCCACTATTAAGCAGAATTACTGCAAACACATTCTGAACAAGGCAGCATTCACTCTCAGTAAGTGGCCGCCTAGGAAACAAAACTCGTATGCAGCAGCAAGTGACAAAGGTCTTGCAGTGGATTCCTTGCTGGCTCTCCTGTCCTGTTGGGATGTGGGAGTACACACCGCAGGGCGTGAAAGGATGGTCCTTTGTCCTCTCATTACTGGGAGTCCTCCTTCTATACAACTATTTACAATTACCTGAATTTACAAAGGGCAAATAGAACCTGCAAACTTAAAAATCAAATGTCAGAGTTTAAATTCAGCAGACCTTTGGGGTTGCAAGTACCTTAAGTATCAACATTTTTCCATTTACTTCCCAATAGTATCGTAACAGATCTTAATACCGATTTTTTTTTTTTTTTTTTTGAGACAGGGTCTCGCTCTGTCACAATCATAGCTCACTGCAATCTCAAACTCCTGGGCCCAAGTGATCCTCCTGCCTCAGCCTCCTGAGTAGCTGGGACTGTGGACGCATGCCACTATGCTCGGCTCAGTTTGTATTTTTTGTAGAGACAGGGTCTCACTATGTTGCCCAGGCTGGTCTCAAACTCCTAGCCTCAAGCAATTCTCCTGCCTTAGCCTCCCAAAGTGCTGGGATTATAGGTGTGAGCCACTGTACCTGGCCTAAATAGAGATTTTATCTTAGACAGGAGAAAATAATTTGGGAAATCAGGAAAAAAATATGTATGAAGTCAAGCAAAAGTACACATTTTGTTTTATTTAAAATGTGATGATTATTTGGATTAAATATATATTCGGCCATTTCTGCATTACTGTCAGTGGCCTAACTGATGCTCTTTCTTCTAATCTTTCTCTCACCCAATTCACTAAACACCCTCTTCCATGCACAGCTTTCACCTCATCACCCTCCTTTGGGACAGCATCTCTGGCGCTCCCTGCTGGGAGCCTGACTCTCCAGGACCGCGGCAGCCAGGAGCACCCAGCAGTGCTCCAAGCCTCTGCCCACGGCCATGACCTGCCTGGCTGCTCTCTACTCCCACATACCTGCTGTATGCCTGCTCCAGGGCCCCTCATCCTTTCCAAGTCCTATCCATCTTTCAGGAAGCCCTCCTAGTTCATTTGAATAAGTATGAGCCTGAGGCCTCAGAATATTCTTTGTTCAAAATCTACCAGAAAAACTCCTTTTCCCTTATTCAAAGCATTTACAGTTTACAGCCCACACTTCAAAACACACAGTAAGCACTGATTTTCACCTTTGGTAACCAATAGCATGCAATACTTTGAAGCAGTGTTTTGGTTTTCAAACTTCTACTCTGAGGGCCTTTTATACTTTAAAAAATTACTGTGGCCTCTGAAGAGCTTTTATGTATACAGGTGGCATGTATTAGTATTTACTTTCTTAGAAAGCAAACCTGGGGAATTCTTAAGTGTTTTTTAAAATAAAACAATTTATTAACTCATTTAAAAATAAAAACAAACCAACTACATATTATTTCTGTAAAATTATCTATTTTTCAAAACAAAAATAACCTAATGTCTGTCTTAATAGATAAGGTTTCCAGTTAAAATACAGGCTGCAACTACTTGTATATAAAACTATTTGTTGTTGTCTGAAGTTCAAATGTCACTAAGTGTGCTGTATTTTTATTTGCTAAGTCTGACAGCTCTATTAAAAGCATTCGGGGCCAGGCGCGGTGGCTCACGCCTATAATCCCAGCACTTTGGGAGGCCGAGGCGGGCAGATCACGAGGTCAGGAGATCGAGACCATCCTGGCTAACATGGTGAAACCCCATCTCTACTAAAAATACAAAAAATAAGCCAGGCGTGGTGGGGGCCGCCTGTAGTCCCAGCTACTCAGGAGGCTGAGGCAGGAGAATGGCGTGAACCCAGGAGGTGGAGTTTGCAGTGATAGCGCCACTGCACTCTAGCCTGGGCAACAGAGTGAGACTCCGTCTAAAAAATAAAAAAATAAAAAAAGAATTCAGATGGATTCCTATCTCTGCTCTTCCCTCAGTCCACTGGAGTATGTTAAGTGATAAAGAAAATTTGGTCTCACAGACATGTAGTTTGAAAAGAGAGCAACATTTTACTAGCTCTTCCAAATAACTGTGGGCATTCTTCTCTGCTATTACACTAAAATTCAGTTAGTAGTAATTTCTTTTTTTAGGGTCTCACTCAGTTGTCCGTGCTGGAGTGCAGTGGTATGAACACAGCCTACTGCAGCCTCAACCTCCTGGGCTTAAGTGATCCTCCAACCTTAGCCTCCTGAGTAGCTGGGACAGATATGCACCACCACCCACAGCTAATTTTTGTATTTTTTTGTAGAGACAGGGTCTCATTATGTTGCCCAGGTTGGTCTTGAATTCCTGAGCTCAACAGTTCTGTCCATCTCGGCCTCCCAAAGTGTTGGGACTATAGGTGTGAGCCAGTGTGTCTGGCCATGGTAATTTCTTACCATGGGTTGCAATGTGGAATCTGAAACCGTGCCAAAGAACTTGTGCTCCTCTGCGACATTATAACCTCTTGGTCTATCTTTTACTTTGAATGGATCTTTTACCTGTGTGTGAGTCTGTAACATCATGGATTGGTCATTTGGAAAATACTAGTTCACTTGAGTTATGCAGATCTTCTAAATGCTGACATATTTCATCACACAATATAAAAGTTGCTTTAAAAAAATCACTCTAATCCCCCCCCTTTTTTTTTTTTTGAGATGGAGTTTTGCTCTGTTTCCCAGGCTGGAGTGCAGTGGCGCGATCTCGGCTCACTGCAACCTCTGCCTCCCAGGTTCAAGCAATTCTCCTGCCTCAGCCTCCTGAGTAGCTGGGACTACAGGCGTGTGCCACCACGCCCAACTAATTTTTGTATTTTTTAATAGAAACGGGGTTTCACCATATTGGCCAGGCTGGTCTCAAACTCCTGACCTCAAGTGATCCACATGCCTCGGCCTCCCAAAGTGCTGGGATTGCAGGTGTGAGCCACTGCACTTGGCCTACATTGTTCATTTTTTAAAAAAATGTCCACCAACGCCCAATGACTGAGTAAACAGAATTTGTTTATCTTGTTCCTTTCTTAGTGAAAATGACATTCACTGAGAAAGTGGCTACTTGAGCTGGAAATTCAAACAAACCCCCAGGTGCTTTTCCTCCAAGCTTTGGAAGACAGTGGAGGTGCGTATGCCGGCTTCTCATCTCATCACAAAGATTATTAAAAAGAAAGTATTCCAGGTAAAGACTGAATAAAGTTAACAACTTTAACTGCCTCTTCAAGCACACTGTCATGTAAAACTGCCCTTTATTTTTGCTGCCAGTGTGTGAAGGTGAAGAATACCACAACCACCAATTCCACTGGGTGTCACTGCCTTGATCCGGGCTAAGGACCACCACTACTTTGGCACCAAAAGTGCAAATGTCAATGTCTCAAAAGGGCAAATGACACCTTTCCATTATCATAACAAAGGCTTGGCTCTTGTGGGGCCCTAGTTGGTCACAGGGAGCTCTGGGGATATGTGAACATACTTTAAGAACTGTTGTTTTGAATGACTGGCTCACAGTTGCTTTCTGGTTATTCTGAATAGGCTACTCTATTAAAAGCATGACTTTTCTCAGTATCTTCAAGGTGGTAGAGAATCCCACCCAGCCCTCCATTCTTCCATACACCACTGCCTCTCCAAATTAAGTAAAGTACAATACCTGCTTGCAGGCATAACTGCAGTGTTTGCACTTGAACCTCTTCTCATTCTTATGAGTTTTCTGGTGCTGAATGAGGGCATAGCGTTCATGGAAGACAGCAGAACAGTAGCGGCATTTCAGCTCTGCAGCGCTGTAAGCATGCAAGTTGCGCATATGCACACCTAAAATGGTCACAGAACATTATATACTTCAAGAGTGTTGTTTTCTGTTAGCCTGCTTCCCCTCTCCTCTAAACCGGGGTTTCTCAGCCTTGGCGCTGGAACATGCTAGTTCCTTCCTGGGCAGGGCAGGGTGGGCTATCCTGTGCATTGTAGGATGTTAAGCAGCATTCCTGGTGTCTGTCTACCAGATGCCAGCAGCACCTCTTTCTCCCCGGTTGTGAAAGCCAAAATACCTCTAGATATCACCGCCTGTCTTCTGGGTGGTAAAATCATTCTCAGCTGAGAACCACTGCTTTAAACGAACAGAATGCTGAAATATCATTTTAATACTCTCGGTATGGAGTTAAATGTTATATAAGGTATGTCACACTGGACCTAAAATGTTCATTGAACAAAGCACTTTGAGAACTATTATGGGGTAGGTGAATTTTAGGATGATGTTAAGGTGGTTTTATATAAAAAGATATAATATCTTTATTTTACCTTAAATAATCCACTCGTTGTTAGAAGTCAGTGCCCTGTTATTTCCTATGTTGAAATTAACCTGAGACACATGGTAAGGTCTGGCTGGGTTTGCTCATCTAAGTCTAAAGCATGATGGTCTTGTGATACTTGTGTAAGAAGCCAAATGACAATGGACAGCTGTGTGATGGAGCTACTCCACCTTACCCACAGTGACTCAGACATTTAGAGAGCTTGATTTCTCATACAGTCATGGGAAGGAAGAATTAATGTGTTTATAAAGCATCTTATAGGGCTATGTGGAGTGTATCACCCACTGGCATGAGATGGATATAAACCATGTTACTTTGCCATGGTGTCAAAAAAGTCTAGCAACTGGCTAGACTTGTGCCCCACCAAGCCCCACTGGACTGTGTTTTGTGATGTGCTGGTATCTACGGCAACAATGACAGAATGGTCCAGATGAAAAATAAAAGTGAAGACTTTGTGGAACACCTTTCGCCTTTCAGAAAGGTTTTCAAAAAAATTCATCTCATCTCCAGAATCTCTTTGGGCAAAAGGGTCAAATTTTTTGTTCTGCTAACATATTTTTGTGTATCACAGTGTCATATATTTTGGAAAGAGAAATAAGATCATGGAAAAGGGAGGCCCAGGAATCCTGAAACAAAGAAGAGGCTCGTTCACTCACGCTTCCCACACCCTCCCTCCCATTGCTCAACACTGGCTGGCTTCCCCACAGGCAGTATCAAATCCCAGCTCCTAGGCCTGCTGTTCCAAGACCCTCTGGATTCCCTCTCCCACTCTGTGGGGTGTGACAGTTAAAAGGCTCACCGTGGTAGATGCGGATTACACGTTACAGGCCCGCCTCCTTTCCCGAAGTGACTGTCTTAAGGGGAAAACTGTGTCTTTTGAAACTTCTGCTTCCAAAACTTCTTAGGCCCACAGCCAGGGTTTAACAAAAGCTTGCTGGGTGCCATAGATAGAGCACTGATAAATAGGAACCCAGAATCCAGCCACCTCCTAGCACCCTTGGTTCGTATGACTCCCAGGCAGGTTACTCTATGTCTCTGATCCCCAGTGTCCTCATCTGAAAAATAGGCCCAATGTGGAATGAAGTAATACCCATCTGTGAAAGGTCTTATCACGTGCATACGGAACAGGCCTGGGCCCGGATTCTAAAAACATGCTATAAAATGCACTTATGAGATGCAGCCACCAGATGGTGCGACAGGACTTCTGGAAGAAAATTCGTCCCAGGGCCAAGTTCCCGAAGACCGGGCCTCCCAGTATCAGGGCCAGTACTTTGCAGGTTTATAGGACCACGCTCCAAAGAGCCAGCAAATGCTGTAGTAAAAGAAAGATCGCTAAACCACTCACGTAGGTCGCTTTTCCGTGCAATGATGGTGGCACAATGGGGACACTGGTATTTGGGGACATTTTCGCCGTGTTTCTGCAGAATATGTATTTTCATGGTCCCGCTCTGGGTGAAGCGGGTGTGGCAGATGTGGCATTCGTAAGGCTTCTCACCTGAGATGCAGACAACAAAGTGATTCCCCCTCCAGGCCTGATCCTTGCCAAAGGCCACCTGTGCTGAAAGTGTTTTTTTTTTTTGCCCCAAGCCTCCTTTATCAACCCCCTTCTCACCGGACAACCCCCAATTAGTATGAGACTCCCAAATCAAGCCCAGACAGCTTATGTCAAGTACAGCTGTGTCCATGATGGACCAGAGACATGACTTCCCCGCATCTGGTGGCTACGCAAGAGTTCAAGGTGGTTCACATCCATGGGGCTGTACGAATAACCAAGAAGTACACATAAATGTATTCTTAACACAAGACATCAAGTACCTCTGTTACAAAAGCAGCACACTTTATGTTTTGCCTTAAAGTTGAAGAATGAATTAAGGAGTTGACTTTTATTTATTTTTATTTACTTTTTCTTTTTTTTTGAGACAGGTTCTCACTCTGTCACCCAGGCTGGAGTGTAGTGGCGCAATCCCGGCTCACTGCAGCCTCAACCTCCTGGGTTCAAGTGATTCTCCTGCTTCAGCCTCCCAAGTAGCTGGGACCACAGGTGTGCACCACCAGGCCCAGCTAATTTTTAAATTACTCGTAGAGACAGGGTCTCCCTATGTTGACCAGGCTGGTCTCAAACTCCTGGACTCAAGGGATCCTCCTGCCTCAGCCTCCCAAAGTGCTGGGATTACAGGTTTGAGCCACCATGCCTGGCCAGGAGTTGAGTTTTAAATACCTGAAAAATCTACGGAAGCAAATACTTTGTGTTTTACTCCACACAGTGGGGTTGTGGCACAGTATCTATGCAGACTCTCTTACTGCTAAATAAAGGTAAAAGTACAGATCAAGATTCTTTTATCATGAAGGCACGCAAAAATCCACTTTTACCTTTGAACTTTAATTGTGCCAATAAAAAGTAATTTTTTAAAGCTTGCTTTAAGAGTTAACACTGTAGGTATCAGGCCTTCAGCACCAGAGCCCTTACCTGAGTGCGTTCTCATGTGGCGTTTCAGCTTGTAGGTATCTCTGCTGGCATAGCTGCACTGGCAACACTGAAAGGGGCGCTCCCCAGTGTGGGATCGGACATGGCGCTTCAATTTACTTGCCTAATAAATACATAAATGATGTTCGTTGCAATAGAAACTAAAAAATGGCAGAGTCTTCCATTAATCAGCATTGTAAAAGAGATTTAAATTAATCATATTTTAACATCAGAGCACCAGAGCATATTTCACTCACTGAAAAAACATGAAAAAGTCATCACTTTTGATCATCTGTTATGGGTGATTTTATCTCATTTGATGTGTGTGTGTATAAGCTCCTTTAGGGAAAATGAGCAGCAGTTCTGAGAGACTTTCGCGTTCACCTTCACTTTAAGCCTACCTGCCAAATGCCATACAAGATTTTGTTTTCATTTCTAAGGCAATATATGCTCAATAGTTACAAAATTTAGATTACACTGTAAAAGCACAAAGGCAAACATTTTTTTTTCCTTGCATAAAGTGAAAATCTTGAAACTCTAGCTCTCGTTGGGTGTGGTGGCTCACGCCTGTAATCCCAGCACTTTGGGAGGCTGAGAGGGGTGGATCACCTGAGCTGAGGAGTTTGAGACCAGCCTGGGCAACATAGCAAAACCCTGTCTCCACCAAAAATTAAAAATGAGCTAGGTATGGTGGCACACACCTGTGGTCCCAGCTACTCGAGAGGCTGAGGTGGCAGGACTGTTTGAGCCTGGGAGGCTGAGGCCGCAAAGAGCCAAGATCACACCACTGCACTCCAACCAGGGTAACAGAGTCAGACCATGTCTCAAAAAAAATAAAAATAAAAATAAAAACGAAACCCTAGCTCTTTAATGGAGGAACATCTGTATGTCTTGCCTCATGGTCACAAGTCCTGCAGACTCCACCCTGGCTGGCCCCACAGTAACAGTGTGAGTGGAGGAAGGTGTCCCTGGCTATTCAGCATTGGTGCCATGTGACAGCAGGTTCCTAAGAAGAATTAAGTTTTAAGTAGAAGAAATTAAATTCTAATTTGAGTAATTATGTATCCCAGGCAATCAGTTAAATAGCAAACAACATAATACCTCCCATTTGAGCATTCACTGCCTGACTCGTTGATTGCCTTCTAGAACTATTCTTATTCTGTATTCGTGTATCACAGGCCCTTATCTACTGCTAGCAGGAAATGGGGGCATCAGCTACACGTGGACTACAGACATCAGGAAGCTGCATCAGTCCTGCTGGTGACCCAGGGATGCCACACTCCATCTGCCTCCCCAGTAAGTGATGAGCGCACAGAAGCCTAAGGAACACTCGAGAACAAAAGAAAGCTTAGAATGGAAAACAACAGCCAAGCCAAAAAATTTCACTTAGGTTTTCAGAAGAAAAGTGAATGCCTTCAAGTATATTAGAAAGCAAAACAAAAAGAATTTTAAAAACTGTATAGCATGAAAGTTTTGAGGAGGATAAGTGGTGTGAATGAGCAAAGAAGGCCATTAAAAAAGACTCTGGATGACTCTTAAAGGTGGGATGGGAGGACAATGGGAGTTCAAATGCTTTTTTTTTTTTTTTTTTGGAGACGGTGTCTCACTCTCGTCCAGACTGGAGTGCGCGATTTCGGCTCACTGGAACCTCTGCTTCCCAAGTTCAAGTGATTTTCCTGCCTCAGCCTCCTGAGTAGCTAGGACTACAGGCATGTGCCACCACACCTGGCTAATTTTTTGTATTTTTAGTAGAGACAGGGTTTCACCATGTTGGCCAGGCTGGTTTTGAACTCCTGACCTCAAGCAATACGCTCACCTTGGCCTCCCAAAGTGCTGGGATTGCAGGCGTGAGCCACCGCGCCCGGCCAATTCAAAAGCTTTTTTAAAAAAAGGGGCACATCTGCACCACAGCTTTGATACGTTCCTGCTGCCATTTTTGTCACGGGATGGGATGAGGGAACAAACAAGCATGGCAAGACTTGAGGAGACTGCAAAAATGGGGGGCTATGGCAGCAATAGAGACCCCTGTGCTGAGGCTACCCCCCACAGGCTGCGTGCAGACCACTGGCACTGGGGGAGGGTCTCGTGGACCTAGGAAGTTTGTACTAAGCACCGGCAGGACACCAACAAAAAGTCCACTCCAGGCTTAGGATCCCCAGGTGACTCTGTTCCCTGATCCCTCCATTTTGCATTCTCATACTACAATCACAACCTTTAACTCAGATGAGAAATAATTTTTTTAAAAATAGTAACAGCAGAAAAAAGTTCTTGGAATCAAATTCTGACCCTAACCATGAAATTTCCCAATTTGTGAAACCCGGCTGCACTGTTACTATATTTAATCATCAGCTGTTCCCTTTAACTTAGTTCCATTTGGGTGTACTGTTGACCCAGTCCCGACCAGGCTCAAAACCGGGCCTCAGCCTGTTTCCCAGCACACAGTGAGACCCTGACAATTAACTGGTGGAAACTGGTACTGACTAGTAAAAGCAGTGCTCTGCCTGTTTCACGTGAGTACCGCCAAACCTGTTAGAAGGTACAAATAAAGCAAATTAATTAAAATGACTATGGCACACCTGAAGTTTGAAAAGGGTGGTCTCTCTGTAATTAAAAACAGAAACGTCTACGCTTAAATCTTCGAGCAAGCTGCTTTGTATCTAATCAAGCTCAAAAATTTCAGCCAACATTGAGATTGGATCTGCATTCTACGTTAGAGCAAATACATTTTGATTTTGTGGCCCAGAGTACTAGATAAAATGCAGAACTTTTAAACAAATCTGGGACTTATTTCTTGACCACAGATGGTTTATTTGTAATTTGTAAACCTTTACATATTATTTTCACTAATTAGTAATCAAAGAAACAAAGAAATCCAATTTTCTATTTTAACTTCATAAAAGAGAATGCATATTATTTCCTGCATAAATTTTATATGAATAATAAAAAGCCTGTTTGTAACAGATTCTACTGTTAGTTACACTTGGAGTAACTTGTACAGCAGCCTCTACTAAGATGCCATGAAGCTTCAAGTCCAAGAATGGCTTTACCTCCACACTGGCATACTTGCACATGGAACATTTAAAGGGTTTCTCATGAGTATGTTTATAGCGCCTGTGTCGGACGAGTTCTCCACTGGTGACAAATGCCATGTTGCAGTCGTTACACTTGTAGGGCCTGGTTCCTGTAAAATCACATAGTTCATACTTTCAAAACAAGACTTAACCAGAAACATTCCAAGGAATTCATAGCTTTTTAATTACACTCAGTCTCAAAAATGCTTTAAAAATTAAGAAGAGGCTCCTTAAACTATAAATACCACAGATGCATGTGAGAAAAATCTTTGTAACAGTATTTTTAATGGAAATTCAAGAAAAAGAAGACAAAACTAAAGTATAAAATGTTACACGATTCTACTGTAGAAACAGGTGGATTCACATTCTTAACATAAGCCTTAACACACATCATTCCAGAGAAACAGCCTTCCCGGCAGTTTTACCTGTGTGGGTGTTAACATGGTTCCGCAGCAGAGTGACCGTACGGAAGGTTTTCAGGCAGAGGTGACACAGGTGAGGCTTCTCACTGGTGTGAGTTTTCATATGACGATTAAAACTTGACATTCTAGAAGAGGTGAACATGCAGACATCACAGTGGAAGGTTCCTTTTGCTCCTATAGGCAGGAAATAGTTTATGTATTTGTTAGAGGTTCAAATTCCATTTAAATACTTGAAAGTAAATCAGCACATCGTCCTTTCAACTAACGTGGGAACTGAACAATAGCACATGCTATTTATATCCACAAGCTGATCGAAGCAATTCAGGACACCATGTTCCTGGATAATGAACAATGCATTTTCGCTGTTTCAAGATGGGCCGATGTCTGTTTCTGGGCACAGAGTGGACTAGGTACTCTGCTCATCCTTCTTGCTGAGAAAAACAATGCTAGGGAGGAGATGCCTGAACATTTCAGAATGTCTTGTAGACCTAAGGAGAGATGAGAAAAGGCACACCGCCTACCTGAAGTGGGGCGCCCAAGAAATGTGGCCCTGCATTCTCTGTAGGGTGAACTAAAGATAACCCGCCCCATCTCTGCATCCTTCTCTCTAGCCAGGGGACTGCAAGAAAAACCATCTAGAATGGTGCCATCCAAAACCACAGCCATAAGTCATGTGTGACTCTTAAATTTGGACTTAAACTAATTAAAATTAAATATAATTGAACATTTAGTTCCTCTGTTGTAAGCCACATTTCAACTGCCCAAAGGCCACATGGAGATAGTGGCCACCGTACTGAACAGGGCAGATAAAGACCATTTCCATCAGCAAAAGAAGTTCTCTTGGATGATGCTGGTCTAGCACTGATGGAGAGGTGAAAACATTTGCCCTAAGAAGATGGCTCCAAAGAGGGAAGGTGGCCCCAGTGAGCATGTCCTGGGTGGTTCTAACAGTAACCCTTGGGGGATCTGGTTTAAGACAGTTTTTGACCATCACTGCCTGGCAGAAATTAATATATACCATCCCTTGAAGAACCCACTTTCACCCCAGGCTTCAAGGGATTCCCACAGATAACAGTAAAAAGAACCAATCAGCTCACAGTGATAAATAAGATGCCAGTGCAAGGGCAGCGGAAACAAACAGAAGACTCAGACCTACAAAGACTTCAGATGTTGGAATCATCAAATACAGAATATAGCTGAGTTGTTATTCTCAAAATCCATCCCTCCATAAAAGCAATGAAAACAACTGGCAAAAAAATGTCACAAGCAACTTTTTCAGGACACTGGAAACTAACTGGAAGCTTCCAGCAACCAGGGGAAACAATTTAAAAAATCTAGCTGATTCTCAGTAAAAAAGAGAGCTTGGTGGAATTCTAACTTATTCCGGTTCCATTCTCTGCTCCCTAGCTCAGGGGTGGCCTTGAAAATAACAATCCAAGCTATATTAACAGAATGATGAAAAAAACAACAACACAAGATCATCTCAATAGATGCAGAAAAAGCATTTCATAAATCCAACACCGTTTTCTTGATAAAATACTCAACAAACTTGGAATAGAAGGTTTATGGGTTGAGTTGTGACCCCTGCAAAAATACATGAAGTCCTCATGCCAGATACCTGTGAATGTGATCTTATGTGCAGAAAGGGTCTTTGCAGATGCAATCAAGCTAAGCTGAGGTCATGCTGGATGAAGGTGGGTCATAAGCCAGTATGACTGGTGTCCTTATAAGAAGAGGAAAAGAGATGTAGAGACATACAGGAATAATTCCATGTGATAACAGAGGCAGAGATTGGAGGAGTAATGCATCTGCAAGCCAATGAATGGCACGACTGCTGGCAATATCAGAAGCTAAGAGAAAGGCATGAAATATATTCTCCCCGACAGCCTTGCAAGAGAGCATGGCTTTGCCAACACCTCAATTTCACACTCGTAGCTTCCACAACTGTGAGAGGTATGTTTCTGTTGTTTGAAGCCACTCAGTTTGTGGCACTTTGTCATGGCGTCCCTGGGAAGCTAACACAGTGCCAGTTAAAAATGGGCCAAAGATTTGAATAGCCATTTTTTCCAAAGAAGATACGTAAGTGACCAATGAAAACATGAGGAGATAGTCAACACCTTTCGTCATTAGAGAAATGGAAACCAAAACTACAACGAGATACCTCTTCACACCTGCTAGGATGGCTATAATTAAACAATAACAACAAATGGAAAACAAGCGTTGGTGAGGATGTGGAGAAACTGGAAGCAACACACACTGCTGGTGCAAATTCAAATTGGTGCAGCTGCTATGGAAAATAGTGTGGTAGCTCCTCAAAAAATTAAACATAGAGTAACCACACCATCCAGCAATTCCACTCCTAAGTATATACGCAAAAGGACTGGAAACAGGTGCTCAAACAAAAAACTTGTACACAGATGGTCATAAGAACACCATTCACACTTGCTGAAAGGTGGACACAATTGCAGTGTGCATCAGTGAATGAAGGGATAAATAAAATGTGCTATACCCATACAGGGATTATTACTTAGCCATTAAAAACGAATGAAGCGCTGACACATACTACAATACCAACAAACCCTGCAAACATGATGCTAAGCTCAAGAATCTAGACACGAAAGGCACATGGTATACATATATGATTCAACTTCTGGAAAATGTCCAGAACAGGAAAATCTACGGAAACAAAAAGTAAATTAGTGGTAGCCAGGGGCTAGGAGGAACAGAGTAGGAAGTGACTGCCTAATCGGTACAGGCCTCTTATTGGGGTGATAAAAATATTCTGGAATTTAGACAGTGTTGATGGGTCTACAAATTTGAATATATCAAAAACCTAAAAATGAGCTAGAAATTGTAAAACTTGGGGTGCAAAGCTCTTGATTTAAACATATGAGAAACTACTATGTACCAAAAGGCTGCAAACTCAACCACCTATGGAAGGCAGAGGCAAGAAACCTAAGTGAAGGGCCCTGACCACATGTAAGAATGGGGTGGTGGTGGCAGTGTTTGGTTGGCATTCTCCTTTTCTAAACTGAGTCACCTTCCAATCCCAGGCACCTGATGCCAGGAGGAAGGAAAACTGTGCCAAGTGTTGCCAGATATAATTTAAAAGAGCTAGAAATTGAAATTTTGGGGGTGAAATATGTTGATTTAAATAAGTGAGAAACTAATATTTTTAAAAAATAAGCCAAACAAATTATTTTCATAGGACAAATTCATCCTGTGGGCTGCTGGAATGAAATCTCAGTTTAATATGGCTTTAATATTGCTTCAGGGTCTTCCTAATCTGGACCCATCCACCTCTCTGAGCACCCACCCAGCTCTACAGACACAGTAGAGCTCTCCACCCTCAGATACAAAGTAAATACTTCCAGAGCTACACGCCCAGACCACTTCCTAGTACTTGGAATCCTGATCCCCATCTTAGTGGCTTCTTTGTCCTGGACTCACCTAAATATCACCTCCCTTAGAAGGCACCCTCTACGGCTTCCTGAAGGAGGAATCACTCCTTCTCTTGGCCCTGAAGCACACGAGGCCTCACCACCTGTCCTGTAATGACTTGTCCCCCATATCCCTCTGGGGCTGCAAACTAGGCAGCAGAGACCAGGGCTTGGTCTTCTATGCTTACGTGCACAAGGCTTTGTGGGAACATTTTTACTGTGCTTTCAAAACGTTTGTGTGTAAAGTGCAAAACCCTTCTGGATTTGATTCACAATACAGAACATTAGTTTAAAATTTCTCCCATTTCCTGACATTTTGAAAGTAAAAGTCAACCACTTAAAACTTCAATTACCATCACCTGCCCATAAAGAAAAACAGCAGCCCAGTTTTAGGGAGTGTATTCTATGAGATGAACTGGCCTACCCTTTGTCTTTCTTTGATTTTTTGTAGATTTGGCCTTTTCAGCATCTGCTTGACCAGCTGTAGGTTGATCCTCTTGTTCTTCCACATTTGAATTTGAAACTGTGAGAACAATTTCGTCACTTCTTTCATCTCCTGACATTGTTTCCACAAAAAAGAGCTGCTCCTTTGTTCTTTCAGCCAATAACTGGTTCTTCTCCTGCTCTTCCTCGAGCTAATAAACAACAAATATTCAAATATGATACTATTGATTTCAGTATAATTAGACTTTTGCCTGGATGAAGCACAGAATACAAAAAGAAAAGCCAAAGTGGAAGATTATGCATCACAATGTTAATTATTTCGCATCAGGGTTGTGGCAGTGAAACTTAACACTTTTTTTTAAAACATAATGCGCCTTACACTATTCCAATTAGCACCACTTTTAAAACTCTTTTTTAAAAAAGAACCTAAGAACTCTCAAGATTTTCCTGGGAAGTATTTGTACTGTCTTTAATTTGCAACTGCAAAATACCTTGTCCAGACATAATATTGCATAAAAGCCGACTTGAATTTTTTCTTTTTCATGTAAGGGGTTGTTTATTAAAACCAGCTGTACCTTGATCAGTCCAGTAGTTTCAGCCAGGCTCACCGCTAACTTACTGTCTTCACTGGCCACCATCACATTCTCCTCTAGAGCGTGGAACTGCAACACCTCCATCTCTTGCGGGGAGTACAGCTCTTGCTGGATACTAATGGCCACACACTGCTGCAGGCTCTGCCGGGGCCCTTCCTCAAGCCACAGCAACCCAGGGCCAGGCTGTTGCACCACCACCTGCACCCCTTCTTGCTGCTGTATGCTCAGCAAGCTCATATCCTGCAACTCCACAGCTTCAGAAGTGAAGTGCACCGTCTGCAGGGTCAGGATGTACTTCTCGCTCTCCTCCGAGGGGGCCAGCACCAGCTCCACTTCTTCCTCCAGGACGCTGTCCTGGAAGGCCCCAGAGGTACGCTCGGCCTCCAACTCACTAGGGCTCCGATGGTCTTTCTCTCTGCACACTCCGTCTTTTTCCTCCTCCTTCAGGCCTTTTTCCGGCATCAACTCGAGTTCTTTGATCTTGGTGAATTGCTCAGAAAGGACAGAGATCTCAGTGGCTGCCATAATGACTTGGCCTGTTTGAAAAATAAGCAAGCGGTTTCCATAGGGGGGAGAAGGGGGTGGTATGAGGAGGGATGCGGGGGGTGCTGGAACCTAGCAGGCTTTGGAGTTGAAACAAGGTCTGGCCTCAAAAGGTTTTGGACTTAGTAGGGTCAGAACAATGCTGATCTGGCTTGGGTCTAGGAGGGGGTCAAGGCTAAGCAGGATTTAGGCTAAAGCAGGATTTTGTACAAAACCCTAGAACGAACAGGTTTGGGCCTCAGCAGGCTTAGGGCCAGCACACATCCTGCGCCTGGCAAGGTTCCGCCTGAGCACACTCTGGCCCAGTGCATATCCTGGGCCTAGCAAGGTTAGGCCTGAGCCGGTTCAGTCAGTGAACATCCTGGGCCTAGTAAGGTTTGGGCCCAGCAGGCTCTCGGCCAGTGCATATCCTGGGCCTAGCAAGTTTCAGGTCCAAGCAGGCCCCGGGCCAGTGCACACCCGGCGCCCAGCGAGGTTCGGGCCCGAGCAGGCATTCCCCTCGTGCACGGTTCTAGACCTAGCACCCTCAGAGCCAGGCAGGCTTTGGGCCTAGTGGCCTCGAGCCCACCCAGACTTGGCCAAGCAGCCCTCGGCCAGACCAAGCACACTCCCTCGGAGGCCTGGCAGGGCCCCTGCTTTACCCTGCCCCCCACGCCCCGCCCCGACCCGACCCTCCCAGGCAGCCCCTCAGCGTCTGCCGCCCGCCCTTGGGCCTTTCCGGCCAGCCCCTCCCTCCGCCCACGCCCAGAACAGCCCATGCTCTTGGAGGAGAGCAGGTGGGCTTGACCGGGACTGGCCCCTCACCGCGGAAGGCGTGGCCGGAATGCTCGGCCCACTCCGTCTTTGGCTTGTGGGCTCTGCCTCGTGCACCGCGTGCTGCAGCCCACAGCCGGCCGCCGCCGGGCTGGCGCGAGAGTGGAGGGTGGCAGTGCGCAGGCGCGGAGCGGAAAAGAGGGGGCGTGAAGGGGGCGGAGCCAGGCAGGGTTGGGGGAGGGGGTGATGTACTGTGGGGGCAGGGGGGAAGGGGAGTAGGGAGGGGGAGGGGGAGCACGGATGAGGAGGACCCCAGAGGGGGCACTGGTGGACCTGGGGGGGTGGATGAGGAGGGGAGGAGGGTCCCATACAGGGCACTGGGAGACCTGGGGTGGGGGTGGATAAGGAGAGGAGGAGAGCCTGCAGGGCACTGGAAGACTGGGTAGTGGGGGAGCGCCTAAGGAGGGGAGGAGGGTCCTGCAGGGGCACGGAAATACCTTGGGGTTGAAGTGGATGAGGAAGGGAGGAGGGCCCCGCAGGGGGCGCTGGGAGACCCGGGGGGGAAGTAAGGAGGGCACGAGGGCCTGCAGGGGGCCTGGGAGATCTGAGGGGGAATGGATAAGGAGGGGAGGAGGGCCCACAGGAGGCACTGAGATACTGGGGGGAGGGGTGGAATGAGGGGGGGAGGGGTGGAATGAGGCGGGGAGGATAGCCCTGCAGGGGGGCTGGGAGACCTGAGGGGGGTGGTGGGTAATGGATAAGGAGGGGAGGGGGGCCTGCAGGGGGCCTGTGACACCTAGGGGAGGGGAATGGATAAGGAGGGTAGGAGGGCCAACAGGAGGCACTGAGATACCAGGGGGAGGGGTGGAATGAGGAGGGGAGAGCCCTGCAGGGGGGCGGGGAGACCTGAGGTGAGGGTAATGGATAAGGAGGGGAGGAGGGTCTGCAGGGGTTCTTGGGAGACCTGGGGGATGAATAGGAGAGGACAAGGGGAGGAGGGTCTGCAGGGGGCCCTGGGAGCCCTGCGGGGGGCGAGGGGTGGGGGAATGGATAAGGAGGGGAGGAGGGCCTGCAAGGGGTGCTGGGAGACTTGGGGGAGGGGAATGGATAAGGAGGGGAGGAGGGCCTGCAAGGGGTGCTGGGAGACCTGGGGGAGGGGAATGGATAAGGAGAGGAGGAGGGCCCGCAGGAGGCACTGAGAGACTGGGGGGAGGGGTGGAATGAGGAGGGGAGGAGAGCCCTGCAGGGGGCGCTGGGATACCTTGTGGGGGAATGGATAAGGAGGGGAGGGGGTCCTGCAGGGGGCGCTGGGAGACCTAGGGGAGGGGAATGGATAAGGGTGGGAGGAGGGCCCGCAGGAGGCACTGAGATACTGGGGGGAGGGGTGGAATGAGGAGGGGAGGAGAGCCCTGTAGGGGGCGCTGGGAGACCTTGGGGGGAATGGATAAGGAGGGGAAGAGGGCCCTCAGGGGGCGCTGGGAGACCTGGGGGGGAAATGGATAAGGAGGGGAGGATGGCCGCAAGGGGCACTGGGAGACGCTGGCGGGGAATGGATAAGGAGTGGAGGGGGGCCTGCAAGGGGCGCTGGGAGACCTGGAGGGGAAAGGATAAGGAGGGAGGAGGGCCTGGAGAGGGCGCTGGGAGACTTGGGCGGGGGTGGAGGGAATGGATAAGGAGGGGAGAAGGGCCTGCAGGGGGCACTGAGACCTGGTGGGGAATGGATAAGGAGGGAGGAGGGCCTGCAGGGGGCGCTGGGGAACCTGGGGGGCTTGGATAAGAAGGGGAGGAGGGCCTGCAGGGGGCGCTGGGAGACCTAGGCGGGGCAGGGGTGGGGAATGGGTAAGGAGGGAAGAAGGGCCTTGCAGGGGGCGCTGGGAGACCTGGGGTCGGGGGGAGGATAAGGAGGGGCAATGGGAGAGGATGGGGAATGGGGTGCTTAGAGACTTGGGTGGGAAATGGACGCAGCAGGGACTGGGCGGGGAGAGACCTTACAAGGGTTCCAGGAGATGGGTTGGGGTGGGCTGGACAGGGCAGAGTGGAGGGTGAGGAGGGCCCTCTGTGAGCCACAGAGACCTGAGCAGGAGCTAGGTGGGGGCTGGGAATGTGCAGGAAAGGAGACGTGGAAGGAGGGGGAGATAGGGCGGCAGGGGTGATGGAGATTGACAGGGACCCCAGACATGGGGGTAGGGAAATGGGGATGGAAATAAATGGAAAAAAAGAGGCTTCGTGGTGGGAAAGAGGAGGAACTCCGAGGGCTCCGGGGCACTGAGGTGTGCAGAGTTGCCGGGTCCTGAGTACCCTCGAGGGAGCAGAGGGAGCTCGAGGAACGAGGAAGAGAGGGGACGACGAGGGCAAAGAAGGGAGAACGTAGGCGGGTGTGGAGGAGGATGAGCGTCCGAGGGAGAAGACGGAGGAGTTGAGCAGAGAAAGGGCAGGAATGTGGGGGCTGGAAAGGGTGAGGAGGCAGCCGATGGAGCAGGGGTGCATCGGAGTTCATGGGTACTTCCCAGGAGCTCATTTAAGGCAGGTGGGAGGGCGGGGGACGTGGAGGGGCGGCCACACTGTGAACGGACTGAAGCCCACTTAACTGTTCACTCTAAAGTGGTTCAGTTCGTTACGTGTGTTTTCACTTCAATCAATTGCTTTTAATGGAAATTAATCATATTGATGGTCTCCAGAAGAAGTTGGGTTGATACCTGCAACCAGATTTTAAAAATGCAAATTTGGAGCCAATGAGTGAATGAAATAATTTGTACCTCACTGATTCTTTTAAGGCATAGCTTACAACGTTCCAGAAACTGTTCTATTTGTTTTCACTTTTGTTTCAAAATCTTAATGGCATTTTGTTTGCTGATTGTGAATAAATATTTGTATGCTGCGAAAAGCAAATCCAAAACCAACAGCTCAAAGGAGAAAGTGTGGCAAACAGGAGATTGGAGATTGGACCCCAAAACTCCTGGAGTGACGAAAATTGACCTGGATGAAGAAATGGCTTTCTCTTGGCCTTCTTTTGTTTAAACATATCTTCCAGTCCTGGGGATGGATTTCCCTCCCATCCATAGCCAGAGAACTTTCTGTATCCATCAAAGTGCTTTCTATGTTTGCCCGCTCTCCACAGCTCCCTCTTTGTCATTCGCGAATAGTATATAATCAAATATTGTTTTCATTTTCAATAATATAAAAGATAGAACTAAATTCAGCTTTGAAAGACACCCATGTACCAGTGGGTACTGGTACACTTGCCAGTGACTTTCTTCGCTCCCTAGTTTCTGCGTGGTGTCTGGGGTTTCCGTCACAGTATATGTACTATACAAAGAAAATAAATATTTGAAGGTCACTGGGAAAGTAGTATGCTATAATGACTTACTTTAAATCATTTAAATGAGTTTTTCTGCTTGAGTAATCAGCACCTATTTAGTGCCTCCTTGAGTAATTTTGCGTGATGGCTGTGACATGCTGCTAGGAAGTTTTTCAGAGTTTGTATTATAGAATCATGTTTAGAAAATTTCAAATACCAATTTAAAAGGCATGTTTTAAAAGGAGATATAAAGCCAGTGGGAGGAGGGATAGAGAAAGGGGAAACTGAGTTAAATTTGAAGGGGACAAAGGGGCTTAAAAAGAGAAATAGATGGAAAGGGAGGGATGAGGAGGAGGAGAGAGGGCCAAGCAGGCAGGGGAGGCAGGCCTGCAGTTGCTAAACTTTGCTCCTTCCCCGCGTTCTTGGATAATATTTGTGGGGAGGCACTCCAAGCCAGACCTGCTGGATTTCCTGCTCGTAGGCCTGTGCAGCCCAGGAAACTGTTCAGAAAAGTAGGAGGTAGGATCCTATTTGTACCCTGAGTGTGTGGAGCAGTTTCTACCAGGTAAACCTTCCATCCCTGTTTTTTAGGGGATCAAGATAGACTGCAAGGCAAGATGCTTGCATTTAGTCTCAGATGAAAAGAACAGTGGACTCCCGGGCCCTCATCCTCCTTGTCAAGTCTCAATTCCTCAGATGGGCTTCAGTTCTCTCTTTAACTAATGCTGTGCACCTGTCCAGCCTTTTCATCTACAGAGTTCTGTCTCTGCTCCATCCAGACCCATCTCCTCCTTATCCCCAGGGGCTGTGCTAGAAGTGGATGTAAGGGGCAGAGTGTGTCTTGTTGCTTGCATCCAAAACCTGCTGAGACCCAGGCCCTCCTCGTAGCAAATGCCATTCGGTCTCTTACAGATGCCCAGGTGTGGTGACGGGCCAGCCATGGGTTCCCCCAGTGCCTGCTGTGGAGCTTGGTCACTTGCATCCTCCGGGTAACAATGATATTTATTATGCCTTTTGTACCCGATGTTTGGGGATTTCCATGTGGTGGACAGGTGAGCTTTGCTCTCCCAGCTGCCAACTGGCTGTAGTGCACATGTTTTGCAGGTGGTATTGCTTCGTGGTGGGTCCACACTATGAGCTTATCAGGCAATGTGCTCAAAGGAAAGGAAGGCCTTGCGAAGTATGTGGCACAGGTAGGGGCTATACGCATATTACTGTGTCCCCCCAAATTCATATGTTGAAGTCCCAACCCCCAGTACCTGGGGGTACAAAATGTCACGATATTTAGAGGTAGGACCTTTAAAGAGGTAATTCAGTTTGAACAAAGGCCACGGGGGGCAGTAGGGGTGGGGGAGAACTAAGCCACCTGACTGTGTTAGGGCCTCCAAAGAAGTGATTATTAAAATGATGGCGAGAGGATGGGGTCCCAAGCCTACCTGGCTGAGGTCCTTATAAGAAGAGAAGACACCAGAGAAGGACACACACAGAGGAAAGGCTGCGTGAGAGCAGCAAGAAGATGGTTTTGTGTGAGCCAAGAAGGGGGCCTCGGGAGAACCAAACTTGCCAACACCTTGCTCTTGTACTTCCAGCCTCCAGAACTATGAGAAATAAATGTCTGTTTTCTTAGCCACTCAGTCTGTGGTGTTTTGTTACGGCAGCTCTAGCACACCAGTGCAGGTACACACCAGGAGAGGCTCACACCAGTGCAAGCTCACACCATTGCAGGCTCATATCAGTGCAGGCACACACCAGGACAGGCTCAAACCAATGCAGGCACACACCAATGCAGGCTCACACCAATGCAGGCTTACACCAGTGCAGGCACACACCAGTGCAGGCTCACACCAATGCAGGCTCACACCATGCAAATGGGACCGAGTGTGGGAGGCTGTGCTACTGCATGGTTGCTGAAAGCAAATGTTGGAAAACATATTCCACTTAGCCCTTTGGGCTAAGAATTATCCCCAGCACATGTGCTTGACTGGGTGGGCATGGGGACAGATGAGCTCTAGAGCATTATTTGGAACTGGCATAGATTCAGATAGAGATGGACAAATCAGAAATGTAAAAATATTTTGAAAAAAATTCTATGAGGCAGCAATGGACGAGACAGGCCATTGAGTGCTGTCATTGTCTTTAAAAAATACTATGTTCACTGCTTTCAAAGTAAGTGTCATGAGGTTTATTACTTAGTGGTTCTCTGGCTCCCCTAAGTTGACTGTAAAATCTTTATGAGGCACTTGGTAAGCACATAAGTATTTGAAGTACCCAAGGGATAAAAGAGCTCGGTAGTGAAATGGTGAGTGAAGGCTGGAATTGCCCTAAAGTCTGGGTAGGAAGGGGGCCTCCAGCTGAGTATGCCAAGCAAGTAACATGAATTATCTCTCAAATCTTCTAGAAAGCCCTATGAGGGGGCAGTATCATAATACCCTTTTCACAGAGAAAGAAATGGAAAGGTTAAGAAACTTGCTCAAGGCCAGGCACGGTGGTTCACACCTGCAATCCCAGTGCTTTGGGAGGCTGAGGCCAGAGGATCACTCGAGGACAGGAGTTTGAGACCAGCCTGGGCAACATAGTGAGACTCAGTTTCTACAAAAACAAAAAAACCAAAAAATTAAAAAATAAAAACTTGCTGAAGTGGTGGAAACAGTGATTCAGGGATCTTTGTCTTAAATACTTTGTAATGTGTTATTTATTATGCTTCTTGTTAATTTCTACATGGGAAATTATATATATGTTTATGTTTTTAAATATATATTATATATACTTATATATTAAATACGTATTTCTACATATGTTTCCCATATATGTGCTATGTAATATATATGGTAAGAAAGCTCAACATGGGTAAGGATCTTTGTGAGTTTTGTTAACTGTTGTATCCAAAGTGCCTGGGACAGGACCCTTGACAACAATTTGTGGAATAACTGAGTGTTGGAGTCCATTGGCCTTCGACCACTCTTTTTTACAGCCCCTCTGGCATACATGAAGGGTGAATCTGAGTTTTATATCCCACAGCCTTACACAAATAAATGTCATGATTGCGTTTTCTCTTGTTGTTCTGCAGTGGTATTTACCTGGACAGTTTAATGATGTCTCTGACCTCTTCATTTTAAGAAACCTTTCAAGAACTTTTTACTTCATTCAACAGTTGTCTATTCATGCCATAGGTATTTATAATGAACTGTGATATCTATATTGTGGAGAAACGGGGTGCTCAGAAAGCTTTTCTTTTTCTTTTTCTTTTCTTTTCTTTTTTTTTTTTATTCTGAGATGGAGTCTCACTCTGTCACCTAGGCTGGAGTGCAGTGGCATGATCTTGGCTCACTGCAACCTCCGCCTCCTGGTTTCAAGTGATTCTCCTGCCTCAGCCTCCTAAGTAGCTGGGATTACAGGTGCACGCCACCATGCCCGGCTAATTTTTGTATTTTTAGTAGAGATGTGGGGTCTCATCATGTTGGCCAGGCTGGTCTCGAACTCCTGACCTCAAGTGATCCACCCACCTTGGCCTCCCAAAGTGCTGGGATTACAGGCATGAGCCACCACACCCAGCCCAGAAGTCTTTTCTGAAATGTAATCTGGTAACCAGAATTTCCAGCTTTGGCACTTTATGTGTCAGTTCCCCTAGATATACTATGGACCTGCATTAAGGCAAAGAGAATTTAACACATACCAGGCCAGGAAATAGGTCTTAGGGTTAAGATTTATTAGTACTGCCTCAACTGCATGCATTAGTATAATCAGCTCAATTCTCAGGAAAAACAGCTGGGAGTGGGTTGCTACCTTGTCAAATGGCAGAACTAGAGGGTAGACACCAAGTTTTTCTTCTGCACAGTTGATTCTTCTGTATTTATTTATTATCACTCTGAAGCCTGACCAGCAGCTGGAATGTAAACTGTTATTTCATCCACGCTTACGTGGTGCCTGGCTCCTCTTAGTGTTATAAAGATAATTTGTACCAAAAAAGTACATAAACAGTTTAGTTCCCTTTCACCTGATTTCAACCAATGAATGGCAAAGGAGTGTCCATTTAAGAGCATGTCAGTTAACCTGTTGGGCAAATGTTGTTTATATACAGAGCACTATACTTTGAACTTTGATATGAACACAGAGAGGGTGTACCCTTATTGAACAAGCAGTTCAGCTTTGCTCATGGAATTGGCCACAGAGGTGAGGAGTTTTGGGACACATGAAGCCCCAGAGAGAATTTTTAAGACTGTTTGTAATGTTTGTGAAGAGGAAGAGGTGGAGTAAAGAATGGGAATTCGACTGTACAAGTGCACCAGGTGTTCTGGAACTCCCCAGAAATTTATCATTAAAACCTCTTCCTTCTCCTACTTATCCATGAAGAAGCATTTGGTAAATAAGCAAATAAAAGCTTTATTACCTTCCTACCTTCCCTCCTTGGATTGCAGGTGTGAGCCACCCTGCCTGGCCTTGAGCAAGCTTCTTAAACTTTCTTTCTCCATGAAAAGGGGATTATGATACTGCCCCCCATAGGACTTTCTGGAACATTTGAGAAGTAACTCATGTCTCATGCTTAGCCTACTCAGCTGGAGGTCCCCTTTCTGCCCACATTAAATGGGGTCTGAAAGCAAGCATCTTGGGGGAGAAGAATCTGGAAAGTGCATTTTAATCCATAAATGGTCATTTGGGTGGCAGATGGTGAAGGGGCTGATGTGAAGGACGACTTTTTCTCCTTTGCATAATTGCTTTGAAAAGTACACATTAATAGTGCAAAGAGAAAGGTAAGAATCTTGAGGTGGGAAGATTATCCTGGATTCTTCAGGTGGGCCTAATGTCATCCCAAGGGTTGATAAAAGGGAGGCAGGAGAATCCGAGTCAGAAGGAGATGTGAAAAGGAAGCAGAGAGACAGAGATTAGAAGATCAGAGGCAGCTGGCTTTGAGATGGAGGAAGGGACCACAAGCCGAGGAATGGTGGTGGCCTCTAGAAGCTGGAAAAGGCAAAGAAAGAGATTTTCCCCTAGAGCCTCCAAAAGGGACACAGCTCTGCTGACCCATTTTAGACTTCTGACCTCCAGAACTTTAAGCCACTCAGTCTGTGGTCATTTATTACAGCAGCTGGGGAAACTCATACAGGAGTTTCCTGCATCCAGGATGCCCCACACCTCTGCTTCTCCCTCCTCATGGCTACCCCCTCATCTCGGTGCTGCTTCTGGTTTCTCCTCCTGGCCTTTCAAGAAGAGATGGGGGAACCCAGGCACAGCCCTTGGATCTTTCCTCTCCCCACACTCTCCCTTGGGGATCTTATCCAGTTTCGACGTTTTCAGTGAACTGTGTATGCATGATGGCTTCCCGTCTCCAATGGGGACCGCTTCCCTGCCTCCAGACCCTGGGACCCATCTGCCCCCCATCATCCCTGTCAAAATGTCTAATGGGCAAACGTAGCTTGTCCAAGGCAGAACACTTGCTCCTTCCACCTGAATGCTGTTTTACCTAGTCTTCCCATCACAGCTAATGGGGATCCTTCTAGATGCTCTGGCTGAACACCTTAGAGGTTCCTCTTTCTCTCACAGATGAATCTATTCCATCAGCAAATGCATCTACCTCAAAAGTGTCTTCAGAATCTGGCCACCTCTCCTTACCTCCTGGCCCCCACCCTGATCCGTCTATCATGCCACTACTCCAGATGCCACCACTCCAAATGCCACCACTCCAAACGCCACCAGGCCCAATGCCACCACACCCAAGCAGGACCCTTCCACGGTGCCCTTCTCCTCTCAGACATCACAGTGGGCCACCCTATCTTCCACCTGCTCCCACCTTGTGGCCTCTTGCTGTTGCTCAGACACCCCAAGCTGGCTGATACCCCAGGGACTTGGCATTTGATGTTCCTTCTGTGGGGATGCTCTTCCCCCCAGTAGCAATACTTGTTCTTCCACTTTCTGCAAGTCTTTGTTCAACTGCTCTGTCTCTGAGGCCTTCCCAGTCCTCCCTATTAAAAATTACAACCACAGGAGGATTGCTTGAGCCCAGGAGGTCGAGGCTGCAGTGAGCTGTGATTGTGCCACTGAACTCTGGTCTGGGCAAGAGAATGAGACCCTGTCTTAAAAAAAAAAAGAAAAAATTGCAACCCCAGTTTTCCTTGTCTCCTTTATTTTTCCCAGGATTAAAAGTTGCTGGGGCCAGGCACAGTGGCTCACTTCTGTAATCCCAGCACTTTGGGAGGCTGAGGTGGGCGGATCACTTGAGCCCATGAGTTGACCATCCTGGGTAACATAGCAAAACTCCATCTCTACCAAAAAAAAAAAAAGGAAAAATTAGCTGGGTGTAGTGATGCATGACAGTGTTCAAGTTACTCGGGAGGCTGATGTGGGAGGATGGCTTGAGCCCAGGAGGCAGAGGCTGCACCGAACCACGATGACACCACTGCATTCCAACCTCGGTGAAAGAGTAAGACCTTGTCTCAAAAAAAAAAAAAAAAAAAAAAAAAAGAGTTGCTGGTATCTCCTCCAAAAATTGGGTGCTGGTGGTCTGCTATGGATACATGTAATTAAAATGTACAATGTGCCTAGGACAAGGTGAGGGTTCTTTCTGCTTTGGTTCTCTCCCCAATACCAGATCAGTGCACGCCACATAGCAGTCAATCAACAGATGTCTGTTGAATGAATGAACCTGAACGTATAATTGTGCAATAAGCTTACCTGGTTCTAAGAGCTGAGTGTTCAAAATAAATTTGCAGTGGGTTTGGTTTATCTCTAAGATTAGTTGTCTATATTTAAGTTTAACATAATATGCACCTTAGCACTTCTTTAACATCTCTGTTTATAGAACTTATAAAGGCTGTTTACTACAATAAAACAATATAAAACAGAATCCCCAAACTGAAGCTGAAAATATATTCACAGTTTACCTTTCCTGCTCTAATTACCTCTGGCTTCTTCTTGATACAGGTTCCAAAACATATTTTCTCCAGAATTAAAATTCAGAATAATTGCCCCGGACAGGGAAGGGACAATTTTCATTTGGAACAAGGGCTACATTTAGGTCGATAAGAGAACTCATGGGAAGAGACTGCTTTGTCTTCCATACGCTGAGGGGCTCCTCCTCAATTCTGGGTCTTCAGGGCTGCCCTGGGGAGAGGCTGACCAAGTATCTGCAAAGCAAAGGAAGGAAAGAAGGACAGAGCAGGTTGTCAGTGAACAAGCAGCCCACCATGGGTCAGAGGGAGGCTGGAGAAGGCTGATAAAGCTGGACTCCCAAAGGGTGCGGCTCCAGCCAGAAACACACTCTCAGAGCCAGGGACCAGGGGAGAGGACGTTGTTTGGTGCAGCTTGCCCTATTCTTCTCTTGACAGCAGAACTGTCCTGATTCAGGAAATCACCTTGACAGTTTATCTGAGGGTGGAAGGAAAGACCCCGATCAAGACACGAAGGGAGAAAGCCAAAAGACTCCATGTTAGAAAGGGAGAACTCCTCACTTTTACTTTTTGTTTTTTTGTGTGTATGATTTCAAAGGGGTGGGACATGAAAAGAACAGAGAGAAAGTGGGGAAAGTGGATAACCAAACCGTCCTGCGAAATGGCCGAAATATTGTTTAAAGATGTATCTTACTAAAGGACTGGTTGTGCGTGCCTCCTTCAAGCCGTCAGCCTGCTGTGGGGCACTCTCAAAAGCCTTGGGGAATGGTTTCTTGTGTGTTTGCTTGTGGTGCGGTGTAGCAAAGAGGCTGGTTCCTGACAGAGCAGGAGCACTGACATCTCGGACAAACACCGCCATTTTAAAATCCAGCTCCTTTTCTAGCCTCATGCATTTCAAGGAAATCACTTCTTTTCTAACTACAAGCAGCCGGAAAGAGCAGACAGTAAAACACAGAGAAGACAGCCCCCGCCCAGAGGGGAGGTGGGGGAAACTCTCTTGGGTAATTGCCAAACTTCACCCTCATACCATGGGCCCCAGTAAAACAGTGGGCCTTAATAAGCACACTCCTTTCCCTTCAGGTGCACTAAGATAGGGAATGTAAAAGCAGACTCAGGGAGTATGCCTGCAGCTGCAGAAAGATGTATGGGAACAGACACACAACTCTCCCTCCCAGATAAGCACAACAAAGAGACACAGAAGGAGTCCAAGCCTCTGATAAACTCTCCCACCCTAAATCCTTAAAAACTCTTAGTCTGTAAGAAAGTGTGCCTCTGACCTAATGTGGCCAGATGTCCCTCTCAGGTTTGTTTTCTCTAAAATAATCCTGTCTTGACCATCAGGCTACCTTTCATGTTTCTTTCCTCTTTCTTTAATTCTTACAGTTCCCTGTCCATAGGAGCACGTGCAGGGCAGGACAGCATCGTGGGAAGGGGAGGGTGATCAGCACCCAGAATCAACCCATAGTGGGGAGCTTGGGCACAATATCTACCACTGGGATTTTGCTTGTGTTTTTCCAAAAAAACTTTTTGTTTTGAAAATAGTTATAGAGTCACAGGATATTGCAAAAAAAAAAAAAGAAAAAAGAGTATGCAGGGAAGTTCCATGTATCCTTCCCTCAATTTCTCCTAATGGGCACTTCTTATGTGTTATTATACAATATCAAAGCCAGGAAACTGACATTGGCACAATCCAGAGTTTGTTTAGACTTTCACCAATTTTCCCTGCACACATTTGTGTGTGTGTGTGTGGTGTCTATCACATGTGAAACCACCACAATCAGGATGCAAAACAGCCAATCACCACACGGATCCCTTAAGCTACCCATTTATAGTCACATCCACCCTCTTCCCTCACCCCACCCAGATGACTGTAAGAATTTAACCCCTTTGGGAACTGGCAGAAGTCTTGGAAAGGACATTGGAATATTCCACAAGGCTCGTATGGAAGGTTCATGCCTATCTTATCTGGATATGAAGGGCCATCTAGGTTGCTGTACTGTAATGCTGGAACTATGTTGATGATACTGAAAAGAACATTCATTGATTTTAATCCTGAATAGCTCACACTCCAAAGTCCTCTCATTTCACAAAAACAGTGGTGCCCAACCCCTTTCTGCATTGGTAGACGGTCTCTGGTGAGGGGCAGGATGGTGCACAGGAGCCATCCTGAGGCTGGGTCCTTGAGCATGAGGGGTATCCATGGATAGGGAGAAGAAGGCATCAGGGAGGTGGTGAAGCATGGGAGGGGTTCATCTTTTTCAGCAGCCCCAAATCCTACTCAGTGCAGTGGCACTGATTGTGTAAATGAGACATCACAGGTTCCTACATTATGAATAAATGATATATTTTAAAACCTAGGACAAAGGTTACAGAGTGATTTGCCTGCAGGAACCAGGCAAGTTAATGACTTTGGCAGCTGGAGAGGGACAGGTGTCCTCTGTCCCAGGTAAGTTCTCCTGATTTTCAAACAGTGACAATTAATTAAAAGAAATTTCAAATTCTCCCGTCAACCAGACAAAATATATGCATGAACTAGTTTTGGTCACTGCCAGCTGGTGACCTTTATCCTGGATATTTCTTCACAGGTTCTCTTCCTTCCTTCCTTCCTTCCTTCCTTCCTTCCTTCCTTCCTTCCTTCCTTCCTTTCTTTCTCTCTCTTTTTCTTTCTTTCTCTCTCTTTCTTTTTCCTTCTTCCTATCTCTCTCTCTCTCTCGCTTTCATTTTTTTAAGTCACAGAACAAGAAGACACAGAAGGAAGAAATCATCCTGAAAGTACTTGTAAGCACTTTACTAACCCATTAAGTCATTGCTTTTCTGAAAGGAGAGCTCTGGAAATGATAATAATGAATATTTGCATAATGCTCTAAGGCTTACCAAAGTCATGTTGGAATACACCGCCTTGATTTTCCTCCTAGGGAGGAATGGATAGTTTGTCTAAGGCATGGATAGTTTGTCTAAGGTCTCAAGGCAGGGAGCTGGATGATGTAACCAGGACTGGCACCCAAAACTGACTTCACATCCCATGCTCTATTTCAATCCCATACCCAATCCTCTTTTCTTTTGGCTCCCTCTCCCCAAACCAGTGTGCCTACAGCAGAGCTCAGTTTTCTTTGCCAGGCATTTCTGACCCTTCTCAATTGGCCCCAAGCTGGAGAATTCAGCTGCCACCACCCCACCAACTATGCCCACTCTCCCAAGTGAGTGTGGAGTTGAAGACATGAACCAGCAACTCACCCTCGGTCAGTTTCAGATACATGTTCTTCTTAGGGTGAGTCAATCTGAGGGGTTCAGCACTGTCCTCAAGTCTTAGCCCCGTATCAGTTTGAGCTCCCCTGGAAGCAGCACCGAGAGTCCAGGGCTTGGGTGCAGGTAGTTTATTTGGAGAGGATTCCAGAAGGAAGTGAGGGAGCAGGGAAATGACACGGGGAAGAAGGAAATCCAGCATAAGGGCAAATTATTGAGGCCTCTGCTGTAGTCCATGGATGCTTGAATGCCAGAAAAGCTTCCAGAATGCTTCCCAGATTGCCTGCCAGAAGGACTGTGGGCAAGGAGTGTTCGCCCACCCCCTCTCGTGCTTGCAGTCAAGGGATGCTCTTGGGGTATCCCCCCACTTTCTATGTTTGCACATGGATTAAAGGGGACACCCACTCTGAGGAAGGCCCTTAGGCAGAGAAGGATACCCTGGGCTCCACATTGGAGCCTGGGGAGCCTGAACACACACGGAGCTGTCACCACAGGTACGTACAAAATCAGGGTGTGAGGGCACCTTAGGGGTCTTGCCAGAGCTCCCAGCGACATGACAATTACTTCCATGGTGCCAGCCAGAGAAATAGGGTCTGTTTCCAATACAGAGGAGCAGCTGGCTGTGCTGGACCTGTTGTGTTGAAACTGAGAGGTTATTGCAGCTTTTTGAGGAATTTTCATGTAGAATTTAGACCATATGTAATTTTGACTGTGTTCAGAACCTAATTCCCATAGGAAATTTTATCTCACCTCTTTCAAACACACCTTATTATAGACATCCGCCCTAACACACACACATTCACAGATGGAGAAACACACACACTGAGACACACACACACACACACACACACACACACACACTGACACACGTTTCCTCCCCATGCTGTTTTTTCACTTGCCCCTCTCTTTATCTGAATCTAATCCAAGCATCCTGCATGATCCCTTCAAATCTCCCTTCCCCTGTATCTCCCTGGGTCCCACTGGCCACTTCTGAGCCCCTTCTCCTCTCTCCTCCCTGTGTTCAGAGCCTTGATGAGATTGGGGAAGAGACAGAGGCCAGCTCCCATAGAGCTGTGTAGACAGACCCTGGTAAGGAGTTTGACTCTATTTATGTTCCCCAGGAAGCCATTGGAGGGTTTAAGCCAGGGAATGACAAGAAGCCATAAACCATTTATATATTTTTTATTTATTTATTTTTTGAGACAGAGTCTTAAACTGTCACCCAGGCTGGAGTGCAGTGGCACAAGCTCAGCTCACTGCAGCCTCCACCTCCCTGGTTCAAGCGATTCTCCTGGCTCAGCCCCCGAGTAGCTGGGATTACAGGTGCACACCACCACGCCTGGCTAATTTTTGTATTTTTAGTAGAGACAGGGTTTCACCATGTTGGCCAGGCTGGTCTCGCACTCCTGACCTCAAGGGATCCACCTGCCTCGGCCTCCCAAAGTGCTGGAATTACAGTAGTGAGCCATTGTGACTGACTGAAACCATTTATATTTTAGAACATTCTTTTCTTGTTCTTTCTTGTCTTGTCTCCAGAGTACCTAGGATGGTGCTTTGACTGCATCATTATCGTTGTGATCTTTGCAGCTGGAACGTCTATGGTGTCTTCATGTCGGGGCAGGACAGACATCGATCGAGGTGTCCTTGTGCTGAGGGTGTTGCTAGCATGTGCTTTACTCAGTGAGCAGCAGTGACTCAGCACAGGGCAGGCCGGCCGCCGTCTGCGTCAGGAGGCTGTAACTATTTTCTTACAGCTATAAAGGTCACAAACATGACCGAGCTGATCCCCATCTCGAGGCCTGACTGACACAAACATTGTTATGACTGAAACATTTTTCTTATCAGGTTATTCTTAACGGAGATGCCCACTTGGGACCTGTTTAGTCTTTATTGTTTTAAATAGCCTGGGCTGAAGCATAAGGGAATTAGTCTTTGGTTTGGTGACCTTGAAAATTTGATCTAGAAGGAGGATGAGGTGCTGGCTCCTTCTCAGATAGCATCGTTTTACCCGTGCTCACCATGTCGGTCACGTGCACCAGCTCGCCAGTGGCTCCTTCGGCCTGGTGCCTCCTTCCCTTCCTGCGACACTGCTCCCTGAACTGCAGCCTCCCCAGCCTCAGCCTTCCCTGAGCTGCAGCCTCCCCAGCCTCAGCCTTCCTTATGAACACTCAGCTCTGGCCCACTTGAGGAGGAGATCTTCCCTGAGATGTAAACGTGGTCTGCTCCTTCTCATCCAAACTGCACAAAGTAACTGCTTTCTAAAATACTCCTCTTCCCCAGACACGATTTCTATCACAATCCCATGTTCTAGATCTTTCCTATCTGCTTTCTTGTTGATGTGTTTGCCTGTCAGTTGTTTGTTCCCCCTTAGCATGCAGACCCCAGGAAAGCAGGGCCCTGTCTGTCTTGCTCTCCATTTTCCTACAGAGCTTTGAGCAGTGTCTGGAACTCATCTACTGCAAGGATGTAGAAAGTCCAAATGCCACACACACGTCTGAGTCTTGAGTTCCTACTGTGACCTGGAGCCGGGGCACTGCTGGTGTTTCTGACCTTGACAACCACAGACACAGCACACATAACTCCCTAACCTCAGTCTCCTCAGTCATCATCCCCATGCGAGCGTTTGGCTCGCGTGGACTCCATGGCACTGGGCATTCCAGGACCTCATGCACAGGCACGAGGCGGAGGGCTCTGGGCTCCGTGGTTAATGTGTACCAACGTACTTTTTATCTATAGCTGGCTTTGCCACCCTAGGCCTGCTTTCTTCCCAAGACTTTCCCCTGGCCTCTTTCCAGCAATCTGTCCGGGAGTTATAGACTAAGCTACCCTTCGGCAATTAGACTGGACTTCAGTCGTTTTTGAAAGATGAATTTAGAGGTAATTTTCTAATTACTAGCAGTTGTCAAATAAACTGAGACGGAAGACTGCTGAGTCTTTGCCTGGGCAGAAATGAGCCCTGGCTACAGCAGGAGCTGGTCCTGTGCCTTGGTGATGAATGCAGGGAGACAAGCAGCTTAGAAACCAATTAACTTTCTGCTTCTTTTGCTAATGTGGGGACAGTGAGGGGAAGAGTTTGGCTGCTTGAGAATGGAGTTCAAACAGGGCCAGCTGTGGAAGTTAAGCTAGCAGAACTGATGAAAGGAACACGCTTCAAGGACGTCTGCGTTCTTAGCAATATCAAAATGTTCATCTTCATTTGATGGAACACTTCTGAGTCTGAATTGTCAGTACAAACGTTAAAGATGTAATAGCTATTGACGCCTATTCTAGATAATAATGCCTAAAGATATCACTGGGACATTTTTTCATGGGAACTTTCAACTGTAAGTGAAAGTTTTCCTTTCAGTTGCTATCTGCAAAAATGTCAAACTTATACACAGTAATATTTATAAGGTGGCTTTTGTGTTTTCTTCTGCAATTGTGTGACATTTTGCTTGGTTAAGTGTTGCATCTTGTCATGGTTTGATGTCACGTGGCAACCAATGTCACAGAAGGCCTGGGGGTCACCTGGGAGCTGTTGCTTGGGCTTGGGGTCTGGTTTGCAGACTTGGAGGCCAGGAACCTGGTGCTGTCAGGACCCTATGGCAGAGCCAGACAGACTCAGAAGCACTAGTGTATCAATCAGGGGGCCAATGTCTTAGTTCACATCAAAAGCACCACTTTTCTGGGGAGACAGACCCCAAATCTGCCACCCAAGTTGCCCCACTCCTTGCAGCTACTGTTAGAGACAGTCATGACAGGTTAGAGACAGCCATGCTGGGGTGGAAAGGTAGAGCTGGTATAGAAGACTTGTCCCAGTTCCGCTAATGACCTTGGAGAAGCCTCAACCTTCCTGAGCCTCAGTTTCCTCATGTGTAAAATGGTGATCCAGTACTCCTATGACAGGACTTGTTGGAAAGCTAAAAGGAGAACACATATGTAAACTGCTGGGTCCAGGAGTAAGCACTGAATCATTTAATTGGGACAGGCAGATGCAGAGTACAGACTGGAGCCAGTGTGTGGATTCCTGATCCAATCGCATGGCCTGAAATAAACTCCTGTATATTTCTAAGATTTGGGATCTACAAACTAAATTGGGATCAGAATGTTATCTACTTCATAGGCTCGTCGCTGTTGTTGTATCAAATAAGATACTCTATAGAAAGCACATAGCATGATGATCATGGTACCCAGACACAGTAAGGGCTCAAATGAATGGGAGCTCTCATTGTTATTGGGAAGATTAATAGTTCTGATGGTAGAATAGTAGCAGCTGTTGTGGCACCACCAGCAACAAATACAAGCAGCCAGGAGGTGCAGGTCATTCGGCGACTATAAAATCGGAACAGAGGTGAACTGTGTAGAAGGCTTCTCAGCCCTGGCACTACTGATGTTTGGGGCTAGACAGATTGCTCTCATGCACTGTAGGGTGTTTAGAAGCATCTCTGGCCTCTACTCGCTAGGTGCCAATAGCACCACCCAGTTGTGACAACCAAAGACGTCTCTGGACACTGCCATTGTCTCTGGGCTGGGGGCAGAATCATCCCAGCTGAGAATGTCTAGGGGAATATGTCACCGAGATGACGGGGAAGCCTGTGGTCCTCCAAAACTTGCCCCGGTGCCTGCACCTGCACACACTCCTACCTGCCCAATGCTTTGCTTCAGTTCTCTTTCCTAGATTTAGTCCATTAGATGACAAAGACTGAGTGGCCACTATGAACAAGCACCTGGGCATAATCTGTGGGAGAACAAAGTTTGGCCTCTGCCCTCCAGGACACCCCACAGACCTTTTCCCTTCACCCCCTTCTTTAGCACTGCCCTTCCTTATGTGAGGCACAATGCTGTTGACTAGATCACAACTGTCTGAACGACACTGCTGTCTGTGGGAAGCCACCACTCAGCCCTTCTCTGAAGGCAGAACTTCTCTGCAGTGTATTATTTAATACTTCTTCCAAGAGCGTGCCTTTTTCCTTGTGCAAATGCTCACGATATTTATTAGCATGAAAACCTTGGGGGAACGCATTAACCAACCTGGACCTCAAGTTCCTATGCAAAATGGGGATAATGACACGCTCCCTTCAGCAGCGCTTGCAAGTGGATTCATTGAGATTCTGTAGGCTCCTACCCCTGTTCTCTCCTTTCCGATGATAACTTTATTCTAAATTGCAGAGGCACCTCACCATGCGTGGCCTCTTGGTATTTACCGTAAGAGTTTTTAAGGACGGAAGTTAATGTAATGTGTCTAAACTTAAGTTTTTTGAGGATCCTGTTCTCCCTATGCCTGTATTTATCTACATTACTATCCAATTGAAAATGTTAACTTCTTTACCAATATAACTGAGTGGTTTGCAGATCTCTGTATCATGACCAGAATAGCCCATCCCCTTGTAATTTGGACTAATGTCTGAGAAGGCCTGCATGAGTAAAAGTTCAAATTATTTTCCAGTTAAAAAAGAGATATTGTATGACTTTCAAACCCAGCAAGAATGGGGCTAGGAAACTATGACAAAAAAAAATCTTTAGGGAAACAGTAAGTAAACAGATGAGAATGATTCAGAACTCTGTTTTGTAAGCTCTGTATTGATGACTCTCTTTATGGCCATATACAATACCCACTGAGAAATGCTCATTTATAACTCCCGCCATGCTTACCATGTTTAAAAACAACTTATTGTTTTAAGTAGCTTCAACAGTCACCCGAAATCCTATTGACACTGTTAATTTGCTTAGCAAAGACTTTCTTTAAGATCTTAAAAGGTAAACTTTCACCCAGCCTCTGTCAGAATCACTATGGATTAGAGTTATCCAGAATTAAGAAGGTTTAGTTAGCTCACTTCCATTCTATTGAACTTACTCAAAATGTCAGAACATTCTACATTTCTGACATATACAATGTTCATATGATGACAGTTTTTATAGATGCCTCACATCATTTAATTCCAGGCACCCCATTTTAATTGTGTCCTGTTTTATCTGTTGATTTTTTAATTGGCAAATAAGTAATTTTAAAAGGAAATTTTAATTCATTTTCACATACGCTGGCTCTACTGGAGAGCTCATAGGGCCAGACAGCAACAGACCCCGCCAGATTTGAATTTTTATCTAAATTCTCAATCTGAACCTCACGCTTATAAATAAATGTGACTGCTGGAAAGAGTTTGAGTGTTGGAGTCAAGAGACCAGGCTCTAGTTCTTGGGCAAGTCTCCTAACCTCCTAGGGCCTCAGTTTCCTTGTCTAAATAGTAGGCAGTTCAATGGGGAGATTCTCGGCTGCCTTTCCAGCTCTTAGTACCCTGTGATTCCAAGATTCTCTTCTGGTCATTTTTCTTCCCAGCATCTATCCAGAAAACCCCACTCTGACATCTACTTTCCAGTATTTACATGAAAAGAACTTATTTTGTTCTATAACTTGGGATGTTTACTGTATTGGGATTTCTTTGAGTGGGACATCCTTAATGCAGGACGTTCCTAATTATTCTTAAACTGTCCTGTACGATCCTAAAAGTACCCTGAAACTCCGTGTATGGACTGCCTGAATTGTGAACATTAACCCACATTTATATAATCGCTTGGTTATGCAATCAGGCAATGAAGTTTAGGTTAAAAAGAGGAGTGCCTTGACTTTTGTCTTGGGTCCAGGATCCGCCCTTGGGACCCATTTATCACCTCATTTCCCTTCTTAACTCCTGTTTATCTCTCCGGTTCCTATTCAAAGGAACAGGAAAACACGCAGTACAGCACTCCATTTGATTACATTGATAGCTCTGAGTGAAAAACAAGGCTGTCCACTTGGAGCTGCGATAAGTCTTTTTTTCTGTGCTATGAGGACACTAGGTGTGAACAGATACTGACATCGAAAAGTAGAGGGTTGAGGAGGGGGGTAAGGAGGAAGGAAAGAATGGCAAAGGAGTTATGTTGCAGTCAGTAAAGGTTAGAAATGAATCACAAGATCGGGGTAGGAAACCAAGTAATAAAATAAGTGCATAATAGTGGGTTGCCAGGCAGACAGTGGGCTAATACCGAAGTGACAATGGCAGTGCAGCAGGGAGGCTGAGCAACAGAAAGGAGTGGGCGAGATGGAAAAATAAAGAGAGAATAATAAAAGCCAACACAGAGGGGGAGAGCAGAGGAGTCTGTCACTTTGTCTTAGGAGAAATTAAGAAGCCAGACAAATTATAAGTGTACTTTCATTTGGAAACATGATCAGACAGTCTGAGATGGGTGCTCCTGGATGAGGTGATCATGGCTTGTAGGGACCTGTGAGTGGCTCGCTCTGACCTGGCATGGGAAGGGCCAGGACTTGCCAACGTTTGCAGGTGGCAATGAAGTGCAAGACTGAGGGAATGCAAGGGGGCTTATTGGATCTCTTTGATTCTTCTGTTCAGAAAGAAAAGAGTGGAAGAAGATGGCTAACATTCTTAAGGGCCCAGGGCCAATGTGGGTGTTCCCATTGAATTCTCACCAGGGCCCTATGCAATAGGTGCTGGTTTTATCCTTCTAGTTCAGATGAGAAAACTGAGGCCAGGAGCTTGTTCAAGATCACATGAGCAGCAAGGACTCTTGTTTCTGACCTCTCTGCCACCTGCCTGCCCAGGCTGCCTGCTGAAGCCACTGCATCACCGTGAATGTGCATCTCCCACAAGGGCTGGTGTGTGGTTTACAGCCACAGGGAGGCGTTTTCAGGGCCCATCTGGGGTTGGAAGACATTGCTTTCCTTTGTCCTGACACCAAAAAGGAAACCGGCGTGGCCACTCTGAACATTTTGTCTTCTTTGGCATTTGGTTGCCTTTTTTCCCTCCTCCATTGGCAATGGATCTATCAGGTTCTCAGTTAAAATGCCGCATTGCCCAAGCACAAATGTGACCCTCGGTGTGTCGTGGGAACACATTGCACAGAGAACTCCACCACACTCAAACGCTGACAGTGCCTTGCCAGCCCTGGTGGACTTGAAGTTTCGATGAGCTTTAAGTTCGTGGAGCAGCTTAGCTCTGGGATTGTGGTAAGAGTGGGATCTAGAGAGATGGGAGTTCCTCCTGCAAATGTGCTCTTGAGCCTATTTTGAGGTCACTAACCATGCTCAGCCACAGTGGCCTCTGCAGGTTGAGGAGGGATTCGCTGTCCTTCCAGAAGCTTCTCTCTAGTTTCAAATGTCATACCCAGATGAAGAAAGGAATGCTTCCTTTGAAATTGATGCCATCCTCAGAGCCACCACACTGAGTGCGGGCCTCTTGCACCCCCATGCAGAGTCCTGCTTTGCTCTTCCTGTATTCCCTGCTGCAAGACCTCAGGGAATGCCCATGGACTGGGCACTTCCTGAGCAGGTTTTCACTAAAAGAAACACTCAGCAAAACAAAGAAAGTTCGTAGAGTACCGTCCAGGCCTAGCTAATGTTTCATAAGGACAATAGAAGGCATCATTTGTTTTCAGAGCATAATTTTATTATATCTTAATGCAAGAAAAGGTAAGATAAATTTCCTATTATTTTAAAATAACCGTGTCATTGTTATAATACCATACTATGATAATAACCATTTTACTGAAAATGATGAATATGTAATTGCCTTTCTTATATATTAGCATGTTATGATTTACTACCACAAATGTTGTTTTTCTTTTCTTAATTAATTTTTATACTTTCAGTATTGAAAAACTTTTCAGCATCTTCTAAATTGGCTCATTCAGGCTTGCACTGTAGACCTTTTGCAACAAGCCTATAGTTCTGCCATCGTCTCTCTTTTCACATGGTAAATTGCCCTGAAAGGTTTAATGAATAAATGAATACATTAATTAACAATGCCCAGAAAAGGGTCTCATTAAAGCAGTGTGTGTTTGGGATGCTTGGCTGGCATTTGGTGGATGGGGGCTGACTATCTTATGATGAAAGATGAACTTAAGCCCCCTGAACTCTCTCCTATGACTCACAAGAGTTTTTACTGGCATGGTTATGTAAACGAGCAGAGCATGAGGGAAATTATTGTTTAATTTCAAAAACATAACTGAATCACGAATACAAAGTGTGCTCTTGCTTCATGCTTTGATGTCTAAGGTGACTCACCGCATGGTACTGCACTTGAAAGGAGATGGAGCTTGGAGCAGGTTTGCCTGCCCGAGGGAGGTCATCCCATGTGCCAGGAGGATGCAAAGTACCTCTTGTGGGCAGGGTTCACCTTCAGTGCCCTCCTCCGAGACTAAAGGTGCAGAGACACCCCGCAGGGCAGGACTGTGACATGGCCTGTCCAGCATTCTGCACTACGTGAAGAATTTGCTACCCACCACATACCTGTAGCACTCCCCTAACTCTGTGGCAACCCCCCAGACTCCCGCATATTTCCAAAGGCAGCCCCTTGCCAGGTGGTGATGAGGGTTCTGCCTCAGGTTGAGAACATGTTGAGATGAGGGTTCTGCCTCAGGTTGAGAACATGTTGAGAAAGTAAGGTTCTGCCAAGTTCTAAAGATGCCATGTGCACAGGCTTCGAAGTGCCCATTTGTCTCTCTTGGATTAACTTGTAATCAATCTAATTTAGTGCTGTTTTTAAATCTAGCAAGACACATTTGTTTATTTTATTTTGTTTTCTAAATAAAGAATAATTGCAGAAAGAGGCTTGGGATGTCTCAGGAAAATAGAGAGGTAAAGTGCTCCATGCAAATAAAACCCAGAACCTTCTCAATGATGTGTTTAGAGGCTGAAACAAGGTAGAGTAGTGCACAGAGGCGGAGCCTTGGCCAAGGTCTCCCGAGTGCATCGGGGAGACGCTCACGTCTACATGATCTTTCCAGGTGCCAGACTTACTGACCTCCAGCTTTTCACATCCTGGGAGGAGATTGCTCTCAAAGGTACACTCATCTTAACCAAACTCAAGACAGCGATGTCTAGGACAAGAAAGCTGACATGCTGATCTGTGCTCAAACCAGAGTTGAGCTGGCTCCAAGAGCGTCTGGTCTCCAGGATCTGCACGGCCTTTGGAAACCAAAGCTCAATCCCAGGGGCTCAGGGCCAGAGAATCAAGCAAACATGCTGGTTACAGAAACTGAAATTATTCACTCATTCGACAAATATTAGTCAGCACCTACTCTGGTCTAGCGACTGTTTTCAGAGCTGTGAC